>NC_000002.12:79167625-79792625 GCF_000001405.40 Homo sapiens
GGCGCTTCACTCCATTTGCCTTCTTTTCTACAAAAGAGGTCTAGCTGTAAGATGGTGTCATAATTTATACTTCCCTCAGGAGGCCACGTTTCTCCCCCATGAAGAGGATATTGTGGCCAGGCAATACTGCAGAAGAATATAAGTCATTTCTTTCTCAGCGTCTGAGGGTCAAATTGGTCCCGATTCTCCAGAATACATCTTCGGGGTGTTTTTGCCTTGAGGGGAATGTTTGCTACCTGAAAAAAGAACATAGGGATGCCAGCACCCCTAGTCATTTTCTGAAGAACATTAGTCCTAGAGCGTCCTCTGTGGTCCTAATGCTTATTCCTTTCCAGGGCACGTAACCACCCATGGACCTCTGCTTATCAGACTAGTTACGCTCACCGATGTAGTGGTCCTACACCCCTTTTACCGCCTTTCTTGACCACAAAGAAAGGGGTTCGGGCTGCTGGATTCTAGTGGTCCTTTACCAGCATGCCTAACATTGCCTTTGTGCTCAGGGGTGAGTCCTAGAGCTGGGCTGGGTTCCTGAGTATTTCATAACAACCCAGCTGCCCCATCAAGATGCATTCCCATAAACAACAGTTCTTATGCAAATTCATTTCAGAAAGGGTGTAGCGAACTTTTTGAGTCAGGATTGAGATAGTCTTTTGTGATTCTGTAAGTAGTTTAAGGCTTAGCTGAGTGCAAACAGCTCGCACGTTTGAGCAGACCAATTATTAGGCAGTTTTTCTAACTCTGCTTCCACAAGAGTCTCCCTATCAATTACTGAATACCCATTGTGGTTTTTTCCTCAGTCACCTGGGAGGAAACATCTATCGTCCTGTCCTGAAGGGAGTTCCTCCTCGGTCTGGTCGGACCTTTGTATAGTAATTAAGATTTAAATCTCCTGTAAGGAAATCTGTTGGGTTAAGGGACTTACCAGTGGTTAGTGTTAAATTACCTTTTTCTAACAGAATAGCCCCATACTTTACGATTTTTGAGTTAGTAAGCTACCTTTTTGCTTTTTTGACTTAGAATAATTCTGAACTGGTGAGGTGTGCTCACAGTGAGGTTTCCTCTAAGTTACTTTTCTACTTTCTTCTGTTAGCAAAGCAGTTGCCGCTACAGATTGAATGCATTTGGGTCATCCACGGGTTACCGGGTTAAGGATTTTTGATAGGAAGGCTATGGTTGTCAGTGGTCTCAGTGTTTTCAGGCTATGCCTTTGTTTACACTGACAACAAGGGTAGTATTGGAGTGTTATAGGGTCATGAAGAAGACCTTCAATTATCAATTATAGGTTTTAAATTTACCCTGGCTTTTAAAGGAATAGGGCCCACTTTTTTTTTTTTTTTTTTTTTTTTTTTTTTTTTTTTTTTTTTTTTTTACTATTTCTATCTCTCTTTCTTTCTCTCTTTGAGTCCCTCTTTGTCTCTCTTCCTCTTTCTCCTCTCTGCCTCTTTCTCCTCTCTGCCTCTTTCACCTCTCTGCCTCTCTCTCTCTCTCTCTCTCTCTCTGTCTCTTTTAGCCATTTACAAACTTGGGGTCCTGGCAAGAGTGGTGGGGAACAGGTCCCACATAACTGCCCGTGTCGAGAGCGGTATGCCTAAATTGGGAGGGACACGAGGGACACAAGACTCCCTGCATTTATAGCCTAGATGCCTAAGGATGCAGCATAGAGCTTCCCTAGATCCCTTTGGAGACACAACTTGCGAGGAAATTAAAGTCTGAACCATTAGTACCTAGGAGGCGGGGATCAGAGGAAGTACATTCAGAGGTAAGAATTTTGGGGCTACACTTTCAAGAAAGTCATGGTCAGGACCCAGGAGATATGGGTCAGAAGGAAAGGTAGGGGTGTACGCATGGGCAACTGTTGAATAGAGACTTCGGGCTGTGCCGTGATCTCAACCTGCTAATGCCGGGAGTTCAGGATGACAGCTTTCTGCCTCTAGTCGGCCCTTGGCTTCCCCAAGAAAAGTGAAAGCGGAAGCTGGTTCTAGGCAGATGAATGCTCCCAACCCAGAAGAGTTGGGGGTTGTTAGAAAGCCCTTCCCCAGACAGCCTCACACCTGAGTTTTAAGTCCGGTGGCCGTGCTAATCGTTTTTAACTGGCCAACAGGTGCCTGGTCTTTTCTTCCAATTCTAAGGAAGGATAGAACAGAATAGCAAGTGAAAGTGGTCCAATATTTCTCACCACTTTGGAGGTCCCTTCACGGTCACCAAAACGTTACCAGGGGTTCCTTGCTCCCAGAGCTCCCAAGATGGTGGCAGGCCACTTCCAAAATGGTGGCGGGCTGCTTCCAAGATGATAGCAAGCCTCATGTTCTCTGACCTGGAGTTCTTGGCCCCACGTATTCCGAGGAATGGAATCTTGGGCCATGCAGTGAGTGTTATAGCTCCATTAGAAGCCGTGGGTCATGGAAGAGAACCATGGAACCCAGTAACTAGTGTTCAGCTCGATTAGGACGAACCCGGGCACTTAGCCATGCAGGAACAATGGCAAGCCTTTATCCCAATCGGGAACAGCAATGGGTGCCTCACTGGATCAGGAGCACAGCAGACACCCTGCTGGATCCTGAGGGATGGGAGTCAGTGGCGGGTCTGCGACGGTGGCAAACAGCAGTGGTGGACAGTGAGCGAAAGCTTGAGCCATAGCAAACACGGACCAGAAGAATGCAGTTGCAAGATTTAATAGAGTGAAAACAGAGCTCCCATACAAAGGGAGGGGACCCAAAGAGGGTAGCTGCCAATTTATATTTTTAATCATTTACATCATATAGATATATCAACAAGCTATATATGATATGATTTTCTTTTATATTTACATATTTCATACATGTATCATTTACATTTTATGTAACATTCTGGAACTTCTTTCTCATTCAATATTAGGTTTTAAAGTATATCTACATTGAGATAAATATTTCTAATTTATTGATTTTAACTACCATGCAATGTTTATTCATATAAGTATTTTTTAAAACTGTGTATTCATTCCTCTACTGATGGAAATGTGTATTTTGTTGATTTCAGGATATGCAATTTGCCACATTTTGAGTCTCCGAAATCTGAATTCAGTGCTAATAATGACAAATATATTCTCTATTTTCACTTTTTAAAACAAAGGTTGGCAAACTTCTATATAGAGCCAGATAGTAAACAGCTCTGTGGGCTATGCCATTTTTGTCACAATTATTTAACTCTGCCATTGTAACACGAAAGCAGCATAGGCAATAAATAAGTCCATATACATGTTTGTGTTGTAGTTAGACATTAATTATGGACACAGAAATTCAAATTTTATGTAATTTCATGTGTCACAAAATGTTTTCTCTTCTTTTAATTATTTTCCAACATATACAAATAGAATAATTTATTCTAAGTTCATAAGCCATATACAAACAGAAAAACGGGACAAATTTGGCCAACTGACTATAGTTTGCTAATACCTGCTATACAGAAAATGAGGGGATAAAGAAGGGGTGGTTGATGGATACAAAAACACAGTTGGTAAAAGGAATAGCATCTAGTGTTTGGTAGTACATTATGGTGACTACAGTTAACAGTAATTTATTGTTTATTTTAAAATAACTAAAAGATTAAAACTGAAGTGTTCCTAACACAAAGAAATGATTAAAGCTTGAGGTTATGGATTCCCCAATTACCTTGATTTGATCATTACACACTGTAACCTTGTATCAGGCTATCACATGTACCCCATAATTAATAAATTAATGAAATAATAGCTCAATTAATTACAGAATGAGGAGCGCTCTGAAAGACAGATGTATAGGGATTTTTGAGAGCATAAAACAGAATGTACCTGGTGGTAGCAGTGAGAAAATGAGTTGATCTGATTCTAAAGGGCACTGATTTTGATAATTTTTGTTCCATTTGGAATGAGAAACAGGTGTTTAGTGAATGAAACCAGATTAAGCATCTGTCAGCAAAATAGTTCAGAAAAACACTTTCATCTCAAATGTACTTTATTCCAGATAGAACAAGTTAAAATGAATCAAAGCAGCGTTTGTGGAAATAAGCAGCATATAAACAAAGAAAGTCAATTTCAGGCACTTCTTCAAAGTAACTTCTTACCACCTATTCAAATAAAATCCTAGTTGCAATGGAAAGTATATTTAAGGAACTGAAAAAATGCAGGTCCAAAATCTAGGTTCAAAGTTCATGTCCAAATGGAATTATATCAAGTTAAACAGCTTCTGCACAGAAAAGAAAACAGTCAACAAGCTGAAGAGAAAACCCATAAAATGGGAGAACATATTTGCAAATTACCCATCTGACAGGTAATAAATACTCAGAATAAATAAGGAGCTCAAACAACTCAGGAATAAAAACAAATAATCCAATTTTAAAATGGCAAAAGATATGAATAGACATTTCTCAAAAGGAAACATACAAATGGCCAACAGGTATATGCAAAAATGCTCAACATCATTAATCATCAGAGAAATACAAATCAAAACTGCAATGAGAGATCATCTTACCCCAGTTAAAACAGTTTTATCCAAAAAGATAACAAATGCTGGTGATCATGTGGAGAAAGAAAGATCCCCATATACTGTTGGTGGGAATGTAAACTAGTACAGCCACTATGGAGAACAGTATGGAGATTCCTCAGAGAACTAAAATTAGAACTGTTGTATGATCCAGCTACTGGGATCCCACCACTGGGTATATACCCTAAATAAAATAAATTAGTATATTGAAGAAATACCTGCCCTCCCATGTTTATTGCAGAACAATTCACAATAGCCAAGATATATACTCAATCCAAGTGTCCATCAACGAGTGAATGAAAAACAACAAAAATGTGGCATATGTACACAATAGATTATTATTCAGCCATCGAAAGGAATGCAGTCTTGCCATTTGCAACAACATGGATGGAACTGGAGGAAATTATATTAAGTTGAATAAGCCAGGAACAGAAAGACAAATATCACATGTTCTCACTAGTATATCAGAGCTAAAAAAAATATTCAACTAACAAAGATAGACAGTAGAATGATGGTTGCCAGAGACTGGAAAGAATAGTGAGGAAAGGGGGATAAAGAAGGGATAGTTGATGGATACAAAAACACAGTTGGTAGAAAGAATAGCATCTAGTGTTTGGTAGTACATTATGGTGGCTACAGTTAACAGTAATTTATTGTTTATTTTACAATAACTAAAAGATTAAAACTGAAGTGTTCCTAACACAAAGAAATGATAAACGCTTGAGGTTATGGATTCCCCAATTACCCTGATTTGATCATTACACACTGTAACCTTGTATCAGGCTGTCACATGTACCCCATAAATATGGGCTATTAGTATGTATCCATAAGAATTAAAAGTAAAAATATATTTTTTCAAAGTTCATGTGAAGATCTGAGGTCCACAGTCAACATCTATGACAAAGTGAAGGCTAGGTCCAGTTCTAAGGGCTGGCCCAAAGTCTATGTCTAAGGATAAAGACTACATCCAAGGTCAAAGTCCAAGGTACATTCCCATAATTCAAGATATTGTCCACGTTCAAGGTCCAGGTCTAATATCAGTTCTAACATCTAGGTCAAATTCATTTCCATGTTCAAGATTCAATGTCCAAGATAAGGTAAAGATCCAGGGTCAAGAGCATAGTTTTAAGGTTCAGGTTCACATCTATGTCTAGGATTGAGGTTTGTGTTGAAATTCCAGGTCTAAGGTCAGGTGCAGGTCAAGATCTGAGATTCAAGTTTATGATTAGTTGTCTAGGTCCAATCTCAGTGACTAAAGCCCAAGTGCACAACCATGGAGCATAATTAAGGTCAGATTCGAGGTTCTGGATGAATACAGTGTCAAGTTTTAGGCCCCACATCCAGTTCCAGTGTCCAAGTTCAGGTGCTAAATTCAAGTTAAAGTACACGGTCAAGGCTTACACCAAGGTCTGAGATCCAGGTCTCCATCTGATGTCTAAGTTTGAAATCGTGGTTCAAGGTAAGTATAAAAGGTCCGAGGTCCAATTCCAATGTCCTTATTCAGTATAGGTTCATGGTCCATGTCCATAGTCAAGATCCAATATACATACCCTAGGTCCATTTCAGGTTCATGACTGGGGCACCCGTCCAACATCCAGGTCTAGATCCATGTCTAATGTCAGACCTAAATTCTAGATAAATTCAGGTTCTGAGTTTTTCTTCCCTCTTTTCTCTCATTGTATCTCCTTTACGACATGTGTTACTTCTTCTCGATTGTATCCCCCCTTTTTCTTCTTACCTCCCAATCTAACATAAGCTAATTCCCTAGGATTGTTCCTCCTTCTAGTCCATTAATTCTTTTATTTACCTCCTTTGACACCTCCTAATTCTCTCCAATATTCAGCCCTTATTTTTTCCTTTCTCTTGTCTTGTGATACCTGCTAATTCTCCATTATTTTCTTAAGTTTTATAACATCAAAAAAGCTCTTATCAATGCTTTCTGTCTTTCTATGGCAGCTGCTCAGTGCAGGACTGAAAATCAGACCTGGAACAAGGATCTCATCTGAGTACAATTGCTATATCTAGACAAAGACTTATCCTTTGAGTGAAGAAGATCACGTTGACAGATATACCCCTATAATGTGAACAAATACAATCTAGTTTCAGGATTTTAATACTTAATGAATCCTACTATGTTGGTACTATATATAATTGGTGACCCCACTTCCCTGGCTACACCCATCCATTAGCTGTAGGATTTATGAATATACAGATTAGAAAATCTTAATATGTTAATTCATATAGGATATGAAGGCCTTTACTGGGAGGTAACCAGCTCCTCTATGTTATTATTAATGAAATGATATGGTCAGAATTGGAACTTAGATAATTCATAAACAAAAGTGCTCTATTGAAGGCCTTTGAAAATGTGGCTTAAACTTATAAACTATAAAAGAAAGTATTAATAACATCCTTTACACCTAATAAAACACTTCTATAATGCAAAATATTTTTAAAAAGCTAAGTCCAAAGACAAAACTAGGAACAAACATTTTAACTTATGCCAAAAATATACACAAATATGTAATGATTTTCTATAAATTGATTTTTAAGACCAACAACTCAATATGAACAGGCTGTTCACAGTAATGGAAATAGTTTCCTTCTTTCTTCTTTCTTCTTCTTTCGTCTTTCTTCTTCTTTTTTTGGTGTCACCCAGGCTGGAGTGCAGGAGTGCAGTGGTGCAATCTCTGCTCACTGCAACCTCCACCTCTGGGGTTCAAGCGATTCTCCTGTCAGCCTCCTGAGTAGCTGGGACTACAGGCATGCGCCACTATGCTGGGCTAATTTTTGTGTTTTTCAAAGAGAGGAGGTTTCCCCATTTTGGCCAGGCTGGTCTTGAACTCTTGGCCTCAAGTGATCCACCCGCCTCTGTCTCCCAAAATGCTGGGATTACAGGCGTGATCCACTGCACCTGGACAGGAAATGCAATTTTCTTTTAAACATACAAAAAAATTATGATTAACCTATTATAAATATGCTAATGTATAATAAAATAATTGCAAATTAAAACTTCACTGAATCATTTGGGATCCCTCTGTTCTCTGCTCCAATTTTTCTAGAAACCTAAAACTGCTCAAAATTAAAGTCTATTAATTAAAATAAAACTTCACTGAATCTATCAAACTGGCAAAGATCTAGATGTTTCATTACAAACCATGTGAGCAAGACTGTGAGGAAGCAGAATCCTCATACGTAAGATAAATTGGTGTCATGCCTCCCCCTCTAGAGGGTAATTTGGTCATATTTATCAAAATTAAAAATGCACACTTCTTTTGACCCTTGAATTTTACTTCTTGATATTTATTCTGCAGATACAATTACATACATGCAAAATTAAGTGTGTTCAAAGATCCTTATTACAAGATTATTAGTAACTAGAGAAGAAAGGAAATAATCTAAATATGTATCAAATGAGAAGAATAAATACCATGATATCTCCAGCTAGTACAATATGAGTCAACAGTCCCTGAGCCAGAAGTGTTTCGGAATTCAGAATTCTTTTACTGAAAGATAATATGGTGATAGCATATTACATCACACTTCCAGAAGGGTTTGGGATAGCACCTATTTACCAACTGCATCAACATTTTGCATCATGTTTGAAAAATCACATTCGGTGGCATTATATATAGAAAAAACATAAGTATACTTACTTCAGGTCAGGCCAGTTCAGTTCAGACAGGGTGAGATTGTATCACTGGGGTAGGCAAAATAATGGCCACTCAAATATGCCTATGCCCTAATTCCTGGAACCTATGAGTTTTGGAGTTATTATATTAAGTTGCACACATTGAGCTACATTGACAAAAGAAATTTTACAGATGCAATTATCATTATGGACACTGAAATGAGGAGATTATCATAGATTTTCTGGGTACACCCAATCTAATTAATTGCATAAATCATTAGAAACAGAGAGCTGTCTCTGGCTGGAAGGAGAAGACAGAAGAGGAAGAGAGATGTGGAAGAAGGAAAGTCAGAGAAGGGCTTTATGCACCATTGCTGGCTAAAGGGTGAAGGGGGCAAAAAGAAATGCAGGTGTCTTTGAGAAGCTGAGAGAAGCGGACAACTAACAAGGAAACTGAGGTGACATCCCCACCACCAAGGAACAGAGTTCTGCCAACAACCTGAATAAGCTGGAAAGCGGAGTCTCTCCTACAGCCTCCAGACCTGAATAAGCTTGAAAGCAGAGTCTCTCCTACAGCCTCCAGAAAGGAGACACTGAATTTTTCCTAGCGAGACCTGAAGCAGAGAACCAATAATCCACAGTGTACCTGGCTATCTAACCCACAGAACTATGATAATAAATGTGTACTGTTTTAAGGGTCTGATTTGCGGTAATTTGCTCAGGACGCAATTAAAAACCTCAACATTTATCAAATCAGCAATAAAAATACTTTGCTTTCAGTGCTTTTACTTTTTTCTATTTTTAAAAAACTTTTTGTTAAAATGTAACATACATACAGAAAAGTCCACAAATGGCAAATGTAAAGTGCTTAATGAATTTTCAATAACTGAATACATTAGTGCATCCAGAGTCCAGACCAGAAAATAGTATATTGTCAGCATCCTGGAAGATACTCCCCGTGTTTTCTTCCATGGTGCCTTGACTTCAAATATGTGAACAAATTTGGCCTCTTTCTGTACTCTACATAAATGGAATCAACATATCTACTGTCTTATGTCTTGTTTCTCTCAATCAACTTTGTGTCTGTAAGATACATCCAAATTGTTTTGTATAATTATAGATTGTTCATCCTAATTGCCCCATGGTATTGCATTATATGGTTATACAGAAATTTATTTATCCTTTCTGCTATTGAGGGACATTTGGGGAATTTTCACTGTTCGGCTTTATGAATAGTGCTGCTAGGAATATCTAATACATGTTTTGTAGCCAATGTCTTGTACACACTATTCTTGGATATTGTAGATATGTAGAAGTGGAATACTGAGCCATTTAAAATTTCGGTATGTTTTCCTGAAATGCAGATAAGGAATTGAGGATCTATACTATGTAGCTATATAAAACAATGTGGAAGGTCCTCAGGTATTGGTGGGAAAAATTTCAAAAATATGATTATTAATAAAAAAAGGTACAAAACGGAGTACATTATACTTTGTGTAAAAGTGAGATAAGAAAATATATTATTATTTGCTTTTATATTCACAGAGAAGCCCTTGGAGGATAAACAAGACACTAATAAATGTTGCTACATTCAAATATATAGGTGATGGTAAGATGGGGCCAGAGTAGAAGAAAACTTTTTCATGCACATACCTAAACACATACACACACACACATACACACACGTATGTTTATATATGTAGATATATAGATTCTATATATATTTATGTGTGTGTATGTATATATATATATATACACATAGTTTTTTGAACTATGGGAATGTACTATCTACTCAAAAGTTAAAATAATAGTCTTAAGGGCCTGAGCCTCTATAAAGGCAATATTCCCTTTTTAAACATGGTTACATTTGGCCACAGAAATTCACAGAAAATGTCCCAATTTCTAGTCAATTTCCTAGACAGTAGTTAACAACCTTTAAGAAAAAAAAACTTTAACCCACCCCTCTCATTTTAAAAGATATGACGAGAAAACTGAGACACAGAAGAGTGAGGTATCCACCAGCTCTTAGCAATGTAGTCCTTCCAGAGCAGCCGCCGCCATCCCTGGGGAATGCTCAAGTTCTCTTTCTAAAATAAAGGTGGCTAGAGGCATAGCTGTTTCATAATGAAAAACACACACACACACACAAGTGAGTGAAGCACTTTTTAAAACTATAATTTACTTAAAAATATCCTTATTTTATTTAAGATTCTAAAGGAAAAACAAAATTCTGAATCCAGTTTTTTCTGATTCAAAACCATGGCACCTGCACCCAAGCTGAAATTTCATGAAAGGAAAGTTAGCAAACTATCTGTAAGACCCGGTGTATATTATTCAAATGGGAAACAGTACAAATCTGAGAAATCAAGAGTTGTCTCTCCAGAGGCCAAAATAGTGAACATTTTTATTTTCTCATAATACAGCTCCTAAGGCAGCCTGGCCTTCTGAGAGCAGCAGCCTTGTGGCTATGCTCAGCTGGCTGATGCTGCTGGACTTCCCACGACACCACCTTTCCTCATCTCTTTTGGCTCTGTTGAGCTGAAAAGCACAGAGATATAGAGCCACCTACTTTACTCACACATAAAGCCAAAAGACATTATGAGTGTGAAAGTGACTTACCAATTTCTGGCCCCAAGTCAAAGCTCAGTAAAAGCTTGTACTTACTCCTCCTTTCCAATCACAGTCATAAATCTGGCTTCTTCTGCACAAGGGGCCATCATAATTGATGGCTACGTTTCAAAGACAAAATAGTCAATATACTGGGCAAACCTCCCCATCCATTTCTCGTAAGCCATGCGTGTAATTTACGACCCTTCTAACTTATCATCACCCTAGGAATGTATTGATTTTTTTTAAGCACATAGTCGACTTCTGTGATTGCTGGCTCCAAATGGGACTGATATTTAAACAGCAAAATCATTTCAGTCTTTACATTTGTAAGTGATCAGCAATTCCCATCATTTCACCCCACTTTCTGCAAGTTTCCAGCTGTGAGAGATTCGGTGATTTACAGCCTTCGTATTGAAGGGAATAAATCAGCATTTCTTTAGTTCGGAAGTTCTGTTGAATGTCATAGTGAAAAAAATTCTAAAGATGTCCACCTCGAGATTCCTGCCCCCTGGTATTACATCAAAGATGAATGTAGATACTACTGTGAAAGAACTTTGTAGATATAAGTAAGGTTTACTAATCAGCTGATCTTAAAATAGGGAGATTATCTGGGTAGGCCCAATGTAATCACAAAGAGCCTTTAAAAGCAGAAGAGGAAGGCAGAAAAGTCCTTCAGAGAGATGTGGCAGAAGAAAAAGACAGGTGAGATGAAGCAGAAAGGGAGGACGGGAGATTTTAACTGTGAGAAGTACTTGACCCATTATTACTGTTTTTGAAACTGGAGGAAGAAGGGCATGCATTAAATAATGTGGTTATCCACTAGCAGCTGAGAACAATCCCAAGCTGATAGCCAACAAAGCAGCAGGAACCCTTGTCCCACTGCCACAAAGACCTAAATTAATTCTTCAGTCAGCCTGAATTAGCTTGACAGCAGATTCATCCCCAGAGCCTACATAAAAGGATATAGCCCTACTAGCATGCTAGTTTCAGCATTTTTTTTTCTTTTTGAGACGGAGTCTTGCTCTGTCACCAGGCCAGAGCGCAGTGGCACGATCCCCACTCACTGCAACCTCCACCTCCTGGGTTCAAGCAATTTTCTTGCCTCAGCCTCCCAAGTAGCTGGGACTACAGATGCCTGCCACCATGCCCAGCTAATTTTTGTATTTTTAGTAGAGATGGGGTTTCACCATGTTGGCCAGGATGGTCTTGATGTCTTAACCTCATGATCCACCCACCTCTGCCCAGTGCTGAGATTACAGGCATGAGCCACCGCGCCCAGCCAGTTTCAGCTTTTTTCACCTAGAGTAGAGAAACCGTTAATTCAGAATAAGCCTGAACTTCTCACCTACACATCTGTGAGGTAATAAAAAGATATTGCTAAATGTATGCTTATTTGTTATGGGAATTATAGAAAACTAATACCAACATTTAATAGTTTTTATGTAAGAAGGAAGTATTTCTACATAACATATGACATAAGCCTCACACAAACCTTTGTGTCTGTCCCACCAGCTTAATCATCAACATCCTTACCTTCATCAGGCTCATTCCATTATCTACACAACCATGTTCTCTTCATGATGAACTATTGTGATTCTATCATTCATGAATAAATGTGTGTCTTAGTCCATTTTGTGTTGCTATAAAATAATACACAAGACTGGGTAATTTATTTTTAAAAAGTTTGTTTGGCTCATGATTCTGATGCCTGGAAAGTTCAAGATTGAGCAGTTGCATCTGGTGAGGGCCTCAGGCTCTTCCACTCATGGCAGTAGGTGAAGGAAAGCCAGCATGTGCAGAGATTACATGGCAACAAAGGAAGCAAGAGAGAAGGGGAGGTGCCAGGCTCTTTTTAACAACCAGCTGTTGTAGGATCTAAGAGAGTAAGAACTCACTCACCACAAAGGAGGGCATTAATCAGTTCACAAAGGATCCACACCCATGACCTAGTCACCTCCTATTAGGCCACACCTCCAGCACTAGGAATCAAATTTCAACATGAGGTTTGGAGGAGACAAACATCTAGACCTTAGCAATGTGTTTCAAAGTTGTTTGGCAAGAACTGCGTTTTACTTATCTTTTGAAATTTTACAGTAGCTCGTGCAGAGCCTGGCACATAGAAGGCTTTTAAAAATTACTTGCTGAGAGTCGATAATTTATTTTTTCCTATGAATACCATCTGAACTCCAGGTGGTATTCTAGACAAATACCTTCTCTCTTTGTTTTCTTGGATGTTTTCTGAGATGTTTTCTCCACCTTTATAACAACTGATGACAAAGAGTTAGATGTGGCCACTGAGTTGTAGCACCCTAATAATGGGACTAGGTGACACTGATGCAACCAAGCCCTTATTTGCACCCCTGATTCCACTGACATGTACAGTTAACCCTCCATTCATGGGTTCCACATCTGTGGATTCAATCAACTGCAGATACAAAGTATTCAGAAAAAGGCTTGGCACAGTGGCTCATGCCTGTAATCCCAGCACTTTGGGAGGCCAAGGTGGGGGTGGTCATGAGGTCAGGAGATCGAGATCATCCTGGTTAACATGGTGAAACCCCGTCTCTACTAAAAATACAAAAAAAAAAAAAATTAGCCAGGCTTGGTGGCGGGCGCCTGTAGTCCCAGCTACTCGGGAGGCTGAGGCAGGAGAATGACATGAACCCGGGAGGCAGAGCTTGCAGTGAGCTGAGATCACGCCACTGCACTCCAGCCTGGGCGATAGAGCAAGACTCTATCTCAAAAAAAAAATTCAAAAAAAATTATACAAATTTCCAAAAAGCAAACTTGAAGTTGTCATGTGCTAGGTACTGCATTAAATCCAGACAAATGAGGTGATGTGTAGGCATTGTTACAAAAAATCCAGAAATAACTGTGTAGGATATATGCAAACACTGTGCTATTTTATATAAGGGACTTGAGCATCTGTGGATTTTCATATTTTGGGGGGTTTCCTAGAACTAATCCCCCAAGGATACTGAGGAATAGCTATATTTATAATAAAAATTATTATGTTAAGCTTCAGTCTCTGACTGTAGCTATGGTCAGAAGGAAAAAAAAATTAGAAGTTAGTCTTCAAAGAGGGACTATGGGTTGATCTGTGAGTCTAGAAATGTACTATGGATAAATTCATAACCAGTACTGATATCAATTTCTGCTTACGTTTAGGGCAGAATTTTAAATTGACTTTGAAAATTCATCAAAATCTTCAGATTATTTCCAAGACTTCTCCAGTATTTACTGTATGTAGAAATAACAAATTCCTCCTAACTAATCAGAATTACAATTTTAGTAAAACCATTTATATGTTCTTGCCTCCCAGAATATGGAAAAAAACTGCGTGATACCTGTGGCAGAGTTTATGAGTGCTACAAATTTTACATCTTTACGTTCCACTATTTTAATACAAAAATGATATCTTAGCTGGTTATAAAAGTCTGTGAGAACAGACTTTCTTCTTTAGCTTTTTATGTAAATGGGTCTATTACTTTCTTTCATCTAATATTTTATGAAAAAGAGTGAGGATAACTTAATTTTTTCCTTCTTTTGTAGAACATCTGATCTTTTTACCTGGATTGAGGTATTCCTGTATATTTTTTACTAAGTTATTTACTTTTTAAATTATTCTTCATAGAATTTTAAACACTTCTCAAACCTGTCCTCAAAGTCACTGATTTTGTTTTTTCTTTTTTTTTTTTTTTTCCATTTTAGGTGTATTCCTTAGTGCTTCCTTAGTTTCAAACCTATGATAAATTTTGTCTTTTGTTTTTCTTTTATTTCTTAGTAAAATATGATACATACATAATACAGACTACAGAGACTAGAAGATGTAGTTTGTACAACTGAAAAAGAACACAGAACAAAAAGAATATAAAAATAGTCATGCAATAATAAAATAAAACTAAAATAAAAGACTAACTGAATACAGAGACTTCTGGGTTCACTATGTTCCAGGGAGAGGATAGAGATACAAAGAGAGAGAGAGAAAGGGAGAGAAGGAGAGAGAGAGAGAGAAGCTAGATGAAAAACTTCAAGAATAAGAAATGGATATCACTGGCATAACTTTTTTTCCCATTTTAGTCTGTCATCTTCTACTTTCAATACTCTCTTCCTTTCATTGGTAGCTTCTTGTTTTTTGATAATACAAAAAAAAAAAACTTTTTACAAAGTCTTTCTTCTATCTCTCGAATTACAACATGTACTCTCCATTTAATTTTCACTTATAATATCTAAGTCTTTCTTTTTGTTTGACACATCTTAACAGAGACACCAGGCTAAATTGTCTGTTCTTTTTATTCACCTTTGACTAGAAGAAGCTATATCTGTATCATTATTTTTGCCCTAGAAAAACATTAGAAGATTCTACTCAACTCCTCTCATTGTTTCCTTGGATACTTTCCATTTTCTATTTAGTGCCTGTGTTGGCAGGTTATGTATTGGTGGTTTGTAATATCTGATAGATTTTGTATTGCTTGGGCGTGGGAGGTGGCAGCGGAATTGAGAACTGGCAAAACGAGCAGCTGTCAGCTGGTAACTCTAATTTGGGTAAGTTCTTTCTTAGCACTTGCCAAATTTGAAATACCATCTGCCTCAGGGCTATGTGTGCTCCCTTGATTAGAAGTGTGCGGCTACTTTAGAGCTCATCCTTTCACTTGCTTGAGGACAGCAGATTACTTTGTTGGGAAACCAGTGACCATACAATGCCCTCATCTCCCAAACGTTTGTTGCACGCTATGGACTTATCTCTATTGACTTTCATCTAAAATTGCAAACTTAGATCTCTGCTCCTTGTTATCCAATATTCTCCACCCTGCTTATCTTATACCATTTGGGATTTTTTTGTGACTTAAGAAACCCAATGACTTTAGCCATAGAATTTTTGTTTTGTTTGGGGTATTGTTTGTGTAAATAAAAATACAGAAGCTAAGCTAATTTTATGTAATGATTGATCCACTACCAAGAACCTAGTATATCTCTACATCTGCTCTGCCTGCTTCATTTATAATTGAATATTGTTAAAGCTGGGTGATGGACACGTGGCTTATTACATGACTTTATCTGCTTTTGTATATTCTTGAAATTTTCAATGTAAAAAGTAAAACAAAATTACTCCAGTCGGGGGAAATTTCTGTATTTCTCCCTATCCTTATTGTTTCAAAAAAGGGTCATTTTCAGGGCATTATTCTAACTTTTGTCTTATATTCAGACCTCTGCACTGGACTTACCATGGGAAGTCTTTTGTGCTTATCTTTGATTTGACCCAAATTTTATGTATCTGACAAAGTTTGTCATATGGACCTGTGGCAGGTTAATTAAAGATGAATTTTACTATACTCTTTTAGGGTTTTGTTCCTTCAGCTGGATTGCTTTGGGAGAGGGGAGTTGAAGATATGTATTTTTTTTTCTTGTCAAGAGAGTCTGTTGGAAAGGGCATTTAATTTATTTGAACAGAGGTGTCAGTATTGCTCTAAAAACCATAAAGCACAGAAGACAAAACCATACTGATATAAATAATTCACCTCCTTCTCCCCCCAATCACTGCCAATTATATTTTGTTGCCAGGAAAAAAAGGTCAAAGAAATATTACAAACTTCTCAAATTTGCATAGGCCTAACTCCTCTATTGTAGTTATTGCAATTCTTTCTTGAGGCTACAGTAGCAGTTAGTACTGGAAAGAATGAAATCTGAAGTCCAAAGAACCATTCTTCCAAGTTATAAATGAAGTTTTGAGATATTATTCCCTCAATCCCATGGTGTCACCATTATAAAAAGCAATTAATATGATGTACCACTGAATTAATGATATTTCCATAAAAGGGTGCATAGTGATTAAAAGACTCTTTCTGATTTTAGAAATGTGAGAGTATGACAAAAATGCATCTGCTAGAATGGCAGAAGTCTGCAAGTCTTCTGTTTTCATAGGCCCAAGCAACCTGAAATTTCTTAGAATGAAAAGTGCCAGCAGCCATAACAGGTTGCAACTTATCCAAGCTTAGTTTCTGTAGCCCTTCTTAAGGTGAGAAGTAGGGGAGCAGGTTTTCTGAGTCTTATCGCTTTCTTTCTGAATTGTGGCTTTGTAGGGGTTCCTTGTCATCCTTCATCTCTATTTTACCAGGTTACCAAGCTTTCTACAGAAGCTGGCTCTTTCTGGCTACTTCTATCACAGCTTTCCTGTCAACTGGGTTTTTCATCAAGTTCTTGAGTTTTGAATCTTCTTCATCTTATCTTGGATCAAATGTAGTATCTCCAACTCAATTCTACATCTTTCACCACCATTTTCTCTGTTCTGCCCTTAGAAAAGTGTTCGCTCATCCTGCTGAGATTCAAGGAGAGTCACCCCTGGCTAGTGAGTAATCACATTTAGACATGTTTTGTGTTGTCTCTCAGACCCTTGTTTGGCCACATGAGCAGCTCCACAGAGAAATGGTCGATACTATTGTAGATATTATCATATCCCACTACTCCCTTCTCTTTTGTTTAGCATGATATGCTACTGTGGTTTATATCAATTCTTGGCTGGCTGTCAGTGATGCCAGTTGTGCTAAAACCATATTTAGCAGACCTAAACACAGTGGTCCATGGGATAGCATTGAATTCAATGGCTGCCTTAGAGGTTAACACAATGAGATCTGTTTTCAAGGGGAGAGAGGGAAACCTGACACAAAGAAAACTTTTGAGAGAGTCCTGGGGGAACATCATATGCATCTGGTATGTCTGAAACATTTGGAGTCTCCTCCTCTGCAAGTGAATACACATAGCCTGTACTGTATGTGTCACTGCTACTTCATTATCACAAATTTTTTTCAGGATAAGAGAAATTGAGCCTAATAGCTGTCATATCATGTCTTTTAACACTCCACCCTCTTATGCTGAAGGAAGCTACAATCATCCAAGTGGGAAGTAATGTCTACCGATGTTCTGATTTAAGTGAATGAAGGTCTTCTTTCCACCTCGGGAAATCTTGAGGGTTATGTAACAGCAGCTTTGAAAGGCTTGTGAGATGTACTTTGTGCTAGTCCATCTCAAATCTTCACCGGCTGTACCAAGAACAGAAAAAAAAAGGAATTTGGTGAGTACTTTATAAAGCTAAATTTACTCAATTAATTTCACCTCTGATTATGTTTTTCATGTATCTTGGGACATTAGAATGTCCTGTATTTATAAATGATGATGAGGATAGAGAGTAAATATTTTGTTTTGCTTTGTCTTGTTTTTAATAAAATACAGAATTAGCAAACCTATTACAGCCTATCATATCTAGTCCATGAAATTCAATACCTAGATAAGTACTTCTACAATTCATGGGTGCTCCAAATACTAGAGAATGCTTATAATGACACAATGTCTGACACAGAAGAGTATTTAATAAATGTTAATTATGTCACTGTTGTTCCCACCAAGAAAACTGGTCATTTGGGGATGTTAGATTGTGTTCTTTTGAGTTTCTTTTTTCTGATTTGGGAACAGGGGAATGGAGGGTGAAATTGCCAATGACTGTTAGTGAAGGAAAAGGGAAGATGTGTGGTGTTTACAGAAGTATGTGTATAAATCAACAGGCTATTGTCAGATATATGTTTTTTAAGACAGCACACCAGCAGCTGCATGTGTTTGGTAAGTTAGGAAACTTAAAAGTGCCTGCCAGTTATGCAGCCACCTTTTGAGCAAAGCTGCTACAGAAGGATTATTATTTCAGATTACCATACTTTATACCACAATATTTTACTACTCTGGCAACAGCTGTTTAGACTAAGGCTAGGTGCCTGGGGTTTTCTTGGTGATGAGGTGACCTGGGTTGAGGTATCTGCTTAAAACTCACACTTTACACTTGATAGTGTCTAAACATGGCAAAGATATTTTCATCTTTGAAAATCTAAATACCAACATTTTGAGAAGTGGCAAAAGGAAGTAAAAAGTATAGACATGAATTTATCCATCTACTCATTTTATTCTATAAACAATCATTACTGGAGCCACATCAAAGGATAGAGGAGGTGACAAGGATAAGAAATAAGAGTGCCTGCTTCATAAGAGATGAGCACTCTACTTTTCATGGTATACCAGAATGTCTGCTGTATCCTGAACTAAAACACTTTCACTTTTATGTGATAGTTTCTGAGTTCTTTTTTATTAGAAGCAATCAATGCGCTCAACTAACTTAAGCAATAAATACATTATTTTACCATAAAGATAAGAGCTTGTCTCACATCACCAATATCAGGAAAATTGTTAGGTACAATGAAAGACCTGTATCCAGGGCCACAGCCATGAGGCTGATTCCTTTCTCCTATCTCTGCACCTCTCCCTGCTTCAATCCCTTTTCAGGGAGTTTCTTTTTAAGAGGAAACAGTACGCCAGTTTCTTCTACTTCTCCCGTTGTCATAGCCTAAAATACAGTGGCTCTCAGTCTTCACATTACAGTCTGACCATCAGAGAGACAAAACTTCACCACTGTGTGTTCCAAATTCCCAGGGAAGGGTTTTCATTGCGCATGAAAGCAACCATTCTCACTTTGTGGCTAGAAAAGGAAGCTACTTTATGGGAACAAAGTTCTAGGCTGAAAATTCAGTAAGTGTCCACCACAGTTTTCCTGCATTTCTACCTCTTTTATACAATGCAACCTTCTATTTTTTGAAACCTGAAAGACCTTGGAAGAATAAAACATCCCTACCTGTAAGGTCATTTCTCTGAAATAATTTATAGCTGATTATTGAAAATAATGGTGGAATGGGGGTGTTTATGAATGGTATTATATCAAGAGGACCAAGAAATATCCACATTTGTGTCTGATATATCCATAAATTCCCTAGTAGAAGGATCAAAGAAAAAAATCTTAACACTGTATTTTCATATGCTTTTTATTCTAAGACACTTCTTTTTCTTTTCTTTTCTTTTCTTTTCTTTTCTTTTCTTTTTTTTTTTTTTTTTGAGACAGAGTCTCACTCTGTCGCGCAGGCTGGAGTGCAGTGGCACAATCTCAGCTCACTGCAATTTCTGCCTCCCAGGTTCAAGCAATTCAGTGCAGTGGCGCAATCTCAGCTCAAGTGATTCTCCTGCCTGAGTCTCCCAAGTAGCTGGGACCACAAGGACGCTTATTTTTAAGTTTCTTAATTTTAAATGTGTAACTAATAATAAAGGAAATTTGACAGAAAAGCTATGACCCAATAATCATTGGTCACACATGGAGAAACTTTAGCATATGAGAAGTTTTCTATTCAATCCTTTTGAGTCATATGTATTGGTAGCACATTTTAACTTGTTATGCATCTTTAATTGTTACTTAAAATGTGTTCAAAGATTTACACCAGAATCATTGTAGCAAAAAATTCATGATTTCACAGAAGGCTGCCTGTTAATAATCAAAGGCAGTATGAACTGCTAAATATCTTGGATTAAAATAATGCTCAAGAGTTTCAAGTAGGAAAGACTTTTGTGACTGGTTAGTGGTTCATAAAATTCTGTCATTCAAACATAAGCCCATTTTCTGTCAATACCATTGTTTAAATATCAGGATATACATGAGTTATTAGGAAGAAACATACAAAATAAATTAAACCAAGTAATAAACACATATGAAAACTTAGTGTTCTTCAACTAGCCTCAGACTTAAAAGGACTTAGTTAATCAAGATCATAAGCCCAGTTAACAAAAAACAGCAAGAGGATATCATAATTTCTGAGTCCAAAAGAGATTTTAAAGATGCTTAAATAAAAAGCTGGTAACTAAAGAGAAAAATGTTATGTAATTTTATGGATATATGTATATTATTTTCTATTAAGATTTTTAATATGTTCATTAAAAAGAGTTTATTTTTTCCCAAAGTACAGCAGTCATATATCTTATGATGCATGACATTCTAGACTAGATAAAATAGAGTAGAAAAGCAAACTTTGTTCCTCACCCCAGTGATGAAGTTTTTGTTGCTGGGCTGGACCATATAGAAAATCTTTTTCCTAAATTGGTCGTGCTGAGATTCTTGCTCTGCTTCGACCTCCAATCATTAAACCTTGCTTTGATTCTCATCATTTTCTGGCTTCATGGTAGGAAGAGGCAGAAGTGTCACCTGGGGCACTTCATTTTTGCAAGTATTGCTCCACTAGCACAGTTAGCACAGTGACCCCACCTATTGCTGGAACCTAATCAGTTAGAAAAATAGCATCCCTTGGGGATTGCATGGGAGAGGCAACAAAGGTTGTGAGGCAAATGTGAGGTACAGACAATAGACAACAGAGAATACCGTATTCTCAGAGAGAAGAAAAATCACTGAAGGGAGGGCAATAGAACTTGAGTTGGATCTTAGAGGACAGGTTGAATTCACATAGGTGGAAAGGAAGATGGAGGATATTTTAAAGTCAGGGAGTAAGTAGTGGAGGAAAAAGCACAAATATGAGGATAGAGGAAGCTCCTTTGAAGGGGTTAGACTGGAGAGTTAGTGTTGTGAAAGACGTTTATGCTTGCTCAAAGAGAGAACTTTATTAATTTAAGCTCTGTCAGTCAAAATTACCCTCCACTCCATTGAAAGCAATACACAATGTTATTTATTTGATTAAAGTAGTTCAAAAATCACTAGTGCAGAGATGAACTATAAGCTCTATGTGAACAGGCACTATCTGTATTATTAAATATGGTCAAACCACACCCGGTCAATACAGTGTCTGACACATTGCGTATGTTTAACAAATACTTGTTGAATCAATTTCTGTGAGTATCTAGGTGTTCTGAGAAACTCAAGCATCAAGATGCTGGTTAGACCCACGTTGGCACACAGGACTCTACTCAATAAAGGAATAAAGTTAAAAATTAATTCACTTCCGTTTATAACACAGTGCACACAAAAAGAATAACTCAGTATTTAATAACAAATGTGTAAAATAAAAATCTCCTCTTTCATTTCTGATATTGATAATTTGTCCTTTCTTTTTATTCTGAATCATTCGTTCTAGATGTGTACCTATTTTACAGATTTTTTTCAAAGTGCCAATTTTTGGCTTTATTATTTTCTCGAATATGCTTTTATTTTCTACTTCATTGATGTCTGGTCTTACCATATTATTTCCATCCTTCTACTCTCCAAGAGTTGTTATTTTCTTCTCTGTTCTTTTAAAATGGAAACAAAGAAAAGATTGTACTTGACAAGATAAGGAAACAGAAGTTGATTCTGATCATATCACCATGGTATAATTCCGATAATATTGCTGCAAGAGGGGAGAGAGCACAGCTGAAGCAAAAGGCAGGAGAGTTTTCAGGAGCTGGGCAAGTGAAACTACAGACCATCTGTGTTTGGTAATTGGCTTTACACAAAGGAAAAGTAAACTTTCTCTAATCTTCTGACAGTAGGAAAGGCACCCTCTGGAGTTAAGCTCCTTTTCTCCCACGGATATTGGGATATAGGGGCCATTTCTTCTTGATGATTACCTTTCAAAAGGATAGCTCCCAGTACTTGAGGAAGGGTCCTGGGCTGTGAAACTGACAAGAGACTTTTTAACAGATTTAGATCGCAAAGGTGCAAAGAAATATTTTACAATAAAGAATTTTCTGAAGCAATTATTCTAAGAGGATGGAGGACAAGACTTAGAGTCAAGAAGAAGCCTGTGTAAAGTTGAGTCAAGCTGAGGGGAAAATTAAGGCACAATTTATTTTCTTCTTTTCTACCAAATGTTTTTAAACTATATTTCTCTAACACTGCTTTAGCTGCAAACCATAAGTTTTAATGAAATTTATTTAGTTCAAAATGTTCCTAATTTCCATTGTGATTCCTCCTCTGACCCATGGATTGTTTAAAACCAATAATCATACTAATAATTTTTGATTGGGATGTTCCAAATATGTCAATTAAGCCAAATTGTTCAAATCCTTTACATTCTACCAACTATCTTCTGCTTGCTCTATCTGTACTAATCACCCTTTTAATTTAGGAGTTGGCAAATGCTTAGAGGGGAGATTATAGGCAGATTTTGAAGCTTAGTTCCCTGTAGTTTCCTTCTCTCTGCGATTTTGTTTCTCAAATTTTTGGCTGCTTGGGAAATGTGAATTTCAACGTCTGTTTAAGTCTAAGCCCCATGTAATAACCACTTTCTACTTGGATTTCATTCCTCTCTTCTATTAGTTACATTCATGATCACCATACTTGGACACAATAGGTGGCCAACAAATGTTTTCTTTCCTTTTCAATAATTGTCATTAGCTTGACCTTTCTGAGGCTGGAAAGTAGACTCCTGCCGTTTAGAAAGATTTTTCTAAGTCTACTTTTTGGCTTAGTAGCCACACCTGGAGAGGAAGCAAACATTCACAGGCCACCAACCATGTACCAAAGTGGGAAAATGATGGCTTGACGGGGCACCAGTGAGAGGACACAGAGAGCTACCGATGAATACCTATACTAGAAAATAGTAAGTTCCCTGAATTATCTGTTATGTACCCGAGTTGTGTTCAGTAGGACTTTTTGTCGCAAGTAAGAGAAATACATTTTAATAAGCCAGGGGGAGCTTAACAGAGGATTATTCATCCAGAAACTGGAAAATCATCTTGGCCCAATGTGGTCCCTGTCTCTTCCTGCCATCTTCTCACTCTACCCATAGTCATCTATCTCTCCCTCTTTGTTAGTTCAGCTTTCTCGCTCTCCGCAGACTGGCTTTTCTACCTTTTCATACATAAGAGCAAATACAGTCATGTTCAAAAGCCTGCCAACATGACTGCCTGGAAAATTCTAGTCCAATTACACACTGTCAGAGTCTAGAAATATAAGCTTGACTGCTGGAGCCCAGGGTCCAGGGTGGGTGTGGAAGAAAAGTGTGGGACTGGGCGGGAAATGAGCTGCAAGTGCTGTTGCAGATTCACAGTTGGTTTAAGCACTTTAAATAATCAGAACAAAGTTAGTCTCCAATTCCCCTCAGGGAAGCATTCCAATGATGTCAGCTAAGTTCCATTTTGAACAAATGATTTACAGACCATGTGTCTCCATACACTGTAATGGCATATCATCTGTCTTCATCTGACACTTCCTTAAAGGGCAACAGGGATGAGACAATTAACTGTTGTGTTGACCTTGTAGAGCTCTAGTCCTCAGCCTCAACTTTGTTATTAATCTTATGTCATACAGAACCCAGCCCTGTTAAGATACCCACCCTAACCTTGGTCACAGACTAAACTTGTAATGCCTACCATGAGCAAGGGCCCTAAACCTAACCATATACTGAGAGATGGAAATTGTCAACTTATCACAAAATCTATAAATTTGGAAAAGAGAACTTTACTTCTTATGAAGGGCTACAACTTGCAGGCTGGGAAGCACAGCCTCTGGTAGAGACCGAAAGTAGAAACTTTGAGGGAGGGAGCGTGTCACTGAGTTTTATACTTGGCTGATAAGTTAGATATACATATTTATCAGGTTACAGGAGGGGCTAGGAATGTTCATGAGGGGAAGTCACAAGCATGTGTGGTAAGCAAACATGTTATGTCACATAGTACCAAGTTCATTTTGGGGTACAGACTTAACATCAAAATGTGATAAAATTAGGCTGTATATGTGAAAATGTGAAATGGAGGACGCAGAGATGCCTCACACAACCTCCATGAATCCCTCAGAACCATTCCATGGTTGCTGGTCACTTACCAGGAAGGAATGTTGATCAGCTGTTGTGTCAAAACCACAAAAGGGGAGGGGATCCGGTCAAGGTGCGAAGCTATTGGTTGAAGTCGGTGGAAGAGTGAGTTATTCCTTCTTTTTTTTTTCCAGGGCTGGTTTCTGTTTAACTCTTAGAACAAAAAGTCTAATGGCAATTTGGGAGGGAGGGGGTGTAACGAGGCGTGACTGATTCCCACACCCATCATGGCTAGAAAACGTTGTTGCTAAGGTTTCTCTGGGGTCTCCTTGGCCAAAAGGGGTTTGTTCACTTGGTCAGGGGAATTAAGATTTCATTTTCATTTCACAAAATGCTTTGTGCTGCATATTGTACTCTTACAGCTTAGGCTCAGCTTCAGTGTTCAACACAAAGTAGCCCTGGAACATGACCTTAACCCTGCATGTTCCTCACTTACATAAATGAGACTCTCATTTGAAAGCAGTTAAACTACATCAGGCCATGATGGTCTGGGTAGACATCAACTAACATGGAAAAGTCAAATATTTTTTCGCTCACAGTTAAAATTCTGAAACGCATAACCAAGTGTTGCCTATAGTTCCAGATGGCATTATTCTGAGTTTAAGCTGAATATTTTTGAGATAGCAAAATATAAGACATGCGAATTATCTAATTTAAAATGTAAAGGCTGATATACATAATCAAATGATGGACGAAATTTTTCTCTATCTGAAATAAATAATATTTTTAAATTAGTTGATGAATGACAGATGCTGTGCTTTTCTTTGTTCTGTGGGCCCCAAAGGCTTATTTCCCATCCTCCTCGCCCCTTGAATAAAGTAGGTGACAAGAATTGTAGATTTTCTATTAAATTGTAATTGCTTTCAATTTTCAAAAGAGTATTTAAAATATTATATATATAAAAAGTGAAGAATGATAATTTGAAAAGAGTCATGATACAATTAAAGAAATAGAACTCTAACAGTACACTTGAATTCTGTTTACTCCTACCCAATCACATTCATTTCCTCCTCCCTTCAAGTTACTATCCTCTTGAATTTAGCATTTATCATTGCCATGCATTTCTTTATACTTCTACTATGTTACATGTATCCCTAGCAACATTTAGTACTGCTTTGTATAAGTTTACACTATATGTAAATATTATATATTCTTCTGTAACTTGGTATTTTCCTTTTAGCATAATTTTGTGAGATTTATCCACATGTATGATATTTTAATTTTTTACTATAATGTATTCATTCTACTTGGGTGGAAATTTCAGTGTTTTTTCCAGTTTCTTGCTAGGTCATGCTCTTTATACAGTCACATGCCTCATAATGTTTTGGTCAACAACAGACCACCTATGTGACTGTGGTCCCATGAGATTATAATACTGTATTTTTACTGTACCTTTTCTATGTTTAGCTATATTCTGATACACAAATATTTATCATTGTGTAACAGTTACCTACGGTGTTCCGTACAATAACATACTATACAGGTACGTACCCTAGGAACAGTAGGCTATATCATGTACCCAAAGTATGTAGTAGCCTGTACCACCTAGGTTTGTATAACTACATTCTAGGATGTTCAAATAGTAATGAAATTACCTAACCACATTTTTCTTAGAATGTATCCCCAATATTAAGTCATGTATGACTGAAATTGCTCTTTGCCTTCCATTTTTGACCTCCAATTTCAAATAGGGCATCTCTAGTAGGCTTTGAGGGAAGCAATTATACAAATGTAGCTTCAAGAAACAAAGATATTTCATTCTAGAAGCAATGTGACTGTATATTAAGCATAAGATATGGTCTATAGGTAAACATCTTTGTCTCCATTAAAAGACAATTTATTTATTGATGGAAATTATATTCTATACCTCAGTTTCCTCATTTGCCACAAGGGATAATAATGGTACCTACTTCACAGGGTAGTTTTGAGGATTAAGTGGGTTAATACATGTAAATTGTTACGACATTGCTTTGCACATAGTGCATGCTGTTGCCATTTTTATCATTATGATAACTTCATGGGAAATATTTTGCTATTTTTATATGTACTATAGTAACTTTATGAGTATTGTTTTATATATCAGGTAGCCTGTTCTTCCTGCTGGATTTGGATGTTATGTATTCGGAGGCATGAACGTAAATTGTTTGTGAAAATTTCCATCCTTCATAAGCTTAATTTCAAAAGATAGCCTGTCATCTCTAGTGTTTATTCAGCTGATATTTCTAAGCACAGCTGTAAGAATACTGAGAGGGTTTTTGAGCTGCTGTGAATAAAACTGTTGGTGGAGGGCAAGCTAGAGTTGTTAAAAGAGGTGACATGTGAGTATACAGCAGGGTCTTTCAAGGGATTGCAAGAAGGTGCATCTACCAAGGCCTTCAACTCTTAAGGAGTCAGTTGACTGGAAGAGACTTGGGAATGTCCACTTATATCATTCCATTTCAGACTACCTTAGATTAATATGGGTTTTGCTGGTTCCTGAGGACCCAGATCCAAAGGGCCTAACCCAGGCTATTGGTCTTTCTCTGGCAAGACACACCCAATTCCCTAAATGCAGTGGAGGTCAGCAAATAGGTTTCAGGACACTTTATTAAAAATGTTTAGTTCCCAGAGCAAACTTGTAGCCACAGTAATATGATGCTAGTGGCTTCTCTGTAGTTCATTGCTAACCACCAGGGCAGATGCCCAAACTGCCAGGTCAGTCAGTCTCAAGATGTGGCAAAGGTAAAACTCCTTGCCCTGTGTATATGTGAGCTCCATCTCCTTCAGCTGTCACTGGATCCCTGGGCTGCCTCTACTTTCCACCTTCAGAGAAATTTGAGTGGTTCACAAAAATGTCTAATTTACTTATAAAAGCACAATCATTTCAGAGACACCAGAGGATTATGTTTGGCAGTGGAATCTGAAATGTTGCTTTTTTCTTTCACTGTTTCTCAGAGAAAATTGTTCTTTTTCTGCAACTTAATAACCTCAAGCAATACTTCGTGAAAGCTCTCTTTGTTCTTTTGGATTTTCCAAGCCCTGCCTGGGGAATAAGGCTCACATCGCCATTTGGAATTGCCACCACTGAGAAGGAACTGTGAATTGGCATGCATTAGTATTCAGGTGCTTTCTTTGAAACATTCACAGTGTTCTTCCGAGGAATTTTTAATGCCACAGTGATCCCATCTCTGCGTGACTATTGCTTTCTTACCAATATGCCTCTAGACCTTCTGTTCTTTCTATTTCAGGAGATAGCCAGTTGCTAAGCCTCTTTCACATCATGGCAGCAATGAATCCTTAGTTAATTGCTCCCTCTACTACCTCAGAAATAGCACCAAATGCAGAAATGGGACCCTTTTCAGAATATTTCATCAGGAACTCAAACCTCATAAAAGAGACTTCCCTTCTTCCTTCTGGGTAGCAGCAACATATCATTCCTGTGGGGTGTCCTTTCTCACTGCACTGAATCATTAAATCTGATTTTGTCCAACCTAAAGCTTGTCTCTGGTAGTCTTTAGCTGATTAGGCTTTAACAGCAAGATCGCTTTTACAACCACACCCTCCCACCAGATCATCCTGACCAGTCTCAGTTTAGTCCTACTAACCAAAAGAAATGTATTTGCTGCCTGCTTCAGACCAGGAAACCAACCCTGTTGTACTCACAGAATCAGAAGAATGAAAATCAGACATTATAATGCCAGCAGGCCTCTGCAGTGCTTTCACAGCCCAGGGACCTTAATACATTTATCCCTTCCATCCACTACTTCTGACACACATACCTGAGTGAGACACAGAGGGATGTGTCATATCATCTGAAAAAGGAGCAAGTTTTATCATCTCAGAATCCTCCTCACACAAAGCAAGGCCCGGCATAGGGAGCTGAATCAATACATATCACTCAATGAAAGTTCTAGACCTTCAAATATAAAAGGTAAATAAGAAATTAGGGGGCAGAGGTGCAGAGGTAGGGTGGAAAGTAGGGGGATGAACTCAGTTTTTTGTTTGTTTGTTTTATGAGATGGAGTCTCGATCTGTCACCCAGGCTGGAGTGCAGTGATGCGATCTCGGCTCAATGCAATCTCCGCCTCCCAGGTACAAGCGATTCTCCTGCCTCAGCCTCCTGAGTAGCTGGGATTACAGGCACGAGCCCCCATGCCCAGCTGTTTGTCTTTTTAGTAGAGACGGGGTTTCACCATGTTGGCCAGGCAGGTCACGAACTCCTGACCTCGTGATCCACCCGCCTCGGCCTCCCAAAGTGCTGGGATTATAGGCATAAGCCACCGCACCCAGCCTGAAGTCAGTTTTAAGTATCTAGAGTTTGAAATGCATTTCTCTTAGGCCTTTTTAACTGATATGTTAGAATTAGTGGTGCTCAAATATTCTCCTGCCAAGTAGTGATTTTTTACTTCCTCACTCACCCCAACCTGCCATTGAAAAAAATCAATTTTGCTCATTTGCAAGTCATATTGAGATCTCTTTTACCCATATAAATCAGTGTTGTTTTAACTTCTCCTTCAAACCAGTTACAACTTCTGCCTAGTTCCCTCCTATCATGTGAATCAAATAAAATATTTATTATGTGTTCAATCAGTATGAGAGTCTGATTTTACCTTTTTCTTAAAATTATCTTTGAACAGTATCTATTTTGTACAATTGCCCAGGGGTACCTTATACTTAATAATTATTCTGGTTCCGTCCATGAATAAAGCATTGAATAACATTAAGACCTTTGTAGAGGTTTCTCTAAAATATTTCAAAATGTTCTGCTTTATACACCAACTTACTTCACTTCTCTGCAAAGCAAATTTGTTGCACTGTGGGGAAGTTGAAATTGTGCTATCTCAGGGAAGACTTGCAAAGTTTTCTTGTTGAGGTTGCTTAGGGTCAAAAATGTGTGTGATCAGCTGTTTTGTTTTGCAGGATTATTGTTTAGGGATGCATGCTTCTTTATCTCTTCTCAGCATCTCTCATGGTTCTGATTTATATTTGTAGAGCAAGAGAATGAAATGGTACCATCAGCATCCCTCTTTTTCAGATTCTTTCTCATATCCTTGCAAGACTTGCCTCCTTTTCTCTGGATCTGTTTTTCTCATTCCCCTGTGATACCAGCCCTTAGGAAAAACTTTTGTGATCATTTCTTCAAAGCTTGAAACATGCAAAGTGCTGAAAATTACAATATTATCTCTTTTTCCTGTGCTCTCAAATCCAGAGATATGCACTATGTGGAAATAAATAAAGAGCACCCGAATTAGAACAAACAGAGACTATTTATTCAGAGCTTGCTATAGCAAGAAAGTCAGCCACCATCACTTGAATTTGGCAGAGACTCAAAGGCATGAAGGAAAAGCTTTAGAGTGAACAAAAGTGGTAAGGGGAAGCTGGAGGGAGCTAACAAAAGGTGTAGCATCTTATGTGATTAGTTTGAAGAGTATTTGGCTTTCCCTGGTTGGACCTCAATTGGAAACTGGGGCAAAATATAGAAGCTGCCAGTCATTGACCAAGTCCTAACTTCTCTGGGCCAATTGCTACAGAGGTTGTCATTTGGTTTTCAGTGCTTGTTGCTGCTGAGGTTGTGGGTCAGAGTTCTACCATAATGTATGGTGTGTCCATTGTCCATTTGTATATTCAATCTGCCTAGCATATTTTTATAATGTTAAATGATAACTATAACTCTAAAGAGATGCAAAGGAACAGGCTATTTGAAATCCTTGAGAAATTTGAGTTTCATCCCGTTTTATGTTACTATTAATTTTTCTTGATCATCCATGCATCCATGATTACCTAGCCTCTGTGCCGTGGGTTTTACTTATGTGATCCTTGTCAGGTACTTTTTTTGTTGTGGTTGTTGTTGTTGAGACGGAGTCTCGCTTTGTCGCCAGGTTGGAGTGTAGTGGTGCAACCTCAGCTCACTGCAACCTCCGCCTCCTGGGTTCAGGAGATTCTCCTGCCTCAGCCTCCAAAGTAGCTGAGACTACAGGCGCATGCCACCACGCCCAGCTAATTTTTGTATTTTTTGTAGAGACGGGATCTCAGCATGTTTGCCAGGATGGTCTCAGTCTCTTGACCTCGTGATCCGCCTACCTTGGCCTCCCAAAGTGTTGGAATTACAGGTGTGAGCCACTGCGCCCAGCCATCAGGTACATTTTTATCTTCTTTTCATACACATGGAGACTGGGATTCAGATATGTTAACAAACCTGATGTAAACTACACAGCTAAGAAAATGAGGGTACAAAAATGTTCATACAAATCTTAGATCCATTTTCTAGAAAACGATGTAGAAGGATATACACCAAATTTTTAACCATGATAACCTAAATCTTACTAACTTGAGAAAGGTAAAAATACATTTTCCTTTGTGCATTTTTTAATATTTGGTGAAAATAAGCATGGATTGGTTTTATAATAAAAAGAAAATTAATCTAAATAAACAACAAAACAACATGAAGTTGTATTTTCTCTAGACACTATATTAACTTCCCTCTGGGAATCTAATTCAAAAGCTATTTCATAAATGAAAATCACAAAGAAAATTTATCCCAGATAATAAACCAGCATTAGTTATTTGAAGAGTGACTCTCTCTGAGGAAGTTTACACAGTAGAATATTAATTGCAGGTAACAAACCAAAAGGAGCAAAAGAATTGTATATTCTTAAGAGATATTCCCATCAAGTATAGGATTTTAATAAATAATAATTCTACCATATAGCTCTTTTGCTTTTTGGTTAACTGATGCTACTCATTGATCAATTTATCAAATATTACTTGAGCTACTAATGTCTTAGGCATAGTGTTGGTACCTGAGAATAAAAATAAACAAGCAAGTAAACAAACCAACTATTCATTTTATAAATTTATAGTTTTCCGGCTGTTAAAATACAATTTTAAGAAAAAAGCAAAATCATGGCTTACAGAGATATAAAAAGATTAATGTGTTTAAGATTTTTATTTAACTTATTCATGAGGAAACTGGTAAGATGTTACAATCAGTGCAAAGGTGAGTGTAAAGAACAGACACATTTTTGTTTCATTAACATTGCAATGAGTATACAAATGGAAGCAAACTGACTTTCTCAGAAATAAAATCTGCCAATATACAGAATTCACATGCCTGTCTATAGATGAGAATTATTCTGCATCATTATCAGTTATCTACAATTTACAAAGTTGTAAAATAGCTCCCATAGAATCAGAATCAGATAACCAGGAACGGAATGCAAAGTTTTCCACTGAAGCAAAAATTTTTCCCTACGGGGCAAAGAGAGGCTATAACATGTGTGGCAGACATTGTTAACTGTGTGCTCTGTGTTCTTTCCTGCACCACCCCTCTCTACTAATAGAATCTTTGCTTGTTTAGGTAAATGCAAAGTTCCCTATTCTTGTCCCCACAAATAAAACAATGATAACCCAACATTGATATAGTCAGTAATTGGTTCAGGATAAGCTTCAATTTTGCCCAAAAAAGAAAAGTGTTTTGTTGTTGTTGTTGTTATTGTGGTTGTTTTTAATGTAAGACTTCTAGGAAAGCATTTGTTTTCCTTATTAAAAAAACAGTAATTAACAACTGATATAGCCCTTTTTTGGTTCTTTTCTCCCTTTTTTATCTCGAATATAGTGTAGTTACTAGAATTCAGCAGTCATTTTGTGGCGTTGGACTGACCAGCACAAAAACTATATGAATAATAGTTGCACTAGTCAGTTTGTGCTTCTCTAACAAAATACCATAGACTAGGTGACTTAAACAACAGAGATTTACTTCTCACAGTTCTGGAGTCTGGGTAGTCCAAGAACAAGGTGCCAGCTGATTCAGTTTTTGGTGAGGGTCCTGTTCCTGGCTTATAGAACTTAGACTCCTAAATTCAAGTGATCCTCCCATCTCAGCCTCCTGAGTAGCTGGGACTACAGATGGTTGCACAATTTTTAGTTGTTCTTAAAAGAAAGATTGTGTGATGTACCATAACGGAAATCTAATTCCCTTTTCCCTGTAACCTAAATTTCATCTACCTTGATATCAACACATCTTCAATGCTTCTGCCACCACTTTCTTTAATTTTATGCAAGAATAGTTCAATTGAGACGTAGAGAATGAGACAGAGAGAGAGAGAGAGAGAGACCACTCTCTAGTCTTTTCTCATGGCAGTACTAATCCCATCATGAAGGTATCAGATTAAGAAAGTATCCTGCCTGTAATCCCAGCATTTTGGGAGGCCAAGGAGAGTGGATCATTTGAGGTCAGGAGTTTGAGACCAGCCTGGCCAATATGGTGAAACCCCACCTCTACTAAAAATACAAAAGTCAGCAGGGCTTGGTGGCGGGCACCTGTAGCGTCAGCTACTCTGGAGGCTGAGGCAGGAGAATCGCTTGAACCTGGAAGGAAGAGGTTGCAGTGAGCCGAGATTGCGCCACTGCACTGCAGCCTGGGCAACAGAGAGAGACTCCGTCTCAAAAAAAAAAAAAAAATTAGACAAAAAATCAGATAACACAATACAAAAGCAAGCAACTTAAGATCTGAAACAAACTTGTCTATTTACACTTTTGGGGTTCCATAAGGAAAAACAGAGATTTCTCCGCAAAACGGAGTCTGGCACCTTCTCCATTTTCTGTAAGGAATTGCAGGCTATTATAAATTATTTTAGGTTCCTTATACAGCAGAGGGTGACAAGAGAAAGGAGAAACAGCAGAAGTAAATGAAGGAAACAGAATTCATTCAATTGAGGAAAAAGCAAACAAACAAACAAAAACTCTTGTTCAAAAAGGCAAGGTCCCAGGAGAAAACAAAAACAAACCATGAAGGCCTTTTAATACAAACACACAGGCACACATACACACACATCTTGGATGTTACATTTGCATTAAGCTAATCCATTGAGCTCCTTGAAAAAAAAAACTTTTTAAATCTCATTACCATATTTTAGCAAAGACAAATTGCCAATATTTCGGAAGTAATAAGTATCAAATCTGAAAGGGTTTGATTTAGAAACCAAACCCAGGCTATTGTGGTAAAGAAGAAAAAAAACAGATGTCAGAACCTTAGCTATGAAACTACAATGTGGGGCAACAGCTATTGCTCTTTCAGTTTGACTTGGCTAGCAAAAAGATGGCCTTGTTATGTAAATAAAACCCCTTAAGTAATCAAAATAAAACATTTCCCCCCCCCTTTTTTTGTGGAAATTTAGCCACATCAGAGGCTTTGTTCCCCTTGAATTGGAACTTTCCTTCAGATTTCGTCAAGTCAGATAGAGCTGGTCAAATGCAATGGGAAAAAGACTGAAACAATAAAAACAGAAACAAACAAACAACAACAAAAACAGTTAAGCAAAACAAATGATCACACAATTTATATAATTACTGAGCACTCTAATGGTAAGGAGAAATTAAGACCAGCTGGTTGTTCATCTTAACTTTAGCCAAGACAAAACCCCAATTCAGCTACTTACCTGAGGATGGGTCTCAGGCTGAAGACTGCTCTCTACCATCCTAGAAGCAGGAAAAAACTCAAATTCACCTTCCTTCCCTGTTGGAAATGAGCTCGAATTCCAGAAAGAAGTTACCTGCCTTCCATTGTCGTGGAAGCAGGAAAGCTTGCCTTCCTTGTTGGAAGGAAGTAAAGCTTCTTCCAACAAGAGTTGGAAATAAAAATTATTTTTCCTAGCAAAATAATCTTTAAATATTGACCAGATTTTGGGAGATCAGGGATTCTCTGGAGGGGGAGCTTCCAGGCCTCAGCAAATTGTCCTACTGGTTTGAGCCATAAAGAAACTCAAGCTGGTACCAAGCCCTAATAGGAGATTTCTCAAAGGTCAGCAGCTCTTCCACTCAGAATCCCTTCGTGGTTAGCAAAATGTGAACCCCAAATATATGAGATGGGTCTCAGTCAATTTATAGTGTTTATTTTGCCAATGTTAAGGATATGCCCATGACATAGCCTCAGGAAATCCTGAGACATGTACCCAAGGTGATCAGTGGTACAGTTTGCTTTTATACGTTTTAGGGAGACATGAGACATCATTCCATATGTGTGAGATGTACACTAGTTCAGTCCGGTAATATGGGACAACTTGAAGTGGGAGCTTCCAGATTAGAAGTAGATAAGAGACAAATGATTGTAATCTTTTGAGTCCTTGATCAGCCTCCATTGAATACACAATTTACTCCAGCTCAGTGAATCTGCATTTTTACATAAATGATTAGCAGAGGAAGCAATGACACATGCATTTGTCTCAGGTAAGCCTCAGAGGGATGACTGAATAGAATGGGAAGCAGGTTTACCTTAAACAGTTCCCAGCTTGATTTTCTTCTTTAGCTTGGTGATTTTGGAGTCTCAAGATTTATTTTCCTTTCACAGTACTCTCAGTCAGATTTCAAAAAAGATAATTTCCACACACTTGTTTTTTTATTTTTTTTATTTTTTTTATTTTTTTGAGACAGGGTCTCACTCTGTCACCCAGGCTGAACTGAAGTGGTGCAATCACAGCTCACTGCAGCCTTGGATTCTTGAGTTCAAGTGATCCTTCCACCTCAGCCTCCCAAACATCTGGAACTACAGGCAGTTGCAGATTTTAGTTGTTCTTAGAAGAAAGATTGCGTGAATGCACCATATCAGAAACCTAACTCCGTTTCCCCTGTAACCTAAATTTCAGCTCCCTTGGTATCAACACATCTTCAATGCTTCTGTCACCATTTTCTTTAATCCTATGAGAGAATAGCTCAATATTACATCCCTTGTACTAGGTGAAGTTCCCTCAATGTTTCCATACATTTTGGGGGTGGAAGGGCTTATGGTTCTACGTTTCTTTGTTTGTTTGTTTGTTTGTTTTGTCTTTACTACAGTCTGCATCTCTCTCCCACAAGCCCAGCCATTGTTCTCACATGGCTCTAGCCATGAAAGATAGCATCTCCATATTTCATCCCCAAAAGGGTCACAAATTCAAAGCTGTGGGTGCAGTTGCTTTTAACAAAGCTTTGAGGTGAAAGAAGAGGGTCCTGAAGCATAGTAAACAGAGATCAATGTAGTTTACCAGTAGATCCGAATGGATTTAAAGTTCTTTAACTCCTTTCTTCCATGTAGAATTTCTCAGTTGACAGCTTATCTTTCTTCCCTGCCATTTTCCTCACTACTACTCTCTTCTCTCGCCTTCCCTGCCACCTCCATCATCTCTCATTTCTTCCCCATCCCCACAGGTAGCCAAGTTGTTGGGACTCTCCTATTGCTTCCCACAGCTCTGGGGTTGCATGTTTTCTCCTCTTTGAAAGTTGGCAGTCCCCAAATCTCCAAAATCCTGTTCATTTCTAATGAAGAACTGTTTAAATCTCACTCCAGTTATTATTTTAAACTAAGCGCAGATCCAAATTCATTAGAAAATAATATTCAGAAAATGGCAAAATCATGACTCATATAAATGAAACATATGTTAAAGATTTTATTTAACTCATATAAAGGAACTAGTTCAAAGTAAATGTCAAAAAGCACAAACATATAGAGTCAAGAAATCGAATTACAAATGGAGGGAAAAAGACTTTTTCCACAGTGGGGAGGGAAGCCAATGGAAATGCTGCTGGATAAGACACAGTTTGCATATCCATCAGTTACCTGCATTTGAAAAACAGGTGCAAAATAGCTCAAAGACAATGAACAGGCTCTGGAACCCACTGCCCAGAAGCATGTATGATAGACAATGCATAGTTTTTAAATCAAATGCAAAAATGTTTTTTGCACATAACATATCCAAAAATTCTTCAGGGACAAGAACGAAAGGTTATCAAGTCTTCAGGGCCGCCTTTTCTTTGTCAAAGCATTAACCACTGCTCTTAAATTATACTTTTGCCTTCATTAACTAGGAGGCAGTATCTGAGCATCAAAGGATAGCAGTTGATGCTTTTAGACTACTTTTTTCCAATGAAGGCCCAAAGGTGTCATTTGTTCTTCCCTGTCTCATCTGAATTGTATAAAATATGCCAGCTGTTGCTTCCCATGGTCACCTGAGGTAGAAGTGGCTGTCACCTCTGCTGACATCCTTAGCTATAGTGTCTTTCATCCTCTGTGACTCATCTCAACCCATTAAATGTAGGAACAGATGATATTAATAGCCAAGGGTTAAGACATTTAATTTCTTCCCTATTAAGGAAATGCTTCAGCATTTAAAGTAATAATAATGGGATTGCAGAATATCAGAGCCATAAGGTGCCTTTGAAATTATCTAGTTCAATATTGTACTTTCCAAATGAGGACACAGAGGTCCCAGAGGGGAAGTGGCCTGTCAACCAAAGTCACACTGAAGGCTGGTGGCACAACAGAAGCTGCAGCTCAGGAATGCCACGCTGACCTGCCATTTATTTTGCCTTTTGGCAGCTCTTTCTTCATCGGACACCTATTTCTTTTGTTATGCTCTGGCAAGTCTTTCCTGTCCCTCTTTGCAGATATTTATTTTTTTCTACTCCTAATGTTCCCAGTGCTTAATTTTTTATGGATTTGTGTGCCAATTTCTAGTTATATAAGGAACTGATCACGAATGAAGCTCTTTATACTACCAGCAATTATTCTATTTTGGATATAAGACTCTGTAAAATCTCATTAAAGAAATGAATTTCCCATGATGAAATGAGTCTTTGAGGAGATTTTAAAATATGTCCATAATTCTCTGACATTCCAGTTGTGTTAGTCCTCTTTGTGCTGTTACAACAGAATGCCTGAGACTAGGTAATTTATTTTTAAAAAATAGAAATTTATGTCTCATAGTTCTGGAGGCTGGGATGTCCAAGATCAAGGCATCAGCAGGTTCAGTTATTTGGTGAGGGCTGTATCCTACTTCCAAGATGGTGCCTTGATTGTTGCATCCTCCAGAGAAAAGAAATGCTACGTTCTCACATGGCAGAAGAGCAGAAGAGAGGAAACCCACCTCCACAGGCCGTTTTCATAATGGAATTAGTCAACCCTTGAGGGCAGAGCCCTCATTGCCTAAATACCTTGCATCAGGCACCGCCTGCCAACACTGTTGCACTGAGGATTAGGTGTCCAACACATCAATTTTGGAGTGGCAATAACATTCACACTAGAGCAATAGCCATCAGAAAGCAGAGTTTAGTTTTTCTCTCTTGAATATGGCATTGAACAACTCAGTTCTTCTGAATAATAGGATGCAATGGAAGCAGCACTGCTGAATTATAAGGTGTTGGGTCATAGAAGGTTATATGGCTTCTTTGTGGCTCTTTCTCAGGACACATACAGTGGCAGATTGGAGCTTCCATATAAAAAAATAAGCTACCCTGAAGACACCATGCTGGAGAGACCACATGGAGAGATTCTTTAGGTATCCCAGCTGTTGCAGCCTCCAGATATTTGAATCTTCCCAGGACATGAGAGAAAAAGCTTCCAAATGATTCACACCTGCAGTAAGAGCTGTCTAAGCATGGTCAACAGCCAGAACTGTGAAAGATAACAATCATAAACAGCTACTGTTCTTTTATGCTATGAAGTTTGCAGTGGTTTGTTACTCAGCAATAGATAGTTAGAACAGCCCCTTTGAGAGGCAATGAAATATTGGGCTCTGAAAACCTCAGAGTATAGACATAAAAAAGACTGTTAAGGAACAGAGGATTCTCTAGTTAACCAGTATGCTGTTGCTATTTCTTCAGCTTGACTGCATGTATAAGAGCTCATTACAGTAATTCACTTTTCAACAGGAAAGTCTGAACTGATGATAAAACCCAGGTGTTCACAAAGCATAGGTCCTCATTTCCCCTGAGCCCAACCTTCATTGATAGTGAAACCATTTCTCCATTGCCTCGTGAAGCTTCTAGTGGGAAAGGTCAATGAAACAGAGCATACTTGCCTATAAATATCTTTTTCCTGATATGATTCCATGCAACCTGAAAAGCCAATGATCTAATTTTTGACATAAAGATACATCAATCATTTGAAGATGAAAACTGGTTCAGGGAGAGGAAGTAATTTGTCTGAGATCTCTCAATATATTTCCTGCACAGGTTTTGAATGCTCGGCCCTTTCTTGCTTTTTTCCCATTAGACTTCAAAGCTGTAGGTTTCTGCCTTCCTAAGAAGCTGAAAAAACAGTCAAAAGTTTTAAATCCCCTTTTTAAAACAGTCATTAAATTGTAAAAATAGCAATAAAAGTGGCACGTCTGCTGTATATGTGATTTTTAGCATTTTTGTTCATTTATTTACCAAATGACTGTGTACTTTATAGGCATTACTAAAATAAAGCACTTAAGAATTGGATTCCTCACCCAGAAAGTGCCTAGATCTGTGTTAGGATACAAAGAGTGCCCAGTTCTGAGTTAGAATTCGGCAATTATGGAAAAAAAGTTTCTTTATAATAATGTTTGAATAAGAAAAAAAAAAAAAGAACCTGACTAGTACCTTTAAATATACAAAGAAGCAGAAGTCTCTGATTTGAAGCTACAGGGTCAATATATTTAAATGTATTAACTTTTCCATAGTCATGTGAAGATAAAAAGGGCCAGTCCTCAGCGACATTGGGGAGGTCAATCTTTGTCAATCCCAGTGTGCTTTTTATGCACCCTTTTGATCTTTTGGCTCTCTTCCCTCACACTTGGAGCTTCTAAACCTTCCTATTCTTCTCCTCTCCTTTCTCACCATTTTGACTTCTGAATATTCATTTATTCATCTTCTTTGTGTAGCAACTTTGATATGAGTGACCATGATACATCCCCAGCTTCAGGAGGAACTTAAATGAACTAAGCTAGCTGCAATAATTAAATTCTCCAGACACAGTGATAAGTTCAGTGTTTGTTGGAAGCAGCCATCCTTTCCCCATAACTGTGAGTGAGGAAGATATGGTACCAGTCTCTTTTAGCATTCATCTCATAAAACCAACTGGAGAATGATGCCAACACACTAAAAAGAGCAGAATCAATAAAATCATAGAGGATAAAGATAGATCCCTGATCAAACTACTCCTGAAGGCCACTCTAATCCCTGCATCTTTCAGCTACTTGATCAGTTACTGTGTAAGCTGAGTTGTGTTTTCTCTTCTTAGCAACCAAAAATACCCTGAGTGTAGGTGACAGTATCACATCTCTTCCCTTGGAAGGCCCAGTGGAGGTTCTGTTTCTGGCAATGTGGCAAAGTACATTGTTTAGACAAACTCTTTGATGGAAAACAACTAAAAGTGCCAGATATTCTATTAAAAATACCTCTCTAAAGTATCAAAAAAATGACAAAATGGTCAGAAATTATTATGACAAAATCTAAGTGAAAACTAGAATCTCAGCACTATAGCCACTTTTGTCCTGGGAGTATTTGCAAAACAGGCAAAACTGAGTATTAATTCTGGACATTTCTTTGAGTGTGACTATAGACTTCATGAAGGCAGAATATGCAATTCAAAGCCCCGGTTTCACCTAGGTAGTCCAGTAGGAGACCACCACCTCTTTAACCTAAAGCTACCCCTTAAGGTAAAGGAGAACCAGAAGTAACCCCCCATTCTGCTTCTACCTTCAAGTAATGACAAGAAAATTTGTCGTGACATTGAAAATAATATGAGAGTTTCTGAAAAGTTGCAGCCACAGTGGGCCCTCATTTAAATCTGTAGCCCAAATTACTATTACTTAGGTTATCACTCCAACACATAAAAATCACAGATTTCTAGAATCGAATGACACAAAAGGCAGTGAACTACGTACCAACATTTGTGAAGAAAGTTTCTGTCATGGGCCATGAAGAACAAGTGGTGGTTCGGGGCTTTTTAGCAAGAAGTGGCTCCCTGCAGAGCTGGTATGGCCAGTAAAGAAATGGATCCAATCTGAGACAGAAAATCTCTCTTAGTTTGTAAAACTTGCTGGCTTTTTCCCACTCTGATGGCTCCCTGATGATGGAGGAGTCCACCAGAAGAGGCTGAGGAAAACATTAGGACCATGGTGTCTCCAGCAGGACACCAAAGAACTGCCTTGTTTTGCAAGATTTTCCTTTGGAATTTGGAGTAGAGAGAAAAATTTGAGTGGCAATGAGGTGAAACTTTACCTGAGCCTTGTGGGCTCAGAAACAGTTGGATAATTTAAAAACACACTTACCCTTCTGTGTTCTGGGAAATGGTTAGCCACCAAGGTCTACTCTGCCCTCACATATTTCAAGATAAGACCAGTCTCCCTTCTCCCTCCTGATTCCCATAGACTTACAGATGATGCAGATGACTCCGTTGCCACCTGCCTCTGTAAATCTCCAGGCCACTTTCCTTTTCTTTAAAATGCCCATCATGAATGGGCATTTCTCCAATTGCAATAGCCTGGGTAAGATCATTTCCTTAATTATCCTGTGCATTTAGTATTTGCAAGGGGTAAATAGAATGGCTCTGCAATGGGTGCAAATGAGTAATATTTAGATTTTTGAAACATATGTCAAGATTCTCTAACAATGAGCTCATGGCTGGTAATGAAGTGCATCTCACCTAGATGGGAAAGGATATGTTTGCTAGAAGCTGACTGATCTAATCATTAGAACAATTGTTTTTCAGCTAAATCTATATTCCTGTTAGTATGGGGGATATCCGGTTTGAAACACTAGAGAGGAAAAAGAATATAAGAGATATGCTGGAAAGTATACGTACTTGGAATTGGGCTAGGATTTGAATACTAGGCTCTGTGGCTAACTGGCTGTGTGACTTGAGGTAAGTGTGGTGTAATTGCTCTTCTAAGTGGATAGTTCTTTTGTTCTTCAAGCTGAATCTTGGCTGTCAGTCAAGCTACACATCTTCTTTCAGGCTTTTTGTGTTAGCAGGTATTTTGGTTCCCATTCAGGGCCCTCTTCATTTATCCTTCTCAGTACAGCTGTGTGTAAGCTGGCATAATTTGCTATTGAAACCTAGGCTGTGACTATAAATTAATTAAAATTTAATTTATGATTGCAGAGAAGTGCAAATATGGATTCATCAGGAATGAATAACTTTATATTACTCTTGTTTCCTTCTTTGACAGAGACTAGCTGGGTAAATCAGAGATATGTGGTAGAAACACCCTCATCAAAATATTTGGTAATGATACTCATGTGGATGTGAAGGAGATGAAATGGCTGCATGATAATAAATGTAGGTAGTGAATAACCTTAAAGGATATTCATGTAGGTTGGGCATGGTGGCTCACGCTTGTAATCCCAGCACTTTGGAAGGCCGAGGCAGGAAGACGGCTTGAGTCCAGGAATTCAAGACCAGCCTGGGCAACATAGCTAAACCCCATCTCTACAAATGAAACACAGAATAAAAAATATATAAAAAATAAATTTTTTTAAAAGCATACCAATATAGAAAAAGCTCTGTTTCTATAGAAAAGTATACATTGTATCTATTTGGCCCATCCTTCTTGGTTACAAGATTCTAGCTTTTTATTTTCTTTAAGCTATTTTATGACTGGATAGACAGGCAAATTTTGTCCTGCTCAGTAGAGTTTTAATTGACTGCTCTCCCTCTGGTGGAAAAAACAGTTTTGTCTCCACATGCAATTTACTTTCTTTACTCGATACATATTTGTTCTTTTTCTCTTTCTCTTTAGAACTGGTTATAACATCTACCTGGTTCTCTCATTAAATGAGTAAAATACAATCTTTTCACACATGTTTATTCTTGTATCAGTGAGAGTCATGATTCTACACTTTTCTGAAAACTGTCTTTTAATGCTAATGAGAATGGAAACCAATGATTCACTGTTAAACAATACTGGGACCAGAAATACTTTCCTGTGTTTGTAGTTAACCAGACGCACCAGAAAATACATGCACATGGAAGATGAGACTGAGCCAATTAAAAGAGCTTATCTATCAGGTCTGAAATATTACTCCTTAAGGGTCCTTGAAGATTTTGCCCAACTACATCAGTTCCCTTTCATGCCGGACTTGACTTAAAATCACCCAGCTCAGGCCTAAAAATCCTGTAAACATCCTTCCCTATACTCTCCTGTTGGGACACTGATGACTCTATTAAAATGCCCTACCTAGCTGCAGTAAGTTTAAAGTCTCTCTTTTGCCTGATCAACAGTTTTCTTGGTAGTCTGTGTGTGTGTGTTGGGGGGGCGGGGGTGTGGCGGGGGTATTGGAAATTAATGACAGGAATTATGACCATCCACTGTTTCTACCAGAAGGCACACCCTAGATGCCCAATTTGAGATTACAGAGTCAAGCTATATTGTGTGTGTGTGTGTGTGTGTGTGTGTTTAAGCAGAAGCAGAAGTTAAGTCAGGCCTCCACTCCAGGCTAGGAACCCACGTGGAGATTTGTTAACATCTCGCACAATGTTGCACATTCATTAGGTGCCCAAATAGTATTTGAAAGTATTTGCAAATAGTAAGAGACTTTTTTCTTAAAAAGACAAGGATTTGAGGGAACAGCTTAAATAAAAGAAAAAAAACTAGACACAGTTTATATGATTAAAATAAAAGTACATATTAGAATTGCAAATATATTCATTACATTTAAATGTACAGAGGAAATAGAGTTCATTTTTTTTCTTTCTACCTGGAATGATCTGATTGCCTCTTGGGTGTCCCCTCCCACAGCACACACACAAACACACCCACACACAGTGTGTGTGAGAGAGGTGAGGAGAAGAGGAGAAAAACATTTAGCTCAATCTATTAATCTCAGTTCAGGCTTATAAATTGAGTCCTGTCTTTAGTTTCTTTTGGGTTGGTGTTGCATGCATGGGAGGAGAGGATATTTGGTTTCTGTGACAGTAGGGGAAGGTCTTCATGTCCCCTCTGATCTCTCTTGCAGAGTGTCTACTCTAGTTGGTTGCCAGGAGCCCTGCACCAAGTTACTCCTCCAGATACCTCCTGCTGCTGCTGAGCACTTGTTCCCATCACCTGGAGCAAGTGAGGACATGCAATGTTTTTCCTAAAGGCTCCCAGAGATTCCGATGTGTCCCCCAATCCCCGTATTCCCAAGAGATGATGTAACTTGCCCCTAAATTTTCTTCCCTCCAGTACAAATCCCAGTGTCTCTGAAGCCCTCCCTCTCCCGCCTGGGGGAGGAAAAATGAAGTACTGTAGCTTTATCTCTTCAATAGCTTTATTTTCTCCCCACAAACACTAGAGGCTCTGCTTCCACTTCCTGTCTACCTGAAACTTCCCAAATATAAAATGAAAACTGGAATTCAAAACTGAGAGCATATAAATCAATTTCTAGGTCTTACATTTATTTCAGATACTCTTCAAATTTGAGCTTCTTGAGGAGGAATCCATGATTTTAAGTGGATGTTTGTTTAAATCTTACCTTTCACACTCTCCCTTCTCATTTTAGTAAAGATAACCATTTATTTCCCCACCTGTAATTGTACTCTGGGTATGAAAGTCTCCGGCACACTGTACAACTGAGAGCTGAAAAACACAGACTATCTTTAAGAAGGGGTTTTTAGAGTATTATTCCAAGACAACAAGGGAAACTTTTCATGCGCGTCCGTGAGAAGAGACCACCAAACAGGCTTTGTGTGAGCAGTAAAGCTGTTTATTTCACCTGGGTGCAGGCGGGCTGAGTCTGAAAAGAGAGTCAGTGAAGGGAGATAGGGGTGGGGCCTTTTTATAAGATTTGGGTAGGTAAAGGAAAATTACAGTCAAAGGGGGGTTGTTCTCTGGCGGGCAGGAGTGGAGGTCACAAGATGCTCAGTAGGGGAGCTTTTGAGTCAGGATGAGCCAGGAGAAGGAATTTCAGAAGATAATGTCATCAGTTAAGGCAGGAACAGGCCATTTTCATTTCTTTTGTGGTGGAATGTCATCAGTTAAGGCAGGAACCAGTCATCTGGATGTGTACGTGCAGGTCACATGGGATATGATGGCTTAGCTTGGGCTCAGAGGCATGACATTCCTGTCTTCTTATATTAATAAGAAAAATAAAATGAAATAGTGGTTAAGTGTTGGGATGGCAACAATTTTGGGGGATGGTATGGAGAGATAGTGGGCGATGTTTCTCAGGGCTGCTTCGAGCGGGATTAGGGGCGGCGCGGGAACCTAGAGTGGGAGAGATTAAACTGAAGGAAGATTTTGTGGTAAGGGGTGATATTGTGGGACTGTTAGAAGAAACATTTGTCATTTAGAATTATTGATGATGGCCTGGATATGGTTTTGTATGAATTGAAAAACTAAATGGATTAAAGGTCTAAGAATTGGGAGGACCCAGAACATCTGATTAGAGAGTGCCTAAGGAGGTTCAGCATAGCCCTGCCAGCAAAGATTATTTATTTACTTTAAGAGTTAAGAGTGGCAGTTTGGGGATAGCACCAGGAGATATCAGCTGTGATGACTTGGAGAAACAGTGTAAACCGGCAGTGTAAACAAGAGCAGGGCATGTATGAGTAGTTGAGAACGGTGAATAGGAGTATGACTAGACAGAAGATAGTAGGGATGACAAGTTTTTTGGGGCACAGTCCAAGTTGGTCTGGTGTCTGGAATGACACTGAGGCCTAATAAAAAGGAGCGTCTATACAGGAGCTCAAATGGGCTGTACCCTGTAGCATTCTGAGGACAGGCCTGAATTCTGAGAAAAGAAAGAGGTAAAAGTATTGTCCAGTCCTTTTTAAGTTGGTGGCTGAGCTTGGTGAGGTGTGTTTTTAAAAGACCAATAGTACATTCTACCTTTCCTGAAGACTGAGGACTGTAAGGGATATAAAGGTTTCACTGAATACTAAGAGCCCGAAAAACTGCTTGGCTGATTTGACTAATGAAGGCCGGTCCACTATCGGACTGCGTAGAGGTGGGAAGGCCAAACCGAGTAATTATGTCTGACAGAAGGGAAGAAATGACCGCGGTGGCCTCTCAGACCCTGTAGGAAAGGCCTCTACCTATCCAGTGAAAGTGTCTACCTAGACTAAGAGGTATTTTAGTTTTCTGACTCGGGGCATGTGAGTAAAGCTAATTTGCCAGTCCTGGGCAGGGGCAAATCCTTGAGCTTGATGTGTGGGAAAGGGAGTGGGCCTGAATAATCCCTGAGGAGTAGTAGAATAGCAGATGGAACACTGAGAAGTGATTTCCTTGAGGATAGATTTCCATGATGCAAAGGAAATGAGAGGTTCTAAGAGATGGGCTAGTGGCTTGTAACCTACATGGAAGAAGTTAGGAAATGACGACAGAATAGAATGGGCCTGTGAGGCTGGAAGGAGATATTTCCCTTGGTCTAAGAACCATTTGCCTTGTGTGGGAAGAGATTGATAGGTGGAAGTTTCAGCAGGGGAGTAGGTGGGAGTGGCCAGATGAGAAGGAGAAAAACTGAAAGTGAGGGATATAAGTTGGAATGCTAGCTGCTTTTTTAGCTATCTTATCAGCATAAGCATTGTCCTGAGCGATGGGATCTGATGATGCCCTTCGACGGCCTTTGCAGTGAATGACTCCAGCTTCCTTTGGAAGTAAAGCAGCTTTGAGAAGTGTTTTTATTAAAGAGGCATTAATGATAGAGGACCCTTGTGTAGTGAGGAAACCTCTTGCATGGTGGTGCAGGATATGGAAGGCATATTTAGAGTCAGTATAAATATTGACGTTTAGTCCTTTTGCAAGAGTGAGGGCTTGAGTTAAGGCAACTAGTTCGGCTTGCTGAGAGGTAGTGGAGGAGAGCAGAGCAGTAGCCTTAATGATAGATGTGGAAGATACTATAGCATAGCCTGCCTTTGCTGGTGAGTGGCGATTAGGCCTGGTGGAACCGCCATCAATAAACTAAATGTGATCAGAGTGAGGAACAGGAAATAAGGAAACATGGGGAAATTGGGTGAATGTCAGGTGGATCAGACAGATATAGTCATGAGGGTCAGCTGTGGTATCCAGAATAATGTGGGAGGCTGGATTGAAGTCCGGGCAAGGAACAATGGTAATTGTGGGAAACTCAACAAAGAGTGAGTATAGCTGAAGGAGCCAGGAAGCAGAAAGTATATGCGTCAGGTATGAGGAAGAAAACAGATTTTGGAAGTTATGAGAACTGTAGAGAGTGAGTTGAGCATAGTTTGTGATTTTTAGGGCCTCTAAAAGTATTAAAGCAGCGGCAGCCGCTGCACGCAGACATGAGGGCTAGGCTAAAACAGTAAGGTCAAGTTGTTTGGACAGAAACACTACAGGGTGGGGTCCTGGCTCTTGTGTAAGAATTCTGACCGCACTAACTATGCCTAGGAAGGAAAGGAGTTGTTGTTTTGTAGAAGGGATTGAGGTTTGGGAGATTAGTCGGACACAATCAGCAGGGAGAGCACATGTGTTTTTACGAGAATTATGCCAAGATAGGTAACAGATGAGGAAGAAATTTAGGCTTGACTGAAGTAATGGGGGCTGTCTGTGAAGCTTTGCAGCAGTATAGCCCAGGTAATTTGCTGAGCCTGATGGGTGTCAGGGTCAGTCCAAGTGAAAGCGAAGAGAGGCTGGGATGAAGGGTGCAAAGAAATAGTAAAGAAAGCATGTTTGAGATCTAGAACAGAATAATGGATTGTGGAGGGAGGTATTGAGGATATGAGAGTATAAACAATTTGGTTGATAAGGGGCAGATCCTGAACTAACCTGTAAGGCTCGTCTGGTTCTAGGACAGGTAAAATGGGGAAATTGTAAGGAAAGTTTATAGGCTTTAAAAGGCCATGCTATAACAGGCGAGTGATAACAGGCTTTAATCCTTTTAAAGCGTGCTATGGGATGGGATATTGGCATTGAGCGGGGTAAGGGTGATTAGGTTTTAATGGGATGGTAATGGGCCTGTGATCAGTTGCCAGGGAAGGAGTAGAGATGTCCTATGCTTGTGGGTAAGGTGGGGGGATACGAGAGGAAGACGCAAAGGAGGCTTTGGGTTGGGGAAAAGGGCGGCAGTGAGATGCGGCTGTAGTCCAAGAATAGTCAGGGAAGCAGATAATTTGGTTAAAATATCTCGGCCTAATAAGGGAACTGGGCAGGTGGGGATAAGTAAAAAAGAGTGCATAAAAGTATTGTCTAAGTTGGCACCAGAGTTGGGGAGTTTTAAGAGGTTTAGAAGCCTGGCCGTCAATACCCACAACAGTTCTGGAGGCAAGGGAAACAGGCCCTTGAAAAGAAGGTAATGTGGAGTGGGTAGCCTCCGTATTGATTAAGAAGGGGACGGACTTACCTTCCACTGTGAGAGTCACCTGAAGCTCGGCGTCCGTGATGGTCTAGGGGGCTTCTGAGGCGATCGGGCAGCGTCAGTCTTCAGCTGCTAAGCTGAGAAGATCTGGGAAGGAGTCAGTCAGAGCGCCTTGGGCCAGAGTTCCAGGGGCTCTGGGAGTGGCTGCCAGGTGAGTTGAACAGTCCGATTTTCAGTGGGGTCCTGCACAGATGGGACGTGGCTTAGGAGGAATCTTGGGCTGTGGGCATTCCTTGGCCTGGTTGCCAGATTTCTGGCACTTGTAGCAAGCTCCTGGGAGAGGCGGGCCTGGAGGAACGCCTGGCCACTGCGGTTCAGGCGTTTGGAAGTTCTTGTGTGCTGGAGATGTGGCTGGGGTTTGTCTCACAGTGGAGGCAAAGAATTGCAACTGAGAAATATGTTGCTATTTGGCTGCCTCTAGTCTATTATTGTACACCTCGAAGGTGAGGTTAATTAAGTCCTGTTGTGGGGTTTGAGGGCTGGAATTTAATTTTTGGAGTTTTATTTAATGTCAGGAGCAGATTGGGTAATAAAACGTATTTTGAGAATAAGACGACCTTTTGACCTTTTAGGGTCTAGGGCTGTAAAGTGTCTCAGGGTTGCTGTCAAACGAGTCATGTACTGGGCTGGGTTTTTATATTTGATGAAAAAGAGCCTAAACGCTCTCTGATTTGGGATTAAAAAAAGGAGCATTAACCTTGACTATGCCTTTAGCTCTAGCCACCTTTTTAAGAGGAAATTGCTGGGCAGGTGGGGGAGGGCTAGTCACAGAACGAAACTGTAAGCCAGACCGGGTGTGAGGAGGGGAGGTGATAAAAGGATTATAGGGTGGAGGAGCAGAGGCTGAGGAAGAATTATGACCTAGCTCGGCCTTGCGAGGAAGGGAGAGGTCAGATGGGTCAGTAGAAAAGGAAGATTAGAAAGACTCAGTGACGCTTGGGGTTGGGACTGAGGGGACATGTGGGAGGGAAAGAAGGAAGATTTGGGACGAGTTGCATTGGGAACAGAGACCAGGGAGGGACTGATGTGTAAAAGAATGCCTGGACGTCAGGCACCTCGGACCATTTGCCTATTTTACGACAAGAATTATTTAGATCTTGTAGGATGGAAAAAATGAAAGTGCCATTTTCTGGCTATTTGGAACGGCTGTCAAGTTTGTATTGGGGTCAAGCGGCATTGTAGAAGAAAATAAGGCATTTAGGTTTTAGGTCAGGTGTGAGTTGAAGAGGTTTTAGGTTTTTAAGAACACAGGCTAAGGGAGAAGAAGGAGGAATGGAGGGTGGAAGGTTGCCCATAATGAAGGAGGCAAGCCTAGAGAAAAGAGAGAGACACGGAGGGAAGGGGTTTGGGGGTTCTTACCCTCCAGAAAAGCAGGAAAGTGGTCGGGGTGCGGAAATAAAGGGTTGGGGTGCAGAGATAAGAGGTCGGAGCATGGAAATAAGGGATCAGGGCACAGAGATAAGAGGTTGGGGCATGGAAATAAGGGATCGGGGCACAGAGATAAGAGGTTGGGGTGCAGAAATAAGGGATTGGGGCACAGAGATAAGGGGTCGAGTCATGGAAATAAGGGATCAGGGGGTTCTTGTCCCCAGAAAAGCAGAGAAGGGGTAGAGACATGCAGAGAAGGGGTTGGGGGGTTCTTGCTCCCTAGAAAAGCGGTACTTGTGGCTAAGGGTGAAGGAGAAGGGGTTGGGGGGTTCTTGCCCCCTAGAAAAGCGGTACTTGCAGCTAAGGGTGAAGAAGGGGTTGGGGGGTTCTTGCCCCCAGAAAAGCAGAGAAGGGGTAGAGACATGGAGAGAAGGGGTTGGGGGGTTCATGCCCCCCAGAACTGCAGTACTTGCCACTAAGGGTGAAGGACCAAGGCAGGCATCCCCACGTGGTCAGACACCTCTGAAACGTGGGTAAATAATCAGAGAGGCGTCCCTGCAATGATTAAACACCAAGGGAAGGCTGCCTTCCTGAGTCCATGACTGGTGCCTGAGTTTTGGGTCCATGGATAAAACGTGTCTCCTTTGTCTCTACCAGAAAATGAAAGGAATTGAAATTAAGAGAAGGGAGAGATTGAAGGGTGGCGCCAATATTGAAAGGAGATAGTGGTTGAGGGATAGTGAGAGAGGTTGGAGAAGAGAGTAAGAAAAGGACGCTTACCTGATTTAAAATTGGTGAGATGTTCCTTGGGCTGGTGGGTCTGAGGCCCTGAGATCGTAAGTGGATCTTTTTCACGGAGCAAAGAGCAGGAGGACAGGGGATTGATCCCCCAAGGGAGGTCCCCCGATCCGAGTCACGGCACCAAATTTCATGTGAGTCCGTGTGAAGAGACCACCAAACAGGCTTTGTGTGAGCAATAAAGCTGTTTATTTCACCTGGGTGCAGGGGGGCTGAGTCTGAAAAGAGAGTCAGTGAAGGGAGATAGAGGTGGGGCCGTTTTATAAGATTTGGGTAGGTAAAGGAAAATTACAGTCAAAGGGGGGTTCTCTGGCGGGCAGGAGTGGGGGCCACAAGGTGCTCAGTAGGGGAGCTTTTGAGCCAGGATGAGCCAGGAGAAGGAATTTCACAAGGAGTTAAGGCAGGAACAGGCCATTTTCATTTCTTTTGTAGTGGAATGTCATCAGTTAAGGCAGGAACCAGTCATCTGGATGTGTACGTGCAGGTCACAGGGAATATGATGGCTTAGCTTGGGCTCAGAGGCCTGACAAAAGTAAAACAAGGATTCTAGAGGAAATCAAAGCCTATGACACCTACAGCTACACAAATTGAAAATATAGCCTGACTTAGCCAGATAAACACAAAACCTCATTCTAACATCCTATCTACCCAATTCCTATTTTCTCTCTCCCAGGTCTAGACACTAAACTTCTTGAGGGCAAACATTGTTGTTTACTTCTTTAACTAGCTTGTGACACCACATAGCAGGTACGGAGCACATGCTTAAAATATTTGATGAAAGGAGGAAAAAGGAGGTTGTTAATTGAATGAACATCTACATAATAAAATAAAAACCTATTTCTTCCATGATTCAGGCAATTCACTTAAAGTGTTGCAATCCCACAAAAGCCTCCCATGCTTCCTCCATTTTAGAAATAAAAAACTTGAAGCTTACAGAACATCAGGTATAAGCCTAGAAATTGGTAAGGCTCTGATCCCAGCCAAGCCCACCTCTCCCACAGAGCAGGCTGCCTGCTGCATCTAGGGCTTCCATCACCCTGCCCAAAGGCAGGAAGTGGAGAGACAGAAGCACAGGGGTCCAGTAGAGTCTGAGCTTCCTTTCCTAAGCCAGGCACCAGAATCTTCATGAACTTTGTGTGTGTGTGTGTGTGTGTGTGTGTGTGTGTGTGTGTATTTTTTTTTTTTTTAGAGACAGGATCTTGCTACATTGCCCAGGCTGGTCGTGAACTCCTGGCCTCAAGCAGTCCTCCTGCCTCAGCCTCCCAAAGAGCTGGGATTATAGGCGTGAGCCACTGCACACAGCTTCCTTCATTTCTGTAAGTGTCAGTGAAAAAAGAATGTTTGTGAGTTAAGGAGTAGCAGTAGGGACTCGGAAGAGACTCTCATTTAGGACAGTTTTGACAATATAAGTGTTGCCAGTTTGCTTCCTAATGTTTGCATGGAGAATGGAACACTGGGTTCAGGTATTAAACTACTGTAGCACTATAGGGAGGATCAGAGACCACCATCGCAGGCCTGAGCAACATGGTACAAATCACGGATCTTGGAAACTGCGTTGGTGATAATAATTATGCATAATTATGAGTGTATTCTGCTTTAAAGTTTTTCAAAAAGTGAATTACCAGAATCTTTCAGACATTGTGTAACTTTTTGCTAAAGTTCAAAAACTTATACTGTTTTTATGGCAATTTTTGATTGATACTTGTTTTCTAATCTTGGGAGAAAAATGGAAAATAAAGGAAAGTTCTAAAAGGAAAATAAAATCCTCCATAATTTTACCACTCATAGTTAATCTCTGGTAATATTATGATGTCTTTCTTTCTATGCAAGGGTGTGTGTATGTATGTATAGTACAAAATTGCCACATTTTGAATGATATATTTCATATTTGTATTTATACATATGTAAACGCCTTTACTTCCTCCTATTTTTTCCCTAAAATTGTACCATGAGCATCCTTCACATTCTAAGAAAACATTATTCTTAATGGCTATGTAATATTTCATTATATCATTTATATCACAATTTAGATGACCAATATTCTGTTGCTGAACATTTAAATGTTTCCATTTGTTCAGTGTTATAAATTATAGAAAGAATCAGAATCAGCACTTTCTAAAGCCTCCACTCTTTTTAAATGGGAAAACAATCTAATTTAAAACTTTGTGAAAATGGAAATGTTTTATTTCGCACCGTCCTATAGAGTAGCCACTGCCCTCATGTGACTATTGAGTTCTTGATATGTGGCTGGTGCAACTGAGGAATTAATTCTTTTTATTTTACCTTAGTTTAATAAATTTAAATTTAAATAGCCATATGTGGCTAGTGACTACTTTATTTGTTAAACTTGTGAGGTTAAGGTCACTTTAAGGATCTGCTTGTACGCAGGAATACCGCCATCTTGTGGCCTGTTAGAATATGGCCTCGAAAATTGAAACCAAAGTGCATTTACACCTGCAAGCACCCTGGAAGTGGTAAATCCATGATATTCGTGGATCATAAAAGCTCAATTCGTAGCTTATATAAAGTATCTGCAAGCTTAAAGATTGCAGTTGCTAAAACACACCATGGAACAGGGCAAATGAATTTGCAGAGGAGAAACAGTGAGTGCCTGGGCTAACTCTGAGAATAAGTGTGTCTTTGCCATTTGGGATAGAGACATCCTTTTGGTGACCCTTTCGTGAACAGCAAGAATCTCTAGGACCTTTTGGCACCTGAAATTCATCCTTTCTTCCTTTGTTCTGCTATTCGAAAGCGCTCTTTGCTTTAAAGTGCTACAGATACTCGTATCCTCCTAGGAGTTTTCCTATTCATCTTCACATATGTCTATTGATATTGCCTGCTCTGCAGATTCACTCTGCATTTTTGTTAGAGTTTTGTTGTAAATTCTAGTATATTTTGCACTTTCTTTGACTGATTCAACTCTTAATCAGCGCTTCCCCCAAATCTAACCCACAATTCTCAAAATTGGCCGTATATATATGTATGTGTGTGTGTGTATATATATATGTGTGTGTGTGTGTATATATATGTAAATGTATATTGAATAGATGAGTTCTGAGTGATTCAAAGGGTGGGAAAATTAAGATCTCTTATTCCAACTAAGTTTGGAACTAATTAAGAGATTGCTAATGGTGGAAGGCAGATGAAGACAAAAACATCCACTTTATTACTGGCAGAACTGTTTACAAGTGTGGCTTTGTGGTGCAGGAATGATAGAAATTCTAACACTGAATCCCAGAAGTAGACTTTCTACCACCTCAACGAGCAGCTCCAGGAAGCCTCAGGCCTCCTCTGGGGTGGGTCCCTGTAAGAATTACAGGCCACAGAGACAGGCCACAGGAGTGCATGTTGTGGGCAGGTGGCCCAAGTGAGAAGGGCCAGATGGAGGAGGCAAGGAGGGCGATACAAGATTGTTTAGAGTAAGCAGATGGGCATTGTACATTCTCTACATGACAAGGTATTCTACTTTGGTAGAAAACCTTAAAGGTTGGCCAGATTGTCTAGGGAAAAATCTCTCCTCATAGAAACTGGGAAATTGAAAAAAAGTATCCACCCTCATAGAAATCAATAAGTTATATTCTAGCATGACCTTAGCCAAATTTTTAACTGTTTCACCAAATAATTAAAGCTTCACCTGAGAGCTGTAGGAAAGATAAACAGGTATGTATTTATCTTTGTACAACTCTGCACACATTGTTAATCTTTCTCAATCGGAAGGGATCATAGATTAGGTGATAATAATAAATACTGAGAAATAAACAAGCAATAAACATTGAGATTGAACTCATGTTTCTCAAAATGCTGCTTCAGTGTGTTGGGAGACTTTGTTAACTCAGCAGTGACTTCTAGTGCAAAAACATTATCTTATAAAATTTCTAGAAAGCAAGTCAATTACGAAATAAAGGAACAAATTCAATAATTTTATTACAGCAATAATAATAAGCTAAAAAAAATCTCAAATTTGTTTTGTTTTTGTTGTTGTTTTGACACAAGGTGTTGCTGTGTTGCCCAGGCTGGAATGCAGTGGCACAAACACTGCTCACTGCTGCAGCCTCAAGCTCCTGGGCTCTGGCGATCTTCCTGCCTCAGCCAAGTAGCTGGAACTACAGACCTGTACCTCCATGCCTTCCTAAATTATTTTTGTTTTGTTTTGCAGAGATGGAGCCTTGCTATGTTTCCCAGACTTGTCTCAAACTTCTGGCCTCAATCCTCCCTCCTCGACTTCCCAAAGTCCTGGGATTACAGGCATGAGCCACTGCAGCTGGCAAAAATATAAATTTCTAACTGTAGGAATTCACTCTAAGGGTATACTTGCAGTTGTACTTAACAGTTTATTATGGTGATATTTATCACAGAAATGTTTATAATCATCCTCATAAAATGATAGCCTTAGGAGATCTTTTTAATGTGCTAGCTTGGCAAATTTTTTTTTTTTAAAAAACTGACAAGTCTGTATTGTCTCCAGTAGCAAAGACTCACTAGCCCATGAAACAATAAGTCTAAGAATAAATTTATTAGATCTATTAATATATCCCTCTAAGACTTGGTATTAGAGATAAAAGTTTGTATCTATATGGCTTATAGGCAACCCAGTCACAGATAATCTTCTCTAGTGAGAAAAGGTGCCAGGAAATTCACTTTGATTTGAGTCATTGAATGTGAGAACCTCTCTACCACCAGCCCAGGAGGGTACCTGAGGACACTTGTGGTCATGGAAGATAACGGCTCTCAGAAGTGTAGAGGGTATAGGCTGTGTGGCTATATAGTACTACTACTCAAAGAAAGGATTTAATGAGGCCTTTTCTGTGTCCAGAGATTAAATGAAAAAGCTGCCCAGCCCCTGGCATGGATCTCTGGGAAGAGATGGAAATGGTGCCCCATTCCAGGAGAGAGTTCTCAGAACTGGCTGTGTTCAGAGAGCCCCGTAATTGGGAGTCAAAGCATGCTGCTTCTCTGATTAGACCCAGCACCAGGACCAGGATTATAACACAAATGCCTCGAGACACCAGGCAGGCGATATAAAGGCTTCTATGAGGCTGTGTGTAAAACACAGACATTAATATTAGCCATGAAATGTGTGTTGTCAAATAAACCACTACTGAGGGTCAGATTTGGCACACAGGTGGCCAGTTTATGACCCTTGACTGAGGGAATGAGTTCATCCTTCTTCTGTAGGAATCCTTCTGCAGGAATCTGGTTCAGACAGGCGCTCTACCCAGGGTACACAGGGCTGCTGCTGTGTGGTGCAGGGCCAGTGTCAATATCAGCAGTGGTGCCACGTGGCAGTGAGGAGCAGGAGCGAGCTGACCCATCCAGCTTTCTACAGATACTGGATCTTCTGTTGATAGCACAGGTGGGGGACCTGAGAAGTTAACCAGGAAAATATTACATAGATCAATACTTGCACATACCTCTAGTTGGAACATTCACATCAGTTTCAAGGGTAACTTTCTCCCTCCCTCCTTCCTCCTCCTGCCTTCTTTTCTTCCTGTCTTCCTTTATTCTCTCTCTCTCTCTCTCTGTTCTTATTATGGATTGAATATTTATGTCCCTCCTATAATTCATAAGTTGACATCTTAGTTCCCAATGTGATGGCATTAGGAGGTGGGCCCTTTGGGAGGTGATTAGATCAGAAGGGTGGAGCTCTCATGAATGGCATTAGCGCCCTTATGAAAGAGGCCCCAGACCAAACACAGTGGCTCTCATCTGTAATCCCAGAACTTTGGAAGGACAAGGTGAAAGAATTGCTGAGTCCAGTGTTTGAGGCCAGCCTTGGAAACATAGAGATACCCTGTCTGTAAAAAAAGTTAAAAAAAAAAATTAGCCAGGCATAGTGCAAGTGGTGGAGCACATTTATAGTCCCAGCTACTCGAGAGTCTGAGGCAAGAGAACTGCTTGAGCCCAGGAGTTTTAGGTTACAGTGAGCTATGTTCGTGCCACTGCACTCCAGCCTGGGCAACCGAGTGAGATCCCATCTCTAAAATAAATGAATAAATAATACAAGAGGACCCAGAGAGCTCTCTGTCTACTATATTAAGTCACAACAAGCAGTTAGCAGTCTACATACAACCCAGAAAAGGGTCCTCACCAAAATCCAACAATGCTGGCACCCTCATCTCAAACTTCCAGCCTGCAAAATTGTGAGAAATAAATTTTTATTGTTTATAAGCCACCCAGTCTATGTTACTTTGTTATGACATCCTGGGGGGACTCAGACAGTTCTTCTTCCATCTTCAGTTTATGAATTATCTTAGGGTACATTGTGAACTCTTCCTTCTCAGAATTGATCTTTAGCAGAGTGGAGACCATGTTTTCCCAGTTAGACGAAGTAGTTACTGAGCATAGTTCAATTTCTCTCATCAGTCTATTTTCAGTAGGCACATGCTATCAGTCACCCATCAGTAAGACAGCACTCCAGGGATAGAAATCTTTCTGCTAATTGCCCCTATATCCATCAATTGTTTCTCTCTTTTCTATTTCCATTCTCCTATTTTCCCACACCCAGAAAAATATAAATGCAACATTATTGACTGGTGAATGACATAAGCTGACAGTTGGTGGCACTGCTTCTCAACCAAAATCCCTAATGCATAAGCATAGGAAAATATATCTATCTCCTTATTTACCACAATAAATGGTCTAAGCTCCAAGACATGAGAATTGTTAGGAGAACAGATTTCTGGACTCAACCCCTTAGAGATTAATAGAGGCTTCTTGCAATCTGCAGATTTAATTAATATTCCAAATGATTCTAATTCAGGTGGCCCATGAATTACAGGAACATAATTTTGAAGTGAAGACAGAAGAGTGGGACAGACTTTGAAATCAGTAATAGGTTGAGATAAAAGCATTCTTCCGTTGTACATTTCTGATCTGAAAGTTTTGCCAAAGTCTTCAATGACAATTGCACTTCTATCAATTTCTTTTCAAATTTCTAATAGCTTTTAAGACATACAAATATAAATATATGTATATGTATTTGTGTGTGTATATCTGCTGGTGCATAAAGGGTTATGTCTGTTGATTGTCAGAACAGCCTCAAATATTTTAATGATTCCTTTCCCATTAATGAGTAAGATCAAAATGAATCTGTTAATTTTACCAAACCAATGAATCACCAAGATGTTTGTATATGTGTGTATTAACATTATTTTCAACGCTTTATCTTGACATTTCAATCATATTGAAAACTGAAGGAATTTTACCATGAACATTCAAATATCTATCACCCAGGTTCCACAATTAAGTTTACTCTCTTTGATTTATCAGTTACCTATATACCTGTGCATCACTCTATTATCCATCAACCCATCTTAGTTTTTGATAAATTTCAATGTAAGTTGCAGACATATATACAAATATTTTACTATGCATCTTATTAACTAAATTTCAATATTCATTATTTTATGTAAAACTTACATGCAATGACATGCATGCATGCATGGTTTGGATATCATTCAATGAGTTCACACAAACATATACACCTGTGCAAGCCAAATCCTTGTCAAGATACAGAATATTACTGTCAACCCAACGAGTCTCCTCATATGCTTTTTCAATAGCTCTCCACCACCATCTCCCAGAGCCAATCATTATTATAATTATTTTTAATAAATTATAAATATTTAAATAAATATTTATAAATTAAGTTTGACTGTTCTCGGGCTGTATATATATGGACTTATATATTAAGCTTTATATATATATGGACTCATATATTTTTAATCACATAAGGTTTTCAAGACACATCCATGTGGTTGTGTATTTAAGTATTTTTTTTCTTTCTTATTGTTGGATAATATGACAGTCTACAAATATACTCCAGTTTGTTTATCTATTATATGTGGTGAATAACCAAGCTGTTTCTGGTTTTTGACTACTATGAGTAAAACTGCTATAAGCATTCGGCCACAGGTCTTTTTGCGGATATATATTTTTATTTGTCTTGAGTAAATATCTAGTAGTGGAACTGCTAGGTCACAAAATAGATGTGTTTTTAGTTTTATTTAAAAATGTCAGAAATTTTCATGAAACAGGGGCATCATTTTAACTATTTTGCAGTCGCACTGACAATATGTTCTAGTTTCAGTTGCTCCATGTCCTTGCTAACCTTTAGTATTATCAGTCATTTTAATTTTAGCCTAAGCTATGTATACAGTAGTATCTGGGATTTTAAGGAACCTAATTGTCAGCTTGTCTTTGAATTAATCTTGTCACTTGTTTTTATATTCAGAGCCATTAGTATATAACATCTAAAAATATGCTTGAGTGTTTACTCTCATCTGTAGAATTACTAGGAGATGTGTGAAAGGTGAGAGAAAAAGAAAAATGGCCCCTGTCTTTTAGGAGTTTATGTTCTTAACATTTACAATAGGAGGCAATTAAATATAAGGCCCATGTGGCTACACCTGACTCAAGGTACTGAAAGATTTGAATGAAGTTGATCATTACCAAAAGTCAACTGCTAGGGACATCTTTAAGCTGGAGTTTGACAAATGAGTAATATTTGAGTTATAGAATAAAGTGAGGAATGAGATTGGTTTCCACTGGGAAAATAGCCAGAATGAGGTACTATGTGCAGAACAAGCAGAAAGTATAAACAAGCAATGAAAATGCTCCTGCAAACCTATGTGCGGCTTTTTGCAACATTTGTTAAGGCTTTTATTGAATAAGCCTTTTATATGGAATGTAACAACACCATTAGATCTCATGATGACATTTGTTGTGTGGCTGTTTTGTTTTGTTTTGCTACCTCTTTAAAATTAATGTCTCATTTTAAATCTTATACCACAAAATTTAAACCAACATCTCTGTCTACTAGTTGAGGACTTGCCCTATGTGAGAAATCAACTGAGTGCCAAAGTCTTACTCATGTTTTCTTTTATTTTGGACTTTGAAGCACCCTGGATAGCTCTCTACACATGTGGAGCCAGCATTCTAAGAAGAGTCTAATTTCATCTTTATTCTTTCAAAAACGAGCCTGAAACGAAACTTTATCTCCATCAACTTGCAAGCTATTTTTCCTTGAAAGATTATATGATGTACTCATGAAAAATAAACTTCACTGTCCGTCACACACAACTGAATTTATAGATCTGCCTCTTGAGCAAGTTAATTAGACTCTCTAAACCTTGACTTTCTCATCTATAAAACTGGAATAGCAATAGAGCCCACCCCATAGAGATTTTGAGAGTATTGCACAAGGTCGTGTATGTAAAGTGCTTAGCACAGTCCCTGGCTCATAATTAGTGCTCAGTTAATGTCAGTTATTTTTTGTGGCCACGTTTGCCAGTTTCACCTGATCCCTCACTCTGTTGTTTCCAGATCACAGGTATTAAAAGTATCAGATATTCGAGCAGATATAGGGAGCATAGCGGACGTTGTGTTCAGGTGCCAGAATTTGCCGATTTTTAAAATATCATTAAATGCACCTCAATCAATATATTTCTTATTATTTCCCTTTTTAAAAACAATAGTCCATTTATTCTTTGGAATCTTTTACCATGAAGTAAATGAACAAATCCAAATTGCCCTATTACCAGGCTGAAATATGTTTAAAATCCATACCTGAAAGAAGATTGAATGTGAAAATGTGAAATATTGCACCAGGGGATTCTAGGGTCATATGATGATGGTGGCAGAGCTCATGGGGATGTTTCTGAGATACAGGTAACTTCATCTTAGCAACAGGCTCTTGTGCAACATGAATTTGTATCCCAAGGCGCTGCCATGAACTTTGTTTTAGTAGTTGCAAAACCATTCAGCTGCTCAGATGGAGAGCTCTGAGGGACTCTGGGACAAATTTCCTCCAAAAAAAAAAATCAAGCCTCCAGCTTTTAGCACACTGCCAGGAGTTGCTGAAAAGTTCTATGTTAAAAATGAAAATATACCTGGGAGGGTTATCACATTCAGCAGTCTCTTGAGCCCTTCATACCTCAGAGTAAACTTATTAATCAGCTGGATTTTCCCTTGAATTTAAGTTCATGCTCTTGACAGGGATTGGAAAAAAAGGAAAGGTAACTCCTCCAGGTTTGTCCAGACAGGACAAACGAGTTTTAATCTGGGCATGCAAACATCATGGGTCAACGTATGCAATGAACCCAGGGGTAGGACTAGAAGGCAGAAGTAATAAATTTACATTTATTCCATCATTTGATGTCTGTGGAGAATTGGCAAGCCTTCTAATTTTTGGAACATGTATGCCATTATCTATGCAATGGCGATATTCATTTCTATTCTAACTAGTATTTACAATGTTAGTGAGAATTGAATGAGATAATATGCGTGAAAGCCCTCTGGATGAAAAATAAAATAAAATAAACAATGTTACAAGCATACCTCAGAGATACTGCAAGTTTGATTCCAGACAACCACAATAAAACACATATCAAAGTAAAGTGAGTCACACAATTTTTGGTTTCCCAGTGCATATAAAAGTTAATGTTTACACTATATCATAGTTTATTAAGTGTGAAATAGCATTATGTCTAAAATAATACATATTTTAATTAAAATACTCTATTGCTAAAAATGCTAATGATCATCTGAGTCTTCAGTGAGTCATAATCTTTTTTTAAAATTTCAACTTTTATTATAGATTAAAGGGTACACACGCAGATTTGTTACATGGGTAAATTACATGATACTGAGGTTTGGGGTCCCAAAGATCTTACCACCCAGGCCATAAGCATAGTACCCACCAAGTGGTTCTTCAACCCACGGCCCTCCCCTTTCTAGTGATCCCTAGTATCTATTGTTCCTATCGTTACAATCACGTACATTCAATGTTTAACTCCCACTTATATGTGAGAACATGCTGTATTTTGTTTTCTGTTTTTGAGTTAGATTGTTTAGGCTAATGGCCTCCAACTCCATCCATGATGCTGCAAAGGGCATGATTTTGTTCTTTTTTATCGCTGTATTGTATTACACGGTTTATAAGTACCAAGTACCACATTTTATTTATCCAGTCCACTATTGATGGGCACTTAGATTGTATGTCCTTGCTATTGTGAATAGTGCTGCAGTGAACATATGGGTGCATGGGACTTTATGACAGGATGAATTATTTTCCTTTGGTATATCCTAGTAGTGGAATTGCTGGGTGGAATGGTAGTTCTCTTTTAAGTTCTTTGAGAAATCTCAAAACTGCTTTCCACAATGGCTCAACTAGTTTGCATTCCCACCAACAGTGTAAACGCATTCCCTTCTCTCCGCAGCCTTGCCAACACGTGTTGTTTTTGACTTTTTAATAATTGCCATTCTGACTGGTGTAAGATGCTATTTCATTGTGGTTTTTATTTGCATTTGTCTGTTGACGAGTGATGCTGAGCATTTTTTCATATGTTTCTTGGCCACTTGTGTATCTTCTTTTGAGAAATGTCAGTTCATGTCCTTTAGCTCATTTTTAAATTGGATTATTTGTTTTTGCTTCGTGATTTAAGTTCCTTGTAGATTCTGGATATTAGACTTTTGTCACATGCATAGTTTGCAAATATTTTCTCCCATTCTGCAGGCTGTCTGTTTACTCTGTTGATGCTTTTTTTTTTGCTGGGCAGAAGCTCTTTAGTTGAATTAGGTTCCACTTATCAATTTTCATTTTTGTTACAATTGCTTTTGAGGACTTAGCCATAAATTCTTTGACAAAACAAATGTAAAGAAGGGTATCTCCTAGGTTTCCTTCTAGGATTTTTTTATAGTTTAGGGGGTATTACATTTACATTTTTCATTCATCTTGAGTTAATTTTCATACATGGTAAGAGGTAAAGGTCCAGTTTTATTCTTCTGTATATGGCTAGCCAGTTATCTTAGCACCATTTATGGAATAAAGAGTCCTTTTCCCATTGCTTATTTTTGTTAATTTTGTCAAAGGTCAAAAGTATGTAGTCATGTGTTTATTTCTGGGCTCTCTATTCTGTTCCATTGGTCTACGTGTCTGTTTTTGTATCTGTACCATGCTCCTTGAGTACTGTAAACTTATAGTATAATTTGAAGTTGGGCAATGTGATTGATGCCTCTGGCTTTTTACTTTTTGCTTGGAATGGCTTTAGCTATTTAGGCTGATATGGTTTGGCTGTGACCCCACCCAGATCTCAACTTGAATTGTATCTCCCAGAATTCCCACATGTTGTGGGAGGGACCCAGTGGGAGGTAATTGAATCATGAGGGCAGGTCTTTCCCGTGCTATTCTCGTGATGGTGAATAAATCTCATGACATCTGATGGGTTTATCAGGGGTTTCCGCTTTTGTTTCCTCCTCATTCTCTCTTGCTGCCACCATATAAGAAGTGCCCTCCACCATGATTGTGTGACCTTCCCCAGCCACCTGGAACTGTAAGTCCAATTAAACCTTTTTCTTTTGTAAATTGCCCAGTCTTGGGTATGTCTGTATCAGCAGTGTGAAAATGAACTAATACAGTAAATTGGTTCCAGTAGAGTGGGGCATTGCTGAAAAGATACCCTAAAATGTGGAAGCAACTTTGGAACTGGGTAACAGGCAGAGGTTGGAACAGTTTGGAGGGCTCAGAGGAAGAAAGAAAAATATGGGAAAGTTTGGAATTTCCTAGAGACTTGTTGAATGGCTTTGCCCAAAATACTGATAGCAATATGGACAATAAAGTCCAGGCTGAGGTGGAATCAGAGAGAAATGAGGAACTTGTTGGGAACTGGAGCAAAGGTGACTCTTGTTATGTTTTAGCAAAGAGACTGGCGGCATTATGCCCCTGCCCTAGAGATTTGTGGAACTTTGAACTTGAGAGGGATAATTTAGGGTATTTGGCAGAAGAAATTTCTAAACAGCAAAGCACTCAGGATGTAATTTGGGTGCTGTTAAAGCCATTCAGTTTTATAAGGGAAGCAGAGCATAAAAGTTTGGAAAATTTGCAGATGGACAATGTGATAAAAATGAAAATCCCTTTTTCTAAGGAGAAATTTAAGACGGCTGCAGAAATTTGGGTAAATAATGAGGAGCCAAATGTTAATTCCCAATACAATGGGGAAAATGTCTCCAGGGCATGTCAGAGGTTTTCACCAGGCAGCCCTTCTCATCACAGGCCCAGAGGCATAGGAGGAAGAAATTGTTTTGTTGGCTAGGCCCAGGGTCCCAGTGTTGTGTGCAGCCTAGGGACTTAGCATCCTGCTTCCAAGCCACTCCAGCCATGGCTAAAAAGGGCCAAGGTACAGCTTGGGCCGTGGCTTCAGAGGGTGGAAGCCCCAGACCTTGGCAGCTTACACGTGGCATTGAGCCTGTGGGTACACAGAAGTCAAGAACTGAGGTTTGGGAACCTCCACCCAGATTTCAGAAGATGTATGGAAACACCTGGATAACCAGGCAAAAGTTTGCTGCAGGGGTAGAGCCCTCATGGAGAACTTCTGCTATGGCAGTGCGGAAGGGAAATGTGAGATTGAAGCCCCCACACAGAGTCCATACTGGGGCACCATCTAGTGGAGCTGTGAGAAGAGGGCCACCATCCTCCAGACCCTAGAATGGTACATCTGCCAACACCTTGTACCATGTGCCTGGAAAAGCCACAGGCACTCAATGCTAGCCCATGAAAGCAGCCAAGAGGGAGGCTGTACCCTGCAAAGCCACAGGGGCAGAGCTGCCCAAGACTATGGGAACCCACCTCTTGCATCAGGATGACCTGGATGCAAGACATGGAGTCAAATATCATTTTGGAACTTTAATATTTGACTGCCTTGTTGGATTTCAGATTTGCATGGGGCCTATAGCCCCTTTGTTTTGGCTAATTTCTCCCATTTGGAATGGCTGTATTTACCAAATGCCTGTACTACCATGGTATCTAGGAAGTAACTGACTTGCTTTTAATTTTACAGGCTCATAGGGAGAAGGGAGTTGTATTGTCTCAGGTGAGACATTGGGCTGTGGACTTTTGAGTTAATACTGAGATAAGACTTTGGGGGACTGTTGGGAAGGCATGATGGGTTTTGAAATGTGAGGACATGAGATTTGGGAGGGGCCAGGGAAGAATGATATGGTTTGGCTGTGCCCCCACCCAAATCTCAACTTGAATTGTATCTCCCAAAATTCCCACAAGTTGTGGGAGAGACCCAGTGGGGGGTAACTGAATCATGGAGGCGGGTCCTTCCTGTGCTATTCCTGTGATAGCAAATCTGTCTCATGAGATCTGATGGGTTTATCTGGGTTTTCCACTTTTGCTTCCTCCTCATTCTGTCTTGCTGCTGCCATGAAAGAAGTGCCTCTTGCCCTCTGCCATGATTGTGAGGTCTTCCCCAGCCATGTAGAACTGTAAGTCCAGTTAAAATTATTTCTTTTGCCAATTGCCCAGTCTTGGGTATGTGTTTATCAGCAGTGTGAAAACAGACTGATGCACAGGCTTTTTGTTTGTTTGTTTGTTCCAAATGAATTTTAGAATAGATTTCTCTGGTTCTGGGAGTTGTTGGTATTTTGGTAGGAATATCATTAAATATATAAATTGCTTTGGGCAGTATGGCCATTAATAACTCTATTAATACTTCCAATCCATGAGCATGGAATATTTTTCCATTTATTTATGTCATCTCTGGTTTCTTTCAGCAATGTATTGTAGTTCTGCTTGAAGAGACTTTTTACCTCCTTAGTAAGATAGACTCCTAGGTATTTCATTTCGTTTGTGGTTATTATAAATGAGATTGTGTCTTTGCTTTGATTCTCATCTAGAATGTTACTGGTGTATAGAAATTCTACTGCTTTCTATAGCTGATCTTGTATCCTAAAACTTTACCAAATTTGTTTATTAGTTCCAGGAGCCTTTGGGTGGTATCTTTGGAGTTTTCTAGGTATAGAATCATATTGTCAGCAAAGAGAGATAGATTAACTTGTTATTCTCCTAGTTGGATGCCTTTTATTTCTTTTTCTTCCCTGATTGCCCTGGGTAGGCCTTCCAGTACTGTGTTGAATAGGAGTAGTAAGAGTAGACATCCTTGCCTTGTTCCAGTTCTCAAGGGGAATGGTTCAGTTTTTGCTGGTTCAGTGTGATGCTGGCTGTGCGCTTGTCATAGATGGCTCTTATTATTTTGAGGTATGTTTCTTCAATGCCTAATTGATTTAGGATTTTTATCATGAAGAATGATTGATTTTATCTAAGACTTTTTTTTTCCATCTATTGAGGTAATCATATGGTGTTTGTCTTTGATTCTGTTTATGTGGTGAATCACATTTATTGATTTGCATGTGTTGAACCAACCTTGTATTCCTGAAACAAAGCCTACTTGACCACTGTGAATTAACCTTTTCATGTGCTTCTGGATTCAGTTTGTCGAGTACCTATGTTCATCAGGGATATTGGCCTGAATTTTCTTTTTTCATTGTGTCTCTGCCATGTTTTGCTATCAGAATGATGCTGGCTTTACAGAATGAATTAGGGAGAAACCCCTCCCTATCAACTTTTTGGAATAGTTTCACTGTGATTGGTATCAGTTCTTCTTTGTACATCTGGTAGAATTTTACTGTAAATCCATCTAGTTTAGGGCTCCTTTTGGTTGGTAAGATTTTTATTACTGACTCAATTTCCGAACTTGTTACGGGTCTTTTCAGGTTTTCACTTGCTTTCTGATTCAATCTTGGGAAGTTGTGTGTTTCTAGGAATTTACCCATTTTCTCTAGATTTTTAAATTTTTATGCGTGGAGGTGTTCATAAATAATCCCCGAGGATATTTCGTATTTGCATGGAATTGGTTGTAATGTTGTCTTTGTCATTTCTGATTGCACTTATTTGGATCTTTTTTTCATCTTCTTAATTGTTAATTCAGCTAACAGCTGTTAAATCAGCTAACAGTCCATCAAACTTGTTTATTCTTTTAAATTTTTAGTTTTACTGATCATTTGTGTGGACTTTTGAGTCTCAGTTTCTTTTAGTTGTTCTCTGATATTAGTTATTTCTTTTCTACTAGCTTTGAAGCTGGAATGTTGTATTTTTTTTCTTTAGTTTCTCCAGTTATGCTTTTAAGTAGTTAATTTGAGAACTTTCTAACCTCTTGATAAAGGTGTTTAGCACATAAACTTTCCTTTTAACATTGTTTTAGCTGCATCCCAAATGTTTTGGTAAGGTGTGTCTCTATATTCATTAATTTCAAATGATTTTTTACTTTATCTTAATTTCATTGATTACCCCAAAGTTATTCAGAAGCAAGTTGTTTAATTTTCATGTTTTGTGTAGTTTTGAGAGATTTTCTTATTATTGATTTCTATTTTTATTGCACTGTGTTCCAAGAGCACACTTGGTATGCATTCAACTTTTTAAAATGTATTGAGACTTGCTTTATGTCTGAGCATATGGCAGGTCTTAGAATATATTCTGTGTATGGATGACAAAAATATATATTCCATACTTGTTGGGTGAAGTACTCTCTAGATGTCTATTAGGTCCAATTGGTCAAGTGTTGAGTTTAAGTCCAGAATTTGTTTTAGTTTCCTGCCTCAATAATCTGTCTAATGCTGTTAGTGTGGTGTCAAAGTCCCCCACTATTATTGTGTGGCTAAGTTTTTTTATAAGTCAAGAAGACCTTGTTTTATGACTCTGTTTGCTCCTATGTTGAGCATAAACATATATGTTTAAGATGTTAAACCTTCTTATTGAAATGAACCCTTTATCATTATGTACAGCCATTGTTTCTTCTTTCTGATTATTGTTGGTTTAAAATCTATTTTATATGGTATAAGAATAATGCTCCTTTTTGTTTTCTCTTTGCTTGGTAGATTATTCTCCGTTCCTTTACTTTGAGCCTGTGGTGTCATTACATGTGAGATGCATCTCATGAAAAGAGTAGACTGTTGGATCTTGTCTTTTTTATCTAGTTTGCCACTCTGTGTCTTTTAAGTGGGGTGCTTAGATTACATTCAGGGTTAGTATTGATATACAAGATTTTGATCCTGTCATCATGTTGTTAGCTAACTTGGTTTTGTAGACTTGATGGTGTAGTTTCTTTTTATTGTTGGTGGGCTTTGTGCTTGAGAGTATTTTTGAGGTAGGTTTTGGTCTTTTGTTTCCATGTTAATGCTCCTTTCAGGACCTCTTGTAAGAGTGGTCTGTTAATAACATATCCCTTAGTGCTTGCTTCTCTGAGAAGGATTTTTATTTCTCTTTCTCTTATGAAGATTAGTTTGGTGAGGTATGATAGTCTTGGTTGAAATTCTTTTCTTTAAGAATGCTGTAAAGAGGCTCCCACCATCCTCTGGCTTGTAGGGTTTCTGCTGAGAGATCTGCTGCTAGCCCGATGGGGCATTCTTTATAGGTGACCTACCTTTCTCTCTAGCTGCCTTGAAGATTTTTTCTTTTGCCTTGACTTTGATGAATTTGATGACTATGTGCCTTGGGGGTGGTCATTTTTTGTAGTATCTTTCAGGAGTTCTCTATATTTTTTGAATTTGTATGTTCTCCTCTCTAGCAACTTCAGGGAAATTTTTATGAACGATATCTTCAATATGGTTTCCAAATTACTTACTCCTTCTCTTTCAGGAATGCCCATGAGTTGTAGATTTAACTTTTTTACATAATCCTATATTTATTGAAAGTTTTGTTCATTTTGTAAAATTCTTTTTTCCTTATATTTGTATGAGAGAGCTTATTTGAAGAGCCAGTCTTTAAGCTCTGAGATTCTTTCTTCAGCTTGATCTATTCTGCTATTGATACTTCCAATTGTGTTGTGGAATTCTTGAAGTAAATTTTTCAGCTCCAGAAGTTCAGGTTGGTTCTTTCTTCAAATGGCTATTTCATCTTTCAGCTCCTGGATTGTTTTACTGGATTCCTTGGATTGGGTTTCAACTTTCTCCTTGATCCCATTGAGCTTCCTTACCATCCAGATTCTAAATTCTATGTCCATCACTTCAGTCATCTCAATCTAGCTAATTATCATTTCTGAGGGGCTAGAGTGTCTGTTTGCAGGTAAGGGGGCACGCTGGCTTATGGAGTTTCCAGAATTCTTGCATTGATTCTTTCTCATGTGGAAGGGCTGACATTCTTCTAACTATGATGTGGATTGAGTATACTCAGTTGGCTTTATTTCTGGGTGTTTTCAGAGGGTCAGCACTCTGTACAAAGTGTTTATTTGTGGCTGGACCTTTGCCTTAGTTTTCCCAGGCACTGTATACTGGCAAAATATTTTAGTGTTGTATTTTGGGCTTCAATCCAGTAGGTGGTGCATAACGTTAGCTGGCAGATAGGCTCTTACTCTGCTGCATGGCTCTTGTGTTTTAATGCAGTTGGTAGTAGTGCTCTGTGGTGGGTGGGGAGAGAGATGGCCCCCTCACCTGGTCTGCTCCTGGGCCTTGGAGTTGCCCCTTCTGACCGCTGACTCCATGCCCATATTTCTTTTGTTAGGTGCTCTAATCCACAGTGCTCCCCCAGGCAGAGGCCACGGTTGACAGACTGGCCATATCCTTGACAGGCCTGCCCTGCAGAAGGAGGCACACACCACTCCTCCATAGGCCCATGAACCCAAGCATCTCACTTCTATCAGTGATCCGAGAGTAAGGGCTTGCCACTGCTTAGACACTGTGCAAGTCAGCAAGTTCCATTCAGCTAGGTGCTACAGGGGTGGGTGGGCTCATCTAATCTGCTGTCCGGATGCTTCACAAGGAAACATGGGGTTGCACCTGCCTGATGAGTTCAGACAGAAGCAGGACAGCTGGGCTGGAAGCTCTAGCAGGTGTGACCCACCTGGCTATCAGTGACAGGGATGGGTCGAGTCACCTTCCCTGCTGTCTGGATGTTTTCTGGGGCAACAGGACGCTACCCCACTGGCTGAGTTTAGGCATAAGCAGGACTTCTTGGCTGGAAGCTCTAGCAGGTGTGGCCTGCCTGGCTCTGAGGAGCAGAGATAGGTGGAGTTGACCAATCTGCCATCCACATATTTCCCAGGGAAACAGGAGGATACAGCCACCAGATGGATTCAGGCAGAAACAGAAATACTGGAGTGGAATCACTACCAGGTGTGGCCTGCCTGCTTATGAGAAATGGGGTTTTACCCTGTTGTCCAGTCTGGGGTATAATGGTGCAATCATAACTCCCTGTACCCTCAAACTCCTAGGCTCAAGCAATCTTCCCCGCTCAGCCTCCTGTGTACCTAAGGACTACAGGCATGTGCCACCATGTTTGACTATTCTTTTTAATGTTTTTTAGAGACAGGTCTCACTATATTGCCCAGGCTGGTCTCAAATCCTTGTCTCAAGCAATCCTCCTGCCTCAGCCTCCCAAGGTGCTGGGATTACACACATGAACCACTGCACCTTTAAGTCATAATCATTTTGCTGGTGGAGGGTCTTGCTTCAATGTCGATGGCTGCTGATTGATCAGGCTATTTCTTAATGTATGCCTATAATGAAGATTGCCACATATATTTGATTCTTTCTTCTACAAAAGATTTCTCTCTAGCATTCAATGCTGTCTGATAGCCTTTCACTCACTATAGAACTTGCAAAATTGGAGTCAGCTCTCCCAAACCCTGACACTATTTTATCAAGTAAGTTTATGTAATATTCTAAATCTTCTGTTGTCATTTCAACAATGTTCACAGCATCTTCAATTGATGCTGTTGTAGATTCAAATGCAGTAAACCACTTTCTTTGCTTATCCATAAGAAGAAAGCCCTCATCAGTTCAGGTTTTCTTATGAGATTGCAATAATTCAATCACATCTTCAGGCTCCATTTTTAATTATAGTTCCCTTGCTATTTCCAGCAAATCTTCAGCTTCTTCCACTACTGAAATATTGAACTCCTCAAGGTCATCCTTGAGGGTTGGAATCAACTTCTTTCAAATTCCTATGAATGTTGGTATTTTGACATTGGAGCATGACTGAAAAATTGTCTTAATGGCATCTAAAATGGTGAATATTTTCCAGTAGACTTTCAATTTAGTTTGCCTAGATCCATCAGAGAAATCACTATCTATGGCAGCTACAGCCTTATGAAATGTATTTTTTAAATAGTCAGACCTGAAAGTCAAAATTAACTCTTGATCCATGGACTGCAGAATGGATGTTGTGTTAGAAGCCATGAAGCCAACATTAATCATCTTGTACATCTCTTGGGTGAGTTCTTGGGCAACCAGGTGCATTATCTATATACAGTAATATTTTGAAAGGAATCTTTATTCTGAGTAGAAGGCCTCAATGGTGGTCTTAAAATATTTAGTAAACCATGTTGCAAACAGATATACTGTCATTCAGGCTTTGTTCATTCATTTATAAAGCACAGGCAGAATAGATTGAGCACAATTCTTAAGGGTCCTAGGATTTTTGAAATGGTGAGTGAGCATTGCCTTCAACTCAAATTCACTAGCTGCATTAGCCCTTAACAAATTAGTCAGCTTGTCCTTGAAAGCTTTAAAACTGAACATTGACTTCTCTCTAGCTGTGAGAAGTCCTAGATGGCAGCTTCTTCTAATATAAAACTGTTTCATTGTCTACATTGAAAACCTCTTGCTTAGTTTCAATATTTTCTTCAAAGATCTTAGCTTGATCTTCTGGATAAATTACAGACACTTCTACATCAGTACTTGTTGCTTTACCTTGTACTTTTTTGTTATGAAGATGGCTTTACTCCTTAAACATTATGTACCAACCTCTGCTAGCTTGAAACTTTCCTTCTGCAGCTTCCTTTCCTCTCTCAGCCATTGTAAGATTGAAGAGAGTTAGGTCTTTTCTCTGGATTAGACTTTGGTTTACGGGAATGTTGTGGCTTGTTTGATCTTCTATCCAGACCACTAAAACTTTCTCCATATCAACAATAAGACTGTTTCACTTTTTTTACCATTTGTTCGTTCACTGGAGTAGCACATTTAATTTCCTTTGTGAACTTTTCCTTCGCATTCACAACGTGGCTAGCTGTTTGGTGCAAGAGCCCTAGCTTTCAGCCTATCTTGGCTTTCACCTTGCATTCCTCACTATGCTTAATCATTTTTAGCTTTTGATTTAAAGTGAGAAATCTGTGACTCTTCCTTTCATCTGAAAACTTATAGGTCACTGTAGGGCTATTAATTGGCCTAATTTCAATATTGTTGTGTCTTAGAGAATAGGGAGGCCAAAGGGGAGAGAGAGAGATGGGGGAACAGCTCATCCATAGAGCAGTCGGAACACACACAACATTTATCAATTAAGTTCACCATCTTACATGGCTGTGATTCATGGCTGTGATTCACTGTAACCTCAACCAAAACAATTACATTGGTAACATGAAAGACTATTGATCACAGATCACCATAACAGATATAAAAATAATGAAAAAGTTTGAAATATAATATGAATTACCAAAATGTGACAGAGAGATAAGAAATGAGCGCATGCTCTTGGGAAAAAATGGCACCAATAGACTTGCTTGATTCAGGATTGCCATAAGCATTCAATTTGTATTAAAAAAAGTGAAGTACAATAGTGCAGTAAATTAAGGTGCAATGAAATGAGATATGCCTGTATTAATTTTTCCAGTTATTGCTAATGTAGAATTTTGAGGAGAAAATATATATGAAGGGATTGAAATAGATAAGCATAAGAAAGAATGTCTATGATGTAATGATTTGACTTACCATTAATGTAGTGTTTTAAGATTATGTTGTTCTTTCACAGCCATTATCATATTGGGTCTTTACAAAACCACTGTGACTTAGGCAGGGTAGGTATTTCTGTCCCCACATTACAGATGAGAGGCATCCTTTGCAATATATTTTTCACTATGTACACTGCTAATGGTCAAATAATGTGGGTAGAATTAAGATAAGGCCTAAGGCAAAATACAAGAATAAAAGTGCTTTTTAAAAATAAATTTTTATTTTTATTTTAAGTTCCAGGGTACATGTACAGGATGTGCAGGTTTGTTACATAGGTAAACATGTGCTATGGTGGTTTGCTGCACCTATCAACCCATCACCCAGGTATTAAGCCCAGTGTGCATTAGCTATTATTTTAATGCTTTCCTTCCTCCAACCTCATCCCCCAATATGACCCAGAGCTCATATAGCCAAGACAATTCTAAGCAAAAACAAGAAAGCTGGAGGCATCATGCTACCAGACTTCAGACTCTACTATGAGGCTAAAATAGACAAAACAGCATGGTACTGGTACAGAAACCGACACATAGACCAATGGAACAGAACAGAGATCTCAGAAATAAGACCACACATCTACAACCATCTGATCTTCTACAAACCTGACAAAAACAAGCAGTAGGGAAAAGATTTCGTATTTAATAAATGGTACTGGGAGAACTGGCTAGCCATGTGCATAAAATAGAACTGGCCCTCTTTCTTACATCTTATACAAAAATTAACTTAAGATGGATCATGCCACTGCACTCCAGCCTGGGTGACAGAGAAAGACTCCAGCTCAAAAAACAACAACAAAAAAAATTAACTCAAGATGGGTTAAAGACTTAAGTGTAAAACCCAAACGTATAAAACACCCTAGAAGAAAATCTAGGCAATATCATTCAGGACATAGGCACAGGCAAAGATTTCATGACAAAATTGCCAAAAGCAATTGCAACAAAAGCAAAAATTGACAAACGGGATCTAATTAAACTAAAGAGTTCTGCACAGCAAAAGAAACTATCATTGTCATGAACAGGCAACCTATAGAATGTGAGAAAATTTTTGCAATCTATCCATCTGACAAAGGGCTAATATCCGGAATATACGAGGAACGTAAAAGTGCTTTTTAATGTTTAGGGCGAAAGAAAGAAGGAAGATTAGTTTGTTAATTGGGGCAGTAGAGGAATACATTTAGGCCAGTTTTCTTTTTCTTTCTTTTTTTTTTTTTGAGATGGAGTTTCACTCTTATTGCCCAGGCTGGAGTGCAACCTCAGCCTCCCGGGTTCAAGCAATTCTGCTGCCTCAACCTTCTGAGTAGCTGGGATTACAGGCATGTGCCACCATACTCAGCTAATTTTGTATTTTTAGTAGAGACGGGGTTTCTCCATGTTGGTCAGACAGGTCTCGAACTCCCAGCCTCAAGTGACCCACCCACCTCAGCCTCCTAAAGTGCTGGGATTACAGGCATGAGCCACCATGCTTGGCACAGTTTTCTTTTTTTTTTTTTAAACTTTTAATTTCTGGGGTACATGTGCAGATGTTTCTATAGGTAAACTGTGTGTCATGGAGGCTTGGTATACAGATTGCTTCATCATTCAGGTAGTAAGCATAGTACCTGACAGGTAGTTTTTTGATCCTTACCTTCCTCCCACCCTCTATCCTCAAGGTAAGTCCCAGTGTCTGTTCTTCCCTTCTTTGCGTTCATGTGTACTCAATATTTAGCTCCCACTTATAAGTGAGAACATGAGGTATTTAGTTTTCTATTCCTGTGTTTGCTTAGGATAATGACCTCCAGCTCCATCCATGTTGCTGTAAAGGACATGATCTCTGAGTTTTTATTTTGTTAATCTACTGTCAATTGATTGTTGGATCAAAGGAATGATCATAATTCTATAAATATGTGATAAAATCTCATTTATCCTAGTGGTCAAGACAGAGACATGAGGTACAGACAATAAGTAAATAAGGTAGCTTGGTAACTGGCTGGAAGATGATACCCAAGGAGTGTCAGTTAATGGAGTGAGGTTTAGGGGCAATGAGGTTTCTGGGGGATTGCCACAGAGAACAGTTCTGAGTCTGGGGAAATGTAAAATAACCCAGAATACACTTAGCAATACAAGAAGATGACACTGTGGGCCTTTACATTTTGGGATCCCCTATACTTTATTTCTCCCCTGGTCATCTTCTTTGGGGACCCTGCCTCTGCTGTCCACCTCCTTCCAGTTTAACCATCCATCTTGAGGCCCTGCTGATTTTCCTATTCTTTAATTTTCTGGGCTTCACTCAACATATTCCCTTTTTGGTAAGGAATTTTTCACAGATGGCCAACTTGGTAATAAACCTATTCCACATTCTCAATAGGATTTTAAAAGTTTCACACACTGTAAACTAATCTCATAGAAAACTCAAATTGATCCATTGTATTCATTATTTATCATAATAGTTACCATTATTGGGTACTAACTAAATAGCAGGATTTATGTTCAGCTTTTTATAAACAAGTGCATTTTTTTCACAATAGTCCTGAAACAAATACTAATAAACCTCATATGGCAATTGAAGAAATAAAAGTAGTGATGAAAATGATATCACAGTGGCAAAGTGAGAATGACATAACACTAAAGAGATTATGATTAAGCTTGAAAACAGAGTGAGGAATCCAAAGATACTGCAACAGTTAATTCACTAGGCAGAATGCTGTCAAATTGGAGTGAATTCCTGAGAGAAGCATTAAGTCAGTAAAAAGATCTGAAAAACAATTGATGAGACAAAATTTTAGGAGCTGAGAATAGTGAACCTGGAGGATTTTGGAAAAAAAATAGGTGTCTATTTTTGCTTAATTAATGGGTTGTCATATGAAGGGAAGAATTTCATTTATTCACTGTATTCCAGAATATGGTCCAAGAATTGGAAGTTTTAAGGAAGTAGATTTTAATCAAATATTTAAAAAGTTTCTATCCAATTGAATTGTCTGAAGATGGAATATTCTGCTTCATCAGTTCATGTTCTTTGTAACTAAAGGTGTAGAAAAGATGATGGCTTATCTGGAATTTGCAGAGCAGATTTTTACATAGGGTGGAGAATTAAATTAGTTCATTGTTTTCCAAAGTGCAGGGTTAGGAGACTAACACCTATAAAAACAGCATCGAATCACATTTGGGTATTTTCTTTTCTTTTCTTTTCTTTTCTTTTCTTTTTTTTTGAGACAGAGTCTTGCTCAGTCACCCAGGCTGGAGTGCAGTGGCGCGATCTCCGCTCACTGCAAGCTCCACCTCCTGGGTTCACGCCATTCTCCTGCCTCAGCCTCCCTAGTAGCTGGGATTACAGGCCCCCGCCACCACTCCTGGCTAATTTTTTGTATTTTTTAGTAGAGACGGGGTTTCACTGTGTTAGCCAGGATGGTCTCGATCTCCTGACCTCATGATCCACCCGCCTCGGCCTCCCAAAGTGCTGGGATTATAGGCTTGAGCCACCGCGCCTGGCACATTTGGGTAATTTCTTTTAACATTTTCTCCTATCCTTCTTATTCTAGTCTAGAATAAAAACATCTGATTGGTACTAGCATATCTCAAGTATACCTATTTTATATTTATTTGAGATTGTTTCATTTTTCAATTCTCAAAATACTAATTTTTTTGTTTGTTGCATCTAATAACTCTTCTTCATGGAGGTGATTTGGGGAAACCTAATTCGAATTTTATGTCTAAAGTGGGGGCCGTCTTGTGGAGACTATTCCTTCTAACTTTGCGGTTTGTGTAACTCCACATACTCTCTGGAAATAAATTGCCAATATTCTGACACTTCTCTCAACACTTTAGCACTCATCTCTTGCAAACAAGTCATTCTTCTCCACAACTACAATAATAAAATAACATCACCTAACATAAAACCTATATTCAAATTTCCTCCATTCCACGAAGGTATTGGAGAGCTATTAGAATTCATTTTTAATATGTTAATATTAGGCCAAGCGTGGTGGCTCACGCCTATAATCTCAGCACCGTGGGAGGAGAATATGGGAGAACTGCTTGAGCCCAGAAGTTTGAGACAATCCTAGGCAACATAGGGAGACTCCATCTCTACAAAAAGTAAAAGCATCAGCCAGGCATGATGGTGTGCACCCGTGGCCTCAGCTACTCTGGAGACTGAGGCAGGAGGATTCGTTGAGGGGGGAGTATGAGGCTGCAATGAGCTATGATAACATCACTGTACTCCAGTCTGAGCAACAAAGTAAGATCCTGTCTCGAAATATATATATATATATATATATATACACACACACACACACACACACACACACACACACACGTTAATATTCATGATAAAACAGACGCAAAGAAATATTATTATGCCTTCTTTCTTATTGTCTACCTTACCCAAAAAGAACTGTCAGAGAAGAGAACAGAGATCTAAAATTATTGGGTTGGAGCACAGTTATAAAGAGGAAAACTTTTTAAAGCTAAATCCAGTCAGGGAAGCTGACTGTAGGTGGGCTAGGGGTGAAAGAGGAAGAGGTGTACATTAAGGCAGAGGAAATTGTAGTTAAGGGAACTATCCCATCATGGTTAAAGCTTTTCAGTCAGAGTTGTCTCAACTTGTAAAAAAAGTACTTCTTTCTAAACAGTATGTTTTACTATAGAGGGCATAGTGTGCAGTAGTTACTATAGATTTGTTGTTGCAGTATTACAGAGAGACACTAATATTCTCTGAAGGGAGGGGTCACAGGATCTGAATGTTTCCTCCTTTCGCCCCTGTCCTGTTTCAAACTCTTGCTCCTTATTTATTCATTTTTAGCAACGAAGCTTGTTAAGCCCCTTCCACGTACCAGGTATTTGCCAGGCATTAGGATTGTGGTGGTGAAAACACAAATACGTTTCCTGAAACATAAAGCGTGGAAAAATACTGAATAACTAATTCTAACCATAATGCATTGTTTGAAGGAGAAGTGCAGAGCACTACAGGTGCTTTTAACTGGAATCTTACTGAGGATCAGGAAAAGTCTTCCTATGGAAGTCCCCTTTAAGCTGAACCCAAAAGTTAAGATTAACCGAGGGAAGGGAGAAGGGGTAAGGAATAGGAAAAGGGAATAGGGAACAGAATGGGAGCAAAAGAAAGGAGGCAGGAGAGAACCTTTCCATGTGGGAGTGCACATTTTTGCAACAGGAAATTTGTTTTGTCTCTGATAGTTCCGTGTTCCACTTGCCAAGGTATAGCAGCTGCTTATACCTTTCCTTTCTGTTATTTTTCAGAAAGCAGGGTCTGAGCATGTGGCAAGAGGGTGATGTTAACCCTGGCACCCTCTGAGGCACTAATTTCACTGCTGTTTTATGCCCTCTCCTAGCTCATCCATTTCTCTCCCTGCCCTTCCTTATGTTGGGGAATTACTCACCTACTCTGGGCCTCATCTTCTTTGTGGACTTTGGAGACCGTTCTGCTTTTATATTGTCTGTAGGTGAATTGTTTCCATGTAAGTTACATATTTTCTCATTTGATCTCTTCCTCAAAACTATCACCCAGAACTCCACCTGCAATTTAATACCACCTCTTCTGGTCTCTCTCCGTCTCATTGCTGCTGTGTGGACAAAGGTTTCATGTGTACATTATAGACAAATGTTTGGTGCAGCATTTGATCCAACACTGTGCTCTTCCCTTGAATGCTAATCATGTACACACAGACAAATAATTTACTTGGCTTTTATTGTGTTTTTGTTTTTATTATGTTTTCTGGCTCTTGTTTTGTTTGGCGAGTTTTGTTGAACACAGGCACTAAGTTTGTGTAAATTCATGCTGAGGATGTTTGTGCAGCTACCCACAGAAGCTATGGGGAGGAAAGGAAGTCCTAGCATAGTAAACATGTAGAAAGACAGGCATGGGCATTCACAGGGTTCATGCAAACCCATCACTTTTGATAGACTGGAGACACAACATGTAAGCTCCATGATAGCAGCGATTTCACTGACTTTGTTCACTGCTGTCTCTTGCAGCTATAGCAGAGCTCATTATGTTGTTCTTTTTTAATACATATTTGTTGAATAAATGTATGAAAACCTAGCAATATAGCATTTAGAGATAGTTATCTGTAAAGAAATCAGGCAGTGCACAGTGGCTCACACCTGTAATCCCAGCACTTTGGGAGGCTGAGGCGGGTGGATCACCTGAGGCCAAGAGTTTGAGACCAGCCTGACCAACATGGTGAAATCCCATCTTTACTAAAAATACAAAAATTAGTTGGGCTTGGTGGCATGTGCCTATAATCCCAGCTACTACGGAGGCTGAGGCAGGAGAATCGCTTGAACTCGGGAGGCGGAGTTTGCAGTGAGCTGAAATCACACCATTACACTCCAGCCTGGACAACAAGAGTGAAACTCCATCTCAAGAAAAAAAAAAAAAGGAAAGAAATCAGTGTGCAAATTACATAGGATTTCTTTCCTTAAAGAAATGCATCAAGGCCGGATGCAGTGGCTCACGCCTATAATCTCAGCACTTTAGGAGGCAGAGGCGGGCAGATCACCTGAGGTCCAGTGTTCAGGAGCAGCCTGGCCAACATGCGAAATGCCTTCTCTACAAGAAATACAAAAATTAGCCAGGCATGATGGTGCAAGCTTGTAATCCCAGCTACTCAGAAGGCTGAGGCACAATAATCATTTGAACCTGGGAGGCAGAGGTTGCAGTCAGCTGAGATCGTGCCACTGCACTCTAGCTTAGGTGACAGAGCTAGACTCCATCTCCAAAAATAAAGGAATGAATAAGATACCAGCATATACTACTTTCTTTTTGCAATGAGTCTGTGAGCTCTGCACCTTCCCAAGGATGGGCCTGGACCCAGACCCTCCCAGGAAGCTCTACTCTAGGAATCATGCAAGGACTCACTTTAGCTTTGGTATGGTGCATTTCAGTCCGATTAAAATTGTTTTCATCTCTGGAAATAAAATTGTGGCTTACATATCCTTTCAGTCCCACTGATTTACATCACTGAGAGGATCATGAAAATAACCATGGATTGGACTTATATTCTAAGAGATATTTTAGTGCTGGAAAGATGCTCCTGCATTGTCTGGTCCCAGCCCCAAATGTCTTTCCTAATGTTTTGAGCTTCAGGTGCAAACCCTGGTCTTGAGACCCTGTCCCTGTATCTTCTCTCCACAGTCAGGGATGACAGGGACCTCATCCCAAAACCCAGGACTCAGTCAGGGAAAGCCTCAAGGCATTTTATAGCTCAGAGAGGCCACCAAACCCAGCCTGCTTCTTCATTCTGGTGTTCAGATTCGAATCCAGGCTGTCTCTTAGCATCCATCATTATGCTGAATACTTTGATTATTGCTTTATGGAGATAAGTGATTTTCTCTAAACTTTAATTTCTCTGGAAGTGGAGTCTGATTTTGTGGAAAGAGCTCAAGATTGGGAAATATGAATCTAGGGTCCTAATCCCAGCTTTGTACTTCTTGAATAAGTCTTTTACCATTGCTGGGTCTCATTTTCTACACTTACTTGAGGGTATGGACAAGACGGTCTCTCAAATTTCTTCCAGCCTTTATGACCTATAGTTCTATCTGGACACTAGGAAGGTCCAGACCAGGGTACACCACTTCATTTTTTATTGCTACAAAATGGTTTTTTATCCTGTTAGTATTGCTTAATTTTCCTCCTGTCCTGAGTCCCTTTCATTTTCTGTATTTTGCAGCTGAGATTCTATGCCACGCATTTTCTGTATATGATAGGTTTAGGTTGTTTTCCCACCACCTGCGAAACTGTCATGCAAGTCCACAGGAATTAGCTGTCAGTATCTTTCTTTCCTTTATTAACACTTCTAGCTCCAGGAGTGGGACCTAGAGGTCTTTTTGTTCAAGGACAGGAATGAAAAGGGCAAAAGGAATGAGACATAGGGAAGACCCAATAAACATCAAAGTTATGGTTTCAGGTGATAATTGTGGTTCAGGCAGGTTTACATATCAGCATTCTGTTGGTTTGATTTTATAAAATTAAGGACCCACACTAAGTGTGATGATGAATAGCACTTCTCTTCCTTGAATAGTGAGGAAAGAAATAACAATTGAGCCCATGAGCTTGAAAGAGAAGGAAGTTTTTATGATTTCTTTGGCAACATACTTGCTAATTTCTGACTATTCAAGCTCTATCTGAGGTAGAAGTAGAGGATGTACAATAACTGAACATCTGAAAGAAGAGAGAGAAGAGTCCATAGTTGGACGTCTTAATTTACAGCATCCTGGAGACCTGAAAGCTAGGGCTCATGGCCTTTGGTTTGCATCATGAATCACTCACAGGATAGAGTATTCAGTAAACCCTGAGTGCTGTTGCAGAAACCGGCAGGCGTGGCATAGATGTAGCATGGCATGCTCAGTATCTTGTATTAGGCAGAGACAGCTTTTAGGAACCACTTGTGGATGTGGGAGGAATTGTAGACAAGGAGTCGTAAGACCCCAGTGTGATCTCCCACTGACTTACCCTGGAAAAATTCACACAACTCACTTCATATCGCTAGTTTCTCCCCCAGCCCAACATGCATTGTGGAATTCTTTTCCTTACTTTTAACTGTTAATTTGAATAATTTTAGAATTACATAAGAGTTGTTAGCCTCATGGGATTTTGCAAGTATCAAATGAAATAAACATGAGAAAATATTTTGAAGAGCTTGAAAGTACCACATTTAAGTTGCTGTCGAGGCAGCTCTTGTCCCACTATAATGATGTGAATACCTTCATCAGGGCACTTATTTTGGAGCATTGCAATTAGTTATTTACATGTTTTCTCCTTTACTAATGAAACAGGTCTGTGTCCTGATTATTTTTTTGTCTGCAATTCTAGCATAATACTTGTCAAATAGTAGTTAATCTTGAAAAAGATTAAGAAGAGGAGAGGACTCTAGAAATACAACCTATGACTAACCAATAATGTCAGTTATTATCAATAGCAACATTTTTATGGCAAAGACATTGCAGATGTGATTAAGCTAAGACTCTTGAGATAGGGAGATTATTCTGGATTTGCCAGGTGGGCCCAAAGGTGAAGTAAATTTGAGCATAGAAGAAGGTGACTTGACAGAAGCAGAAAGTGATCTGAAGATGCCATGTTGATGGCCTCAAAGATGAAGGAAGAAGGCAAGAGCAAAGGAATGCAGTTCTAGAAGCTGAAAAGATCAAGAAAATGAATTCTTCTCTGGAGCCTCTAGAAGGAGCACGGCCATGTCTACACCTGGACTTCATCCCAAGTGAAAGTAATTTCATAGTTCTGGCTTCCAGAACTATGAAAAAATATATTTGTGTTGTTTTAAGCCTCCAAATTTGTAATAATTTGTTACAGCAGCTATAGGAAATTCACACAGGGCAGCCTACAGGAGTTTGTCAGAGCCTGTATTTATTTCCGACCAGTGGGGCATTGGAAAATCTGTCTCAGAAATACTGTCTCAGAGCCTTGCTTTTACCATTTGTAATTTATAATTATGAATTGACTCATAGTGTTTCTGAGACCTTCAAGGCAATGTCTTGACCGGTGCTATTCATTGGTAACATAATGCAGGCCAGAAATGTGAGCCACACATGTTATTTTAAAATTTTAGTAGCCATCCATGTTAAAAACAAAAGTAAAAAGAAACAGGTAAAATTATTTTTAATAATATTTTAATTTAACCTAATATATCAAAAAAGTATAATTTCTATATATAATATAAAAATTATTAATGAGTTTTTTAATATAATTTTTTCCTAGGTCTTTAAAATTTGGTATGTCTTTTTATTTAAAGTACATCTCAATTTAGACCAGCCACATTTCCAGTGCTGGATGGTCACATGTATCCAGGGGCTACCATATTGAGGAGTGCAGGCCTAGAAGAGGTTTGGTAGTGGTCCTGCCCCGTAGTCTGTGCTTAATAAATAAATGCCATATCATCTGCATCTCCTGACTGGCCTTGCCAGTCTTCACTAGCCTGGACCTTGGCAGCCCTATGTGAGTCAAGGTGTGCATCAGGCCTGGGCTTCCTTTTGTCCCCCATCAACCCTGGCAATGATACATAGCACTGGATTGACTCATGTAGCTTTGTACCAAGCAGGAAAGCTTCTTTCTGCTTTGCAGGAATACAGCAAGGCTGTATGTGTATGAATGAGACACTTAACCCCAGGCTTTTCCCTTCCCTTCCCTTTTAAATGTTTTCGTCTTTCAGTTATTTCAGCACCCTATCTACAGTTCCCAAATCAGTTTTTCAACACAGAGTTACTTAGCATGCCTTGGGCTAGAGCCACCACAGGGAACCAATTAACTCTCTGCTCTAATGTGGACCTGTTAATTTCACAGGCTTTGGAGTCAGACAGTCCTAATTTGAAGTCCCATCTCTTCTAATTAGCTGTGAATCCTTGGAAAAGTTACCTAAATATTCCAGGATTCAGCTTCTATATCTGTAAAATGGCAATAATAATATATAGTGGACAGGATTAAATAGACACAATGCATGAAAACTCCTGACACATAGCTAATTTATGCCTAATAAATGTTAGCTATCATCATATTTTTTCATCAATAAATCCAGTGTTTCATTCTTCTATTCTTAATATTAGTATCAGTCGCTATCATCTCTACCATTTCCCCCACATACTATCTAATAGCACTTAAAAGGGTTGTCCCTTGAGCTGGGCTTAGTTATTTGGAGTTAGTTCTCATTGGAGCCAGGAGTGACCTCAGAATGTATCACATCACCTGGACGTTAATCAAATTATATACTCTAATGACTGAGTCTTATAACTCAAATCTTCAGAAAGATTACCAACTTTCCCTGGGCTTTTCTTTGGAGCTTCCAAAATGCAATGGGAACTCCTGAATGTATCCTAAGCCTTCCTCAATCCTTAGCCGTTAGGTCCACCAATGCTCCTAACTGTGCTGTTTGACCCTAAACCAATTATTAACTCAAGCCTACTTGAGGCAGTGAGTTGGAGTATTTGTTTGTAGACTTTGGAATTACATAGTCTTTGCATCCCTTTTTAACCTGATTTTACTCTCTTTTTATTTATTCCATACAGAGAATTAGACCTTCTTCTTGCATAGTTTCCAACAGCTTTCCCACTTAGATGTTTAGTCCCCTCTTTAGATTAGGAGCTCACATTCACCTTCTCCTAATAGTATGGGTCCCTGCTACCCCACTAACTTTTGCCATTACTTTGTTTTTAAAATTGGTGCTTTTTCCCCATCCTGGGTCTTCTGATAAGAAATTAACACTTTGAACTGCATCTGCCTGACTCCTGAGTTTTTGTATCAGCTACATTTGCTACTGCTGTGTTCCATAATCAACAAGGCTAATGATGAAAATTCCTCCTGAGCATGCTACATCCCATTGACTGCACTGGTATCAGCCTTGATGGTTAGAAAAGCTGCCTAGTACTGCCACACACTGCCCAGGATTGTCTGTTTTAGCCTCTATGTCACCCTTTGCAATGAAGATTAGGTATGCTTCCACCCTGAGCCCTTGTAAGTCATTTAGTAGGGAATTATGGCCTGTTTGTAGCCTATTTAGGCATTTCTATTGTTCAACAAGACTTAGGTCTACAGAAACCCTCAAAAAGCAAGCCTTTTCCTAAGATCTGTCTCTATGTTGGGCTCCAGCATATTCACAGTGAGGATCCTGTATGCACACTTGCCTGGGAAGCCACTTGGTCCCTTGCAGACTCATAACTATACTGCTCCACCTCTGTAATTACTGGGTTTACTTGGAAAGGGTTGTATCAGCTGAGGTGCCAGGATCAGAAATAATATAAATATTTTAAGTTTTTATGCAGAGAGTCCTAGACTCAGAGGTAGGAGGCTTCAGTTCTAGCCACAACTCCCTTTACCCTTGAGCGAGACAGGTAGCTTTTCTGGATTTGCGTAAGAATGGCCCTATCTCAAAGCCCTGTTGAGGAGTCTCTGGGATATCTGCTACATATCTGGTTTATGAATTTTATTCTTCCTGCTAGGCCTGTGGACTCACATTTTGGCACTCTTTAGACAATATTCAGCTCACAGCCATATTTTATTTGGTATGCACTGTGTTTTGCTTTGTATTACATTTGAATGCCTTATTTAGGTCTGCCTCTCTGCATCCTCATGGTTTCTTCTGCTCTGTTTTCTCTCTCACTTGGCTCAACTCACCCTCGCTTGGTCCCAAAGACATTTGAATTTTTGGCTTCAGGTCCAATGTGTGTAGACGTTGCTCCTCTGGGTTTACGAAAATAAAAATAACTACCCCAGGCTCATTTTCTAAATGCAAACGAGTTTATTTGGGAAAAAAATGATTTACTCTGAGATCAAAGTACTATGTCTCCGTAGTAATGGTTAAAATCTGGCACTTCCTACAGGTTCTGTTTGATGCCATCTGTTTTATCATGAACAAACCACAGTACAGTTCAGTTCAGCTCAGCTCTGCTCCTCTGAAATGCCACCAAGGCCCCAGATGCCCATTTTTGGGATGTGGTCAGCAAGAGGAGTGTTGAGATTTTACCTCATTGCATTGTACCTGCGCTTCCGAAGCAGGCTGCAGCCACTTCCAGTTTATGCTCTGTTACTGATCCATGATTCAAAAAACCCTGCTGTTTCTGCTGCAGGGTCTCCCTACTTGCCTGGAGCTGTGGAATGCACCATGAACCAGGAACAGCATGGGGCAGAGCCCTCAGAGGACCACAGCTATTGTGATTGTCAGCCTCTAAGAGGACCCTACTCATCCTCACCTCCTGGTACTGACACCCATGTGTGAACCTTTCCCTTTAAGTATGGGCTGGATTCAGTAACTCACTTCTAACCAATAGTGTACAGCAGAGTGATGGAATGTCACTTCCAAGATTAGGTTATAAAAGAACATAGGGACCTCTTTTGCTTTCTCTCTCATTTGGAGTCCTCACTCTCGGGGAAGCCAGCCGTCATGTTGTGATCAATCTTATTCAGAGGCCCACATGGTAAAGAACCGATGAAGACCTGAGGTCTGCCTATAGTCCTACCAACAACCACATGAGTCAGCTTTGAACTGGGTCCTCCCCAACTTGGGCCTGGACATGACTGCAGCCCTGGCTGACACCCTGGTGGCAGTCTGTAAGAGACACTGAGCCAGTGGACCCACCTAAGCCATGACCTGCTTTCTGATCCACAGAAATAAAATTTGTTGTTTGAGACTATTGAGTTTGAGGATAATTTGTTATACAGCAATATATACTAAACCGCCACTGATTGCGGCGTACACCAGAAATATGGAAAATATGATGGAAGTGGTCTGGGGCAGGAATAATACACAGTCTCAGCTCTCAGTTGGTCAGCTGTCAGAGGCCAGAGAATAGATATCAAGAATTCAACACAGATCAAACACACCAGAAAGGGGCTCTGCACAGGTGGAGATCAGATCTTTACATTCTTCTCTACCCAGACTGACCCTTTACACCTTATCTTTATGCCTGAAATGCATTCAGCTTATCAGCTCTGCAAGAATATAGAGGTAAAAATGGGAACATCTTGAGGGATAAAGAGTGTGTTTACAAAAAAGACTGCTTGACTTCTGATCAAGTTTGAAACAGTCCCTCAAGTTAAAAGAGCATGTTTGGAAGAGATTTTTTTTTTTCATACAGTAGGTATAGTTTCTCTGTAATAAAATATTTCATTTATTTTGTTAATTTGTTTAATAATTTTATGCTTGGATCTTTTTCCCATTCAGAGATTGGTAAAATCTTCACCTCTGGTTTTGTGGTTTTTCTATATGGTTTTAACTTTTAATATTAAAATTGTTGATATAACTAGAATTATTTTTAATGTACAATGTATAGGTATAACTTGATTTAGGTATAACTTGATTTTTCCCTTCACTTAGCCAATTTCCCAGGACCATTTCCTGAGTAATTCGAGCTTCATTTGTAAGTTTTTTTAATCATACACAGTCATATAGGTTTATATTCATCTAAGGTGGGCTATGCCTTTTTTTTTATGCATAGAAACTGGCTGTAGATTCCTGAGCCAGCAGCACTCTATTTCTATTACACTAATGTTGTGATAAGTTTGTAATGCATTTTATAATTGGTATATCAACATGCCCCCCCATTACTCCCATTTTTGAAAGCTGTCTTGCTTATTATCAACTGTTTTTTTTTTTAGTGGACTTTAATTTGGTTGAGAGCTGGCAGTGAAATCCACTTCACTGTGATGGAAAACCCATGCTTTTAATCACTATATAGGCTTAATACCAATTCCTAGTTCTCTTCTCTCAGCATTTAATAAAGAGAAAGTAAGGGTGGAGCATGTTAACATTAGGGTAATACATGTTATAAAGCCTTTCCTTAGTGCCACTGTCATGGAAGCATATTCTCATTTGCTTATTCTGGAGACCCAGGTTCTGGGAGTGTGGCTTAGGACAGCCTAACTTCTCTGTCTCAATTTCTCAATCTGTGAACAAAGGTGGCTAGTCAGATGAATTGTAAGGTTCCTCATAGGCCTGATATATGCTCTAATTCCATATACCCATAAATAGAAGACAGGGAGATGGGATGCTTCTGCTCCTGGGCTTGGACTGGTCAAAGAGGGTGAGTTATCTCTGTGCAGTGTTGGAATATTTGCTGAAGTTAATGAGAAATGAGCTCTGAATACATTGAAAAACACACAGGATTTTTATGTATTTGTGCAAATTCTACTAATTAGCATGGACAAACAAGAAATAGATGTGCAGGGAAAGGCTACTGTTTGTTTTCTCTCACTGGTGCATGTTAATGATCAAAATAAGATTTGCAAATCAGCCTGCATCTATCTTCCAGGGTTAATATTACAATTTGGTGAGCTTTCAAACAGCTTGACTTATATTACTGTTCTGGTAGGCTGCCAGGAACCCCAAATCGGTTCAGCAGTGTCTAGTGATTTCAGGCCTGATAATGGACATTGGTTGCCCAAGGGGCTTATTCTGGTGGAGGGAAACAGAGGGACAGCAAGGAAGGAACCATCTTTCCTTTATGCCGCAGAACTTAACTTCATTTATATTCATTTGTCCAAACTGTTTTAAGGCAAGAGTGATGTCTGCCTTTATTGATAAGATAATTGACATTTCTGATCATTTTGCTACTTGTTTTACTGGGAATAAAAGAAGAGCATGTGTATTTGTCGGTGATAGAGTTTATGACTGGAGCCAACAGAGTGTGTTAGCTGTCATCAGTGCCTGAATGGCTTGGCTGTCCTGTAAGAAAAACAGTACATGTATAGTTTGTGGCTCCTTTGGGAGAATGACTGGGACCAAGATACAGAAGTTTTGGAAGACAGCTCATAGATTATCTCAAAGAGGAACTTTCTAATAATTAGAGTTGGCCTCAGATGGAACCGTCTCCCACGGACTTTTTAAGTAAGATCAAGCACTCTCTGGATAACCACTTGTTGCAAATGCTCAAGATTTATTTGGGGATCACAATGGTACCTTGCAAACCAGGAACTATTGGATCCTATTACCCTCTGTAGGGCAGAAAGTAAATTGTACTGGGACTAATTCTATTACTTATATTTCAGTTTCCCAGATCAAAGTGGAATGTCTGCAAAATAAATATTGGCAGTGATATGGTTTGGACCTGTGTCCCTCCCAAATCTCATGTCAAGTTGTAATATCCAGTGTTGGAGGTGGGGCTGGTGGGAAGAGATTGGGCCATGGGTGTGGAGTTCCCATGAATGGTTTAGCACCATCCTTTCCTGGTACTGTGTAGTCAGTTCTCATGAGACCTGGTTGTTTAAAAGTGTGTAGCACCTCCCTCTACACTCTCTTTCTTCCACCTGTTCCAGCCATGTGAAGGGCTGGCTCCTGCTTCGCCTTCTGCCATGAGTAAAATCTCCCCGAGGCTTCCCCAGAAGCAGATGCAGCCTTGCTTCCTATATAGCCTGCAGAACTGTGAGTCGATTAAACCTCTTTTCTTTATAAATTACCCAGTCTCAGGTATTTCTTTATAGCAATGCAAGAATGGACTAATACAGGCAGTGAAAAGACTAGTAAGCAAGCCCATGAATTAGCAACTTATAGCCCCAGAAAAATAATGCTGTAATTTACTTACTAAAGTTTTAATCAAAATAGGACTTAAAATAAAATGAAAGTAAATGACAACATTGTTTATCTGGATTAAATAAGATATCCTACCTTTATTAAAGTGCCTAGCGCCCACAAATAGGAAGGAAATCCTTTGAAGTTTCACATTTACTAGAAAGAGTTACCAGCCTAGTAGAGTAGGGGCAAGGATGATGCATTAGAGCACTGCCTCCAAAACAGTAGTCCATGGTTTAGCTGAAGCAGAATCACCCTGGTGGATCTTAAGGCCTTACCAGAACCTGAGAGAGGGTATTGGAAAATGCATTAGAAATAAACTTCCCAAGTGATTTAATGTGTAACCGGTTTGGGAAATCTCTGTATTATATGGCCTCAAATTTTCCTCAAGCTCTTAAGATCCCAGGTAATTTTAAGTAGAATTATATGTATTTTCTATAAGTTGCATTTTACTGCAGGATCCCAGTTAATATGTTATTTCCTGTAATCAATGAATAAGATTCAGCTAAGCATCATCATCTATCAAAACCATGATTCTTGTTTATGACTTTGCTAATTATTCTTTCCAACCATGGAAAGTTGCCATATTTCAGAACAGAGTGAATGTTTGTTCAGATTCCAATTCAGAGCTCCCAAATTTACTAAGTAGAAGGTAAATTATACATGGTACATTACTGGTACTTTGCATGATGAAAATAAGACATCAGCTCTCAATCTTTCGAATAGAGAGCAAAAGTGAAACAAATAAGACAAGTACAGCATGGCAGAGTTACAACTGAGGCATGTGTATATTGGGTAATGGCACAAAGAAAGGATAGTATCGTAGCTGGAGAGGTGGTCGTGGAAGAATCAGGGGATTGAGGTATAAAAGACTGGAACATAGCAAAAGAAGAGTGGTGGAAAGGCTAAATGGCAGAGGGAGTTCCAGAAGGAAGCTGGAATAGCTTGGTGCATTCAGGACTCATACAGTAGCCTAACTCTTGTAATATTGTATGCATAAGTTTATTTAAATTCACCTTGTGTAGCTTAAAATCAGACATACATAAATATGGGATTTGACAATTGATAACGTTCACATAATTAAATGAGGAAAGTTTCTTAGCTTTATTCCACATTCTACTAAGGGTTTGGGACCTAACGCTCCTCAAAGTCAAGAGCAAATTAATTTTCCAGACAAGTGTGTTGTATCAGCTGAGAAGAAAGGCTCTGGAGACAAGCCACTAAGCCTGCCATTCTGGTACCTTAAACTCTGTTCATCAGAGTATCATAAGCTGTAAAATGAAGATAAAACTCACAATTATCTCATGGAGTTATTATGAAGATTAAATAAATAAATACATGGCAAGAGTGAAAACAAGCCAACTACCACGTCAGCTCTTAGTACTATTATTAGTTGGTGCTGTGAAGGGAAGACAAAGGAGATGAATTGGGAGAGGAAGGTCCTTGTCACTCACCTCCAAATGTCTGGGAGCCAAAGATGCTGGGGAAGAAACACACAGATCATCAATTCCCTGAGACTCTTTCCAGCCACCTCACCCCGACAACTCCAACTTACAATTAAGGACATTTCTCTGTGTTCATTGACAAGCCATTAACAAATTTTAAATAAAGATATAACTCAGCCCCTCCTCCAGCTCAGGGGCTGTCCATCATTTATGTTTGAATCTCCAGTGCCTGACTCATAGCAGACAGTCACTAATGACTATGAAATGAATAAATGAGAGAGTAAATCAAATAATTAAAACACAGTGAAGCTGTGTGATTACACCAGATTATGACACCAGCATCAGAGGAGAAAACTAAGAATCACTATTTAATTTCAGCAGAGTACTATGTTTTGAATGCACACGTTATGACCCATTTGATCTGAAAGTAATACTGAAACAAGTTTGTATTGATCTCATCCACTACTTGCTCAAGCATACGTTCCTGTCCGAGTTACTCCTGGGAGTAGAAGGGGCAATGTCCCGTGAGTCAGCACTCTGGATTCTGTAAATGCTTCAGTCACTGCCCAGTTCTTCAATCTGTAGTAACCAGTCTCTCTAAGCCCCAGTTTTCTCATTTGGAAAATGAGGATCATGATAATAATAGTTAATTGTTTGAAAGTTTCAAGATTAAATGAGATAAAATGTTATTGCACAGTGGCTGGCACAAAGAGTGTGCTCAGAAAATGTTAGTTGATATGATATTATTTTATTTGTAATACATCATTCATATGAAAAGCACACAAACTACAAAAAGATAAACGTATTTACTCATGGAATAAGGTGAGGTTCTGGATCTATTTCGAAGTAATCTGATCTAGGAGGATAAGCGGAGATGACACAAGACTGACCGTAAGTTAAAGATTGTTTCAGCCGCTGATACGTGGACGTTCACTTTACTCTCCTTTTTGCCTTTGTATATGTTTGAAAATGTCCATAGTAAAAGTTAAGAATAATCCATGTGACACACATATACACAACCAAAAATAGCATGCTGAAGTTTCTGGCTTCTAAGCAACCTGATGCAACTAGATGCCACTATGTTCTCCCTATTCCACACCAAGCACTGTGCCCAATCAACACCAGAAAACAGAGAACTGAAACAGAAAACACTTAAGGATAACCCAGGTTTCATTTGTTTGCTTGCTTGTTGGTTTAGTTGGAGAAAGCAGGGGACACACAAATAATACTTTAATAGAACTCTGACTGTGATTGTTGTAAGAGTGATAATGCCCTAAATGACAAGCAATGGCAGAGGAAGGGAGAAAGTAGGTTAAAAAAAAAAAAAACTTCATAGGGAAAGTGGTACTTAAATAAAATATTGAAAAATGAGCAGGATTTCAAAAGAAGTCATAGGAAAAAGAAAAAAAAGAAGAAAGTGGAACCATACCACTCCAAGAATACATCACAGAGTCTATCAAAAGGTAAAATGGGATTTAAGAAGATTAAAAGAACAAGTAATTGAGAGGAAGAGAAGGAATATGAAGGGACTCAAATTGTTCTGAACTGTCACCGGGAGGCTCTTGTATGATGGCTGTTCAAGTTTCCCAGGGCTGCCAAGCACCAAAACTGGTTGGCTTAAAAAAAAAAAAGAAGAAGAAATTTATTGTCTCATAGTTGTGGAAAGCTAGAAATCCAAAATCAAGATGTCAGCAGGACAATGCTCCCACTGAAACATGAAGGCAAATCCCCCTTGCCCCCTCCTAGCTTCCAGTCTTTCTTTGGCAATCTTTGGCATCCCTTGGTTTCTAGATGTCTAACTCCAATTTCTGCCTCTGTCTTCACATGGCCATCTTCTTACCAGGAGAAGAGTCATTCTGGATGAGGTGCCCACACTACTCCAGTATTAATGCATCCTAACTTAACTTCACCTGTATAGCAACCCTATTTCCAAATAAGATCACATCCTGAGCTACTGGGGTTAAGACTTCAATATATCATCATTTGATGAGGGGCAGGGGGTGGATAATTCAACCCATACAAATGCCAAGCAGAATTTTTTTTCATGGGGAGTAGAGTGAAGCATGAAGCAATTTATAAAACTGGTCTCTTGAAGCAATTAGAATATTTGGATTCTATTCTTGGTTTGGTCATTTTGTATCCATGCGACCTTGGGCAGTTCCCCTCAAGTTATGTGAACCTGCTAAACAGAGCTACCTGTTCTATACAACTGGCAGAGCTCTTGAAGGATGAAATAAAATGATGGCATGAAAGCGCTTTGAAAATCTTAGAGCTCTGGACTTGAATCTGTAAAGTACTGTTATTACTGATGCTTCTATCTGTATGTCCTTCACCAGACCTGCACAGATAAGACTGGAAATCTCAATGATTGGAGCTCTCTTCTATTTGTGAAAGTGTTGTCTCTAAAATATCTTTGATAAAATGGAAAAAATGTTTTTCAGAGAAAATAGATTGCTCACTGGAGGATGTCAAGTAGTGGCAGACCAGGAAGAAGTGGCAGACTAGGAAGAAAAATACAGGACTAAGCTCAATGCTTTTGAAACAAAGGCCAATATTTCTACTCCAAGTCCTCCTGTCTACATGGAAGGGGAACTTGTGCACCTAGGCCTACAGGGAGGAGGGTCTGGAGGACTCCATGAAGCCAAGGCCAAATCCTCTACCAAAAAAAAAAAAAAAAAAAAAAAAAAGGCAAACGAATCTGATTGTACCGAATATGGAGCATGCAGTGAGTTTCAGTTTTTCCAAGTTAAAGATAAGTGAGGCCTATATTTTAATCTTTTGTTGTCTCAATTTTGCCAGTTCCAGGTGTGAAACGCATGACCCTAAGAGCTTATTGGCCGATTAAGAGTTTCCCAGACAACAGAGCTATCTAAACTGACAAGTCCTAAGTTTAAGAACTGGGGAAGAGTGATCAGATCCCTATTTCTACGAAATCAGCTATATCAGGGAGCCCAGTATTTTATCGGCTATTTGTACTTGACTGACTAATAATTAAAACTAATGAATTGATCCCCATCTGGCTATATGCTTTCTGTGCTTATTCTCCCTGTTGCTTAGATTCCTGAGCAGATGAGGGGGCATATCAGCCTACTTTACTTCTCCACCCCCTCCTAACACACACCTACTTCCTCAACTTCCAAATAACAAAGACTGAACTGAGCTACAAGAATAAAGCTTAAGAATTACAGAAACCGAGTGAGCTAGGTGCAGATCCCACCTCAAGTATGAATCAATAGAAAGAACCCATTCAGAGGTGAACAGGAAAAGAATCTGAGATGAATCAGCCAAAAGTCCTAGTGTGGGTAGGGCCATGTGTACCTTGAATAACCACGAAACCCACTAGTCACTAACTTCCAAGGCACACACAGCTGAGGATGATTTTATTGCCAGGAACGCCCAGGATCCTGCAGGAGATAGGGTACAGGACAAGTTTGAGTTGGGGGCCCAGGGGTGAGGTGGAGGGCACAGAGCATGAAGGCAAGGCTGTGAGAAGGCTGTGCAGGCTGCCTACCTGCAGCTCTTCCCACCCCACTGATTGTCAGAGTGACCTTTTAACCACAGCTGCAGTCAGGGCTTTGGTGGTGGACTGAGAAGGAACATGAAGAATGCACAAAAGAACCAAAACACTCTGGGAACAGACTTGGCACACTTACCAAGAGATGGTCTGGGCCCCAGCCTATGCAGATAGATAAGAGACAATGCTATGTTTAAGCAGCTTTATTTGGTCAGTTTGGGTGCAAGAAACTATTACATTAGGGCTAAATGTATTTTCCAAAATGAGAAAGTAAAGATAGGAGCAGATGCTACCTAGGAGTTTCTCCACTTGCCAATACCTCTGGTAGATGTTTTCCCACTTAGTCACTTCTGACTTAGATAACATTCCCCAGAATCAACAAGAAAATAAGGGAAGCCCTTCACCAGAGCCTCTCTTCCACTTGAAGCTGGCCAGCTTGCCATGGGTGTTGGGTGGAAGGTGTTCTAAGTGGGACTGTTGTTGAATCTGGCAACCAAGAAAGGCCTCACCCACCTTGCCTCATTACTATCAGCTCAAGGAAGTGTTCTCCCACGGTCTCTCTCCCACTCAATAGCTCCCTCCTTGCACAGAATGAAGCAAATCTGTGAGTCTTCTGGACATGACCACAACACATGAGCATTTGTAAAATCAATGGGTGCTGTAATCAAGCAAAACAAATTCTTCTGGCTCTGTTTGCTAGATATGTCTCCTTACCTCAGGAGCGTCTGAGGAAACCTGGGTTTTCTGTCTACCTTACGTTTTATTTTCCTAGTCACTTGGGTTTGCTGAACTGAGAGAAGCTTCTGAATAGAAATAAAGACTAGAAGTACGATGACATTTAAGTCATCTAAGATAATTCTAGAGCCACAGTGTTGTAAAAGCATTTTTAAACTTTTTTTTAACTGAACATTACATTCGTTATCCCCATAGACACCCAGCAAGTTTGTCTTCAGGTTCGCACATTCTGTGAAGGAATTTCTGGTGCCCCGGGTGGTTAGAGTTGAAAGTGCTGAGTTCAGTTTCATCATGGCTTACACTAATTAGCAATACTAGCCAGAAATTGACCCTAAGCCCAATCACAGGCTGACCTCCAATTCTGAGTCCCACCACGGTCACAGCTGGGCCTTCATCCTCACTCAAGATTGACTCTTAAGCCAAATCCAGGAAGAAGGGGGCATTCAAATTATAATGGTAGATATTTTATATAGGCCTAATTCATCCTCCCCCGCAATTCCTTGTAATGCCTATAAGGACATGTCAAATGAGCACTGGCAGCACTGATAATGCCAATCTGTGGAGAAGAATTACCCTAAGCACATGTTGATAGTAGGACTGAGAAAAGTGAGCAGTCAGCTAAATATTGGGACCCATCAATGTAGATACAGAAGAGGCAGGAAAAGACTTTAACATAATCTGCTCTATCTCCCAATATCAGAAGCTACCAAAGAAGAAGCCTCTCAACCATCCACCACTGTACAGAAGTAGCACGTCAGGGCATTCAGAGATATTTACTCCTTCCCATCCATACTCCCAGTCTCACCAACACTTATAATTATTCACCAGAAATTCAACAATAGGGAGAAAAGCAACTGGATAATACACGTTGCACAATAAAAATATGAGATTATCAACAGGCTACGTGGAGACCCTGGGACACACATCTCACTATAGGAAGTGAGGGTAGTAATAGCTGGAGTGGGAATCTTGAAGCCTGCATCACATATTAAGATGCAAAGTTGGTGTATTCATCTGCTATATGAAGATATCACAGACTGTGTGGCTTAAATAACTATTTTTCATAGTTCTGGAGGCTAGAAGTCCAAGATCAAGGTGCCAGGAGGCTTGGTTTCTGGCGAGACCTCCTTCCTCACCTTGCAGACAGCACCTTCCCATTGTGTCCACACATGGCCTTGTCTTTGTGCCTGCACACAGAGAGGGCAAGGAGCTCTGGTGTGTCTTCCTATTCTTATAGGACACCAGATCTTTTGGATTAGGGCCCCATCCTTATGATCTCATTTAATCTTAATTACCTCCTTAAAAGCTCCATCTCCAAATGCAGTCACATCAGGGATTCAGGCTTCAACCCATAAATTTACAAGTAACACAATTCAGTCTATAACAATTAACAAAAGGTGAAAGCAGAGATAGGGAAAGGTATGAAAACTGTTCAGCTAACTAGTTTTTCACATACTGCCTCTGGTAGAAGACAAGTGTTTCAAATTAGTCATCTATATAGGAATTTCCTTACAATGAAAAAGGGGAGGCCATGAGAGTAGGCTATATCCTTGCCTCTGGTTCACGCCTTCTAGACTCAGGAGCATGTCTAGGTCTGGGCATATTAATTCTTTCTCCTGTGTAAGATTAGCCACAGAGATTTTAACATCACTCAAGTGGTCAAAGAGAAATCACACTGCCATTTAGCATCATTGAGCCTGAATAAAGAGAGGATTCTTACTTGAAGGTGGGGAAAAAATACAATAAAATAAACAAAACATAGGGCCCTTAGAAAGGTACTCCTATATGGAATAATGTTCTAACCATGCAGGGGAAAGGCATGGTTATGCCATGAAAAGTGTTTTTAAAAACCCTTTAGAAAGGATTTCGTTTTGTCAGTGAAATTCTAGACAGCACTGACTCAAGAAAAACAAGATCAATAAATAAGTTAAAATTCAATTTCAAGTTAAATAATATCAATAATGTGGATCTAAAACCCAAAGACAGAAAAATAGAAAAATAAGATCATTTCAAATCCTAAAAAATATTTCATTTAAATAATCAAGAGCCAAAAGTTATTGTATTATTCTTAAAACTAGAAAATATAGAGAAAAAAAAAACTAGGCTTGAGATTTCTGTGAAACTTAGAGATAATCTCTAATTCAGCGGCTCCCAAAGTATGTGTCTCAGATCATCACCATCACCATCACCTGGGATCTGGTTTAAAATGCGAATTCTCAGGTCATGCTCCAGACCTATAGAATCAGAAACTTTGGGAGTGGGACCAGGCAATCTGGGTTTAACAAGCCCTCCAGGTGATTCTGACACCTACTGAGATTTGAGAACCACTGCTCTAGTAGAAGGTGAAACATGCTGTAAACTTTCATAATCAGCAGGTAAATTTAATTTAAACATAAGCCACAGTGCAAAAGGCATTTACTACTACATTCATTTACTCAGAAAATATTTATGGGTTAACTCTCAAGTCCCTACCACCATTCTAGGTGCTAGATCTACAATAGTAAACACTTCAGGAGTTAGAGACCAGCCTGGGTAACATAGTGAAAGGCTATCTCTCCAAAATCTGTTTATTACATTTTTAAAAATTAAAAAATAGTAAACACTTCAGTCATAGAGTAGTCTATAAGATACAAGGAAAATTTTGAACAATGAAAGAGCAAGAATGTGTGAAAAACAGGATACATAAAAAAGATAACATCTACAAACAACCCAAATTACTATGATTTGAATGTGTCCCTGATATGGTTTAGATATTTTGTCTCTTCCAAATCTCATGTCGAAATGTGACTTCTGGTGTTGGAGATGAGGCCTAGTGGGAGGTGTTTGGGTCATGGGAGCAGATCCCTCATGAATGGCTTGGTGCTGTCCTCACAATAATGAATGAGTTCTTGCTCTGAAATAATGAGACATCTTGTTGTTTAAAAGAGTGTAACATCTTCCCTCCCCAACTGTCTTGCTCCCTCTCTGGCCATGTGATATTTCTGCTCCCTTTTGCCCTCAGCCATGATCATAAACTTCCTGAGGCCCTTGCCAGAAGCAGATGCTGGCACCACACTTCCTGTACAGCCTGCAGAACCATGAGCCAAAATAAACCTCTTTTCTTTATAAATCACCCAGCCTCGGATATTTATTTATAGCAATGCAAAAACAGACTAATACCATCTCCCAAAGCTAATATGTAAGAAATTTAATCCCTAATGCAGCAGTATTGAGAGGCAGGACCTTTAAGAGGCAGAGTTCTCATGAATAGATTAACTTCATTACCACAAGAGTGGGAGTATTGTAAAAGGGAGCTCGGCTCCTTCTTGCTATCTCACCATGGAATGCCTCCCGCCATGTTATGAAGCAGCAGGAAGGGTCTCCCCAGATGCAGCCCCTCGATCTTGAACTTTCCAGCCTCCAGAACTGTGAGCCAAATACATTTCTATTGGTTATAACTTACCCAGTCTGTGGTATTCTATTATAGAAACACAAAATAGAAAAATGCATATAAGGGATCTATACTTTTCAAAATCAGAACATCAAAATGCTCAGATTGGATAAAAACAAGAGTCAACATTTTGCCACTTAAGAAAGACACATGCAAATCTTTATTATTGTTGAAGATTAGCCAGGCAAATGTAAAGAAATGTAAGTGAGTGGAACAATGTTTGTTTCAGAGAAAATACAACTCAGGACGAAAATAATATAACTGGAATGAAGGAGGGAAACATAAGTACCACTTGTGAGAGGCAGTGCTGTCCAGACCTGGTTTTAAAAGGCCTCCTAGTGTGCTATGTGGTAGGGTGAGAGCCAGTTGTATCTAAAGGGCTAAGGGTATGGTAAGCACAACTAAATTCTCTTTCTTTCATACCACTGGTAGTAGAGATGATGCTTTAAGCCATACATGTAAAGTACTTTAAAATACGCATTTTTTAATAGAAATTATATTTAGCTTAGCAAACCTACAGTTTTAAGGGTATTATTGTTTAGGACATGGCTAATTTTTTTATAAAAAGTTAATTTTAATAAATGATTGAGCAAATAATAGTACATACTCCATATCTCCTCTTGATCATGAGATGATCAGACTGAAAGAGGCATTAAAAAGAAAACTGAAGTTTAAGCAATGCTGTGATAATTAAGGCAGTTGAAATGACCAGACTGAGTGAAATTAATCCATTGTTCACCATGAAGTCCTTCAAAGCCGTAGAACAAAATCTGCCATTATAATCTCAGGAGTCAGGATGGTGACTTTTTTCAAAAGCCATTAAGACCAAAGGTACCCTCGTCCTCATACTTTTTATCTTGCTGCAACCTATTTTTTTTTTTTAAACAGCAATATGTTGTGTTCTATAGTCTCTCACATAGTAACACAGCTGTGAAGAGAAGGTAGTTCTCAGGAACCTATTTGAAGCTACTCTAGCAACTAAAGTTCAATGTTCTTAAGCTAAGGAGAGGAAGTCCTAATAGCTTTACATTCGAGACTGCCTCACCTTGTGAAAGATTATCTTCTGCATACAACACAGAAGTTCTGTTCCTGCTTCCCTGGCCCATCTGCTCTGCTTCTGTACAGACCTCCCACTGCATTTTTCATTAGCTTTTTAGAGGATCTATAATAATAAGATAAGGAAGATTTAGCCTCTCATCCATATTAACATGCTTCCAGTGTAACAGTATTGAATTTTGAGGAACCATTTTAGGAAAGAATCACAATCACAATTTTACTCATTCGGTTCTTCTCTGCCTCAAATTGCCGGTTGGAGACAAATTCACCAGTCACTGCAAATATTAGCTATGGATAACACACAACATATGGCAAAAAGCCAGAATATTTCATAGATCTGAGTCAGGTGACTCCGGTGATTAGTGAAACATCATACATTTCTACCCTTGAGCTGAACAGGAATGAGACAGTCAAGGAAAGGACTAGAAGGCAGCTCCATATGGTGCCAAGACAGCCTGTCAGGGCTATTGGAGGGATGTAGCTTTTCTGCTTAGTACTGTCTAGAAATCATTGATTCAGAGAATGTTGTGCCTGGAAAGAGCCTAAGACTCATCTTCAAAATGAGGATGCTGTGGTAACAGCCTTTTTAAAGTTAAAGACAAGCCTAGATCCCAGGAACCTTTCTTTTCTGTCTTCTACTAAATGAGCCACTCATCTGGAGAAAAATGACATGAATACAAAATTCAATGAGGCTTGAGGCATCTCAAAGCCAAGGGTTTGGCTGAACATATACGTTTACAGAATTGTAAATGTTTAAATTAAATATGACCCCATAGGCAGAGGTAATAAGAAGGAAAATTATTTCAGAAGTCATGACAAACTTGATTCAATATTTGTTTGTGTATAATTATTAGCATTGTAAGTCAGAGAGATATTTAAGACAGTCAGTCTGGATTTCAGCTATCTCTCCAGAGATTCTTGCAGAAAAAAATAATAAAATTAGAATAGGTGCATGTATAGTTAGTGGGAGTAGTTCTTAGATAAGCAAACATAGACAAAGAATATTGTTTAGCAGATTACTATTCTAGAGACCTCAAGAGGTTTGCCATGGATTTTTGATAGCCTGCAGGATTGTTTAAATCAGCAAATTAAATAAACATAAAAGTTACTAACTGTACCTATAGCAATTTAATCAGCAAATTAAATAAACATATAAAAGTTACCAACTGTACCTTCAGCAAATGCTGTTGGTGCTGTGTCCACACCTTTTCACTGTTACTGCTTTGGGGCATTCTGGCCTGACTTCAAACTGCTAGTACCTCCATTTTTTTGCATCTCTGGTTCCTACAGCCTGCTTTGACCACCTTCACAGCAGGACTGATATGCTGGAAAATTAACATTCCTTAGGATCAGCTCCCAAGCAGTGACTTCTGGGATCTGAAGAACAAATTCCCCAACTCCTCCCTGGATGAAGATCACTTTGAGGGACATTTCTACACTGGTCCCAGTGGACTCAAGTGTCAGTTACCCACCGTGGTAATGTGTCTGGTTACAAATTCTTGTTGATTCCTTTTCCTCATACATCTCAATTCCTTACTTATCTACTGATATTTCCTGAGATAATATCCCATGTAAAACACCTGACTCAAATATTTCTCTCACTTCTGGGAGTACCCAAACTAAGAAAACTGGTACTGAATGTAATTCCAGGAAGGGATTTTCAGAATGCTATCTTGAAATGGGGTTGCTTTCATGATGGTTGGCAGCAAGATCTCGGTGGTGGTGGTAAGTGAAGATAAAGATAACCACTGGCATGCTGCCACATCAAAATTAGTAAGACTCTTCCTGTAATGAATTGAGTGATAGGGGATACATTGACTTACCTAGTATCACCAGCATTTGAGAGATATGAATACAAGCTTTCTGGGTGATGCTCGGTGCCCTCAGTGCTCCAGAGGAAGAAAACATAGGCTTAGGGCAGGCAACTCATGTATTTTCATGTATTTCATGAAAGCAATAGGGCTTCATTGCAGGCAGCATTGAAAGAGACCCCTATCTTAGTGGTATCAGACTGTACTCAAAATTAGACCTAATATTTGAGCTTAATATCTGATTTTAAGAATAACTGGGTTACAAAGAAGGCTAATTCATATCCTCAGCAAGTCTCGTATGCTAAAGTCAAGGCCCTGATGGAAAGCGGGGCAGGGGTGCACTTGAGGTCTGAGATGAGGACATCTGAATAGATGTGCTTGAGAACCTTGAACCCTCATATTTCTCTGCACAGAAGTGCCCCCAGTTCCCCTTGATGGGGAATAGCAGCCTTCTCTTGCCTGGAGAAGTCTAAGGAAAAGACTTCATTGAGATAGATGCTATAAAAAAATACCATAAACTTGGTGGCTTATAAATAACAGAAATTTACTTCTTGCAGTTCTCTAGGCTGGGAAGTCCAAAATAAAGACACTGGCAGAGTCACTGTCTGATGAGGACATGCTATCTGGTTCATAGATGGTACCTTTGCACCATATTCTCACAAGGCAGCAGGGCATGACAGCTCTCTGGAGTCTCTTTTATAAGGGCACTAATCATATTAATGAGAGGTGAGGCCTCATGACCTAATCACCTACGAAAGGCCCCACCTCCCAATACCATCAGGTTAGTAATTAGGTTTTAACATATGAATTTTGGGGAGACCCAAACATTCAGACCATAGTAGATGACTAATAGTAAAGGTAGGCCTTCTCTCTTACAGACTGATCACTAAGGTCAAGTTTTAGCTTGGCCTTCCTGGGAAATACACTATCACCCACCAAAGAGCTGTAGTGGGACCTCGAGAAAATAGCTGGTAATAGATCTTGAGGATGCTGAACTGGTGGTGGGGACAGAATGTAAAGCTAAATAAAAGAGAGTTTACTAATATGGGGAATTGTCTTGTGACTCTTGTTTTAATGTCCTGGAAAAGCCCCTGGAGATAATCCTAATGTGTATTTGAGATGGCTCCTTGGAGCTTGGACACAAAGATGCCCTATAGTATAGGAGATAAAGATGCAAGAACTTCCTTGACAGAATATAGTGGAAGGGATCAAAAGGTTCATAGAGGTGAGCAAGGCAGAATTCACTTATTATCAAAGCACTCACTGACCGGGTTCCTCAGGAAGCCTGCAGAAGATTCCCTTCTCAAAAGCACAAAGGAAATAATTAGTGAGGGGAGAGCCAGTGATATTGAGAAGCTCATGGTGGCTGTCCCCTGTAGGCAGGGGCCTGATGGTAGTGAATTCTGCTAAAAACAAGTTGACCTAGTATCAACAGGCATGATGAGATTGCAGATTGGCATAGTTCAGGTGGCAACTCTTAGCCATCAGAGGCAAAGGGGATGTAATGACCATAATGGTCAGCAAGATCAGAATAACAGAGAGGAATCTCTAGTCTGCTGGAATCTGTGGCGATGGCTAAGAGGCCTCGGTGTTCCTAGCAATGAGATAGATGGACAACCTGGAGGATGGCACACCCCATGGAGAAGGCATGGAAGCTCTGTGCCTCTACCTGCATACCTCACCCCATGCACCTCTTCATCTGTATTCTTTGTAACATTCTTTGTAGTAAGCCATACAATGTAAAGCAGTGTTTCCCTGAGTTCTGTGAGCTGCTCACACTAATTAATTATAACTCAAGAGGGGGTGAGGGGAACCCCAATTTATAGCCGGTTAGAGGCACAGGTAAAACAACCTGGGGCTTGTGATTGGCGTCTGAAGCCAGGGGCAGTCTTGAGGAACAGAGGCCTCAACCTGTGGGATCTGATGTTATCTCCAGCAGCTAGTGTCAGTTGAACTGTGTTGGGAGGACACCTGGCTGGTGCCTACTACAGAACTGATTGCGTGGGTGGTGTGTGGGGAAAAAACCCACACATGTGTACAGAAAAGTCTTCTGTGTTTATTCTTTTGGTGTGACAACAGAGGAGAAACTGTTTTTTCTACACAGCAGTAGATATGCAGCTAAAAATTCCAAGGTTTCGATGTGTCCATTTTTTGGACCAGTCATTTTTTCCAAGCAGATTGAATACAGTTATCCATGTTGGAAATAAGTGTTTGACACAACCAGGTTAGTTAGAACCTCTGTGTTGGGGCTTGTTTCTCATTTTCTTGTGTGCGGAATGGGAGCATTTCAAGCCACCTCAGAGGGGCCAGATCGTTACCAAGGCTCTATCTATGCGGTATGTTAGAAATTGATGCTGGACTGCTCAGAACAGAAAGAAAATACACCTGAGGTGTACTGAGCTCTTATACAGCATGAAAGGGATCCACAACTCCTTCCTGGATACTCCCAGGGGGAGATCAGTTAAAAAGCTAAGCACCTGAAAAATATGCAGTGATCCCACAGCAAAGATCTTAAAATATTGACAGCCTAAGCCAGCAGCTAAAGGAAGGCTATATTTGAGAAGTGGATGTGCACACCCAAGCAAACTTGTGCCGAAGTCAGCAAGGAAAGACTGCTGAGCCTAACCAGGCTGAAGGAAGCAGCACCAAGTTCACTTTTCGTTCTACCCAAAAGATTTCCAAGGGTGGCCCTCAGGCAACCCGCAGTGGGTCACCTGGGGTAATAAGTAAACTGCAGACCCTCCAAGTCCTCTGCACATACTATAGAACAGAATTTCTGAAGGCATAGCTTTGGAATCTGTACTTTTAAAAAACAAGTTCCTCAGGTTATTATTCAAGCAGTCATCAAAAATCATTGCAGTTTATCCAGAAACTTTTTACCTCTTTCTTCACCTGGGTAACTACCACTTTGAAGAAAATTCAAAGGATATCTTCTCCAGGAAGACTTCCCTCAAGCAGGGTTAAATGCCCATCTTCTGGGCTCCCCTAAGCACAGAGGGCATAACACATGATCACTCTTATTGTATGCACTACTATCAAGTGCCTGTTACTTGCCAGTTCCTAGAGGGCAAGAACTATATTTTCTTCATACTAACTTCCCCTGGATCTAGCATGTTCACTAACTCATGGGCCACTTCAACTAAACCTAGAATGAAATGCTGTCAGAGAGATAAATCACCTGCTATAAACTTTATTTAGGGCCCTGGGTTTAGAATCCAGTACAGGATGGCCACTGGTGGCTGGGGATAGGAGTGGTGAATTAAAGTAACAAAACTTTGTCTTCTTGCTCTCCCCACTTATTGTCTGTGATTTTTCTCCTATAGAGCATCTCTCTTCTTCCTTTGTTTCTTCTCACAATCCAGAAGTTTCTGCTTCTCATATCCTGTTAGGCTCAGCCCAGGAAATCTTGGGGATTCATTTCTAGTTTCACAGGAAAAACATTGAATTGGTCACTTAAAAAGGGTAAATTTTGAGATGTGAACTATATCTCAAGGAAACTGTAAAAAAAATATATGACAAAGAAGAATCCCATGATTTAGTCAATGCCAAACTCTTAGGAACCATGCACTATACTCTGGCTTTCTGAGCCTGCAGCTCTTCTTCTCTTTTTGGTCCTTTTTTTTCTGATGTGCAATCTGCTTCCTTGCTAATGTCAGCCTTGATATTCTCACATCAGAGTGACGCCAGTCCCAAGGCCTCTTATCTGGTTTCTAACAACCCCCTGCTTTGCTAATTCTTGGTAATTGAGCTCACCTGCTTCAGGCCACACACTGGACTCTGATATTGACTTCTACCTTGCTCTTACATGGCAGCAATTGCACAGGCTGGGTGCCTATTCCCACAGCCCCTACTACCCATTACCTGTTCCTCTCTATGCAGCTCCCACCTCTCAGGCATTTGAGACTCTCAGGTTCTCAGAAATCTTCTCAGATAACCCTCAGGGTGAGCATAATCCACTGTGTCCCACTCTGAAAAAATGCACTTGAGGTCATAGCTCACCATTTTAGTTAAGTATTAATTTCTTTGTTACTAGCTCCAGGGCAGCAGAGTGGTTTGAGGGAATGAAGGAATAAAAGAACATGTGTTCCATTAAGGGGGTTTTCCATCTCACCCTACCTTTCCCTCTTTGTCTCCTGAGTCTTCCAGGTAGGTGCTGCTTCTCTTTTAGGCACATCTTTCTCTGCAGGAGTAAACTAGGGATTTAAAAAAAAATGAGGAAACAGGAAAACTGGAAGATGCCAGAAGGCTGCATATTTAAAACCTGAGCTGGAAAAGAAAGAGAAGCAAAATAAGTCTGTATAGTCTGACTTTGGAGCCATGGCATGAGGCAGAAGTCAGACTTTGGAAAAGTTATGAGACATGAAAGTGAGAGAGATGAGAAGGGAAAGAGGCTTTTAAGAAAATTTTCTGTGAATAATAAATATATTCTCCCTTTGGCGATTCTTCTAGTAAGTAATAAATTGCTTTTCAATTTTTTTGGCTATGGGAGGTTTTTTATTGCAATATCATGATAATAGAGCCTAGAGAAGGGGTGGCCTTTATATGGGTGATAGAAGCATGTCTAGATCCTGAAACCACTGTTCCCAGGTGGTGGCTTCCCCCTGTAATGCACACGTGGGTCACTAAACCCAGATAAAATAGCTTTTGTGACATAACAGATAAGGAAAACAGAATTCTTGGAAAGACTGATAGCGAGAGAGCTGTTTACTGGCCATAGCACAGGGACAGAAGTTGGGGAATCAGAGTGGCGAGGAAATAACAATTTATTCCTTATGAAGTAGCTAATGTGATTAGCTTTTTGGTATGTGTGCATGGAGAGGCAGGCAGCTGGAGACAGTCTTTTTGATCTCTGGCTGTCTGAGTAGAGGATCATACCAGTGGGTGGAGGCAGCTCTCAGATCTCCCGCTCTGAGCAGGAGTCTGACTCTTTGAAGTGTTCCCCTCTCTACTTTTACTGCTAACAGACAGTGAGGAAGAAGGCTACGTCCCTAGGGCAGGTCAGGAGGCCTTGAAGTTTCCCCAGTAAGAGGAATTTAACAGAGATGACCATGGGAAAGGCTGTAAAGTAGTTCAAGCTGCATTTCAACATCTCTCCATTACCCTTTGGCTCCATCCCTATCCCAGGTGAATAGCAGGTATATTTTTTTGCTTCTCCTGATTACTGAAAGCTTTTCCATGGAGCCCTTATCGGCCTAGATCATATTCTATGCCATAACCTTCCTCGTCTCCCATCAAAACTGCCCTGAACCCATTTCATGAGGTCCTTAGTGTGAACCAAATTCATACTGGTCTCTAGTGACTTACAGCAATAATAATACCTAACATTATTGAAGGCCAACTATGCCTTAGGTCCTATTTTAAGGTCTCTACCTCTGTTAGCTTTTCTAAGACTTACGATACCCCTTTTATAAAGTTGGTGATATTATCTGTTCAAATCACTTAAGGTAGACAACTGACTACTGTGCTAAAAATACAACACATTTGGCGGCCAGGAGCAATGTATGATCTAATAATTATATGAAAACTCCAGTCTTGATTTCACCAAGATTTCAGATCTCTTCCTGAAAATTCTTGATGATTCCCTGTTTATGTGCCCATAACAGATTAAAAAAAAGAGAGCAGAACAAAACACTCTTTATATTAGCTTCCAATTAAAAACTTCAAAAACCAAACAAAAATGGTGTATAATTTATAATTATTTTGATATAGTACATCACATAATGTTCCTAGCTTAGATTGTCTTCTTAAGATATTTCAGAACAAGAAGAGATATTCTGTTAATATTACTTATTGGACATCATGCCAGTCACATATTTGACTGGAGCATAAAACAAATGACCAAGACAGACACAGCCTTTACACTTAAGGAAATTAAAATTTAGATAAAAGATTCTTGAGAATACTTGGTATAATACCTTGCCACTGTAAATTGGATTTTTAAAATTTTGTTTTATTAAACAAAGTGTTTAAACAGCAATAATTACACCCATTTATTTTCATCATTTCATTGTAATTTTTATGTGTTTTCTATTCATCCAATGGCTGAATTCTGTTTTTGTCTTGTTTTCACCTAACTTTTGATAGTGAAATTTAACCCATTTACATTTATTGAGATAACTGATATGTTTACACTCATCCCTATTTCAGACAGACTCTTTGTTTTACTTTATTAACTAGGTTATGTTTTGTTGCAAGGAACAGACAATTGGACAAACATTGGCTTAGATTATGGTGGTAGTTATTAACTTAATGAAAAGTATAATGTTAGGTGGCTCCAGGATTGATTTAGCAGTGCCATATCAAGGTACATGGTGTTCCTCTACTAAATTTGCTTGTCTTTTTTTTTATGGTTTCATGTTGGCTTCTCAGCACAAAGTATTTCTTTACCATGCAACAACATTCAAAACCAGTTAGTATCAACAAATAATACTGATATAATATTTATTTTGTATCAGGACTGTTCCAGAGACTTCACAGATATTACTCATTTTATCCTTAGGGCAACCTATCAGATAGGCATTATTATCATCTCCAGTTTACAAATAAAGACTGAAACACAGAGAACAACTAATTAAAACATTATAATTAATCCTTTTTCCATTTGCCCTGAGAATACTCACTGGTGGCACCTGTGGCTGCAGCATTTAGCCTGAGATAACTTTGCCACAAAATATCTTGCTTTCATTATTATTTTCACCTCGCTCTAGTATATTGACTTTGGAAACAAAGAGATCATTCTATTTATAGCATTCTGTTTTAAGGAGTGGTATTTCCACTTAGAAAGTATAGTAATTCTTGATTGCTGAAAATGTCCAATCCTAGAAAACATAGCATTCCTATGGGTTATAGTAACATCATTATCAAACAGTCATTGGCCAAAGATTCACTTGATGATTCTGGTTTTCTGAAATAGATGATTCTGATGATTCAGACAATTCTGATGTTAGTTCTGTTTAGAAATAGCTCCAAAAACAGTTTTTATATTTTATTTTCACATTGAAAATTAGTCAGATTTGCTTCAGCCTCAAAGAGCATGTTTATGTAAAATTAAATGAGCGCTGACAGCAAGCTGCACTTTTTTTTTTTTTCTAAATGGGAAAAGGGTTTTAAGGGAGAAAGGGCTGACCGCCCCAGATCTCTGAAAGTAGTTTCACAATTCATGCCTTGTCACCTGACCTGAGCCCTGATTCCGCTCTTTGTGGTCTGAGATCTGAGCACCTTGGAGGCATTCCACTCCTACTGCTTCTTTCTTGTGTATTTTCAGTTCTAATTTTTTTGTTTGTTTTATTTCTCTGCATAAATATTTTCATCTTCTCTCTATGTTTCTGGAAATTGCTAATATTTCTGGATTGCTTATTATAAGCTTGCTTTCAAATGCTGCTATGAATTTCTTATTTTGAATTCTGTATATTTTCTGATATTTCATGTAATTTTAGATGTGTAAGAGGAATGGTTTATGTTCTCAATCAGCTCTCTTGAAAGAACTCAACCTCACTATTTTAAAGATGAGGAAACAGGCCAGGAGAGACTTGTGAGTGGTTAGCTTAATTAGTATTACAAAGTGAACTAAAGACTGAATTGTCTGTGGGCATACACTGAGTTTGATGCCAGTGGGGACTTTTAGTCTGAGAATTTACCCACTATCTTATATTTTGTCTCTAAAAATTGTTTTAAAACAAAATAGAACTTTAGTTCTTGCTTACTAAAACATCTTTAGCTTATTTATTCCACAGGAATTCTTCTACTATAAAAAGCATATACATTATAGATAAATAACAAAATAAATAACCTCTTATCTTAACATTCACAAATAACTTCTCTAATGTTTTACTATATATCATTCAAGTATTTTTTGAAATGATATGTATAATTATTTTTGATAAAATATGAAACAATATACACATAGCTTTTCAGCTTAACTTTTAAAACATTCAACCATATATTGTGAGGTTTCTCCATATATTATGTGGATCCTTTTAAAACATCACTTTTAATGACTCCATGGTTTTCTATTATATAGATTTAATAAAAATTTAAGCAATGCAATATTGTTTCAAATATATGATAATTTATAAATGGCAGTTTTCCCTGAGCTCAACATGAAAGATATCAGGTACCAAAATGGATTGTGAAATAGATCATTCTTTAAGAATTGCAAGCAGAGTCAAAAAGCTGTTAAATGCTCTTGAATCCCTCACCCGCATCAAGGATAAATATGGTTGAGAAATTGCTCATGGGATGGTTTCTTTGGACAAAGCTATGCTCTGGGAACCCACCCCAAAGGGAAGAGATAGAGGTGCCTCTAACTTTACCTCAAGTGGAAAGAAAGGGGCTCCAGTGGGACTACCTGGAAGGCTTCAGTTATTTTCCTGAAATAACCCTTACAAAGTCTTAAATCCAGAGATGAGTTCACTGAAAGCATAAGCACAGAAGAAATGGTTGTGTTGCAAGCTTAGTATTTCAAGCTGTGTCAAGACAAAATGACAGCATATAGGCTGTGCCCAAAAGAGGTAACTGGAGTTTACATCTTGTCCAAGAGGATCAAAGGTAGGGGCACTAAGACCCCGGAAAAGATAATCTAGATGGGGTGGACTGATACGGGAATGGCCAAACAGACAAAAATGCAACACATCATAAAAAAATACAGATTAATTTCCTCACTAGGGCCCCCTAGGAACTCATGAAGGTACTGAAGAGAAAATGTGAACTTACACATCTGCCAGGCTCAGATGTCAAGTAATCTTCACAGTAGTACCAATCAATTTAGAATTTTCTTGCCCCTCATGTTTTCTACACTATGGTTCTAGATGAAATTCAGGAAAAAAGGATCTTTTTTTCAGGAAAAAAATAGTAATCTCTAAAATTATTTTGTCTGATATTATTATTTTAATATTATGATGTTATTATTTAAAATGCAGCTATGTAGCATAATATTTGAATTATATCAAGGTTTCATTTGTTGTTTAGCCTATGTTCATTCATTTATTTGAGGAAATATAAAATTAACTTTTATTTACTCAGCAATAATTTTATCGCATTCCTCCTATGCATTGGGCATTGTGTTAGTCCAGCAGTAAACAAATTAGATAAAAATCCCTGCCCTCAGATAATTTATATTCAGAGGGGAGGGGCAGACATCAAAAAAAAAGATAAGAAGGAAAATGCATAGAATGTTAGATGTTAAACAGTGTTACAGAAGAAAGGAGCATAGAATTAGGCTAGGGAGCATCAGAGTGGATGGCAGACTTCAGTTTAGATGGGATAAAGTGAAGGTCAGGCAGGATAAAGACCTAAAGGAGGTGAGGGAATGAGATATGCAGACACCTGGGAAGACTATTCCAGGAAAAGGGAACAGAATACGCAAATAAACTGAGGCGCAAATATGCAAGAATGTTAAATACAAAGAAAGAAGGTCACAGAAGTAAGTGAAGGGCAGATTAAGAAGAGCATTCTAGGTTATTGTAAGAACTTGGTTTTCAAATAGTTGATGTTTGTAATTATTACGCATAAGTCCTCTGCATTCTTGCTTATGTATTTGTTTTTATATATTATTCTATCCCCTTAGTCTGTTTGAGCTATCCAAGTTTGAAAGTTGTGCTAAAATATCCTCCTAATGTTATGGTTTTGTCGACTTTTTCTTATTTTTCTAATAGCTTTTGTTTGATCTATTTCAATGCAATTTCCTTGGGCACATAAAAGTAAATGAGAATTACCTTCATTGTAGATTATACCCTTCAATAATAAAAAGTAAATCATTTTGCCTGATGTAATGTTTGTTACCTGAAGTCTATTTTGTCTGATATTGATATTGCCAACCTGGCTTTCTTTTTGTCTGCATCTTATTTACCTGAATACCTTTCATACTTAACCTTTTGTTTGCCTATTTTTGTTTTTTAGTCTATTACGGTGTTTGTGTAACTTTTATTTATTTCTTTTCACATCTTTTGGTGGTTTTCTAAAGTTTTCTTTGTACTACTTTTCCTTTCATGTTGTAATCTATGCGTTTTCTCCTCCTGCCTTAATGATTACCCTTATTTTAAAAAAAATTGTCCCCTTGTATTTATGGTCCACCTGTGTTTCCTTGTCATGAAAATTAAATGTTGTTTACATGAGATAAGAAAGGTTTTCCATTTCTACTTCTTCACTGTGGTCATCACAAGCCAGGTTCACACACTTACCATCTAAGCCTGCATGTTCACATGCGCATAGATGTGCACACACACACATGCAAACATGTGCACACACACATTGTGTTTGCTATTTTACATGTCTAGAGTAAGACCCATCCACCGAGTTTTTTGCTTTTGTGAAAATGAATCTTTGAATCTCAGACCAGAGAGCCATGGAGGAGCTGTCTCAGCAAAAGATAAAGAGCAGGATCTTTGTTCTCCTAAATCCTCAGTTCCTTGGATGATACTTTAAACTCTCTCCCACCTCTGCTTGCACCAGGATTGCAACAGCAGAAGCCCAGAGAGATGTCAAGCGGCTTAAAGGAAATTGTATGTAGTGGAAAATTCTTTTTTTTATTAAAAGCTATTTATCTTTCTTATCTTTTTGAATATACGGCTGCTTCTGGCTTGCCTCTGTGAATCCACACGGCTGATCGAATCTCTGCCTCATTGTGCTCATTTATTAAAAGCTGAATTCCAATATCAGCCATAGGTGATTCCTACATCAAGGGACAGAGTCCTACTATGATAATTATGGCAGGAGGTCAGGATGCAGCCTGGGGGCAAGACAGCAGTCAGCCTGAAGCATCCCAAAGCCTAAGGATCCTCTCACTGCTGGCTTTCTCAAGGAGACTGACGGTTCCTACCTTTCTCTGAGCCAACCCATGTGCCTATGTTATGCTATTTAATTTTTACAAAAGTTCTATGACATAGGTGTTATAATCCTCATTTTACACATTAAAAAATTGAGTTTCAAAGATGCTCAATTCATGTTAGCTAGAGGTAGACCCAGGATTCAAACCTACATGTTTGACCCCAAAACTTACACTCTTCTGTAATGATGCTTTTAAGAATGGGAAAAAGTGGCGAATGGGACCATCATCATTACGTTAAGCTACAGACATTTAGTTTGGGGCTTTCACAGACTCAATTTACTTTATTTGCTCTAGCAAATAAAGTACATTTTGACCTAATCTGCATTTTTCAAACTGTGCTCCAAAGCCCTCTAGAGGTTGCAAATGTGAGTGAGGAACAACTAAGATGGTCTGCTCTGGGCTACTGCTGCTCTTTGATTTATTTGTTTAAACCTCCGTATGTAAGGTTTTGTTTGGAAATACAAATTCACCTTCTACAGCATACTTAAGGGTGGTGGAGGATGAAGGAAGGTAATTTTATAGAAGAAGTCTAGAAAGTTCAGGCCACTGTAGAACCAAGACAACATCGGCTCTTGCTCCTACTTCACTGTATGGCCCTGGCTGCAAAGCAGCTGGCGTGGATGGAGACATGAGCCAAGAAAAGAGAAAGTTTACAGGAACTGGCAAGAATGAGGATCAAAATGGGTCATAAGTAGCAACCCCAGGGACACTATTGGCAATTACCAATCAGGTCCAAACTGCACAAGATAAATCTAACTTAGTTTTCTGTATTAATGAGGAGAGACGGGGAAGAAGGAGCGAGCATGGTCACTATTTTAGAATTGGAGACAGGTATTGGTAATAGGGAAAGGTATTGGTAATAGGGGCATTATTGTATTGTAGGGACAGCAAAAGCATAGCTTCAGGCCAGCAAGAGAGAGGGCCTACATGTGACTCAAAATCCAAAATGACATCCCCAAGCCCACGAAAAAAAAATGTAATTGTGGGCAATTTTGAAAATGTATTACATTATGCAAATTGAAAAGTATAAGTCCCCGTTGTACTTGTTTGGAGACACAGTGAAATCCTAATTTTTTCTATTTAGATATAAAATAAGCATCAAAGAAAGAGCCCCACCTCCATCTAATGGAGAGGACTCTCTCTACCTCCAGGCTAATTGCCTAGACCAACTTGAATTCCCTATTCTAAGCTAATAATGGAGAGTGTCAGGGACTGACTGGGTTATCCAAGTTGAAGCCATCAGGCAATACATCAGAGAAAAGAAGAGGGTAAAGAGGGCCAGGTCCTCTGCTGTGGCTGGAATAGAGGATAGGACTACAGTATGGCATAGAGAATGTATCTGGGAAAGGAGAACAAGAAGATGGGTCTTCCCTCAGAGAATTCATAGAAAGTGTCAGCTGGTCAGCCTCTTGCTGTCAACCTGAGGTGAGACAATATGGCAGGGTGATTATGGGAGATGATGTGCAGATAATCAGATGTGGAGAGATGGAACAGGGATTCATAAGCATTTGTTGTGAACCTTTAATCTCAATATTTGTTGCATTATTATTTTGAATAATATAATTTTGAATCTCTTACTTTCAGCTTTTATTTTCTTTCCAAAAGATCTATAAAAACCCAGCCCTTCCAAGGTACTCAGGAAATTAACTGCAAATATTTATTATGTAGCCTGCTGAAGAGAGACCTAAGTAACTGGGGTTGTGTGCCCTCGCATAGAAAAGACAAAGTTCAGAAGGCAGGAGTGGATGGTATAACAATTTGTTGCCCAGTGGGATTGGAAGTGAATGAGGGGAGGAAATTCACCATAAATGCCTGAGGATAATTCTCAATATTCATATCTTCCTCCTCCAAAGTAAATTAGATGGGGTCTGCGCAGGTGAGTCTGAAAAATCCCCAGGTAGTTTTCGTCCATGCCCCCAACTTCCAGTTACTTGTAACTGACACAAAGGCACAGGATGTAACAAATGAGCTGCCACCTCCATGACCACAACAGAAAAGTTTTGGTGGTTGACACTAGGAAAAAGATCTTCCCTTTGGCAATTATGTATAACCAAAGACATCTTTAAAGGAAAATTAGACAGAATGCATTGAGTCTGTCTAAACAAAATGACTGCTTTTTTGATTTTGTGGTATATAAGTAAAGTTTGGTAAGACCATGGGGCACATTTTGGGAGCTTGAAGCCACAGCTCATATGCAATTCCTCTTCTTGACACTTCCAAATGTGTAGGAATTATGGGAAGAACAAAATAGAACCTTTCCATTAGTCTAGGATATTCTGTTTTGTTCATTCCCTAAGCATTGTCCTGTTAGCCCATCTCCCCAGAACATTCTCTTGAATGTCAATGAAGTTTTATCCTCACCTTATTGGGCCATGGAAATCTCAAGGTTATTATTCTCCCTTTTGCTCTCTATCCTGAAAATGTATTCAACCTTACTAAGAATTTGGTGTTAATATTTCGCAAACTTATTTGCATGTCTTTGTTTTCTACATTAAAATGGTCATTTGAAATTGTGGTCTACAGGACACTAACATTCACCCCTTCCAAAATTCTTCTTCCGTCCTACCGTCAATTTGTCAAGGGATACGGAGGTTCACCATTGCATAATTCCAGAAGGGAAAAAGAATAGCACATCTTTTTCCTCTTATATACCCATAATTATCTGTTTCTCCTGGGCAGATCTATGCCTCCACCCTAAAAAGCAGCTCCTTGAATCCTTCCCTGGACTCTATTTTTATCTTTGCAGTGTGGAAGCCTAAAAACATGTGAGGGGGATGGAGTTTGGGAAGCTTCTATACATGCCTGCACCACAGCACAGCCTTGACTGCTGTCTGCCCAAACAGCTGGACATTTCTGCAAGCAAGCAAACAGAAATTAAATACACAAAACAGCCAAACCAGTTGTAGGGTATGATGGAAAAAATATCCCCGGAGCAGGGGGTCCTGGTTCCTCCACTAGACCAGTGATAAGATACTCAACCTCTTTGGGCTTAAAAACTGGGGTAACAAAGACTGTAATCCCACAGGAATATTTACTGCTTTTAGTTGCCCAGCATTCATCCTGTATGCTGTGTGTGTGTGTGTGTGTGTGTGTGTGTGTGTAAGAGAAAGAGAGAGAGAGAGAGAGAGAAAGAGAGAGAGAGAGAGACCTATAGCTCCCAGATCTCTTTGGATGTGTTCTTTGCCATCCACCCTTGTGCAGCTCTTTCTGGAGGACCACCCTTGGTTGGCTAGAACATGCTGTGACTGCACACCTGAAGAAAGGAAAGTGCCTGGGTGCCTGAGGATTTACAGGCTACCCTGACTCCTTTGCCCAGGAAAAGGCCAGAACCAATGACACACCCGTATCATACTAGAAAGCCTGATGGGATCACTTTGAAGCTCTGTTTGCACTCTACATCTCCCCTGCAGGATCAGGCTGAAGCTATATTCAGCATAACTTTTCCTGAGTTCCTGCTCCTGGTTCACATTCCCCCTCTTTGCTGTCCTACCCCCCACATCCTTATGGGGCTTCACCAGCTAAAGCATCATTAGCACACACATCCTCATCTCAAGATATGCTTCTGGGAAACAGGAACTAAACCAAGAACCATCCTTACATGATCATAGGCAGTCTTGGTGGGACTATCAGTCAGATGCCCTGTATGTCATGGTCCAAGGGTGGCCTGCAAAGCAAAGCATTAATCAGACTCTCTGATCTGGAAATCTGCATCTTGATCAGATGACGCAAGACAAGAAGCTGGTCCCCATGGTGGTGATCTAAAGATACTGGTCACTCATTCCTACCCACAGATCCTCAGAGAGCACTGATTCCTCCCCTTTAACGGCTCCATTTGCTCAGTTTTTCTTCCTTTCTCTGAGCTGACCTATATACTCAAAACAAATTATTTTTTGGCCTTCCTTATCCAGAGTTGCTTGTGATTAAATAACCCCAACTGACGTGGAAATCAAATAAAGCAACAAAGAACTGCTTTTTCAACTGTGAGTACTACTCTGAAGTCATCTGTGATTATTGCATAAGCAGTCCCTCTTAGTAATGTTTTGCTGTAGTGTTTGACATCACCAAAGAACACCTATACTTGACTTCTCCTTGCTTTTGCCTGTGCATTTCACAGTTTCAGTATTTGACAAGTGAACTTTCTGAAACTACCAAAGACAACAGCACACACTTCATCAGCATTTTTGTTTATTGATACCAGGATTAGCATTTTCTAGAAACATAATAAAGTAATTGCAGACATATTTGCCTTATATTTGTGAATTTATCAATTTATGGCATAGATTCCAGGAGCATGTTAGTTTTTAGAGTAGAGATGCTGATATCCCTTAGCTATATATCCAGAAAATAACAACTATGTAGCTTCTAAATTTTTACATGAATATTTCCAATAGTCCAGCTTAATGTGTGGCTTTACAAATTATAATTTATAATAGTCCCCTGTCAATAAAAGTATGAATAATAACATGGTTATCTTTTATAGTGCTTTGTAGTTTATCATCTAATTTTTTAGGTTGATCTTCAAGATACCTTTACATGATTACTTTAATTGAGATGAGAAAATTAGAAATTTTCAGATGAGAAAAACAGGGTTGAGAAAGCTTAAGCCACTTCCAAATGTCTTAGAAATATTAAGTGGAACTATACCTTTATCTTTTTCTTTAAATCTTTATAATCTTCTTTATAATCTTTTTTTAAAATTTGTTTATTTATTATTATTATACTTTAAGTTTTAGGGTACCTGTGCACAATGTGCAGGTTAGTTACATATGTATACATGTGCCATGCTGGTGCGCTGCACCCACTAACTCATCATCTAGCATTAGGTATATCTCCCAGTGCTATCCCTCCCCGCTCCCCCCACCCTACAACAGTCCCCAGAGTGTGATGTTCCCCTTCCTGTGTCCACGTGTTCTCATTGTTCAATTCCCACCTATGAGTGAGAATATGCGGTGTCTGGTTTTTTGTTCTTGCGATAGTTTACTGAGAATGATGATTTCCAATTTCATCCATGTCCCTACAAAGGACATGAACTCATCATTTTTTATGGCTGCATAGTATTCTATGGTGTATATGTGCCACATTTTCTTAATCCAGTCTATCATTGTTGGACATTTGGGTTGGTTCCAAGTCTTTGCTATTGCGAATAGTGCCGCAATAAACATACGTGTGCATGTGTCTTTATAGCAGCATGATTTATAGTCCTTCGGGTATATACACAGTAATGGGATGGCTGGGTCAAATGGTATTTCTAGTTCTAGATCCCTGAGGAATCACCACACTGACTTCCACAATGGTTGAACTAGTTTACAGGCCCACCAACAGTGTAAAAGTGTTCCTATTTCTCCACATCCTCTCCAGCACCTGTTGTTTCCTGACTTTTTAATGATTGCCATTCTAACTGGTGTGAGATGGTATCTCATTGTGGTTTTGATTTGCATTTCTCTGATGGCCAGTGATGATGAGCATTTTTTCATGTGTTTTTTGGCTGCATAAATGTCTTCTTTTGAGAAGTGTCTGTTGATGTCCTTTGCCCACTTTTTGATGGGGTTGTTTGTTTCTATCTAGTAAATTTGTTTGAGTTCATTGTAGATTCTGGATATTAGCCCTTTGTCAGATGAGTAGGTTGTGAAAATTTTCTCCCATTTTGTAGGTTGCCTGTTCACTCTGATGGTAGTTTCTTTTGCTGTGCAGAAGCTCTTTAGTTGAATTAGATCCCATTTGTCAATTTTGTCTTTTGTTGCCATTGCTTTTGGTGTTTTGGACATGAAGTCCTTGCCCATGCCTATGTCCTGAATGGTAATGCCTAGGTTTTCTTCTAGGGTTTTTATGGTTTTAGGTCTAACGTTTAAGTCTTTAATCCATCTTGAATTGATTTTTGTATAAGGTGTAAGGAAGGGATCCAGTTTCAGCTTTCTACATATGGCTAGCCAGTTTTCCCAGCACCATTTATTAAATAGGGAATCCTTTCCCTATTGCTTGTTTTTCTCAGGTTTGTCAAAGATCAGATAGTTGTAGATATGCGGCGTTATTTCTGAGGGCTCTGTTCTGCTCCATTGATCTATATCTCTGTTTTGGTACCAGTACCATGCTGTTTTGGTTACTGTAGCCTTGTAGTATAGTTTGAAGTCAGGTAGTGTGATGCCTCCAGCTTTGTTCTTTTGGCTTAGGATTGACTTGGCGATGCGGGCTCTTTTTTGGTTCCATATGAACTTTAAAGTAGTTTTTTCCAATTCTGTGAAGAAAGGCATTGGTAGCTTGATGGGGATGGCATTGAATCAGTAAATTACCTTGGGCAGTATGGCCATTTTCACGATATTGATTCTTCCTACCCATGAGCATGGAATGTTCTTCCATTTGTTTGTATCCTCTTTTATTTCCTTGAGCAGTGGTTTGTAGTTCTCCTTGAAGAGGTCCTTCACATCCTTTGTAAGTTGGATTCCTAGGTATTTTATTCTCTTTGAAGCAATTGTGAATGGGAGTTCACTCATGATTTGGCTCTCTGTTTGTCTGTTGTTGGTGTATAAGAATGCTTGTGATTTTTGTACATTGATTTTGTATCCTGAGACTTTGCTGAAGTTGCTTATCAGCTTAAGGAGATTTTGGGCTGAGACAATGGGGTTTTCTAGATATACAATCATGTCGTCTGCAAACAGGGACAATTTGACTTCCTCTTTTCCTAATTGAATACCCTTTATTTCCTTCTCCTGCCTAATTGCCCTGGCCAGAACTTCCAACACTATGTTGAATAGGAGTGGTGAGAGAGGGCATCCCTGTCTTGTGCCAGTTTTCAAAGGGAATGCTTCCAGTTTTTGCCCATTCAGTATGATATTGGCTGTGGGTTTGTCATAGATAGCTCTTATTATTTTGAAATATGTCCCATCAATACCTACTTTATTGAGAGTTTTTAGCATGAAGGGTTGTTGAATTTTGTCAAAGGCTTTTTCTGCATCTATTGAGATAATCATGTGGTTTTTGTCTTCGGCTCTGTTTATATGCTGGATTACATTTATTGATTTGCATATATTGAACCAGCCTTGCATCCCAGGGATGAAGCCCACTTGATCATGGTGGATAAGCTTTTTGATGTGCTGCTGGATTCATTTTGCCAGTATTTTATTGAGGATTTTTGCATCAATGTTCATCAAGGATATTGGTCTAAAATTCTCTTTTTTGGTTGTGTCTCTGCCTGGCCTTGGTATCCGGATGATGCTGGCCTCATCAAATGAGTTAGGGAGGATTCCCTCTTTTTCTATTGATTGGAATAGTTTCAGAAGGAATGGTACCAGTTCCTCCTTGTACCTCTGGTAGAATTCGGCTGTGAATCCATCTGGTCCTGGACTCTTTTTGGTTGGTAAGCTATTGATTATTGCCACAATTTCAGATCCTGTTATTGGTCTATTCAGAGATTCAACTTCTTCCTGGTTTAGTCTTGGAAGAGTGTATGTGTCGAGGAATTTATCCATTTCTTCTAGATTTTCTAGTTTATTTGCGTAGAGGTGTTTGTAGTATTCTCTGATGGTAGTTTGTATTTCTGTGGGATCGGTGGTGATATCCCCTTTATCATTTTTTATTGTGTCTATTTGATTCTTTTTTTCTTTATTAGTCTTGCTAGCGGTCTATCAATTTTGTTGATCCTTTCAAAAAACCAGCTCCTGGATTCATTAATTTTTTGAAGGGTTTTTTGTGTCTCTATTTCCTTCAGTTCTGCTCTGATTTTAGTTATTTCTTGTCTTCTGCTAGCTTTTGAATGTGTTTGCTCTTGCTTTTCTAGTTCCTTTAATTGTGATGTTAGGGTGTCAATTTTGGATCTTTCCTGCTTTCTCTTGTGGGCATTTAGTGCTATAAATTTCCCTCTACACACTGCTTTGAATGCGTCCCAGAGATTCTGGTATGTTGTGTCTTTGTTCACGTTGGTTTCAAAGAACATCTTTATTTCTGCCTTCATTTCGTTATGTACCCAGTAGTCATTCAGGAGCAGGTTGTTCAGTTTCCATGTAGTTGAGCGGTTTTGAGTGAGATTCTTAATCCTGAGTTCTAGTTTGATTGCACTGTGGTCTGAGAGATAGTTTGTTATAATTTCTGTTCTTTTACATTTGCTGAGGAGAGCTTTACTTCCAAGTATGTGGTCAATTTTGGAATAGGTGTGGTGTGGTGCTGAAAAAAATGTATATTCTGTTGATTTGGGGTGGAGAGTTCTGTAGATGTCTATTAGGTCCACTTGGTGCAGAGCTGAGTTCAATTCCTGGGTATCCTTGTTAACTTTCTGTCTCGTTGATCTGTCTAATGTTGACAGTGGGGTGTTAAAGTCTCCCATTATTAATGTGTGGGAGTCTAAGTCTCTTTGTAGGTCACTCAGGACTTGCATTATGAATCTGGGTGCTCCTGTATTGGGTGCATATATATTTAGGATAGTTAGCTCTTCTTGTTGAATTCATCCCTTTACCATTATGTAATGGCCTTCTTTGTCTCTTTTGATCTTTGTTGGTTTAAAGTCTGTTTTATCAGAGACTAGGATTGCAACCCCTGCCTTTTTTTGTTTTCCATTTGCTTGGTAGATCTTCCTCCATCCTTTTATTTTGAGCCTGTGTGTGTCTCTGCATGTGAGATGGGTTTCCTGGATACAGCACACTGATGGGTCTTGACTCTTTATCCAATTTGCCAGTCTGTGTCTTTTAATTGGAGCATTTAGTCCATTTACATTTAAAGTTAATATTGTTATGTGTGAATTTGATCTGTCATTATGATGTTAGCTGGTTATTTTGCTCGTTAGTTCATGCGGTTTCTTCCTAGTCTTGATGGTCTTTATATTTTGGCATGATTTTGCAGCGGCTGGTACCAGTTGTTCCTTTCCATGTTTAGTGCTTCCTTCAGGAGCTCTTTTAGGGCAGGCCTGGTGGTGACAAAATCTCTCAGCATTTGCTTGTCTGTAAAGTATTTTATTTCTCCTTCACTTATGAAGCTTAGTTTGGCTGGATATGAAATTCTGGGTTGAAAATTCTTTTCTTTAAGAATGTTGAATATTGGCCCCCACTCTCTTCTGGCTTGTAGAGTTTCTGCCGAGAGATCTGCTGTTAGTCTAATGGGCTTCCCTTTGAGGGTATCCCGACCTTTCTCTCTGGCCGCCCTTAACATTTTTTTCCTTCATTTCAACTTTGGTGAATCTGACAATTATGTGTCTTGGAGTTGCTCTTCTCGAGGAGTATCTTTGTGGCGTTCTCTGTATTTCCTGAATCTGAATGTTGGCCTGCCTTGCTAGATTGGGGAAGTTCTCCTGGATAATATCCTGCAGAGTATTTTCCAACTTGGTTCCATTCTCTCCGTCACTTTCAGGTACACCAATCAGACATAGATTTGGTCTTTTCACATAGTCCCATATTTCTTGGAGGCTTTGCTCATTTCTTTTTATTCTTTTTTTCTCTAAACTTCCCTTCTTGCTTCATTTCATTCATTTCATCTTCCATCGCTGATACCCTTTCTTCCAGTTGATCGCATCAGCTCCTGAGACTTCTGCATTCTTCACGTAGTTCTCGAGCCTTGGTTTTCAGCTCCATCAGCTCCTTTAAGCACTTCTCTGTATTGGTTATTCTAGTTATACATTCTTCTAAATTTTTTTCAAAGTTTTCAACTTCTTTGCTTTGGTTTGAATGTCCTCCCGTAGCTCGGAGTAATTTGATCATCTGAAGCCTTCTTCTCTCAGCTCGTCAAAGTCATTCTCCGTCCAGCTTTGTTCCGTTGCTGGTGAGGAACTGCGTTCCTTTGGAGGAGGAGAGTCGCTCTGCTTTTTAGAGTTTCCAGTTTTTCTGCTCTGTTTTTTCCCCATCTTTGTGGTTTTATCTACTTTTGGTCTTTGACGATGGTGATGTACAGATGGGTTTTTGGTGTGGATGTCCTTTCTGTTTGTTAGTTTTCCTTCAAACAGACAGGACCCTCAGCTGCAGGTCTATTGGAGTACCCGGCCGTGTGAGGTGTCAGTCTGCCCCTGCTGGGGGGTGCCTCCCAGTTAGGCTGCTCAGGGGTCAGGGACCCACTTGAGGAGGCAGTCTGCCCATTCTCAGATCTCCTGCTGCATGCTGGGAGAACCACTGCTCTCTTCAAAGCTGTCAGACAGGGACATTTAAGTCTGCAGAGGTTACTGCTGTCTTTTTGTTTGTCTGTGCCCTGCCCCCAGAGGTGGAGCCTACAGAGGCAAGCAGGCCTCCTTGAGCTGTGGTGGGCTCCACCCAGTTCCAGCTTCCCGGCTGCTTTGTTTACCTAAGCAAGCCTGGGCAATGGCGGGCGCCCCTCCCCCAGCCTCGCTGCCACCTTGCAGTTTGATCTCAGACTGCTGTGCTAGCAGTCAGTGAGACTCCACGGGCGTCGGACCCTCTGAGCCAGGTGCGGGATATAATCTCCTGATGCGCTGTTTTTTAAGCCGGTCGGAAAAGCGCAGTATCAGGTGGGAGTGACCCGATTTTCCAGGTGCCGTCTGTCACCCCTTTCTTTGACTAGGAAAGGGAACTCCCTGACCCCTTGCGCTTGCCAAGTGAGGCAATGCCTCGCCCTGCTTCACCTCGCGCATGGTGCGCGCACCCACTGACCTGTGCCCACTGTCTGGCACTCCCTAGTGAGATGAACCCGGTACCTCACATGGAAATGCAGAAATCACCCATCTTCTGCGTCACTCACGCTGGGAGCTATAGACCAGAGCTGTTCCTATTCGGCCATCTTGGCTCCTCCTTATACTTTTATCTTTTTGGTCTTTTCTGAATTTACCATCTGTTTGAGTTATCCATCTCTGCATAGTAAACTACCTGAAAACTTAGTGAATAAAACTAAAATGTATTGGAATCCATCATGGGTCTGTGGGTTCACTGTGTGCTCAGCTTGGTAATCTTCGCTTGGAGTCTCTCATTGATGGAATTCAGGTAACTGCTGTAGCTGAAGCTACTGGAAGATTTGACTGAGTTGGACATCCAAGTAGTTTCTACTCTCACATTCCTGGCATCTGGCTTCTGGGATGAATGGCTATTTCTCTCTCTCTCCCTCTCTCTTTGTTTTTCTCTCTCTTCTTTCTCTCTCTCCACATGGTCTTTCCATGTGGCTAGCTTAAGCTTCCTCATACCATGGTGGCTTTGGAGTTCCAACTGCTGTTTTTCTAAGGGAGAGAAATTAGAGGTTGCCAGTCTCTTACACCTGGGCCCAGAAGTTGGCTCAGTAATACTTCTAATGTATTCTATTTGTCAAAACAATCACAGGGTTTGCCATATTAAAAGAGTGAAGAATAGATACTGACTTTCAGTGGGGGAACTTTCAAACAATGTGTGATCTTCTTTAATGAGACACATCATAAGAATGAGAAAATTGAACATCAACTGATACATTTTCTCAAAATTGAAACAGAAAAAAGAAAACAAGTCACTTATTTGATAGTCACTTTTTTTCTACTATAGGCATTATGTCTGACATGTCAAGATACAATTTGATTGCTTTTTGTTTGTTTCATAATAGAATTTTAGGGTATGTGAACCAAATCACATTTTCCAAGGACAGAGTCTAATATCTACAAGTCTGAGAGAATCTATTTTCTTCCAAATTGGGCCTTTGCCTCTCAGTGATTTGTCATTATTGTCTTTGTGATTCGAGAGGGTGGACTATAGATTCCACCTCCTCAGTCTCACACAGCTGAGGTGAAGAGGATGATATCTGACAGAGCCAGGGAAAGCAAGGATGTTAGTTTTTTTTCTTTGGGGGTTGTTTTGTTTTGTTTTGTTTCTGTGAGCAGCTAGAATAATTTTCATAGGTAAATATAGATTTAATGATGAAGACAACAAAAGATGTGAGTGTTTGTTAATAAAAATGGAAATTATATTCACTTTCCAGTTTCCCATGGATACATGTGACGAGTGGTGGGCTAATGAGTCGGGTTGGTTAGAATTCAGCAACCAGGCCAGGCGTGGTGGCTCACGCCTGTAATCCCAGCACTTTGGGAGGCCGAGGCGGGTGTTGGTCGAGACCAGCCTGACCAACATGCGAAATCCTGTCTCTACTAAAAATACAAAAATTAGCCAGGCGTAGTGATGTGCGCCTGTAATCCCAGCTACTCAGGAGGCTGAGGCAGGAGAACTGCAGGAACCCAGGAGCCAGAGATTGCAGTGAGCTGAGATTGCGCCACTGCATTCCAGCCTAGGCAATACAGCAAGACTCCATCTCAAAAAAAGAAATAGAAAAGAAAAGAATGCAGCAACCAAGTTCTCTGTTTAACTCCTTAATGTTCCTGTTTACCAAGGGTGACAGTATGACATTACATCCAATATAATACTTAGGAGTGAGGGCTCTAGAGCTTAACTCCATAAATTCTGATTGCATTGCTTACTAGCTGGAGAACTTTGGCCCAGATAATCAGCCTCTCTGTGCCTATATTTCCTTTTCTGTGATATAGGGAGATGTCATACCTATTTCAGAGGTTTATAACAATTGAGATGCTATGTGCAAGTGAGAAACAGTTAGGGGGCTACATACTCAGGTGCCCACTGTGCATTTGCATGACCCTAAGAGTGAGAGACTCCTTAAAGTTTACACCGTAGGCTCTTAATTTGTGTTACTATAATCCAGGCCCTGAACATAGAGTCTTTTAAGTATCAAACCAAAAAAATCTATGTTTAACATTCATTGGACTGGTCAACTAGTACCATTTATCACTGTTAAAACCCCTAACATTGGGTATGTTGATTAATAGAGCATTGGTTACTGATCAAATACAGAGCACAGAAGCCCCTGGAGCAACTGCCCTGGAGTGTGGTCCTTTTTGATACTGATACGGGAGCGGGGCAGGGAAGTGCTGGGAAGGAAACGGAGTGGTCCCTGCCTAGGGCTCCACCTCCGGCCCTGTGCCCACGGACCTAGGTGAGGACGGGCACTCCTGCCTTTGTGCCCAAATGTTGCATTTCCCAAGACCACCCTGGCCCACCATGCCCCCGTCGTGTGCCTATAAAAACCCCAAGACCCTAGCAAACAGAGACACAAGTGACTCATCGTCGAGAGGAACACACCAGCAGAAGAACACACAAGCGGCTGGACATCGAGAGGAATGCACTAGTTTAAGAGTACACCAACAGGCACCAGCAGGCCGGCAGGCCATCAACCGGAGGAACGACATGGAGTTTGACTGGGGAGTCCCGACTCCAGGGAGAAACCATCTTCCCACTCCATCTCCCTTCCGGCTTCCCCATCTGCTGAGGGCTTTTTCCACTCAATAAAACCTTGCACTTATTCTCCAAGCCCATGTGTGATCCAAATCTTCTGGTACACCAAGGCAAGAAACCTCAGGATACAGAAAGCCCTCTGTCCTTGTGATAAGGCAGGGGGTCTAATTGCGCTGACTAACGCAAGCTGCCTACAGACAGCAAAACTAAAAGAGCACCCTGTAATACACGCCCACTGGGGCTTCAGAGGCTGTAAACATTCACCCCTAGATGCTGCCATGGGGTCAGAACCCCACGACCTGCCTGTCTGCATGCTCCCCCAAGAGGTTTGAGCAGTGGGGCACTGAAGACACCAGCCACTCCCTCTGTCACACACTCTGTGAGGGGGATAAGGGAACTTTTCTCCTTTCACTATGACACAAGTAACCACCCTTAAACCATGAATTCTTGATTAAAGCAATGACTGGCTAGAAAATTAAATCTTAAGGTAACTGAAATTTGCATTATCTTATTTTGTCTATGCTAAAGTATTTTAAAGCAAAGTACAGCTGTCATAACAAATGAGACTATCCCAGGAGACTGTCAGGTGTATGTCAGTCTCAGACATATCCAGAAGAAAAAATGTAGAGATGATATATCCAGGAATTCTTCCATCTTCTGACATATAAAATTATTTCTTATCTCCTTCCTCACACCTGGGCCTATCCTGCTGAGGTATAACAGATAATCATTACTTATTTGGTATTTGGACCCCAAATTGCCAGGCATCCACTTCCCCTGTTCTTCCTTTCTTTCATTTCCTCCCAGGAGCCATAAGTTGAAGAAAGTATTTCCCATTACAGAGTGTGAACAACTTGTGCCCTCAAACTTAATAAGCTCCCATTTACTCAGATGTGTGGCTACTGGTCCCTGTCTTTTGTCCCTAATTTCAACCTTTCTCCTAAGGAAGTGAATACCCAAAAAGATTTACTAATTTATCAAGTGCTTTGGCTACATTATTTGTGAATAGTCTCCTCCCATGGCAGTGACTTGGACACTAGGGAGGATCTGGCTGGTTCATGTGTCAGTTGTATTTATTTTTATTTATTACATACATATTCAGAAAGAAAATTATTTACCTGTGCATTTCCATGGTTTCTATTGCCATGGCAGCCAAGATATTGTATTGCAAAGACAAGAAACAGAGAGACAGAGTTATTAGTAACGGGATTGAGGGGGATGTTTGCAAGCCCCTGGAGCAATACTTCAGATACCCAGGGCTTTTGGGGGGTAGAGCTCACCTGTGGGGGTGGTTGATTGGCTGTTGTTCAGCTCATCTTAGAGAAGTAAAACAAGGAGATCAGATAAAATGTTGGAAAGGTAATTATGTTCTACAGGAGTTCAGCTCTCATCTTTCTGGGTTGGTGCCCTTTAAAAAATTGATGGTTCTTTACGTGCTTAATTAAAGTTTGGAATGGCTGCTCACCTCCATAAATCATTTCTCCTACCCAAGGAAGCAGTGTTGGCTGTGGCAGTGAGGAGTAACCAGGGCTACACTGAATTCCCTGGGGCTAAAAACTGAATGCTATTTATTGGAGCACTGGAAGAACATTTTCTATGCTGAATGCCATAGTTCACTCTGCAGTCACTGAGAGCTGAGAGAGTTCCAGCTGATGCTTTCTTTAACTGGCTGATTTTCTTTCCAAGGCAAGCTGGAAGAGAAGTACATTCAGAATGACAAGGGTTGAATAGCTTGAATCATCACCTAGGTAATCAACTGTAATGCTAGTTCTCTAAGGAACTAAAAGATGAAGCTTTCTTTTAGAATTTCCATTTAATTTTCCCAGTTTGTCTTTAGAAGCAGGGGTATGGTTAAGTACAAGTACCCCATTTCCCAGGGAAGGTCATTGAGGCCCAGATGGAAAGGGACATCCTAAGAGGCACACAACAAATGAACAATGGAAACAAACAAAAAAAATAACGTTATGAATTTGGGATGGAATTAGAGATCAGAGCTAACAAACTGAGCTGTTATTTCCTGAGCAACTCTGGCTTCAGTGCAAGAATTTAGCAAAAACATTTTGTCTCCTCTAATCCTTCTCCTTAGTTCTTTTGGAGCATTTCTGAGTGGGGACAATGCCCTTGTCTGGTCAGTATCACACTGGGCTGAACACTGGCTTCTAGTCAGAATCTTCTAGTTCAATCACCTTTGTTTTCACTCATAAAGTGGTAGAATGTTAAGGTCCACAATATTGCCTGCATTCTGCAGCCACCCATATGTCACCACCTACCTGCTTTATCTCTTTGTCACATTTTCATCTCTTTCTACTTCAACTTTCCTTTGATTCATCCCCAAAAGCTTTCCCCTAGGCCACTTGGCAGTATTCCCTCACTAGTCAAAATCTGGTGGGTCTTTCTTGAGTGAGCTCTCAGAGCTGACCTCCTTTTTTAAGACATCTATTTGCATGCAGGTGGCCATCGATGACATCAATGGTTTTGCAGTATTGAGCCACATTTTGGATTTTACCTAGAAGATGTGCAGAATATAAATGTTTTCATGAGGTATGTGGGCCAATTTCTCATTCAGGATGAGAAATGTTGCAGTTGAAAAAATTTGGAAACATAAACTGGCTGCTTAGTTTCTGTGGGTGTTTTCATTCATTTATTTAATATGAATGCATTAAGAAATATGAGAAAAACAGTTTGGTGCTCAGAAAATCATACTACAGTCCCTCTCCCCTAGAAGCTTACAGTTTGGCTAAAAGGAAAAGCAATATAAGGCAAATATAGTGCAAATCAAATAAGTACATAGACAATAAGGAGTCTATAAAGCAATTTAAAGGCATAGAGGATGGAAATGTTGGAAGAGACTTTGCTGAGGAAATTGCCATCAGCTGAGGGTAGGTCAAAAGCTAATAGAATTAACATAAGGCCATTCATGTAAATTAAAATACACATACAAAATAACACTATTTTTCAAGGACATGTGTTTGATCCCTTACAACAAACACATTAGTGTGGGTGTCTTTGAATAGGGAGAAACAGGAATGAGTATGAGGGTAAACAGAAAATAAAATAAAAGTAAGAATTTGCTCAAATTAGTAATTATAATGTGCTATGAAATACAAATAATTCACCTTCAATCTTTATTAGCAATGTGACCTCGGATAAGTCTGTCAATCTTTATCTTAGATACAGCAGGATGGCCTCATCTATAAAACGAGAATAATAATATATTATTTTCAGAGTTGTTTGTAGAATGGAATGAAATAAAGTATGGAAAGTACTGTCTTAGTCCGCTTGGTCTGCCATAACAAAGCTCTGCACATGGGGTGGCTTAAGCAATGTAAATTTCTCTCTCATAGTCCTGAAGACTGGGAAGTCCAAGATTAAGGTGCCAACTCTCTTTCTGGCTTATAGATGGCCACTTTCTTTCTGTGTCCTCGCATGGCAGACAGAGAGAGAGAGAGAAAGAGAGAGAGAGAGAGAAGAAGAAGAGGAAGAAGAAGAAGAAGAAGAAGAAGAGGAGGAGGAGGAGGAGGAGGAGAAGTTGGAGGAGGAGACAAATTCAAGGAGAAAGAGAGAGAGAGGGTGCTAGCTCTCTCTGGTATCTATTCTTATGAAGATATTAATCCTATCATATCAGGTCCCCACCCTTGTGACTTTATCTAACCATAATTACCTTAAGTCCTATCTGCAAATACAGCCATATTGGGGTTTAGGGATTTGACATGTGAACGTGGAGTGGGACACAATTTAGTCCATACCAAGTATCTAGCACAGCTTCAGAAACATAGCAAGTATTCAAAATCTGTTCTCTCTTCCCCAAACCATCAACCTCCTATCTTAACCCTTTTTCACATGGTACTAACAAGATACCAAATAGAGACTTTGGGTTAAAATATAAGTGGTGTCTATTTTATAGATTATCAGAAGGAATAAACTCAGTAACTTATTTGAATTTTGCATAATATTTCATTTTATCTTTTCTTATTGTTTTGAAACCTGTATTTTTTACTCAGCCATATGTTCTGAATAATTATCCATTTCACTAAAGGTAAGACTAGATCACTTTAGCTAGTATATAATATCATAATTCTATGTGTGACTATTCTGTAATTTATTATCTATTGTGTCATTATCTTATCTGCTGATTGACATATTATCTACTGATTTTGATCTTATCTGCTGATGGATATATTATCTACTGATTTGCTATTGTATACAATGTCTTGATGAACAGATGCCTACAAACACAATTGCACTTGTGTGTGAGTTCATGTGTGTGTGTGTGTGTGTATTTGTGTATGCGTGTGTGTATTTGTGTATGCTCATCTTCAGGTTTCATGCAAATTGCTACATGGCTATTCAGAATATTCACTGTGCTTTATTTTTTGACTATTCTCAGTTTACTTTGTTTCACATTCTGTGACATTCCATCAGTCTAGCACCTGCAACCATTGTCTCCTCCAGGTATTTCTCACATTTTGTCCTCTTTCCCAGCCTATACTTCGGCAGATAACCTCAACACTTACCTTGCTGAGAAGAAACCCTGCCATGTTCTGCAAAGCCACTTACTCAACTTGCCAACTTTTAAAATTAAACACCCTGAATTGGGAGAATCATGTGGCTGCACTAGATTTCTTGTGTTAATAAAATTCAAATTAAATGCAAGCTCTAGGCCAGAAGTAAAAGGCCATGGACAAGAGAAAGAGTGCCAATTATTTCTTCCAAGCAACAGAAATGGGACTTTTCTCCACCTGGCTGGATTTTTCTTTTCTTTTTTTTCTTTTTCTTTCTTTCTTTCTTTTTTTTTTATTTCACCCTCTCCCTTCTTCCCTCACAAACTTTTTTTGTCCTAACTGTGCCTATTTTTCTACCCCTGCCCATATGTTGCAATGAGAGACTTCTTAAAATCTCTTTTCCTGGCAGATGCTGATGTGTTAGCTGGTCAATAGCTGGGGAATGAAATAAAAATACAAATTTTGTGCCTTGAGAATATCAAGAGGAAACTACCCTCCATTCCAATCTCTCTGCATATCCTATTTTACCAGTTCTTTAGGACATCCTCTCAAGGAACTCTTTCTTCTTCCTAAAATACAACTTGGATTAATTGAGTACTTAATTATATACTCTTTGCCAAGTGTTTTCAGAGTGTGAATTTTGTTTACCTCAACAAAATTGTGGGGAAATTTTGTTTTCCTCAACAAAATTGTGGGGAAATTTTGTTTTCCTCAACAAAATTGTGGGGAAATTTTGTTTTCCTCAACAAAATTTCCAAAGGCAGAAATTTTGTATTCTCTTCTTTTTTCTGCCTCATTCCTACTATGCTTATAAATAGTAAATAGTAGGGCTTCCATAAACACTTATTAATAGTTCAACAAAAATATTGGAGAGGTGAGGAAGAAGGTGTGGACCTAACACTTATCCTCAGATGACCTAAAATCTAATAGTGTATCCAGGATACAAACATTACAATGTTAAAGAACATTTCCCACAGCAGATAAGGAATCATCATTTATATCCAGCTGTAGAATGGAGAATGCCAAATTATCTAACTCTTGAATCACAGTGCTCTTTTCACCAATCTCTTTTATTTCATATAGCACTTTTAACTTTGCAAACTTTTCAAAGAGTTTTTGTCTACATACATTATGCTTCAGGAAAGAATTAAAGATTTTAAAAGTCATGAAAAAGTTTCTGCTGGGATAGTAGGAGTTGAATATAAACTGTGGCTTTTTCTTATAAAGCATACCTACTTTTTTCTCATTTATAGCTTTTTTACAGCTCTCATTTGTGCATTTATTTACTACACTTATTATGCACTCTAGCACCTACTATATGTGTCAGGCACTGTAGTAGGCACTGTGGGTGCTGTAAAAAGTAAGACAGACAAGGACCCAATATTCATGGAGTTTACTGCACCTGAAAGTTGAATGATGAAGTAAGAAACACATTTATAGAAAAGAGAATCTTTCTCCACTCTCTGCCCTCACCTCCCAAAAAGTAATGCCCTTTTTGCGGTGCTTTGTCCAGAGGATCCTTCTAAAACAACAGAACCAAACAGCTCTCTGCTTGGGGAAGCTTGCATGGGTTTTAACTCCTTACATTCAAAAATGGTGCCAGTAGTGTTCACCTACCTCCCACACCAAGTTTCTGCCTTCTGTTTTGTCTTCTTAATTGGGGTCTGCTCATGCTTTCTCTTCCTTCAAGCCTCATAAGAAAGGTAGGGCCTTTGCATTCCTGCTGAGCATTGCTGCCATTGTTTTATCACCCTTAGAATACCTCCTTTATTTCATATCATTCAACCATTTCTGATTTGTCCCCATGTATCATTGATACTGATCTCTGCCCCTCCTCCACCCTTACTGAGAATTTGGGCATCTAATACATGAAAATTCCTTATACTCCTTGTTCTGCTGTGATCCCAGATGATTTTGATTTTTGATTTTTTGGTTTGTCATTTGTTTGTTTGTTTGTTTGTTTGTTTTGACAACAACCTGTCCTCAGCTGAAACCTAAAAATGCTTTGAGAGACCTTTGTCCTCTGTTCATTTCAGCTACCCACATCCACTAACACTCTAGATCTTGAAACCAGTAGAACCTAGAAACATTTCTGTTCTGAAATCTTAACTTCAGTGTCTGACCATCTGGCCAAAACATCCTTCTTTTTCTTCCCAGTCACTCTCTTACATTTGAACAAGAGTTTTTAAACAAATTCTGGAAAGACCAATTCTATGACAATATCAAGATCTACAGACCCAGATTACCTCAGTTGGCCACTTGGCTTTACTTTCTCATATCCTCAGCTAGACTTCATGGTTCATTTTGTGATTTCCTCTCCTTTGCCCTCCTGCAACCAAGCCTTGGTTTCTCTACACCTATTCCAAGACTGCTGAGGAAAAGTATACAACCATGCAGACTGGAGCCAAGACAAATTCATTCCAACTATTTATCTCTCTATCTATATCTATCTATCTAATCTTTCATCTACTCATTGCTTTAACTCTATCAAGACAAATTCATTCCTTCTATCTATTTATCTATCTATCTAATCTTTTGTCAAACTGCTTTAACTCTAATCACTCTCTTTGATTTTTACTCTTTACTTTTTCTCCTTTTCTCTTGAAGTCAAATTCTGAGGCAGATTATCCACACTCATTGGAAACAAATAACTGCAAATAGTTACTCATCTATCTCTCATTTGATCTCCAAATCTGTAAAATCTGTTTTAAACTTCCAACATTTTGTGCAATTGGTTCTCCAGAGTTTAGTCAAGGCATCATTATTTCTAAACCAATGCGTCATTATCATTTATGGTACCACATGTCTTGGCCCATTTTGCATTGCTATAAAGGAAATACCTGAGGCTGAGTGATTTATTTTAAAAAGACTTTTATTTGGCTCACAGTTCTGTAGGCTTCATAGGCATGGCATGGGCATCTGTTTCTGGTAAGGATCTCAGGAAGCTTTTATTCATGGCAAAAGGCAAAGGGGGTGCAGTCATGTCAAATGGAGAGAGTGGGAGCAAGAGAGATAGGTGGAGATGCCAGGCTCCTTTTAACAATCAGATCTCTCAGGAACGAATAGAGAAAGAGTTCATTTATTACTGCAAGGCAGCATCAAGCCACTTATGAGGAATCAGACCCTTGACCCAAACACCTCCCACCAGGTCCACCTCCAATGTTCAGGATCAAATTTCAACATGAGATTTGGAAGGGACAAGCATCCAAATTATACATCACCGCTACAACATTTGCGCATCACCCCCCAAAAATCTGGGTTATTTGATGTCATTCATTGATTCTTCTAACTCTGATGGTTCCATCTCAACCTCTCTTCAGGAGTCTCCTTCCTGCTCTTCTTTAATTAAATTCCCAATTCCACATTCCTTAAGTTCTTTCCTTAATTCACTCTTCTTTTCTCTATATACATAATCCCTCTTTTATACCCAAAGGTCCAACTCCCCCTTAGACACTGATGTCCCCAAATCTTATCCCCAAGTCAAAAATCTCTCCAGAGCTGCAAATCTGTCTGCCCGCTGGGCATTCCACTTGAACATTCTCTAGGCATCACAAGCCCTAAATATTCAAAACTAAATCTACCTTCTTTTCTTTCAAATATGTTCCCCACAAATCTGTGTCTGATGCATAGTTGGTTGCTAAACAGCCTTTAACTGTTCAGCCTTTATCTGATTAGAGAAGACACTGAGCTTGGAATCCCTGAATAACTTATCCAAACAGCTCCTAATTCCATTCAGATCTCTTAGCTCTTCATTTGAAGAGCTTAGAACAATTTATCATCATTAAGTATTCTCCTTCATTATTGAGAATGCTAAGTCTGAGATAAACTTCATTAAATGGGGTCCCCAAGCTTCAACTCATAGGTTTAGTATCGTCTGGAGCTTTCCCCAAGTGGATACAGCAAGTCAGGAGTGGAGTAGGCAATAACCTGCTTTGTGGATTCCTGAGTCAGGCAGGGTGTGATGGCCTGTCCTGACAGCCCACCAGCTCTCAGAGTCTTGCTATTGGAACTCACAGGTGAGATTTATTTGGATGTCTTCTGCAAGTGATGGAAGAGTCTAATCCTTGGATTTAGTTTATTAGTTTGTTTAACCTGTCAGCATTATTCTGATTGTTTAGTGCCAGCGTCATAGGCTACAAGATGCAAAATAGGTGAAGCGGCTAATAAGTTAAGAAAACTCTGATTAAGTTCCATGAGGACTCAACAAGCATTGTACAGGTTAATTGAATTTTTATAGATTAATTCTCCTTTCCCGATTCTAAGAGGTTGTTCTCTTTCAAAGCCCTCTGCCAAACCGGTGATGGGAGAAATTAAAAATCCCAAACTAAATAAATTGTCCCTGCTTTTATCCTGGGGATCATAATGCACAAAGCAGCAAATATGAGGTGTGTAGGGAAGAAATAGTAACTGAGTCTTCGGGTTCTGTGGACACAGCAATAGGTATACAAGGTAAACTTCTGACCTAATAATAAATAATCAATCACACTGAGGATTTATTGACTCTAATGGTTGAAAAAGTTTTCCAGACCTTAAGCAAAATTCTAAGTGGTCTGTGCTTTTCATATTTGAATAAAGTCACACTGGGATTGAGCTGAGGCTACTATATGCTAACTATTATCCATAAATTAGAAACAGATGTAGGTGAAAATATGCATTTTAAATTAATAGAAGTTATTTTTAGGGAAGTTTTAGATTTACAGAAAAATTGAATGGAAAGGACAGAGTTGCTGTATAACTGCCAACACACAGTTTCCACTGTTATTAATATCTTGCATTAGTGTAATACATTTGTTACAATTGATGAACCAATATTGATACATCACTAACAGATTTCAAAGAATGTAAAAAGACATGTATCTACCAATATCATACAGATTCATACAGTAATCATACAGAATAGTGTCGTTGCCCTAAAATTCCCCCTGCTCTAACTACTCATCCCTTCTTCCCCATCTCTGCCACAAACCCCGGCAACCAGTGATGTTTTCCTGTCTCCATAGTTTTGCCTTTTCCAGAATGCCATAGAGCTGGAATCATGGAGGGTATGGACTTTGTAGATGGGATTCTTTTACTTACCTTAAGCTTCCTCCATTTCTTTTCATGGCACATTTCTTTTTATACCTAAATAATATGCCATTGTATAGATATGGAAATATGTATTTTTAACAATAGACCATAGAATCCTCCTGGATCTCAGAGACCCTAAAGAAGAAGTTACACCACTTTCTTCTCTCTCCAATGGGGAAGGATCATGTAGAATTCATTTACTGAGGGAAGACTGGTTTATAAATGGCAACCACATCAGTATACTGTTGAAAAAATTCTTTCTACATTCTCCACCTCAATTGATGCACTATCACAAATTTCTTCCACCCAACCACCTAAAACCTGAAGACTTTAACTCCTAAATTTCTTAAGTTTCATTAAATCTTATATTTCTTAAAAAATTCTCCCATTTCTAACTAGTTCAGACTCTCATCATTTCTCCACTAACCACTGTGATACTCTTCTATTTGGTCTTTCTGATTTCAGCTATGCCCTCCTTCTATCTGTATTCCTCATTATTGCTAGAGAGATCTTTCTGATATGTAAATCTTATGTCAGTCTTCTGCTAAAATCATTTGGTGACTCTTCACTCCCTTTGCATGAAGTTCGAGTCTTTCATCTTGCCTCTCCAGGTGTATTTTTGGTTCCTCTCTGTCTCACACTTTGACCTGTGCCAACACCATTTCTTGTGTAACATTTTTCCTGACCTCTTTGACTGCTTTGCTCTCTTTTCTCTTTCTGAAATGCCATCCTATGACCCCCTAATCAACTTCACTTGAATTTGGACTTAGCTGACACATTCCATATTACAAGATGCCTTTTCTGAAATTACTTTTTCTTTTCTCTCTTCTGTCTAAACTGTGTTGAGTCCCCTGTTCTGTGTTGCAATAAACCTTGTCCATATCTCTCCTTTTGAACCTCCCTTATCATGTCTTTATAAGATTTTCCAATTCCATACAGGCCTTCTACACTACGAAGGCAGAGATTCATTCACCATTAAATTTGCCACCCCTGGCATAGAATCTGATATATATATAACACAGTTTACAGATACTCCTTAAATGAATGTAAGAGCAGATGTCCAAGGCCAAGCTGACTCTTGACTGGTTACTGTGTAGAGCTCTTGTGCTTGAGGGCCCTGACTTTCTCTGTAAGGAGAGGATCAGATAAGATGATTACTGTTGGCCCAAGCCATGGTCTTAGGCAGAAGGAACCTGGAGTGGACTACAGGATTTTTGGTAATGATCCAGTGCTGTATGCTCCTACGTTCGCTGCTAATGTCTCTGGACTCCATTCCAACACTTACAGATTATTTTTCTCTCTGTTCATCACCTGGCATATACCATATTGCCCCACTACCCACCTCTCATCCCCCCTATCTCCCCTGTCTCCCCTTGAGTACAGTCAGAATATAATCCCTGTGAAGCTTTCCCAATAGGAGACTATGAGAGTCATCCCTCACCTGGCTCCCTTGGAGTCAGAGCTGTGAGATCTGGACTTTCTCATGAAATAAGAACCTCTGGGCCGGGCACAGTGGCTCACATCTGTAATCCTACTGCTTTGGGAGGCTGAGGCGGGTGGATCATATTTGAGTTTAGGAGTTCGAAACCAGCCTGGCCAACAGGATGAAACTCTGTCTCTACAAAAAATACAAAAAAATTAGCTGGGTGTGGTGGCGGGCTCCTGTAATCCCAGCTACTCAGAAGGTTGAGGCAGGAGAATCACTTGAACCTGGGAGGCGGAGGTTGCAGTGAGCCGAGGCTGCACAACTGCACTTCAGCCTGGGTGACAGAGAGAGACTCTGTCTCAATAAACAAATAAATAAATAAATAAGTAAATAAATAAATAAATAAAAGAACCCTTGACTTGAAGAGGGAGTTTATTTGAAAAGACTTAGTGACATCAAACTCTACATCTCTGAGAGTCATGATAACAATGCCTACCTCTCACATTTCCCATTCCTCTCTTCTCTCCATCTCTGGCTCAGGTTCCTCCTATTCATTCTCTCCTTGGCAATACTGGGAAGCATCCCTGCTCCTTTTGCTTGGAGTGGCCATTTGCCTTTCTCAGTGTTTAAGGTCAAACTAGACCAGCTCTGTTCACTTATAAAATATCAGACACCTTTCCCCTCTGTCACTTGAGTAAAGAGTAGCTGCAAGGAATGTGGGAGAGGCAGAACAGAGTTCTGACGTGTTTAACCTACTTCTTTAGTCTTTTCTTTAGAGAGTTTCAGCTATCTTTTCCTGACCAAGAAATATTAGCTGTCTTCTTAATGAAGATTGAGGTATCTTGAGAGGGTTGTCTAGAAACCTACTGACAAATGTGACTGTAATTCCTTAAGACAGGACTGTTTTTTGAGAAAGTACCCTTTCAAGTACCATGCAAATTAGATCTAGATTTTCTGCTTGCTGAGAAAGAAGGGAACTAATATGAATTGAGTGTCTATTCGGCACCAGGCATAAAGCTCAGTGATTTGCATAAATAGCTATCATTTCAAATTTTTCAACAACCATAATAATAAAATTTGCCAACATTTGTTGAACTCTAATTACATGTCAGGACCTCTGTTAACAGATTTACTTGACCAATTTAATTTCAGCCTCACAACCACACAGAATATAGGTATTTTTAAATTATCCTTGCTTTTCAGATAAGAATAAAACATAAAGAGAAGTTAACCAACTTGACCACAAAAACATAATTAGTAAAGCAAGTCTCAGGTTTGTTCTAGGACCAAATGAATCTGTGCCCAGTCTTCTACATAGGATGCTATGCTGATTTTTGACTGCAGGAGACAGGCATTGTTGTTATTATTATTTTCAGTTTACAGTCCAAGAACACAGTTTGAAAACAGAGACAAAACAAGGTTGGAAAATCAACCTTGTCTCATCCTCAACACAAGGTCTTCAACTCACACTCTGATGGAATAGAAACTGGAGGTTCTGACCCAGGATCCACGTCCTGAAGTGGGGCCTTGTGAATGAGGTGTGGGCTAAGAAAAGCACTACATCACGCTATCCCAGGGACACCCCGAAACAATCTCTCCAGGTTCCTCTGACTCCAGGCTACTTTGTTGTTGTGTAAACATCAGTTATTTCTATTTTGGTCTTGAAGTCTCTACTGGGAGAGGGGCTATCAATTCCTGCCCTGCCCTAATGAGCTCCAGGGGAGGTGGTCATGTATATTTACAAGCGTGTCTTTCAGGGTGCACTTCTTAATCCTGGTGGACAACCTAATGTCTAAAAGTCCAACTCATGACCAAGTGTCCCTCTCACAAGAAACTTATTTATGCTGTCAGATGTCTTTATGGCTCTTGTCTGACTTCTCTTCAGCTTCTTTCTACCAAGACAGTCACTCTCTAGGAGAGCCCTGATGAGGAAAGGGTTAGGTTCAGCCGTGTTGATGAGGCAAGGCACAGAGGAGACCACACAACAAAACACATGAAATTACAGAAGCAATTTTATTACTTACAGATTCCAGGGAGAAGAGGGCTGCAGCCTTCACAGGACCAATGGGAAGTGGGGGCTGAGGGAATGCCTGGATGCCTGGGACACACACTTAACAAGCAGATGAAGAATAAGAGAGAGAGCGAGAAAGATAGAGAGATAAGAGAGACTCATGGATCAAAGTCTTCACTGAGATCCAGAGCATTACCCATGCAGATTTCCCTCAGGACATTCTAACTGGTGGATTTACAGCAAGCAGTCTGAGCTCAGTAGAGTATGCTGCTACTGGGAGCACTCACTGTGGCACATATTGGCAGTCCATGCAGGGTGTGGGGGCCAGTGGGGCAGGTCAAGTAGCATGTATCTAGCTGTCCTTTACGGATGTGGTCACTAGGAGCTGGTTGTATAAGGCACATATCTAAATCGATCACACTGAGGAACTGGGAGCAGGTAGAAAACTGGAAACTGCGTCAAGGGTGACTGAAATTCTGCTTCTGGTACGAAAAACTTAAATTTATATTGAAAATGGATGCCAAGGCAACATAAAGTTATAAGAATTCACTACATTTATTTATTCACAGTACATGTAACTCTAGAGAAGGAACAAAGAAACTGGTGTATCCATCCCAGAACAGTATCTTAGTATTCTAAAACTGGTTGAATCACAGAAAAATACATTGGATTTTAATGCAATTTCCACTCTGGTGTTTCCACTTACATTAAGGGATTGAATTTCCAAGGCTCACCCAGGTGAGGCAGACTAATGTCCCCAGGAGAAGTCACTTGTCAGACAAATAGGATATCCCAGGTGGCCAAATATACCTTGATTGCAGACTCATAAACCGAAGGATTAAGCGTACCTCATAGAATGAGGGAAAAGATCTCCCTCAATGGTTCTTTTTCTGTTAAAATACATGGCACTATTGTAAGAACTCAATAAACGTCTGCTAAGAACTCAATAGGTATCTATTGTGGTTATAAAGATGAAAAATTGAGCAAAGCCAAATTGGGAGTAAACTTTGGGTAACCAGAGATAGACATTGTCAGAGTTTTTGGTCATAAGGGAGACATGTAGACTCTTTTTAATATGGCACTTGGGCTCATAAAAGATCTGGACAGTGAGGCATGAAGAAATGAATTGCTGACTAAAGTAGTGGGTTTTATTGAATACCAACTGATCTTATCCGCCATCCTTATGCATAAACTGTAGAGTAAAATATTCAATGAGATCTTCATCTTTGTAGAGAATTCCAAACTATCTTGAGTGTGACAAACCAAGATGACAAGGAAAGACTATAGTGGGGTTTTGTACAAAATTTGTGGGAGTGGACATAATAGTGACAAGGGGAATTCTGTGTGTACAGAGGCAAAGCAGTGCATTTCAGGTTACTAGTCATAGGGATTGAAGGGAAGAAAATGTCAAGTGATTATAAAACAAAACTTGAATATTTAATTGGGAAAAAAGTTTAAAAATTGTTATAGGACACACAAATATATATATACACACACACACACAAACACATCTCCGTGAGTATATATGCATATATGTAGATACGTGTGTGTGTATATATATACATATATATACACATATATATACATATATACATATATACATACATATACATATATACATATATATACACATATATATATATATATATTTCTGCATGTATACAGGTAAATTCAGGTGCACAGATGCAGATTTGATCCTGATCCTAGAGTTTGTGTTACTACCTTTATTAATCTGTGCATGGTATGGTATCTTTTCAATGTTTTATTATATTCTACACTCTTTTTGCTTTCTCGATCTTACCCCAGTAGCTACCCACAGTTAATTTACATTATTGCTTACATAGATATTATTTTATATAAAGAATTCTGACTATTCCACACATGACTTTTTCTGAAACCTACCAATGTTGACATCTCTCTATCCACCTGTCAATATAGGTTAACATAGATCAATCTATAGATAGATAGAAATTTAGAACATTTCTTTGGGAGAGTATTCAGCCTTAAGAAACAAGGCACTTGGCCGGGTGCGGTGGATTATGCCTGTAATCCCAGCACTTTGGGAGGCTGAGGCAGGTGGATCACGAGGTCAGAAGATCGAGACCATCCTGGCTAACACGGTGAAACCCCATATCTACTAAAAATACAAAAAAATTAGCTGGGCATGGTGGCGGGCACCTGTAGTCCCAGCTACTTGGGAGGCTCAGGCAGGAGAATGGCGTGAACCCGGGAGGCAGAGCTTGCAGTGAGCTGAGATCGCACCACTGCACTCCAGCCTGGGCAACAGAGCGAGACACCATTTCAAAAAAAAAAAAAAAAAGGCAATCTTGTCTTTTACGACAACATGGATTAAACCCATAGGACACTATGTTAAGTCAAACACATCAGGCACAGGAAGATAATCACCTTTTTATCTCACTTAACTGCAGAATCTAAAGAAATTGAACTCACTCAAGCAAAGTAAAATGGTACTAAGGGATTGAGGGATTCTTGGTCAAAAGGCAGAACATTTCAGTTAGACAGGAGGAGTAAGTTCAAAGGATCTATTGTACATCATGACAACTACAGTTAAGAACAATATATTATATATTTGAAAATTACTAAATAGATGTTGTGTTGTCACAAAAAATGTATGTAAATAATGCATATACTAATTAGTTTGATTTAGACATTTCAAAATGTATACATATATCAAAGCATGTTGTGTACCATAAATACACATAATTTTTGTTAATTAAAAAATAAAATTAAAAAAGGCAATTTAGAACATTTCTTTTGACTGATGAATAACACTCCATCCTTCTAATATAACACACTTTTGGTGGACACAGGCTGTTTTAAATTTTAGGTATTGCAGACAATGCTGAAAGCAATATTTTTGCCCCATTTATGCATACCTCTGGGTATCTGTGTGAGAATTTTTCCATATCTAGTATTTGAAATGTGCATATTTAATTTTATTACATACTTCCAAATGGCTCTCCAGAATAACTATAATAGTTTTCAAGTCCAGTGTTTTCAACATTCTCACCAGAACCTGTTTTCATCTGACTTTAATTTTTGCCAGGCAAATGGCTATAAGATGATGTATTAACATTATTTTGAATTGCAGGTTTTTGATAACTAATGAGATAAGACATCTCTACATGTGCATTAGCCATTCTGGTTTTGCCTTTTGTGGAATCCCATTCATAGTTTCCTCAGCTTTCTGTTGAGATTACTATGTTTCTTTTGCTGATTTGTAGGCATAAGATATACTCTAGATATTAATCCTTTTTTAGTCATACATATGATAATTTCTTCTCCCACTCCATAACTATTTAATACTTAATAATTTTTTGGTTTTCTAACATTTATTTTATTTTTTAAACTGACACATAATAATTGTACATATTTATGGTTACACAGTGATAGTTTGATACATATAATGTATAGGGATCAGATCAGGGTAATGAGCATATCCATCATCTCAAATGTCGATCACTTCTTTGTGCTGGGAATGTTCGACATCCTCCTTCTAGCTATTTGAAATTATATCAGATATTATTGTTATCTATAGTCTTCCTACAGTGCTATAGAGCACCGGAACTTACTCCTCCGATCTAGCTGTAATTTCGTATCCTTTAACAAATCTATCCTTCCTTTTCCTCTACCTTTAGTATCCTCTATTCTACTTTTTACTTCTATGAGATCAACTTTTTTAGCTTCCACATATGAGTGAGAACATGTGGTGTTTAACTTTCTGTTCCTTGCTTATTTCACATAACATAATGTCCTCCAGCAATGTCCATGTTGCTGTGAATGACAGGATTTTATTCTTTTTATGGCTGAATAGTATTCTATTGTGTATATATATCACCTTTTCTTTACCCATCTGTTGTTGGACACCTAGGTTGATTTCCTATTTTAACTATTGTAAATTAGGCTGCAATAAGCATGGGGGTACAGAAGTCTCTTCAATATATTGATTTTCTTTCCTCTGGATACATGCCCAGTAGTGGGATTGCTGAAGCATATGGTAGTTCTATTTGTAGAATTTGAGGAACCTCCATACTGTTCTTCATCATGACTTAACTAGTTTAAATTCCTATGAACAGTGTATGAGTTTGATTTTCTCCATAACCTCACCAACATTTGTTTTTTTTCTTTCTGATAATAGCCATCCTAACTGGTGTAAAATGACACTTCACTGTGATTTTCATTTTCATTTCTCTGATGATTAATGATGTTGAGCATTTTTTTGATATATTTATTGGCCATATGGATGTCTTCTTTTGAGAAATGTCTATTCAGATGATTTGTCCATTTTTATTTATTTCGAGATTGAGTTTTGCTCTTGTTGCCCAGGCTGCAGTACAGTGGCATGATCTCGGCTCACTGCAAGCTCAGCTTCCCAGGTTCAAGTGATTCTCCTGCCTCAGCCTTCTGAGTACCTGGGATTACAGGTGCCCATCACCATGCCTGGCTAATTTTTTCTATTTTCTGCAGAGACAGGGTTTCATCATGTTGGCCAGGCTAGTCTCAAACTCCTGACCTCAGGTGATCCACCCACCTCAGCCCCCCAAATTTCTGGGATTACAGTCATGAGCCACAGCGCCCAGCCCATTTGTCCATTTTTAAATTGGATTATTTGTTTTTTTGCTGTTGAGATGTTTGAGCTTCTTGTATATTCTGGATATTAACACAAATACTTTCTCCCATTTTGTAGATTGTCTTTTCACTCTGTGGATTGTTTCCTTTGCAGTGCAGAAGATTTTTAGCTTGATATATTCCCATTTGTTTATTTTTGCTTTTGTTCCCTGTGCTTTCGAGCTCTTATTCATAAAGCCTTTTTTCAGACCAATGTCCGGAAGCATTTCCCCTGTTTTGTCTTCTAGAAGTTTTATAGTTTCAGGTCATACATTTAGGTCTTTGATCCATTTTGACCTGGTTTTTGTATAGGGTGAGAGGTGGGAGTCTGGTTTCATTCTCCTGCATATGGATAACCAGTTACCACCTAATTTTGACATTTTCAAATCCACTAAATGTTTCATTTTATGGTTTTTTTTTTTTTTGCTCTTGAGGTTTTGTTCAAGAAATTATTTTCCTTCTCTATTGCATATTTTCTTCAAATGATTTTGAAGTTTTACCTTTAATATTTTTATTTTTAATCTACCAGGAAATTATTTTTATTTACTCTTTCAGATACAATCTAATTTTAGTTTTCTCCATATTGAAAACAGCCTTCTGGATCTTGCCTATCAATCTCCTTCCTGCTGCCCTATATTGTCTCCTTTATCAAACAGGAAGTTTTATATATATGAGTATATTTTTGTATTCTCCAGACTGTTCTCTTGGTCTATTTCTCTCTCTGTGACCCATTTCTACACTGTTTTAATTACCTTGGCTTTGCAATATGTTTTAACATATCACAACTTTTTTTGAGAATTTTTTTCTTCTCTTCTTGAATCTTTGCTTTTTTATGTGCATTTTATAATCATATTGTGTGATTCCACCTACCCACTCCCTCAAGTTTCAACTGGAGTTGTACTACATATTTGGATTAACTTGGGAAGAACTGATAGATTTTTAATATTAAATCCTCAGTCAAAAAACAAAATTACACAAATTTAGTTTAAAAATCTCAATTGGCTTTATTACAATTCTAGAATTGGGTATCAGTTCATTTTGTAAAATAAAAAGTGTTTCAATGAATCCAGCAGAGGAGTATGGCTTTATAGACAGAAAAAGGACTGAAGAATGCAGAAACAAAGAACAAAAAGCAGATTGATTATTTCAAAGTTATAATACTTTCCTTGTAAGGCAGGAACAAGGAGAAAGAACAATAGAAAAATAACTGATTGGTTAACATCAGGTTACTTCAGGCTACCATATTTGTGTAAGATGAGAGAATTTTGTTATCATACAGATTGATGATTTAAACTGGTCTAATTAGGAGATTGGCTATCTCTGGCTCCTGATTTCTCTAAAGGTCTGATAACAACTTAGTTTTCCTTAGAAACTTTAGCATGTGTAATTCCACTTTGATTTTTAGTTTGGTCTGCTGGTGCCTAGTACAGAAGCTTGATCCAAAACAATGGCCCACTATAATTTTTAACACTCATTTCCACAAATCTGGTACATTTCTCCTTTGCTTCAGTTCTCTTCTGTCCTTCAATAACACTTTATAATTTTCTCCATAAAATTTCTCACATTTTTATTAGTCAATTGCTTTATACTTTGCATTTTTATTTTCATAAATGCTATCTTCTTTTAGGTACATTTTCTAATCAGTAATTGCCAGTATAAAGATACTATTGATTTATTTATGTTGGTATTTTACTTTTCATCATTTTATCTAATGTATCCAATAGCCTGTTTATTCTTTTGAGTTTTCTGTATAAAGGATCATAATATATGCAAATTACAGGAGTTTTATCTCTTATTTTCAAGTACTTAGACTATGTTGCACTTTGTTGGGGGTTTCACTGTATTAGTCGGAACTTCCAATATTATGCTTAAGAGCAATGGTGATAATAAAATATTTGGTATATTCCTAACTTCGACAAAATGTTTCTAAGATTTCTTCATTATGGAGGTTTTTGAAAATATTTATAGTTTGGACAGTTCACTTTTAAATTTTTCATTAAGACCTTTCATTTTTAAATTGAACCTAAGTGCTGAATTATTTTATATGCTTTTCCTACATACATTTAAACCACTCTTATGTTTCTTCCATTAATGTCACTGGTTATCACGTAACCTCAGATTATTAACAGACTCTTCCTCTTCTCAAGACTACTGAAGAAATCTTGTCTTTGCCCATGCACTTATTGGGTGTTGTTGTCCATATAGGAACTAACAGGTGAGGAGAAGGATTTAAAGAAACTTGGGTGCTGCAACCAATTTTTAGAAAACTAAAAGGATTTTTTTCTCTCGTTAAAGATATAAATCAATGCAGAATTGAGAAACTGAGATAGTTAAAGCCAGCATAGCCTGGAGAACTTGAAGTAAATTAGAGAAAGTGGAAGAGAGACTGGGGGCAGATATTCTATAATGAGTAAGACTTCCAGAAAAAAATATTTTTAAGATTGGTGAATGTTACTAATGTCTTTTTCTGAGTAACTGAATAACATAATTGTTCTTCATTTTCTCTGGTTCTTAGACTTGTGTATTTCTTTAGAGTGGCCATCTGTGCTCAGATTGGGCCACAGAGTGGTGAACATTAGGTGATTTACACCTCAGCTTGGAAATCCTAAATTTTCATACTTGTGAAATTTGAGGAATAAAGAAAGCACAGGAATTATAACTTGCATATGTTGATTAACTAAAAAAGCCCAACAGTAGGAAGCTCTAGTCACCAGTGCCTTAAGTATGACTCTGTCCAAATTACTTAGTTGGTGATTGGCCGGGCGCTGTGGCTCACGCCTGTAATCCCAGCACTTTGGGAGGCCGAGGCGGGCGGATCACGAGGTCAGGAGATCGAGACCATTCTGGCTAACACGGTGAAGCCCCGTCTCTACTAAAAATACAAAAAATTAGCCCGGCGTGATGGCGGGCGCCAGTAGTCCCAGCTACTCGGGAGGCTGAGGCAGGAGAATGGCGTGAACCCGGGAAGCGGAGCTTGCAGTGAGCCGAGACCGCACCACTGCACTCCAGCCTGGGCGACAGGGCTAGACTCCGTCTCAAAAAAAAAAAAAAAAAAAAAAGAGGTGATTAACTTAAATGATTTCTAAGGACTTGTTTGGTGCTAATGCTCTACAATCACCTGTCACTATTGGTCAGAATGTGAAATAGTAACAAAAGATGTCCACTCACTGTACTTAAAAGATAGTGCGTCCCCCGGTGACAGTCGCTTAAAAGTCAGCAACTTCCCACATCCCTAATCTTCAATTCAGAGTTGACCCTTTCTCCCATCTTGAGGTGCTCAGTGATCTCATACTATTCTACTACTGCTACAAACCCCCACTCGGTGCTCCCCAATTCTGCCCACCTAGATAGACCCACATTGCAGGCATCACACCATCCTTCCTCTAGCAAAGCTGATCTATTGGTTGCCTCATTTGCAGAAGCAGTCTTCAGACCTTTAAAATGTGGAATTAATGTGGTCAGTCTTTTCCTTTGGAGGTAGTTACACATGCAATTTATTTATGCGTTTTCTCCTAAGGGCAGTCTTATTTTTGTTTTTGTTTTTTATTTGAAACAGAGTCTTCCTCTGTCACCCAGGCTGGAGTACAGTGGGACAATCATGGCTCACTGTAACCTTGAATTCCTGCTCAACAGATCCTTCTGCTTTTCAGCCTCTTGAGTAGCTGGGACAACAGGCACATGCTACCATGCATGGCTGTTTAAAAAAAAAAAAATTGTAGAGACAGGGTCTTGTCACCATGTTGCCCAGGCTGCACTAAAACTCCTGGCCTCAAGCGATCTTCCTACCTCAGCCTCTCAAAGTGCTGGGATTATAAACATGAGCTACTATGCCTGACCTTTACCCAGGCATAAGGTTTTAACTGAAATGTATAACATTAGTCAGTAGAAAGAGGTACTGATAGAAATGTGTAGTTGGCCAGTCATTCTTCTGCAGTTTCCAATAACATAGTCAATGTCTTTTTGCTTACTTGTGAAGTGAACTGTGTATACTTTCATTCATATGTAAAATCTTCTTCTTGACCCTTCATAGTGTGTATACTCTGTCTTTCCTAACCACGCCGTTATTCTCATTTTTCATTCATTCATTTAGCAAGTATTTATTGAGTACTTTGTGTGTCAGAAATTATGACAGGCACCTGTTAGGTATTAGATTGTGTTTAAATGCAAAATCAAACAAAACTTGGAGTAAGAAAAATATTCCTCAACCAGGTTTGAGAGATCCCTATTTAAAAATTATTCCAGGATAGGGGCTAAGGTCTATGCATTGTAGATGAAACCTTTGGTAATACAGGTGTTCCACACCCAGCTTAAATAATACTCTTGACCTTCATTCACAGAACAAAATATACAGCTGGATGTTTGTCACAATTCTAATGTCCCTGCAAAGATGAGATGCATGAATCACACAGCAATCTCATCAAAAAGGTAAGAAAACAAGGGTATGTTTTATCCTGATGGATTTTACTAGCTTATATCCAATCACTTTTATTGTTTCATCTTCCTTTCCAAGAAATGAGTTCCTTTTTTTCTCCTTTCAAAAACTAGCTGGCTGCTTAACGCCCCGTATACAGCTAGTATTAAACTTTATCTCTTTGCAATTAGTGTTTGTGCACAGAGCAATTAATTAGATTACAGTATTGGTCACGTTTGTATCTCACAAGAAACTAAAGGACCAAAATGCTGATGTCTAGAGAAAGAATCACTTCAATGACTTTGATTAATCTGCTATAAAACATCCTCAAGCCCTCCAACAGATGTAATACTTTATCCCTTGGCTCCCGTTTGCATTTTATAGTTGGAGTTGGGAACAGACAGGCTTCATATGTGTGTAATTGCTTCTGAGCAGAGGGACTAGTGTAATAATTTGGACTGAACTCTCCAGTTTATGGTTTCAGAACTTTCTCCAAACACATCAGTCTGGTCACATACCACCATTAAAATATGATGTGTATATGAGAATCAGAGCACTTGCTAGCAGACCTATAACATTAATATTTAAGATTAATTGAACATTTACTGTATGTCAAGAACTATGCTATGTAGTTTGCATGTATTATCTCACCATAATAATACTGGTATAGTTACTATTTCTTTTAGGTAGTTGTGGAAATTAGGTGCAGAGGGGCAAAGCAATTTAGCTAGATTCTCAGCTAGGAAGTAGCAGAGCTGGAGTTCAAAATCAAGCAGACTGACTCCAGAGCTCATGTTCTTGACAAACTTTTTTACTGACTTCCAATACACCACCAAACAGGCCTGCAGTACCACATTAGCTAATGTGGTCCCAAGAGCTCAACTCAAGGAAGCAGAGAGAATGGCCAAGGGACTCTGACAGAAACATGCAGGTCTGTCTTCTTCCTGGGGTCATGAGGAAGAGGGTAGCATTGCTCTGAGGCCTGCCCATAGAGCCCAGCATGGCAGGTCCTTCAGTCTCATCAGGGATTGGGGTGTGTGTGTTTGGGGGTAAGAGGGGAGAAGTGCACAAAGAGAAACTGTAGAATTCTTGGAAAGGAACTCTCCTCATATGACCGCAGGGAGATGGGCAAGACCCGGTGTGAGAACCAAATGCAGCGCTTGTTCAGAGCCTCTCTCACATGGGGACTGAGAGGTCCTGATGACAACAAGGCCTTCCTAGGTGTGCTCTTTGCTGAGGGATGGGGCATCCTTCTGTGCTGTTAGTCATTTTTCCTAACTCACTCACCTAAGGTGAGGAATCATTTTTCCTTTCTAGAGGTCTTTCCTTCTGCTTCAGGCCCTCTAGACTCAGCCACTCCTGTCTCCCTCACTATTGTCAGATGTCTCCAGACTCTAACCACCAGTATTTCAGGCCCAAGGGATCTCAGACTTGTCATTCTCTTTAGTACTGCAGCATTCCCCAGAGGAGAGAACCAGAAATCCCGTAGAAAATGCAGAAGTAGAAGGTATCTCATAGAAGTGATACCTAGGAGTTCTTGCCACACAAACAGGACTGTTGGCATAGAAGTTCTCGTTATGTTGGGTCCAGATATATTTTAGGTCCATGGTATCTGGAGGCTAATGTAAACAACCTCTCAGGAAGAATATGCGTGGGCCTAATTGTGCACAATTTTAAACAGCAATAAAAAAAATTCTCTGGGGTGGAGGGTGGGGTGCAGTGCACCGTTATATTGAGGATCCAGTAGTAATAAGGCTCAGAGAATAGAGACCCCAATGAATGGCTCCAGGTCTAGAATAATTTTAGGCATCTTTCCTCTCAGGGGCATGGACCAAAGTCTTGTTTTGGTCTACATATTCTATTGACCAATTTTCATTTTAACATTTGTTCCAGAGATAGATAGGAATTGTTCCTTGGGGCCCCATTTTGGCTCAGTGTGATCAGTTTATCTTGCACTCTGCTATGCTAGAGTAGGATGTCCATACCACAGCCTAAAAAAGAGTTTCAAATTCTTTCCCTGAGAAAGGCTACACTGTGTTTCCTCCAGACACTTCATTTACTTTCTGATACCCAGGTATGTGAATACTGTTGGTAGTGCCATGAAGTCATCATTTATGGGCAGACTTCTTGCACTGATCCTTTAATGCACAAAGGTTATAATAGGCTCAAAGGCACATTTTGGAAAATGGAAATGAATTAGGGCTTTTGCTTCTAGCCTCACTATGAACCTCAGAGAAAAACAAAAGGATGAATCACTTCCCTAAGTTACTATTTGGGTGTAATAGGTGCACCTTCTCTCTCTAGGGCTCTCCTTCCCTCTTGTTTTCTCTCTTCTTCTTCCTCTCTTTTTCTTCTGACCTTCAATGGTGATTATGATTTTTATTTGATAAGTTGGCCCCACCATTCTTATAGTCTATTTATTTCTTGACTTATTTGACTGAAAAAATTGTTAATAGATTTATTGAGATATAATTTATGCAGCTTACAACTTATTCATTTAAAGTAAATAATTCAATAGTTTCCATATAGTTACAGAGCTGTACAACCATTACCACTATCAATATTAGAACATTTTCATTACAACCAAATGGAATCCTGTATCCATTAGCAGTCAGTTATTTCTCCTCATCTTTATCCAGCCATAAGCAATCACTAAGCTACTTGTCTGTTCCTATGCATTTGCCCAGTTAAGATCTTTCATAAAAATGGAATCTTACAATGCATGGTCTTTTGCGACAGGCTTTTATTTACTCAGCATAGTAAAATCCATTCAAGTTTTAAGATATATCCATATTTCATTCATTTTTATGGTGTAATAATATTCTCTTTTATGTCTTTTATGGATAGAGCACATTTGATTTATTTATTAAACATTTGGCAGAAATTTGAGTTCTTTACACATTTTTGCTACTATGGATAGTGCTACTATGAATATCCACGCACAAGTTTTTGTATGGACCTACGTTTTCATTTCTTTAGTGTATATACATAGGAGTGAAATTTTTGGGTACTGTGATAACTCCATGTTTAACCTTTTGAGGAACTGTCAAACTATTTTCCCAATTCACTTCATCATTTTAAATTCCCACCAGCAATTCATAAGGATTCTAATATCTCTATATTTTACCACCACGTTATTATCTGTCTTTTTAATTATAGCCATATATTTTCACTGATGATGTCTTTTCAAGGACAAAAGATTTTAATTTTTATAAAGTCCAATTTATCTGTCACTTGTGCATTTTTTGGTGTTTTATCCAAGAAGATTACTCCCAAGTTTTCCTAAAAGAGTTTCATAATTTTAGGTTTTACATTTAAGTTTATGAGTATTTTTGTGTTTGGTGTGAGGAAGGTGTCCAAATTCATGCTTTTGTATGTGGATAGATATCAGGATGTCCCAGCACCATTTATTGAAAATATAATTATTTCCCCATTGAATTGTATTGACACCTTTGTTAAAATCCAATTAACCATATATGTAATGGTTTATTTCTGGAATCCCAGTTCTGTTTCAATGATCTTTGTGTCTCTTCTTATGCCTGTACCACACTACTTTTGCAGCAAGTTTTGAAACTGGAAGGAGTGAGTCCTCCAGCTTTTCTCTTATTCAAGACTGTTTTGGCTATTCTGACATCCCAGCATTTCCACATGAATTTTAGGATTTTCTTGTCAATTTCTTCCGAAATGGAAGCTAAGATTGTGTTGAATCTGTAGATCAGTTTGAATAAATTGGCATCTTAAAATATTAGGGGTTTCAATCCATAAGCACAGGCTTTCTTTCCACTCATTTAAATCTTCTTTAGTATTTTCAACAAGTTTTTATAGTTTTCAGAGTATAAGCTTTATATTTCTTTTGTTAAATTTATTCCTAAACATTTTACTATTTTTAATATAATTATAAATTGAATTGTTTTCTTAATTTTATTTTGGATTTTTCATCTCTAGTATAAAGAAATACAACTGATATTTGTATATCCTGTAAACTTGCTAAATTCATTTATTATCCCTAATAGTTCTCTTGTGAATTTCATAAGATTTTTCTATATACGAGATCATGTCACCTGTATATACAGACAATTTTACTTATTTTCAAATTTGAATGCTATTTTTTTCCATCTAATTGCCCTTATTAGAACCTTCACTAGTATGCTAAATGGAATTGAAAAAAGCAGACGTTCATGTCTTGTTCCTGATCTTAAGGGGAAAGCATTCAGTCTTTGATCTTTAAGTATTATGTTACATGTAGGGTTTCCATAGACACCCTTTATTATGATGAAAAAGCTACCTTCTATTCCTGGTTTGTTGAGTGTTGTTGTGGTGGTGGTTTTATCAATAATGGGCATTGGGTTTGTAAAATGCTCTTCCTGCATCTATTGGGATATTTATGTGGCTATTGTTCTTTGTTCTACTGATGTGGTGCATTCCATAAAATGATTTTCACAGGTTAAACAAATCTCGCATTATTGGGATAAATCCGACTTGATTATGGTATATGTTTCTTTTCATATGGTTAGATTCAGTTTGCTACTCTTTTATTGAGGACTTTTGCATCATCATTCATAACAGGTAGTGGTCCATAGTTTTATTTTCTTGTAATATCTTTGTCTGAATTTAGTATCAGGGTAACACTGGCCTCATAGATTGGGTTGGGTTATTTGATTTCTTGCATGGACTCTGCTCAGCCAGAATATAAGCTCATTTGAGTAAAATCAAAGCCAAAGACTTACATACTAGTAACTCGATAAATGTGGGATGAACTGAATTGATTTGGTGGACTCCTTTCATCAGAGTGTTCTACCAAGTCATAAGGAAATGGCCTATTTTCTTTCTTTCTCAAATTCTACCTGGGTTCTCACTCCAAAATTTATGAAACAATGAATATCCCTTATTTCATATATTTGGTTGGAAATAGAGCAGGCTGATCATTTGTTTTGCCTTCATTCAAATTCCAGCCCATCTGCAAATTTATCAAGGCCTATAAAAGTCTTAAATTTTGACAAATATTTTGACCTTTTTATGATTTTATGTTAATACATTAATATAGTAAGTATTGAAAAATGAATGAAAAAACATTGGAATAAACACATTTATCAATATGGACATAATTTTAACAGATGAAATTTGTTAATTTTTAAATTAAATATCTACATATTAATGAAAAATTCTGCAGCATTACAAACAAGATTAGAGTAAAATATATGATTGTTGCCCATTCAAAAATATTTCTTGGTCACCTATCATGCTTAAACAAATAAAAGATAAATGTTAGGTTGAAGTTATTTGTCTATATAGGGACTTGAGATAATTATTATGATATGTTTTTGTAAAAAAAATTCTACCAAATATAAATACTTCGATTGTATTGATTTTAACATGTATAGATAGAATGTTATGCACACATACATAATGCATGCATATATAATGCATATATACCCACATGTATTGTCATGTCCAGATATTGGACTTAAGAATGGTGATTTAGTTATTTTTCTTCATCGTTGTTCTTCTTGGTGCTATAATTCAAATGTAATCCAGTCACAAAGGTGAAAACAGTAGAATTTAGATGGGGAAAAGAAAAAAGAAGAAAAAAATACATTTTATATTGAATATGCATTGACTTGTTCTTACTCCAGGGTGGCTATTACTCCACTGTTTAAAGCTTACCAGGTTCCAGTTCACTTTGAATTAAGAAACATTGATTGATGTTGTTGGTTTCCAAGCACTGGCTCCACTCTCTGATATGAAGAGATGCATATATCATTATTATGTGCTTATATCATTAAGGTGCTCACTATTGGATGGGAAGATGTGTACCCTATATCCTACAGGAAATTGTGAAGGCCTAAGGAATATTCTAAAGTAAGGTTTATCAAACTATGGCTTACAGCCAAATCTAGCCTGCTGCCTGTTTTTATAAATACAATTTTATTGGAGCAAAGTCATCCTCATTCATTTTATTCTCTACAGCTGCTTTCTTGCTACAACAGAGTGGATTAGTCATGGTAGAAATTGTATGTCCTGCAAAGCCTAAAATGTTTACGTTCTGGCCGTTTACAGAACAAGTTACCAACTCCTTTTCCAAGAAGTCTGCTACTTCTTCATATTCATCTGAAGGAATAAAGAAAATGCTAACCTCTTCGTTTAAACTATGCTAATATCAACTGACTACTACTGAAATACAGAGCTAATAGTCACTTAGAAATTAGGAAAGATTTTCTGGTGACGGCTGAGGCTAGTACTAAAGATAAGGAAAGGACTCTATTCAGTAAACATAAGAGATCTTTCTCCAAGTAGAGAGGAAGACCCAGGTAAAAGTAGATGTAGAGATTAACAAACATACTACTCACCTCTCTGGATCAAGACAAAAATTATGTGGACATTTTTCAAAACCCATTATACACTGGCAGAAGAGTTCTGCTTCATGCAGTCCAGACTTCAGAGATCCAGACTTCTTGCACCTGTTGCTCTCTCCTCCAGGTCCTCAGCACCCTACTGATTCAGCTGGCAGAAAGGAAAGAGTATGAGTGCATTACCTAAGGATGGCTCACATTATGCCCATTCATTCCATTGGCCAAACACACCTGATTGCAAGGGAGCTAGAACATGAAGGCTAGAACTCTGTCATATTGCCATATTTCTTCACCTTTCTTTTCAGTCTCATTCTGAAGACCTTAGGACTCAGGCTAAAGCCACATTTTTACTGCCTCCTCTGAATATCTTCATCCACAGCAACCTCCTCTCCCCTTACTTACTGTAAACTTAATGCAGGTAATTTATTTAAAAAAAAAAGCAGTGACTGAGCTGCCTTTATATATTAGGGAAGTAAGATAAATCACCAAAAATGAGAATTAGTTTTTTATGTTTCAAACAAATTGATGATTGTCTTATGGTAGTATACATAACAACCCTATCCTCCCATTTTTTCCCAGGAATTTCTGGAAGGTAAGAATAAAACACAATGGACACTAAAACTTTTCTGCCCACGAAAGTAAGAGGCATTTGAGAATTGTTCACTTTATCTTATGAGGCATAGGAGAAGAGAATCCTGGAAAAAGCAAGAAGCAGGAAGATAAGAGGCAAAGAAGAAGAGAGCCCCACCCACTGGGGCAAGCTGGGGCCCCAGGTATTGGTTGGGGAATTTCAGGCAATTGTGTTGTTTGACATTGATCTTGATTTATTTTTCTTCCCAGCCCTAGCACTACCTCTCAGTATCTTCATATCCTTCAGTAAGTATTTATCAGATAAACATTTTTTGAGTGATATATTTTTAGTCAATGAAGGGAGAAAGAGTAGCTTACTGTGATGAAAATTGAGCCAGTCTTGGGAGCTGAGGGCCAAAATCAGGAGATGACAACAGCAGAGACCAGGCAGCTTCATCAATGGCTGATGCAAAGAAAATCTCCCTTCTTTTTGCCCATCTCAAGCATCTTTGCGGAGCACACAGCAGACTTCTCATAGTACCTACCTTTACGTTTCAATTTTTTTTTTTTTTTTTTTTTTTTACCAAGATCTTGAAGAAAATGGCAGTTTCAGAAAGTGGAGGACTTGTGACAGGGGTTCCTGCTGTGATCTGTGTTAGCTTTCCATGGGACTTACCCCACATACCAAATGCCCCTTGGAGGGCATAACTGGAGACTTGGAGTTTATTGTACTTCTAACCAACCTAGGCACAGGGCGTATTATAGCTTCTTCCTAGTACTTAATGATGTTGCTCTAAAAAAAATTCTAGTTTGCCATAACGTAAAGCCCAGGGCTGAGAAGAGTCTACCTGAAAGACAGAAAGTAAAGTTCTGCCTCTTGCTGCTGCTGAACTCTTGCACTCAAAGTAGGAGACAGCCTTGTAGATGTTGGAATCCACCGGCAAGACCTACAGACCAGCCCATGTGTGAGATGATCACAGGCTTTGCGCAGAGGAACTGTGAGCATGGATCAGAATCTAGAGCAGAAAGGGAGGTCAGGTCAGGCCTATGGTAGCCTTTTTCAGATGAAAGAGCACCAGCCTGACGAATCCATAAGAACAGGAACAACATGAAAGTACTGAGGGCCCAAATCACCAATTTTGTTCTCTGGGAATAATAAAGACAACCTGAAGTACCAAAAGTCTAGGCAAGTTATAACAGTTAAAGAATTACAATTCTATTAAAACACACCAAAGACTAACTGTGTGTTTAACTTGAATGTAACTTTTCTTCACTGATTCTAAAAGTATCCTAGGATCTTAGAGTATCTCAAGGTCATAATTGTAGATAATACTGTAATGGATTTGGCTACTGTTATTACGTAATCACAACTACCTTTGTTAAGTACTTACTATTATATTTTCCAGAAACCATCTTAAAGGGTGTAGATGTTTTACCTTATTTAATAATCACACCAACTTTTTGAGTTAGATGTTAATGAGATTATTCCCATTTTTCAGAACAATAACTAAGGCTTAAAGAGGTCAAGCAACTTTGTTGGCAAAACCAGGATTTGTTCCAGTGTCTGATGACTCTGAAACAATTGCTCTTAACTAGTCTATCACCTCTTACGTAGGGCATTGGCTCCAAATGCAAGAATCTTAAAGTTCATCCACAGAGACAAGACTCACATAGAAACCAATACGTATGAAAGTAATTTGGGGCTGAGTTGTGTGAAATTTTATTGGTTCTATAGCAGCTGAGAGAAGAAATAAATGTGTTAGCTGAAGAAGGCTAGAAATAGTTTATGAAAAAGTTGGATATAAGCTGGCTGCTAAGAATTGGCTAGGGGTTCTCTTTGCTGAGTGTCTGATGAGTGTCTTTGACAGTAACTCCTTCATAGATGCTTTCTTATGATGTACCATTTAATTTTGATGAAGGTCCTGTGAAATAAGCAGAGCAGATTTTATGATCTTAGTGTTACACAGACAAGAAGCGCAAGGACAGGAAGGGACATTGACTGTCTCTGGCTACCTTCGTGAGTTAGAGAGCAGAGACAAGGTGCAGGTCTTTGGAGTCAACCTCACCTAGTTCCTGCCACCACTGTGTTTGCACACACACACACACACACACACACAAATGCACATGAGCACATATACACAAACACACACATTCTCAGAGCAGTACATGCATGGGAAATCCTACGTTTCAGTCCTAGAGTCCCACAAACCACAAGGCTTTAAACAGACATAGAAATCATCCCAGCAGACATATGATCCCCAACTATGCCACTACTGAGCATTTGAAGTCCATGCCTTTAGTCTTTTTATTTATAAAAATTACAGTGATCACATCATTGGAGATGAAAGGACAACTGTGATCACAGAAACTAATTAGGGAACAATTAATAATTCAAAACTGTAATAAAGCTGTTTTATAGGCAAGAGCTATCCTGGAAATGATCCCCCAGTCCGAGATTACCCTCCCGAAGGAGATGTCTTCAAAGGAACTAAGATAATTGTCATCAACAAGGGCTGGAAGACTCTGCTTGAGAAGTTTCCTAGCAGTAAATGAATAGTCTCTTAGGTGATATAGACTGCGGGGGGCTGCCACATTCGTTTCATTGTCTTGCCATTGTCTTATGGAGACACTGACCTGGCTTTGCATTATCTAGATATCTTTAATAGTGGTGTTCCATTTTTATACATCCGTATATATATGCTATTAGCAAGGAACCATTTGGAAAGGATTTTTCCTGAATACTTTCTCACATCAGTTACTTACGGGAAAGTGGATTGGATTTTGCATTGTCAATTTTCCAAAACTCTCACATTAGAAAATACTCTTAGCCCAGATATTTCTTTCCATATGATACATCTGCTGGTTGATCTGACTAGTAAAGAGAAAGGTTAGGTGTGGGGACTCAGGCTATCTTGAAAGACACAGAGCATATTCTCATCCACTTCTATGACAATGTTTTTCAAGGTATTTTTATTTCCATTGCTCCATTCAATTCTCATGGTCCCTTGAGAGGTTGGGAGGGAAGACACATTTATTGTCATTTGACAAATGGGGACTGGGACTAAAATAGGTTCAGGACTTACTCAGGGTAAAATTAAGTGAAATGGTGAAGCTGAACTTGAACTTGGTGTTTGTCTCCCAGTCAAACGGTCTTTCCACCTCACCAACCTCAGCTCGCCCATTTCCCTGTGGCTTTCACTAGTGAGGCATTACTCTTATGGTTTGCGAGAGAAGTTTCCAAGTTTCTATGCCTGGTTATTTCCCTGAAAGTATCTTCTATCTCTCTTAACATCTTTCATCACAGGCATTGGGGTATTTTCCCATGCTAGGAATAAGAGGAGCAGTGTAGAGGATAAACAGGATTTGGTGCTGTCCTGTCCCACCCTCAAATTTCAAATCCCCAGTATGTTTAGGCTCTTCCATGTTTCATGTTCCCCTGCCAAACCTGATCACAGAGCAGGATCTAACATCAGCCACTCCCTAGTGGTAGAGTAAGTTATTCCCCTTCTCAGAAATATTCACATTCTAAAGCAGATTCCTCACATAGGAAGATATGACTTTGTCTAAAGAGTCAAGAAATACTAGCCATTAGTTATGCTTTGGCCTATGTATTAAAGATGAGAAAAGTGCATGGATAATTTTTCCTAAAATTACACTATACATGAGGAAATCCAAGTTCAAAGAGTCTACGTAACTTGCACAAGGTTATGAAGCTGGTAATAAGAGCTTATAACAGTAAGTTTAGAAGATAAAGGTAAATAAGGTGCATAGCTAGGTGCAGCAGACACTGTGGGTCCCATACTCAACATCCATTTATACTTTCTTCAAAAAAAAATAGAACAAAGTAAAACAAAACAAACAAAAAAAACAGATCCACAATTTTTTTCTGGCATGTTACCTTCTTCATGTTGCCACAAGTTTCAAGGGAGACTGACCTCATTCAGAATTCTGTTCAATTGAATCTGTTGGTTCTTCCCTTTTTAGTGATTGGTGCAGGATTAGGGATGTAATATACAATAGGATTTTGTCTGATGATGTTCCTGGGAAAGTCTTTTGGGTATAGGGAGGTGGGAGTTTCTCAAAGAGTTTTTTTCTCACTCTTAAAGGAAGATAACAGGAAGAGTTTTGTTTTCTTTTCTTCTTCTTACCTATGGCCATTGTTATATCTGGTCAGGATGCCTGGAACAATGGGAATTATCTTGTTAACACCCTAAAGGAAAAATCAGCATTTAAGAAGGAAAGAACCTTCAGAAATACAGAGAAGAGGAAAGTAAGCCTTCAACAGTGTGTACCTGAAGCTGCCATCTTTTGGATTTCTTGTTACAGAAGAGAGAAAATTTTCTTGTTGCTTAAGCCAATTGAGTCCATGCATTCAGTCCTGAAAATGAAGCCCTCTTAAACAGTGTCCTGCTCTTTTATAAAATTCTTTTGATGGCAAGACATAACATAATGACGCTTGGATAGATGAAAGGCAGACTATTTTGTTACTTGCAGCTCTGAATGAGAGAAGGCTGCCAGGCAGGGCCACATAGGGGCACCCACCTGGAGGCAGGGTAGCAGCTTGTTGGAGTATGCATGGCAAGCAGGGTGTGGTTAGGTTTCAAAGGCTCCCTTTGGATTGGCTAATTTGAGTAATTTCTGGGGCATAAGTGCTGTCCTAGTTGTCTGGTACCAGGCTCCAGGGCATGGGGGCTGAGGCATAGTGGCCCTGGAGTGGGAGGTGTGTGAGAATCCCATAAGAAAGGTGGTTTGGGTGTGGACTTAACCACCTGCTCAAGAAGGGAATTTGACTAATCTTTAGCCAGTACTTCAAAACAGGCTAGTAAGTCAAGACAGGACAGTTAAAAATAAAAATAAATATTACATCCAGTCAATCAAAAGGAGAAGCAGCTGCCATTGTTTGCTATTAGCCTCTGGATAAGCTTCCCAGGAAACTGAGCATTTCTTTTCTATGCCCCCAGGAACTGTGGGCAGTCCCAGTAGGTCCCTGAAGGTCACAGGCCCAGAGTGCACACACACCCACTACACACTACACACACACACACACGTACACACACTACACATGTGTCAGTCACTTTTCAGGAAATAATCTTGAATGGTTCGTGCCCAGAAGCCACCACTTCCTGTCCATTCCTAAGCATAGCAGGAGGCAGCATGAAGCAAAACCGTATTTAACACTACCAGAAATGAAGATGCAACCTGTGACCGCAGTGCCTCCAAATAAAGAAATAGGGCCAGGTTCGGCAGAGTATGGTATTGCTGATAAAACGGAGCTACATAAATCCACCACCCTTCAATAAGTCTCAAATCCCCGGCTTTCTGAAGCTGCTTTACAAAGCTATCTTCTGAAACGCAAAGGATGGTCTCATTTTTATTGGAAGATTAAGATAAGAGATAGGTTCAAAACCTCCTAAAATCTCCCCCAGGTGCAGACACATAGGAGAGAGAGTGTATCAAAAAAGAAGGGCACTGAACTATGAGAAATAGGAATAGGTATATCAATGGGGGGAAAACCAAGTTTGATTTATCCCCAAAGCTTCCTAAGGCTCAGATCTTATAGGCGATGGGATTACCTTTCAAACCATTTTAAAGATGTATTCTGTTAGAATGATTGTTCAAATTCCGCCTGCCTGAAAGCAAAGAGAGAGACGAGAAAGGCTGCAAACTGTCTACAGGGATTCCAAGAGTTCGTACAAAAATAAGAATGTCATTGTTTTCATTGTTTTCTTCAAATAGCATTTCGGGATTTCTTCAAATAGCATTTCGGGACCCTATATGCTAAACATTAAGGCAATTAAGCTCCTTTCTCCAAGTGGCTTATAAAACAAGATAGTCACTGTCCCAGGTAAAATCAATCAGGAAAAATGTATTGAATGCAGTGTCCCCAGTGCATTGTGAAATGATAGCAATGGAACAATGCTGCCCAGCACACTCTGTGGCCAGGTCACTGTGGGGACGGGGGATCAGTAGTTATAGCAGCATCACCTTCTCCATCCAGGCAGCCTCCCCAGAATCTCAGGTTGCCCTCTGGGTTCTTTCATTGCACCTTGTTCTTGTTTCATCACAACACTTATCATACTGCTGACCATTGCCTCTTGGCTTCTCTGCAGGCACTCAGTAAAATGTTCTAAACCAGTGGCATTTTGGGGAGGTGTGTCTCTCTACCAAACTTTGATCATCATATTTTTGTGACTTGCATGTTTAGGAATGTGGGTGTGTGAAATGTTTAGAGAGACCAGTACCTAACTTTGTATAAGAGTCAATTCAAGAGGGTTTAGAGTCAGTGTATGCCTAGAGGTGGACGTTTATGATGATAAAACAGAATAAAGCTGTTGGGTTTTTGTAGAGACTAAACACAGGAACTTGGTTACATCAGCATTTATTTGTTCTTTCATTAGTTCATCACCCATTCATTCATCACTTATTGAGCATGTATTGAGCATGATTTTACCTTAGTGGACTACAAAATCTATCAATGTCTGCCTTGACATTGAACAAATAATAATGAAGGTGTTGAGGGATGTGAAAAGGAAAAAATGACTAAAGCGCTAAGGGAACATCATATTCATGAATGCAGAATATCACTAAACAAACAAGCAAAAAAAAAAAAAACCAGACATCTAGAGATAAGAGTAGGGGATTGGAAGAAAAATATTCAAAAGTAATAGCAGGTTCTAAACATTTTAAGAAGCAGTCAAGACTGTTTGGGCTTATTTTAAAAGAGGATATAAATTCCTAGAATCCACTCTTTATACAACCTAGGTTTTTTTTAAATCTATTTTCTTTCTCCTTTAAATTCAGGAAAAGTTACAAAGGAATATTTCAGGAGCCCCTTAAATACTTGTCTTTCTTGGGCCATAGGAATGGGCTAGTCATTTATAACATGATTTTTAAATTGAGGTACAAAAATTAGACATGTTTGACGCTGGTTAGGAGTTTTCTAAAGTGACTCTCACATAGATCTCTGCAAAATGAATGAACAAGCTTTAATACAGCTCAGTTATATGAAAAGCTGTACACTATAAGAGATCTAGAAAACTAGAGCTTCAAGTTGTGTTTTTAAAAAGCCCTTAAACTTAATTGAAAAACCAAGTGTAGAATACAAAATTGCAACAAGGTCCATGGTGATCCTATGACATCATGATCTCAAAGGCCTTCATGGAGAGGTACAGGCATAATCAATTGAGGGGTCTCCTAACCACATAGTGGGGAGGCTGGTCTCCTAGAGGAGAAGAGCATTGGATCTGGTGGCCTGGGCTCCCATCTGGCTCAAGAAGATGTTAACTGTGTAATTTCAACACAACAACTTCTCTTCTTGGATCTTGGTTTTCTAGATGATAAAATGCCTGTAATAACAGCTTTCCTGCATACCTCTCCAGGGAATTTCACATGATTCTTATACTTGGGTCAGGACATCAATTTCAGGGAAGAAATATAACTCTACTATCTTTGGTAGCCTGTCTTAGATTCTGTCATTTTCAGAAACATTGTCTAATGCATAACATGTATGGAATACTTTTAAAAAGTAACGCTGGTGCCAGTATTTTATATTATTGGTGTCTCTTAGATGGAGAAGAGTGACGATAAATCTTGCTTGAGTATTATTTTGCCCGAAGCATAAACTTTGGAATTAAATCAGTTGCCATAACCCTTGGATCCAAGAGGTATAATGGCTAAATTTCTTCAGAATTGATGGCAGACTAACAATTCATATTTGCTCAGGAATACAGGATTGAGCCTGAATACTGGTCTTCATTCTCCTGTTCACCTGTGAGACTAAGGCTATTGAAAAATGAAAGAAAAATTTAATTTCATTAGATATCCAACATACTTAAGCTCAGCTGGTTTCAACTTTATGGTCATAACAAAGGATTCTGCTATTGCCTTGGGGCTGCTGATCATTTGTCAAGGCTACCAGGTCTCAACAGGCACCAACAGATAATGCTAAAAGGGACACTAGGTGGCATTATATGGAAGTACCAGGGAAAGGACTCCTGCACCTCATATCAAAAATCTCCTCCTCACTAGTCTGTAAATGGCCTCAAAGTGGTTAAAGTATTTTCTCCTGCTAATATGTGCACATTTCACCTGGATGCAGAAGGGGCAGGGGGATGGCAAGCTGCCTCCCTGCCATTAACATTCACACAATTCTGATTGGCACAGTGTCTAGCCATCTCCTTGGAAAGACTCTGTGAAATCAGAAGACTAGTAGGCAAAGGTAGGGTGTGGAGGAATGAGTCTATGTCACAAAGATGCCCTGGGCATGGGGTTGCGGGGGTGAGGGAAGAAAGGCCTAAGGAAACCACTTCTTGGGAGTCCAGGCAGCAGGATGAAAGAGAGAAGAGTTAGAAGGGAAGCGAAGTAAAAAATCTCCATCAGAATGTTATGGGGGCTGATAGGCCCACTATGTATCTCCTTAAATTAGATCCAGAGTAGGCCTTAAAAGATCCCTCATTGTTCAGAAGAGAGCACAATATACAAATACCTCATAAAAGGTAAAGGTGGAAGACAATGGTACAGGGAGAAAAATGTAAGCCTGTAGGATCTCAGAGAAGGGAAGGAGAGGAAGCATGTTTTCAAGGAGCAAAAGAGAGAGAGCATCTGGGAAGACTGTGGAAGAGCATACAGAAGCATAAGAAGGAGTTTGTAAGCTAGAGAAGAAAGTTGAAGGCAGTAGAATTGAGAAATGACTAAGATATTCATAACAGATTGTCAAGTTTCAAAACTGGCTCCTTGTCTGGCTAGACATATGAATTTGGGGATCATATATCTGCAGCTTAATTTCCTCATTTATAAGATGAGTATTCACATTTGCTATTGCAGAGATGATTTTAAGGACCTAGGAGGTATTAAGGGCTGGTAGTGTGTTAGCTTTTATGATGTTGATCATGATGATGATGAGGATGATAACGAAAAACACTATTCAATGAGGCATCCATGAAGGTAGAGTGTGGTTTGAGTACAGCATGTTAGGAAGATATAAAAGGGAGAAGAGGTTGGAAAGAAAGTCCTATTACAATGGGCCTGTCCTAGTTTTCTGGGGCTGCCAAAACAAATTACCACAAATTGGATGTCTTAAAACACATAAATTGATTCTCTCACAGTTCTGGTGACTGGAAGTCGGAAATCAACGTGCTGGCAGGGCCAAGCTCCCTCCAGAGGCTCAAGGGATGTTTCTGACCCTTGCCTTTTCCTACCACTTTGTGCTTGCTGATAATTCCTTGGCTTGTGACAACATAATTTTAATCTCTGCCTCTGTCTTCACATGGCATTGTTCCCTCTGGGTGTCTGTGTCTATGTGTCCAAACTTTCTCTACTTATGAGGACACTAGTTATGCTGAGTTTACAGCCTACCTTAATCCAGCATGAACTCATCTTAACTTGTTTACATATGCAAAGACCCTATTTCCAAATAAGGTCACAATAACAGGTTTTGGGTGGGCTTGAAATTTGGAAGGACACTATTCAGCCCAGTACAGTGCCTGAATGTTCAGTTAAACAGTTAAGGCCTCAAATAGCAGGGCCACTGCTTCCTGCCTTGTATCCTTTTCCGGAGCACAGTTGTTCTGTTCCTAGAAACAACATAGATGGGCATCATGCTTACTATCTCAACCCCGGGAACAAGTATGTGGATATTTACCTGCCAGCTGTAAATAACTCTAATGTGGAAGGGAATGATGTAGAATACAAATTACTTGTCTAACTTGTGATCAGGTGGCAGGGAACAGAAAGGTATGAGCAGAGGGATCATTAGTGAGTAACGCTTGCCTTGGGAAGCCTGGACATAGGCCACATTTACCTACGGTGGCATCCCCTACACTTGGCAGATATTTCATCTGCACACCTACACTGGTGTGCAGTGGGCCCTGAACTTCTGACAGGATGCCCAGTATCTGTCCTGATTACCATTCCCCCCAAGATTCTGGATCTCTGCTATCCTCACGAATTCCAGGCCCTTCACTTGTAGTAGCATGAGGCATTTCCTTCCTGGAGGATGTCTCTGTGTTCTGATGAGAGACACTTAGAGATCTCAAAGTCTTCAGCTAAAGTGTCTTATTGGCAAAATAGGGATTTGGGAAGTGTTTTACCCATGCTGCCTTCCAAATTCCCTTCAAATGAGTCCACAATCTGGCTACTTGCTTTTCTTATCTACAAGAATGGCTTTGACGTAGACATCACTCTTCTCTTAGTGCTTCCATTCTAGCAAAGTGAATCACTCCTGCAATTTGCCCCAGCAGGGTGGGTGCCTCCAAGGCCCAAAAACATGACAGGCTTCAGGGATGAAAACCACTAGCTAGAGGCCTCTGTCTGTAAAACAGCTTCTTCCATGGAGAGGCCTCAGTACACAATAGTGAAGGAAGTAGTGGTTGTGGTGGTGTCATCGTTCACTGCCTCGTGAATTTTCACCTCTACCTGGCACTAATTCCAGGCTGTGCTGAGAGGAGATCAGTCCTACCAGCTGTCCACACTGAGACAGGAGAACTTGTAAAACAAGAGCAGGTCTAGGTTTGGTGAAGAGCAAAGCAAAGGAAGGAATTTAAAATGCAGAGGGGAGACAGGTTACATACAATGTCAGCAGAACTAGGGCTACAGAAAGTGAACAAAGCAAGTTCAAGACTCAGAGTTTGTAGGAACAACTGAGGGTTGAGTCAGCAGAGGTTTTCCAGAAAGACAAGATGAAGGCAGAAGGACAGTATAACTGTCAGTCCTGAGTGAAACTCACGGGACTCAACACCACCTCCTCTCTGGGTGGATTCTAAGCCCTGACTTTGTCTCCTCAGCAGCCTTGAAGCAACGCATCTCACCCTTCAAAGAGGTAACAAGAAAAAGCCACCCCTGGCTGGGTGATATAGTTTGGCTGTGTCCCCACCCAAATATCATCTTGAACTGTAGCTCCCAGAATTCCCACGTGTCATGAGAGGGACCCAGTAGGAGGTAATTGAATCATGGGGGCAGACTTTCCTGTGCTGTTCGCATGATAGTGAATAACTAAGTCTCAAGAGATCTGATGGTCTTATAAAGGGGAGTTCCCCTGCACATGTTCTCTTGCCTGCCACCATATAAACCTGTCTTGCTTCCCTTTTGTCCTCCACCATGATTGTGAGGCCTCCCCAGCCATGTGGAACTGTAAGTCAATTAAACCTCTTTCCTTTATAAATTACCCAGTCTCAGGTATGTCTTTATTAACATTGTGAGAACAGATTAATACACTGAGCTAAACAATTATGGAGCCATGGGCTCATTCATCTGGAGGGGGAATTAGTGTTCCTCATAAAGCTCTTAAGTTAAAAAGGAATTTGAACCTATGGCTCACCCCGTTAGGAATTAGTTCTGTTCTGCATTTTTCAACCTCTATGTAGCATTTTGCCAGTAAGAGTTCAAGATTTTTTTCTCTTTTGATGTCATACCCTTCATTTAGACCACAATTTCACCATTCTGCCCTCTGCCTGCCATCTCTTTTGGTGGATGTTTCATCTGCTCATCTCAAATGGCTCAGCTACCCACACTCCCTGCCAGTCTTCATTCCTCTTGGATCCCACTTACCTAGAAGTGCCTGAGAAAACAAAACCAACATGCCCTTCTCTTGTGGAGTCCTCCATTATGGTGTCTATGGGATGTTTATCCAGCATTGTATAAAACCTGAATGAGACAGAAAGGTCAACTTAGGTCCTGGTCCCCTCCCTTCACTTCAGTCAGATCCTCACACAGCCCTAACTTATACCCTACCATCATTTAATTGCTCTACTTTAAGTCTAACTTTGAAAATCTCTTTCCCTAAAGCCCTCTGTCCTCTCACTTCTTATGCCTTCCAGAAAATTCCTTCAACTTTTCTTATTCTGCTTCTAATCCCAGTGGATTCTCTTACACGGACCCAGATCCTCACAGTGGGTCTCCACTGGAGAATGGAGAGCGGCTTTGTTTTGTCTTTGTGCCTTCTTCCTGGCTCCCAGGATCCTTGGTCCCTGTGCATAGGGACCTCTCCTGTGCTGTCCTCAGCTTCTGCTATTCCAGGCTGTAGAGAAATTTTTCAATTTCATCCACAACCCTACATATAAAAGCATTATGAACTCCATAGTTCTGAAGGCTAATTATCAAAAGGATTCAGCAAAAAGGGGGGAAAGCAAATAACAAAGAGTGAACTAGTAGATTATTGATTCGAGAACAAAATACGTAGGTGCTTGATTAGAAAGATGGATTTGATTGGGATGTACTAGTTATGCTGAGACACATAGTCATAATGGAACAGCAGATTAGAATTGTCTGACCATAGGTTCTGTTTTATCTAAATATATGTCATGACATATATCAGCTCTGCCACAGTTCTATTTTGGGATCTTCATACCACTGGCAAAATTAGTACTTAACATTGCGAGATGGGGTTAGGGATTCTTGACAAGAACAGTGAGGGGCAGCTGCCTACAATAGCCCTCCTCCATCCACATGAATTGTTATTAAAATAACCCAAAGGCTTGTGAATAAAAGACAAATATATTGCAAGGGTATGACAGAATAAAGGATAGTATTTATATACATACCAGAAACTAGGAAGAGTATATTTTAACCTCAGAGGCAATAGAGAGGCACTGCAAAAGAAGAAGAAAAAAAAAAAAAAGACGATGGCCAACACTTCTGGAATTAAGCAATGTAATCAGTAAGAAATAAGGAATAAACTCTGGTAGATAGCTTGCCCCTTCACCTACACTCTGAATTGGAAAAGTAAAAGCCATGCTGAATATAAGAATGGCATGAAAGGTGGAGAGGGTCTCCTCCTAGCAACAATCACTTCCACTTCTCTCTCCTTGGGGAAAATAACATTGAGACATCAGTAGGATTGTAGAAAAATCTTTAATGTTTTCTTCTAAGGTGCACTTTCCATATTTATTAATGGAAGCAAGCATGTCATGTAGAAACATACGTTTTAAAAATGGTCAGCAATCCTACAGGGCTAAACAATTAGAGTGTTGTATTTTGTTTTGTTTTTTAATTCATTTGCCCTTGATCAGGGATTGGCGTTAAAGGCATGACCTTGGAAAAATTTAGTCAAAACCCACACCCTGTCCATTTCCAACTTGATTATGTACATTTCCTTCGGAATAGTATAGATCCTGGACTGTGGGGAGAAACAGAGCCAAACTGATGTGTAGCACTCAAAAGCATTTCTACAGCTCAAGAACAAAAATTCACTAATGCTCCAATGGTGTGCAGGGTATTTCTCTTTCAAAAATTGATTTACTGCTCTAAATGGAAAAAAAAATCAAAGTTTTATTTCAACAAGTTTTATGACAACATTTGCTCTGGGAACAACAGCAGGCAGACTTAAGAGGGAAGGCCAAGGGAAAGAATAACTATCAGAATTTTGAAAGAAACGCAACAGACAAATTTTAAAAATCAAGATGGATGTTTTGAATCATCAGAAATGTAAGTTGTTATACAGGGAGCAAACATTTAGAAATGAAACTCCTATTAGAAAAGATAATAAGACATATTCAAGCAACACCATCTACACATAATAGCTTTTTCTGTAACAGTGAGGAGAACTGAAGGAGCAGGAGCAATCTATAAAGAAATAGAGAAGACATTCTCAATTTAAGCAAGACTGTGGGTTCAAATTTAGAATATTCATCGTGTTCCAGGCAAGCCTACACAGGTCCCAGTACAGTTTTAAAATTCAATCAATAAAAGATGATTCCTACACAAATCTAGAAAAGAAGTAAACAAAATATTTACTTCCAAACAAAATAAAATAAAATTTAGGTTGGCTGCAATTCTTCCTCACTAAAACTAAGCATTAGAATTAAACACACAATGTATATAAAGCTTTGAAGGACACAGTTTATGAATCAAAAGCTGTGTATCCAGCCAACATTTATTCCTGTATGCATAACATAGAAATGATGATATAGTCAAAGACCCATAATATTTTTCCTAAATATCTTAACAAATATCTGCTCTAGGATTCACAGAATAATCAAAATGAAGAACTCAAATATAGGTTTATCAATACAGAAAAGAACTACTGATGAGTATTAAAAACAGTGAAAAATCACCTAATTGTTTAAAGTGTAACATGAAAATAACAAAAATTATCTCTCAATTACAATATAAAATTAAAAATGAACTATGGGCACAAATAAACTAGAGATGATCTATTTTTTAACGTATGTCTCCAAAGGCAATTTTTAAAGCATTTTTTATATACCTGTTGGTCATTCGTATGGTGTGGTTTTGTTGCTTTTGTTATTATTTTTAATTGACACATAATAATTACACATACTTATGGAGTACTGTGTGATATTTTGATACATTTATACAATGTGTAATGATCAAATCATGGTAATTGGCATATCTGTCACCTCAAACAGCTATCATGTCTTTGTGTTGGGGACGTTCAAAATCCACTTTTTAACTATTTGAAAATATACATTAAATTATTGCTAGTTATAGTCACTCTATAGCGCTGCAGAACACTAGAACTTATTTCCCTGTCTAGCTATACTTTTGTATCTGCCATTCAACCTTAAGCTATCCTTTTGAGAAGATAAAGAAACAGGAGATTACAAAGATAAAATGACTTCCTCAAGGTCATAAAACTATGCTGGCAGAACCAGAATTTGAACCTAAAGAGTATAACTCCAAAACAGCATAGCTTTTTTTCTGCACTATGCCAAAAAAAAAAGCTGCCTGTTTATTGGATGATGTACAGAAGTTGTAAAGGACATAACCTGGACAGGTGACACAATGAATTACTATCAAGATACTTTCAGTTTCATCATTTAGACTAGGAGCATCCTGAGGGCAGGGCATGTTGGGGAAATAAGGCTATACAAAAATTACAGACAAATTTAAGAAGAGTTTGAGCTAATACAATATTGTGTAATTCACAAAGTAATGAAGGAAGAAAGAGAAGAATAAAAAAAGGATGGAGGGAGGGAGGAAGAAAGGAAAGAAGGGAAAAGGAAAGGTCATTGTGGTTATATGTTTCATAGAGAGGGCGATTCTTTGACATCAGTTAAAATGATGTGAATGTGATCTGGCAAGGAGAGAACTGATAAGATAATGCAAATCATTGCACCCTTCTGTCCTTCAAGTTTTGGAGGTCATTTAGGAAGTGAAAAGCACTTTCTATGTATCTTTAGTAGCAACTGGAAAAAGCCTCCCTTGGTGACAACATCCTTGTTGGTTGATTAAATAAAACTAAAAACACTCTCTAGACTTTGCCTGTTGGTTCAGGGATACTGAACTAGGCCCTCTCCCATATTTTCTATGTTCTTTAGAATTTACTGCCCTCCCCCACCGCCCATGCACACACATTCAACCCACACCCATTCAGGAATTAATGGTATGCTGCAACTTCTACTTCTTCCCCTGTTTAGTTAACTTCACTCTAATCCCAGAAGTTAGGGAGCCAGAATGACACAGATGTGAATTCGTTATCAGATCAAGCTTTGGGAAATGTTCAACTCCACTTCATCTCATTTCCCTGGCCTTTTTTCTTCAGGGGCCCCCAGTTACCCTCAGAATACCTCACTGCAGTGAAACTCTCCCTATATGCATAAGTTCATGAATATAATTAGCAGAACTGGAAAGAACCATGTAAATCATTTCACCTAAAGAGAACAATACCAAGACTCAGAGGGGGACAATGCTTTTCCAAAGACTCACAGCAAAATCAGTGACTAAGCCAGATCTAGAGGTCACATCGTCATTCTCAACATGCTTTACTAGAACTTTGTCTACACTCTCCAGGCTGTTAATGCAGTAATGAGTCAATCTTATGAATTTGTGTGTTCTAATGAGAAACAAATTCACTTCCTCAATTTCCTTCCAGGTAAAATTTACATTTTTTCACAAAAGCCTTTTGAAAAGTCCCAAAAGTTCAATTAAAGAAGCACCTGTAAGACAAAATTTCTAGACATAAAAATATAGTAAACATTCTACGTCTTAGTTACTCCAAAATAGACTCTGACTGGCTCATCTATGTCCATATAAAAGGTGGGGCTTCTCTCATCTGTTGGGCAAAGATGTCTATGAAGGTGGTTCATGAAAGCTAAGATTTATTTTTAGGAAAGAACAGCTCAATCTATGTAAGCAAGAAATAGGAAAAGAGGAAGTAAATTCTATATATCCTTAAAAGTTCACCCCAGCCAACTTAGGAAACTTGCACCTGGGAAAGCTACATGGAGAACTCTGGTCCTTTTCCTGGGAGATCAGATAACTTGAGAGACAGGAAGTCAAAAGCACAGACATTAAACAATGAACGAGAAAGTCAGTCACGTTAGGGAGAGATCAAGTAAGAAATACTGCAATAAATCTGCAAACAAAACTCCATCTGAAGACAGCAGCATCTGAAAGATGAGAGAAAAATGAGCAAACTATGCTTTTTCTTTTTAGTCATGAGGAATATGCATTATGTTTAGAATGGAATTAGGATTGGTGCATAGCCTTTAGTAATGCAATTCATCTCACACACCAAGTCAGAAATATTCAGAAAGATTGCCTTAGAACCAGGGGGCAAGACTGCACTGGGATTCTTCCAAAATCATGTTGTGGTTGATTAACTATGGCTGCCATGGCGGGACAATAGGAGCAGTGGTGTCATGCTTGCAATATTCCTTCGTGTGTGACATCCCTGTTACACCCAGCCTTTAGGACACACACAGTTAAGAGTCCCCCACTGAGAATGACTATATCTTCAAAGACAATGTTACTCCTTATGATAGCCTTGCCATATGTCCATCTCCTATTACTGGTTTTGAGTTCTGGGTTTCCTGGCTCTTTGCCCTCAGCTGTTACACAGCACTCAGATGGAGAGGTTCTGCTGAGGCCAGACCACTCATATGAGTCTAATTCATCCTGATCCTGAGAGAAACTCTTTCTTCTCTGCTACTGGCATTAATATCCCTATTATAGTACATTTGTGGTGGTGTTTTGTTGGATGCCCCATCTTCTCTCACCTACAGGTGGGATCCCCAATTGTGTGGATCCTGGTAAGAAGAGCCCCCACCCCTCCCTGGAATCCAGGACACTGGCATTGAACTCACTCCAGGCCAACTGGAGGGCCCTATCTGTGTCGTCAAAGCTTGATTAAATGATACATTGCAAGGCCAATTTAGAATTTCTTGAAAGAGGAAATGCGTGGTGGCATGGTGGTGTTGTCTATTTGTAGCAGTGTTCACTAGAGGTTCTGGCAGTAGTGATATCCATGGTGTCCATGGGGTGTGACCAGACTCTTCCCAGATTGTGACCTTGGCTGCTGCCCGTCTTCCCTGAGATCAAGCCTGCTTCTCTAGCCCTCTCATTCATTCTATAAACACCTTGATGTTCCTCTACTAGATGCCTTTTCTGTTTCAGTTAATCATAATTTATCTTACTTGTACCAAGAACATGGACAGACCTGACAAAGGGTCATAGATTTTTTTCCAAAGCTTTGCTTCTTTGAAATTTCCCTCTCACAAAGGAGATTTCTCTGCAGCAAAGCCTTTGAGGCAATGGTTCAGGCTATGGCATACATAAGTCTGTAACTGACCCAAGATAGGAAAGAAAATGGGTACAAGTATCTCAAAAATATAACCCTACCCAAAACACACCGTGGGGGTTTAGAAAATACTTGGCATGTGAAACACTTCCTTCTAACTTAAACAATTCAACAAGCAAAAACCAATCCCTTTTAAAAATATGGGCCCAGGACATGGACAGACACTTTTCAAAAGAAAATGTACATGTGGCCAACAAATATATTAAAAAATGCTCACAGCATTACTAGCATTTTTGCTAGTGATGGATGACAGGATCATTCATATGCCAAACCTCAGCAATTTATCCATGTAACAAACCTGCACATGTACCCCTGAACCTAAAATAAAAGTAGAAAAAGAAGACTTCCTTCTACCATTTCACAAACTATACAACCCTAGAGAAGTTATATAGATTCTCTTAATCTAATTTCCCTCATCTGTAAAATGGAAAGTTCATTCATTCATTCATTTAACAAGTATTTATCAAGTATTTACTGTCTGCTCTGCACTGAGGAAATAATAATGAATCAAAACAGAAAAGGCATTTACCTACGTAGAGCTTAGGCTTTTGGTGGAGAAAAACAAAAAAAAAAGATCACATTATTTTGATATTTACAAGCTGTGATAAGTGCTACTAAAAAAAGAAACATATTTTCTTCGTGGGGTTCTGATTTATTCAAGGAGGTAAGAGAAATTTATCCAGAGAAGAAAGATTAAGGCTGAGGAGTAAAACATTGGTAGTCAGGGCCGGGCATGGTGGCTCATGCTTGTAAACCTAGCACTTTAGGAGGCTGAGGCAGGTGGATCACCTGAGGTCAGGAGTTCGAGACCAGCCTGGTGAACATGGAGAAACCCCATCTCTACTAAAAATACAAAAAAATTAGCTGGGTATGGTGGCACACGCCTATAATCCATTACTCGGGAGGCTGAGGCAGGAGAATCGCTTGAACTTGGGAGACGGAGGTTGCAGTGAGCCAAGATCGTGCCACTGCACTCCAGCCTGGGTGACAGAACCAGACTCCATCTCAAAAAAAAAAAATTGGTAGTCAGGCAACTGGGTTACAAGAATGTGTGTGTGTCCATGTGTGTGCTTGTGTGTAAAGGGCAGAGGAAGAGAATTTGAGGCAGAAAGGAGACTATTCACAGTGAGTCCAGTGTAATGAGGGAGGATGTATGTCAAGGAACTGAAGGAAAACCAATGGGCTTCTAGTGCAGGGAATGAAAAAGAGAACTATGTGAAACAAGATGGGAGGGTGAATGAGATCAGAACAGGTAGTGAAAAAGCCATGTCAGGGACATGAAAATACTTTAAGAAGTGAGTAAAGAGGACCATTTTTCTTCTTCTTCTTCCTCCTCATCATCTTCTTCTTCTTCTTCTTCTTCTTCTTCTTCTTCTTCTTCTTCTTCTTCTTCTTCTTCTTCTTCAAAGATTCCTCTGGCTGCTCTGGATTATTTGGTGGGGGCGGGGTAGGGCAAAATATAATAATGGAGACACTATAGGAACCCACTTCAATATCCAGGCAAAGGATGGTCATAATCTGGCCTAGGGTAGTGGTCACAAAGATAAAAATATCTGGGAGTGGTAAAATCAACAGGATTTGGTGATGAATGAAATAAGATAGAGAGGAAGGTGTGAAAGATGATTCCATAATCTCTGTCTGCTTGCATGAATGGCTGGAGCTAACATTCCCTGAGATATGGACCTTGGGCTTGCTTTGAGGGACAGGTCATGAATTGGGCTTTAGGCATGTTGACTGTGGGGTGCTAGTGAGATTCCCAACAGCAGATATTGAAGCAGCTGGATACATGTTTGTATAACCCAGAGGGCTGTAGGTAGAAAACACTTGGAAATCACTCACGTGGAGAAGTTGCCCAAAGCCACAGGTATTAGTGAGTTTCTGTAGGGAGAGAGTGAACAGGGGATGTTCTAGCACTGAGCCCTGAGAAGTTATAACATAAAAAACATGGATACAAAAAGTTGGCTAAGAACAGTAAGAACTAACTGGAGATCTAGGAGGAAACCAAGATCATTTTCATAGAATCCAAGAGAAGAGCATTTCAAGGGGAGTGAAAAGGAGTGTTGAGTGCTGCCAAGAGATTAAGAGACATGAGGACTAAAAGAGTCCCATTAGGTGCCCTAGCAAGAAGTAACATCACAGGGTCAGTCAATTACAGGGTATTGTCACCATAAGTGCCTGATATACATATTAAGGGAAGGCAAGCGACACTACCAAAGTCTACTCACATCCAGCCAAAAGTCAAAGTGAATTCTTAAAATAGTGAGTCTTTATATTATTATGGTTCTTTGCAGTTTTCAAATGATTTTTACAATGTAAGTTATCATACCTGATTCAATAAGCCCGCAAGTTCACCCACATATGACGTCCACTTTACAGATGATGAAACTGTGGCCCAGAAAGTTTAAGGGATGTGTCAAATGTCACACAGCTCACAGATCCAGGGACATGGCTTAAATCCAGATATCTTGATTCTAACTTCAGTTGAGGAAGAGAAAGAGTGCTGCCCCACGCTGCCTGATTTACAACGTGAAGTGAAATCTTTGAAAAGAAAAATAAGACAATGTCACTCAAGCTCTTATCTGAGGATTTCCTGGGTTTGAAGACAGAGCTCAAACTCATACAAGGTGATTTTACAGGTTTTAGAAAGACCTTCTGTTTCAAATAAGATGTTTTCTATCAACTCATTGGCATTTGTTGTTTCTTACCCAGGGGTCATCTGAGTCTGCAGATAGGCTTGCTTTATGCTGCTCCGTCAGATCTCTTCTAAAGATTAGTGCGCAATTCTGGACATTACATTTTAATGGTAACATGGATTCAACTAAAGGGTAAGCAAAGGACACCGACAGGAATAGGGAGGGTGCCATTTATAGAGAAAAGACTGAGAGGTCCATATTGTTATTTTACCTGAAAGATATAATAAACAGAGGATGCTGTTTATCATGAGTAGATGCTGATGAGAAAATATTTCAATGTGTGTGGTGTGTGTATCTCTGTGTGCATGTAACAACAACAAAAAAACACTTTCTAGGCATGAGAGCTACTTAATGGCTCATAAGACTTTAAAGGTCATGTGGTCCCCATCAGTAAAGGTGATTAAGGAGAAATTAAACGCACATATGTATCACTTATTCTGACCATAGACAACAGAGGCTATTCCTCTCAGGCAGTTGGCAGGTGCAGTAAACTAAGGTTAGGAAAAAGAAGAATACCAAGAAGCAATGACAGTTCTGAACTCTGCAACAAAATTATCAGCCCCAATATGAAGGAAGTGGTAGCCAGAGAACACTTAGATAAAATTAAAAGGAATACATGAGGCCGGGCGTGGTGGCTCACGCCTGTAATCCCAGCACTTTGGGAGGCCAAGGCGGGCGGATCACGAGGTCAGGAGATAGAGACCGTCCTGGCTAACACGGTGAAACCCTGTCTCTACTAAAAATACAAAAATTTAGCCAGGCGTGGGTTGCAGGCGCCTGTAGTCCCAGCTACTGGGGAGGCTGAGGCAGGAGAATGGCCTGAACCCGGGAGGCGGAGCTTGCAGTGAGCGGAGATCGCGCCACTGCACTCCAGCCTGGGCTACAGAGCGAGACTCAGTCTCAAAAAAAAAAAAAAAAAAAAAGAAAAGAAAAAAGAAACACATGAGTACAGAATCTAGGGATCTAGTAAAAAAAAAAAAAGTTCTTGATAGTAAAAAAGAAAAATCACAATTGCTTAAACATTCAAGAAATATACATTGAGTGATAAATATTATAAAATGGCTATCATGTACAATAAATATGTTAAACGCTACATATATATATATAATCTCATTTATTCTTCACAACAAACCTAGAAAAATACTAATTATTAATTCCATCGTATAGATGAGGAAACTGAGGCTTACATTCATCACACAACTGGTGAGTGAGTTAGGAACCCAACTCAGCTATTTCTGATCGTGAGCACCATGTTTATGCCCTCTATTGAGAAAGCAAGTGGGAATATAATAGTGAATAAGATTCAGACCTTAGCGTACTTACAGTCTAGAATGAATATAAAAATAAGTGAGCAATTAAAATGCAGTATGATCAGAATAATGAATTAGTGGATATGGAACATTTTTCATGCCTGTAAAATTCCCTAACTGCCCATTTCTGATAGGACCAGTCTCTGAACTTTGCCAGTTTGAAGGGAAAATGAGTGGGTGAAAAAAATGAGGCATACTGATTAAGAACATTAGTTATGGTGTTATGCAGACCTGGGTTTAAATTCTGACTCCTTCACTCAGTGTTACAGGATGGTTTTCCACGAATCTGTTATATTTCCACACATCTTTGGAGCAACGATCTTTGTTTCAGACTCTCTTTTCAAGGACGTTTGAATAGCAAGCAACCTTGGAAGACAGAATGTCTCCCTTTGGAATAAATGTCATACATACTTACTGTCCACTATAATATGTCTCTCTTCAGAGCAAAAGGAAGACATGCTCACTTTCCATTAAAAAATATTTTTGTTCTCTGCACTCAGGGTTTCTCTCCCATAATAACCCATTGAATGCGCAGGTGTCACCTGGCTCTATTTATATAGCCCAGTGGGAATCAGGACTTGGGAAACTGATGCAAATGATATTCTGGCTATTGATATTGCTGTGAATAATAAGTTGTCCTTCAGGTCTGACCTAGGAGTCTGATGTCTTTTATGTATGTCCATGAAAGGGTGTCACGTTAACTTGTCAGCTTGCAGATAAGGTACAATCTCAGACCGTTCACCATTCTTGACACTCACTAACCAGGAAATTTGGGGCAAATTATTTGCTCTCACTAAGCTCCTATATTTTTAGTCATAAACTGGGGCAGAGCAAGTGTCCCAGTATCATTTAATACTATTAAATGCAGCAACTTCTGTGTAGCTCTTTACCCAATATATAGCATATCTCATCAACATTAGCTAATACTCACATGGGAACATAAAGCTGAGATGGAAAGTACGGAGGTATTGAGGTAAATATAGGCTCTTCCTGATGCTATAGGCAGGATTTACTTGCTATCAGAGATTGAAATAGATTATGAATAAAATACCAGCTCCAACTGAGCACTATTGGCTGCCTAAGCTGCTGTGATGAGAAAGATTTTGAAGCAAAATCTGGACTGAGCAGAGAAGATTGCCTGATAGAGTATTGATGTTTGCTATGGGTCTTGACTAGGGGAAAATGAATTACACATTCTTCATATTTGCCTCTTGTGTTAAGATGTTATGTAATATCTCTTCCACCTCTATTTGATTCTATACCACAAACTTCCATCTTTGAAAGAAGACATAAAATGCAAATAATCCTGGAAGAGGAAATACAGTGATTTAGTTATCTCATTTAATTATCTAGGGGTACATTTGCAATTAGTTTATCTTGAAGATTTTCATCAGAATGATACACTACTCATAATTAAACATGCTGCGGGTACTTTATTAAGATTGGTTTATAGTCGTTCTGGTGCTAACAATTGCAAATGCATCCCTACCTGCAGATCCTCTCATGTTGGTACTCTTGGGATGCAAATTTACTTCAAAAATCTGTAGCCATTCTACCTTGGGAGTATTTACCATGTGCCTAAGGATGAGTCTGAAAGGATCAGATGGGCTGACTTCACTGCATCATGCCAGAGAAGGTTCCAATAATACTCTTTAAGGGGCTAGTCCCTTGTCTCTGCCTTCATTTTAAGCGACCTGCAGGGCCTTCTCCTATGGCAATAAATATTCTTATGGAAAGAAATTTGGCAAGATGTATCTTAAAAATGTTCACTGACTTGGATCTGATTATGTCTAGGAATTTATCCTGGGAAAATAATTGCAGCTGTGCACATTGATTTATGTACAAGGTTATTCATTATAGAATGTTTGATGTTTTTAAAATACCATTTTTGCAAATGAAGATACAATAAATAAATTATAGTTAACCATATTGCCTTAACAGTCATTAAAATAATATATTTGGATAAATTTAATGACATAGGAAATTTATCTCATGTAATATTAATGAAGAAAAATTGGGTATATATAAACAAAATTATTAGAAACAAATGTTTAAAAAAAATAGGATATTTATCCCACAAATAGAATATGTGTGGAAAGAGATGTTTAATTTTTGTTTCATTTCAGGTGTAAAAAGTATCCATTTTGCAGAGCAATTCTGTAGGCTAGACTGCATTCTAGAAGAACTGACCTATACTCAGAAACAACAGTGTATGATCTGAGATGAATTGTTTCATGTGCCCCACATTCTTTTAACTTCTAGAAATAACATATTGATTTTCGTATCCCAGATACAACTTCCTCACTATGGGAAGTCTTGGTAGGACTATTGATCAGGGTGTCTGCCCTCTTCTTCCTGGCCAAGGTGGCACACACATGACCCAGTCTAGGATAATGGACAATCTCAGGGATTTGGATTGCAGGAACAGGAATGAAAATTGATATTGACCTAACCCTGTAACAATGGCCTGAAGACACGGACGATTATTATTATTATTATTATTATTATTATTATTATTTGCTACAAAGAATCCTATTGCTATTTTGTCCTCATCTTTCTGAACCTAACTCTTCAGCTATTCATCCTTGACCTACAAACTAACCTGCTAATAAGTATGCTTTCGTTAAAGTTACCCAGAATTGGACTTTGTGTCTTATAACTACAGAGACATAAGATAATAAAATAAAAATATATGTATACATGTGCTATTCATGTGGTACGGATCTAAGATCCAAAACCAATGAGGCTCCTGGCCACACCCCAGTCTATGACCTCCTTTGTATGTAGGACGCCGAGCCCTGCCTTCATGCTCTCTTGTAGGTTGCCAGTCCTGGGCAGCCACTTTCAGAACTCAGCTCCTTTCCACTTGTTTTCAACTGGCACACTAACCAGAGGGGCAGGCATTGCCCAGTGAATTGTCAAAGGCACCCCGCTCTACACAGCTCTTTGTGTAGCCACCTCCCAGACGTCCTGCACTGATTACCTGCAGTGGGTGGCATTATCATCAGAAAGCCAGGGAATGATGCTTCTGGAATCCATTTTTTATTTCAATGCAAGAATCCTTTGATTTTCATGTATGCTGAATGGATTTTTCTTCTAGTGGCAATTATTGCTCCAATGGTTGGCATTTTCCATTCACATGGTTTAAATTCAGTGATATTACAATCTCTGAATAACTTGAAAAGTCTCAGCTTGACTTATATGATTCCCCACCCCCTTTGGAAAAGTTTCACATAATAGGTCTCTATACCAGTGCACATTGAAGAATTAATGAAACGCAATAGCCTCCTACCAAATGAGGTTCTTATGAGTTAACTCTAAATACTATCCAAATGCTTCTACCAAGAATACTTCTATTCTGAATCTTCCCATCCAGGCCTTTTTTAATAAAGTCCAGTTCAAAATTCAGTCCTTCTAGATTAATGCTGAAAGAGCATAATGTTTTTTAAAAAACCAATTTTGTATCTGCTAGCACTAGGCTAGATACATGTTCAATCTCTTGCAAGCTATGTGATTTTTAGTGAAGTTGCTCAACTTTTCTGAGAATCAATTTCTCAGCTATATATATATTTATATATATAATATATAATATATATAATACAAATATTATATATATAATATATTATATTTATATATATAATATATATATAAAGTCTTAAATACATTTTTGTGAGAATTAAGAAAGATAGTGTATGTAAAGTACTTGGTATTTGGGAGGTATACACTAAGTGTTAAATCCTTTGTACTTGTAGTATTTTAACTTTGTTTTCTGTATTTGAGTGTATGTATTCCCGTAACTTATGCACTTTATTTATATGGAGCTGATTTGTTGTTGTTAATATTTTATTATGGAATGTGTTTTTTTTTAAAAAAAAAAGCAAAATGTAACAAATCAACAAATAAAACATTATAGTATGATGATATCTTTCCAGAAGAGAAATAAAATCTCCTCACATTTTTCTTCTGTTTCTCCACAAATACTATTACATGTTGTTTCTACATACACTGACCAGTTGTTCAATTTTCCCTTAAGAGACAGTAATAAATAGCATATGTTTATATAGCATTACACTATTTTTCAGTGTTTCATATTCATTGCTACATTTGATTGTGTTCTTGTGGTTTGTTCTCTCATAGGCTACATTGATGGCTAACTTCCATTTCATAATGTATAAAAATTGCAGTAACAGTGTGATTATTCATGGTCCCACCAAGGACAAAAATAACGCAAAGACAATGACCTCTCCTTTACTCCTTTCATACACTCACTCACACTTGTCCAGAGTTTCCTCTTGCTTTCTACTCTTCTGAAATCCTGTTCTGAGGAATTATTAGTCACGGTAAAGCATAAATATCTGACAAAGCTTAATCATTTGTTCTGAGGGGCCTTTAGAGAAGGCAAAGGGAGTAAAAAATTGTGGGGTTTTTTGTTTGTCTGTTTTGTTTTTTGTGGGTTGTTTGTCTGTTTTGAGACAGAGTTTCACTTTGTTGCCCAGGCTGGAGTGTAGTGGCACAGTTTCGACTCACTGCAACCTCCGCCTCCAAGGTTCAAGCAATTCTTATTCCTCAGCCTCCCGCATAGCTGGTATTACAGGCGCCAGCCATCACGCCCGGTTGATTTTTTTTTTTTTTTTTTTAATACAGATGGGGGTCTCACCATTTTGCCCAGGCTGGTCTCGAACTCCTGAGCTCAGGCAATCTGCTCATCTCGGCCTCCCAAAGTGCTAGGATTACAGGCGTGAGCCACCGTGTCCGGCCAAATAGTTTTAATATGAAGAAAACTTCAGAGTTTTGGGAGCTAATCTGTGTATATTGAGAGAGGGCAATTTATTTTTTCCTGCTCAGTCTATTAAAGTTGGTCAGACTATCAGAAATAAAGTGACAGTAGACTGTCTAGAAACATGATTAAATACAGAAAACATTTTGCTTTGTGTTGCATTGGCTTATGTTTTGTCTCTGGCCTGCTCCGCTAAGCATTGAGGGAACAGGAATGAAAAATTAATATTGACCTAACCCCTGTCACAGTTGCCTGAAGAGACAGACTATTATTATTAGTGTTATTAGTATTATTTTGCTACAAAGAACCCTGTTGCTATTTTGTCCTCATTTTTCTGAACCTAACTCTTCAGCTATTCATTCTTGACCTACAATTTAACCTTCTAATAAGTATGCTTATTGTAAGTACATCATTCTTATCCTAGACACTCAATAAGGCACATAGTCCTGCATTAAAGACCCAGTCAACCCTGTATGTCCTATTGATGTCAATAACTAGACACTATGGAATAGCATGATTTTATACTCAGAAGTCCAAGATCCCTCCTTGAAGCCCATTGGAAGAAACCCACATCTGTAGGTCTTCAGCCCAGAGATCCCTATGTGATTAGGAAGATATTTCCTAATTGATAAAAAAGAACAGAGATTTCAAACTTTTTTTCCAATAGTGGAAGCTATTTATTCTCTGACATTTGTCTTTCACAAAATATTGCTTTACAAATTATATACAAGTATGTTATCCTTAGTTGATTCAGGGAAAAATATTTCCCAGCCATGTCTACTAAACCTCTCATGCTCCCTTTGGCAGCTCTGAGGCACCTCCACAAAGCCCCAAATTTGCATAAAGTCCTGGTTTAAAGATGCTTATTTTCATAATGTTTTGCATCTCTCTAGAAAGTTTCTTCAGGCACTGGGGGACTCCAAAATGTGGGAAGGCAGAGTGGAGGAGAGGTTGAAAACTACCTATTGGGTACCATGTTCACTGTTTGGATGATGAGTTCAATTAAAGTCCAAACTTCAACATTACCCAATATATCCATGGAACAAACCAGCATGTGTACCCCCTAACCTAACATTTTAAAATATTAAATACATAAATTAATGAATATTTTTTGAAAAAGAAGAAAGTTCCTTCAAGCAACCATAAGAAAAATGGCTCAAATTCTTTTTGGAATAGGGTGAACTACGGTGAAACAAACAAATAAATAAATAAATCTTGGTGGAAATTTCCAGAGAAACTTTCCTCAAGAGCTATTAGTTAAGAGCTTAAAGTCTCGAGCAGGAAGAACCTAGGTTCACATTCCTGCTTTGACATCTACAAGGTGAATTACCTTGGGTGATTTACTTAGCTTTACTAAGCCTGTTTGTTCAAGGTTAAATGAAGATAATAATAGTACTTTACTTAAAGGGTTGTTGGGAGAATTAAATAAAATAAGTCTTAGTGTCTAGCATAGTTATGGCATATGTGAAGCACAAAATAAATGTTGCCTTTCATTATTTATGTCATTATAGTTTTTTTCCAAATCTGTAATGCATTTAATACCGAACCTGCGAAAACTCACTTTCTCCTTTTTTTCTTCTAATACTTGCTAATCCATTATTCTATCTCCTTTGTACACCAACCATTACATGTACATACTGACTGGCCTCAGGTCGCATGGCTTTTAAATGCCATAATGAGGATTCAATGATCTTTCTACTACATCTGACCACTCTAAAATACTCGGAAAAATAATTTTGTTACTCTTTTTCCTACGTCTCCTAGCCTTCCTTTTTTTTTTTTTTTTTTTGGTAGTGTTGAAGAAAAACACTTAAGATTCAGCAGCCAAGAACTAGTGACCAAACAGTCCCACAAGGAAGAGCATGTAATCTAGATATACCCCTTTATCAGGTATAAAATGATGATCCCATCAGACAAGTCAGGATACTTGGCACACCCCATTTAATAAATCAGGATCCAGAGAGAAGAACAGTTGTCACTGGAAGGACTTGTGTACAGAGCAGTAAAACAAGGGTAGAAGTAGGTATAGGTGGCTCAGAATATGGCCAAGATCCTTTAAAGAGCATAAAATGTCACAGGCAACATGGTATGGACCCCATTGCTAGAACCAAACAACAAAATGCAAAACGACTTACTTTGGACTCCTATGAAAACAGTACTCTATCAATTGATGTTTCATTTTTAAAAGGACTATATTGTTCTATTGGCATCATATCATTTATTATTCATAATAATCCTATATAGTAGGTGTTGATGCTTTTCTCAGATAAGGGAACTGAGGTTTAGAATGGCTGAATTATCTGATCAAAATTTCAGATTTTGGAAGTGACAGTTGTTTTGGGGGCACAATTTCCTGATCTCAGTACCTGGTTCTAGAATGTACTGATGGTAAAATCTGAGAGTAGAACCTATCACAGAACTTTCCTAGAACTAAACTTTCACAAAAAGAAGAGTTATTCATGACAACCAGAGATATTCTGGGGGCGATCTAGATGTGGAGACAGCAGCAAAGCGGAGCTTGAGGCTTGCAATGCTCTCGCCAATTCTCTCAGAGTTTCAAATATCTCAGTCTGAGCTAAAATTTGTGGTTATGTGTCTGCTTCTGCCTAAAAGGTAACTAGGGTATGAAGTCAATTACCTAGGTCGCAGAGATTCCCAAAATACTTTAATTAATCTATTGAGGTAATCAAGGCAATAGTACTTCAGCATGAATACTATGAAAATGATTTATATTTGCCTCCATCTTCCCCTTGTCTAGACACAGCAGTCTTTACTAGGTCTTTTCCAGGACAATCTCTACACCACTTGGTGTCTTATTTGCCCCTCATCCCCCTGTACCCTTTCTTTACTTTGATCATGGTTAAATACAAAGCAGTTCATTGCATTTATCTCTGCCACTACTCATGATGCCTGATATATCAGCCTTTTTGTAGGCCAGAGAACAAATTGCAATCGGCAGAGTAAAATTACTTGTCAAAGATCATGGAATATCAATACAATATTAAGATAGAAGTCATGATATGCAAAGTGGAAATTCCTCTTAGCAACATTAACTGACTCACCTTGTCCACAATTTGATATATCATGCATACTGATGGTATAGGCTTCTTTGCATATTCTGATTGCACAGTGGGTGATATGCAGGCAAGAGTGAAATGTAAGTTTGTGGATAGGGTATTGCAGCATCAGTAGGTAATGAGATTGGGAAGAACATTTTAAAGCAGTTTATATTCAATCAAGCGTGCTATTCTTGCAACAAATAGTTATTAGGTATCTCTTATATTAAGGTTATTGAGCAGTGTTTCTTTGAAATTCTAACTCATGGGTTTCAGACATCTGTGTTTACTAAATATATTTTTCTTGGTTTCATCCCAGAATTTTTATTGAGAATCTCTAGGGTTAGGGCTAATAAATTGCCCCAAGTGATTCTGATTTGCTCTAGCCTTTGAAGACTATTATGCTATGTACTGGAGGTTAGAAACACAAACTATTCTGATTGTGAAGGAGAATATAAGCTGGTTGAAGATCCAGCCAAATATAAATGGAAAGATAATTAACATTCTATAGATTAGATACACCTATAGATTAGATATATTACAATGTAGTTATAGTATAATAGCCAACAATAGCTTGGAAGTCAGAGGAAGAATAGCATGAGTTTGACTGTTTCAGGAAAGCATCAAATATGGGTAAGATATAACAACAAAAAGCATGTATGTGAAGGCATCAGAGAGCTGATGAAGACACCAAGTATTGAGAAACCATTATATTAGAAAGAAAGGAAGCCCATTGAGGTGTGGTCAATAGTCTGCATATTGCTTTTACTCTCAAGATATTTTCTTAATCTTTTTTTAAAAATTGAGGTCAAGTTACGGTGAAACCCTGTCTCTACTAAAAACACAAAAATTAGCCAGGCGTGGTGGCGGGCGCCTGTAGTCCTAGCTACTCAGGAGGCTGAGGCAGGAGAATGGTGTGAACCCGGGAGGCAGAGCTTGCAGTGAGACGAGATCACGCCACTGCACTCCAGCCTGGACGACAGAGCGAGACTCCTTCTCAAAAAAAAAAAAAAAAAAAAAAAAAATGAGGTCAAGTTAATATACCAGAAATTTTTTCTTTCTAAAAATTATTTCAGATTCATAGGGTACATGTGGAGCTTTGTTAAATAGATATATTGTGTAAAGGTGAGGTTTGTGCTTCTAGGGTCCCCATCTCCCAAATCGTGACAATTTTATCCAATAGGTAATTCTTCAACCCTTACCCCTCTCCTAACCTCCCCACTTTTGGAGTTCCCAATGTCTGTTACTTCCATCTTCATGTCATTGTGTACCCATTGTTTAGCTACCACTTATAACTGAAAACATGTGGAATTTGATTTTCTGTTTCTAAGCTGTTTCACTTAGGATAATGGCCTCCAGCTCCATCCATGTTGCTGCAAAAGTCATGATTTTATTCTTTTTTATGGTTGCATAGTATTCTATGATATATATATGCCACATTTTTTTTATTCCAATCCACCTCTGATGGACACTTAGGTTGATTCTATGACTTTGATGTTGTGAATAGTGCTGTGATCAACATACAAGCACAGGAGTCTTTTTTAATATAATAATTCATTTTCCTTTAGATAGATACCCACTAGTGGGCTTGCTGGGTCAAATGTTAGTCCTAGTTTTAGTCCTTTGAGAAATCTCCATACTGTTTTCCATATGTGGTCTACTAATTTACATTCTCACAAACAGTGTATAGTCATTCCCTTTCCTCTGCATCCACACCAACATCTGTTGTTTTTTGACTTACTAATAATCGTCATTCTGACTAATGTGAAATGGTATCTCACTGTGGCTGTAATTTGCATTTCTCTGATGGTTAGCGATGTGGGGCATGTTTTAATATATTTGTTGGCCACTTGTATGTCTTCTTTTGAGAAATGTCAGTTTATGTTCTTTCCCCACTTGTTAATGTTTTTGTTTGTTTGTTTTCTTGTTGACTTGTTTGAATTCCTTGTGGATTCTGGATATTACTTGTCTGAGATAATTTGTAAATATTTTCTTTAATTCTGTAGGTTACCTTTTTACTCTGCTATTTCTTTTTCTGTGCAAAAGGTTTTTTAGTTTAGATAAGTCCCATTTGTCTATTTTTGTTTCTGTTGCATTTATCTTTGAGATCTTAGTCATAAATTCTCTGCCTAGACCAATGTTCAGAAGAGTTTTTCTTAGGTTTTCTGCTAGAATTTGTATAATCTGAGGTCTTACATTTAACTTCAAGCTATAGTTACATATAATCTATCTTGAGTTAATTTTTGTATATGGTGAGAAATGGGAGTCTAGTTTCATTCTCCTGCCTGTAGCTAGCCAATTTTTCCCAATACCATTTAGTGAACAGGATATCATTCCCATTGTTTATTTATGTATGTATTTATTTAACTTTTATTTTACAATCGGGGGTACATGTGCATGTTTGTTGCATAGGTATATTACATGATGCTGAGATTAGGAGTACAAATGAATCTGTCACTCAGGTAAAGAGCACAGTATCCAATAGGTAGTTTTTTTCAACCCCTACCCCTCTCCATTCTTCCCTGCTCTTTTATTCCCCAGCATCTATTGTTCCCATTTTTATGACCATGTATACCCAATATTTAGCTCCTATTCTTGAGAACAGGTGGTATTTGGCTTTCTGTTTCTGTGTTAGTTCACTTATGATAATGTTTCCCACTGCATCCATACTGATGATGCAAAGGACTTAATTTTATACTTTTTGTGGCTGTGTAGTATTTCATGGTGTATATGTACCACATTTTCTTTATCCGATCCACCATTGATGAACATCGTATTTGATTCCATGTCTTTGCTATTGTGAATAGTGCTGGAATGAACATACAGACACATATGACCTTTTGATAAAATCACTTATTTTCCTTTGGTATGAGATTTCTGAGTCAAATGGTAGTTCAACTCTCAGTTCTTTGAGAAATCTCCAAAATTGCTTCCCACAGTGGCTGAACTAATTTGCATTCCTGCCAACAGCATATAACTGTTCCCTTTACTCTACAGCCTTATCAGCATTTGTTATTTTTTGACTTTTTAATAATAGCCATTCTGATTGGTGTGAGATGATATCTCGTTGTTTTTATTTGCATTTCTCTAATAAGTCGTGATAATTAGCATTTTTTCACATTTGTTGACTGCTTGTATAATTTTTTTTTTCTGGTTGGTAGGTTTTTTATTACTAATTCAGTTTCAGAACTGTTATTGGTGTGTTCAGGTTTTCAATTTCTTCCTGGTTCAATCTTGAGAGATTGTGTATCTCCAGGAATTTATCCATTTTTTCTGGTTTTCCTAATTTGTGTGCATAGAGGTCTTCAAAATAGTCTCTGAAGATCTTTTGTATTTCTGTGAGGCTGGCTGTAATAATATCTTTGTCATTTCTGATTGTGCTTATTTGGATATTCTCTCTTTTTTTCTGTGTTAATCTAGCTAGCAGTCTATTAATTTTGTTTATCCTTTCAAAAAACTAACTTTTGTTTGCATTGTTCTTTTGTATGGATTTTTGTGTCTCAATTTCTTTCAGTACTCCTCTGATGTGGATTATTTCATACCTTCTACTAGCTTTGGGGTTGTTTTGTTCTTTTTCATTGTAGTTCCTATAGGTGTGATCATAGATAGTTAATTTGAGATATTTCTAGCTTCTTGATAACTTCTTAAAAGTGTTTAGTACTATAAACTTTCCTCTTAACACTGCTGTATTAGTCCATTCTCACACAGCTATAAAGACATATCTGAGACTGGGTAACTTATAAAGAAAAGAAGCTTAATTGGCTCATGGTTCTGTGAGCTATGCAGGCTTCTGCTTCTGGGGAGCCTCAGAAAACTTACAATCATGGCGAAAGGCAAAGGGGAAGCAGTCCTATATTCAAATGGCCAGCAGGAGAAAGAGAGCAAAGGGGAAGGTGGCACACACTTTTTAAACAACCAGACCCCTTGAGAACTCTATCATGAGGCAGCACTAGGGAGATGGTGCTGAAATATTAGAAGCTACCCCCATGATCCAATCACCTCCCACCAGGACCCACGTCCAACACTGGATTGCAATTCAACATGAGATTTGGGTGGGGAGACAGAGCCAAACCATATCAACTGCTTTAACTGCATTCCAAATATTTTGGTATGTTGTGTCTGATTTCATTACATTTGAAGAATTTTTTAGTTTCTGGCTTAATTTTGTTTACCCAAAAGTCATTTAGCAGCAAGTTGTCTAATTTCCATGTGATGGTATGATTTTGAGATATCTTCTTGACATTGAGTTCTATTTTTATTGCACTGTGGTCAGAAAGTGTGCTTGGCATGATTTCAATTTTTTGAATTTATTGAGACTTGCTTTATGGCCAAGGATGCGGACAATGTTAGAGTACGTACTGTGTGCAGGAGAGAATTGTTTTTTGTTTAAAGTCTGTTTTATCAGAATAGCAACAACCCCTCTTTTTTGTTTACCATTTGCATATAAGATCTTTCTCTGTTCCTTTACTTTGAGCCTGTGAGTGTCATTGCATGTGGAATGGGTTTCTTGAAGACAGCATACGGTGGGGTCTTGTTTCTTTATTCCACTTGTCATTCTATGCCAATTTAAGTGGGATATTTGGAACATTACATTCAAGATTAATATTGATACGTAAAATTTTGATCCTGTCATTGTGTCGTTAGCTTGTTGTTTTATAGACTTGATTGTGTAGTTGCTATATTGTGTCTGTGAGCTATGTGCTTAAGTGTGTTTTTGTGGTGGCAGATATCATTCTTTTGTTTTCATGTTTAGCACTCCCTTAAGGACCTACTGTAAGATCAGTCTAGTGGTCATGAATTCCCTTAGTGTTTGCTTGCTTGTCTGAAAATAATTTTATTTCTTCTTCACTTATTATGCTTAGTTTTGCAGGAAATTAAATTCTTGGTTGGAATTTCTTTTTTTTTAAGGATGTTAAAAATAGTCCCCCAGTCTATTCTGGCTTGAAAAGTTTCTGCTAAGAAGTCCTATGCTAGACTGTTGGAGTTCTCTCTGTAAGTGACCTGGCCCTCCCTCTAGCAGTTTTAAAGAATACTTTTTCTTTTGAGTTGACCTTGGAAAACCTAATGCCATTGTGTCTTGGGGATGATTGTTTTTTATAGTATCTCACAAGGGTTCTCCGAATTTCTTGAATTTGTGTGTCAACCTCTCTAGAAAGACTGGGAAACATTTCATAAACTATGTCCTCAAATATGTTTTCCAACTTGCTTATTCTCTCTCCATCTCTCTCAGGAATGCCGATGAGTCATATGTTTGGCTTCTGTACATAATCTCACATTTCTCAAAGGTTTTGTTCATTTTTTAAAATTCTTTCTTCTTTATTTTTGTCTGATGGCATTGATTCAAAGGACATGTCTTCCAGCTCTTGGATTCTTTTCTCAGCTTGGTGTATTCTATTTTAAATGCTTCCAACTGTATTATAGAATTCCTGTAGTGAATTTTTCAGTTCCATTTGTTCAATTTTGTTCTCTCTTAAAATAGCTATTTTGTCTTTCAACTCTTGGATTATTTTATTGGATTCCTTAGATTGGGTTTCAACTTTCTGTTGCATCTTATTGAGCTCCAGCTGTGTCTCTACCTACTCTCTGGGAGGCTCCCTGCCAGCTTAACTATCCTTGGGCATCATGAGATCTGTTGCACCTAGGATCCCAGAAGTCCACTGTGAGAGTGAATTGCCCTGCAGTTGCTCCACTCACTACTTCCTTAGGAGCTGTTCAGAGCTAGGAATGAGTCCTGGTAGTCAGCAATCCCATGTAGGATTCCAAGCTTCCTTCCTCTTCAATGTCAGTGCCTCTCTCTTGATTTAGAGTGTTTTCTCTAAAAAGAGCTGTTTAAAGTATGATGACTTACCCCACATTTTGATCTCACTTGGTAGGAGAGGCTCTCTTGGCTCTTCTAGTCATCCATCTTGTCCTGCTATCTGTCTCTATTAGTTATATCGACTTTGTTAAAGATCAGCTGGTTGTAGGTATGTGATTCTATTTTAGGGCTCTCTATCCTGCTCTGTTAATCTATGTGTTCATTTTTGTACCAGTACCATGCTGTTTTAGGTACCATAACCTTGTAGTATAATTTTAAGTCAGGTAATGTGACACCTCCAGCTTTGTTCTTTTGCTTAAGGTTGGTTTGGCTATTTGGGCTCTTTTTGGGTTCCATATGAATGTTAAGCTTGTTTTCTAATTCTGTGAAAAATGACGTTGGTGATTTGATAGGGAATACATTGAATATGTAGCTTGCTTTGGACATTATGGTCATTTTTGTGATATTTATTCTTTTAATCCATGAACATAGGGTGTTTTTCCATTTGTTTGTGTCATCTACAATTTCTTTCATCAGCATTTTGTAGTTCTCCTTGTAGATATCTTTCCCTTCCTTGAACATTCCATAAAATTAATTAACCACTTTAAAGTATACAATTTAACTGGCATTTAGGACAATCACAGTGTTATTCAATAATCACCTTATCTAATTCTAAAATATTTTCATCACTGCCAAAGGAGACCCAGTACAGACTAAACCATCACTCCCCATTCCTATGCCCTAGCTCTTGGTATCCTCTAATCTGCTTTCTGTGTTTATGGATTTACCTATTTTGAATATATTAAGTTAATGGAGTCATAGAATACGTATCCTTTTATCCCTGACTTCTTTTACTTGGCATAATGTTTTCTAGGTTATCCACATTTTAACCTGAATCAGCACTTCATTCCTTTTTAGGGTTGAGTAACATTTCACTGTATGAGCATACCACATTTATTAATTTATCTGTTGATGGACATTTGGGTAGTTTCCACCATTTGGCTATTGTCAGTAGTGCTGCTGTGAACATTCACATACAAGTATTCATTTGAATACTTTTTTTCTATTCCATAGGGTATATTTAGGAGTGGAATTGCTGGGTTATAAGGTAATTCTATATATATAACTCTTTGTATAACCACGTAACTGTTTACTAATGTGGCTGCAGCATTTTACAGTCCTACCAGCGTATATATATAAATATAAATATGGAAATATATATACCTATATAATTATAAAGAAAAAGTATATATACTTCCTTTTTATATATCTATCTTAATGGGTGTGAAGTGGTATTATATTGTTGTTTTAATTTGCATTTTTCTAATTACTAGTGATGTTGAACATCTTTCATATGCTTATTGGTCATTTGTTTATTTTCTTTGGAGAAATGTTTATTTAAGTCCTCTACTCATTTTTTAATTGGGTTGCTTATTTTTCTTGTTAAGTGTAATAGTTCTTTATAAATTCTTATTACTATAACCTTTTCAGATATATGAATTGCAAATATTTCTTCCATTTTGTAGTTTGCATTCTTGCTTTCTTGATAGTGCCCTTTAATAAACAAAAGTTTTAATTTTTGATGACTTCCAACTTATTTATTCATTCTTAACATGAGGTAAGAGGCTGAGATGCCAAGAAAACAGTGAAAAGTTAAGTGGTGTGTTTTGCTTTCTTGCTACTCTGGAGATAAAAGCAGAAATACCAATAAGATGGCTTTTAATTTGAGGCAAGCCAGAGTTAGATAAATCCAGACCAAAAAATACAACCCAACGTCTAGTTAGCTTAGTTCCTAATTGGCTAAAGTGAACAGCCTCCAGTCTAGTTGCCTCACAGAAGAAAAGTCCACCATCTAGAACAATATAGTGAGCTTTTCTATAAAAAGATAGCACCATCCAGAACACTACTTTCTACACAGGATCAGCAGATAATAAAAAACTACCATGTATATCAAGAAGAAGGAATGGAAGTTAAAAACCAACAATAGAATTGATAGATTAGAATTATAAATAAAATATATCACATAGAGATTTAAACATAGTTATGATTAAAAATTCAAGAAAATGGATGACAAAATGGAGAAGTTCACTAAATAACTAGAATCTGTTTCAAAAGAATCAAATGGAAATTTTAGAACTGAAGAATACAATAACTGAAATTAAAAACTCAATAGAGCTGGGTGGATTGGCTCACATCTGTAATCCTAACACTCTGGGAGACCAAGGCAGGAGGGTCATTTGAGCCCAGGAGTTTGAGACCAGTCTGGGCAACATAGCAAGGCCTCATCTGTATACAAAGAAAAAAATTAGTTAAGTGTGGTGGCATGCACCTGTGGTTTCAGCTACTTGGGAGGCTGAGGCAGGAAAATTGCTTAAGCCTAGGAGGTCAATGTTGTAATGAGCTATATTCACATCACTGCATCCCAGCCTGGGCAACAGAGTAAGACCCTGTCTCAAAAACAAACAAACAAAACTCAAGAGATTCATATCAAAGCTGGCTAAGCACAAGTGAAAATACAGTTATTAAACTGGAAAATAGATCAGTAGAAAATTCTTGGACCGAATCACAGAAAGCAAATTATTGAAAATTCAGTAAAGAACATAAAAGACATATAGGGCAAGGTGAAACAATTTAATATAAATGTGACTGGAGTTCCAGATAGAAAAGAGAGAGAATGGGCGGAAGAAATGTTTGAAGAGCTAATAACCAAGAATTTCCTTCCAACTGAAAGACAGCCAACCAAAGACTCAAGAATCATTACAAATCTTTAGTAGAGTAAAAATCAAGAAAATCATACCTGAGCACATCATGCAAAGCTGCTAAAAAAACAAAGATGAAAGAATAATCTTAAAAGCAGCCAAGGGAAAGGATACAATGCCTTCAAATGAGCAACAGTAAGGCTGACAGTTAATTGCTGAATAAAGAAAGCCAGAAAATAATCAATAACATTATTAAAATTGGAATTCTATAATCCAGAAAAAGAAACGTTTTTTTAAAGCGAAGAAGGTGCTGTAAAACATCTTTGAATTTCCTACATAGATATGAGTTCTCCTTTGCTACAATCCTAAATCTTGGTCTTTCCCTTGACTCTATCTTATTTTACTGGATGCTCAGTCAAGATTCTATTTTACTTATTTTTCCATAGGATTTCATTATCTTTGAGTCATAATCCTTTTTAAAAAAACCAAAGATGAAATTTTTTTTGGTGAAGATAAAGTATTTTGGTGAAGATAAAAGAGATTTTTCTTCTTATTAAATGAAAACCTTTGAGCTTGTTGATTCTATATTTAAGACTCCAGCCTTGAATGGAATTTTTGTCTTTTCTTTTTCTTCTTTTTTTTTTTTTAGATGGAGTTTTGCTCTAGTCACCCAGGCTGGAGTACAATGGCACAATTTCAGCTCACTGCCACCTCTTTCTCCTGGGTTCAAGTGATTCTCCTGCCTCAGCCTCCCAAGTAGCTGGGGTTATAGGCGTCAGCCACCACACCTGGCTAATTCTTGTATTTTTAGTAGAGATGGGGTTTCACCATGTTGGCCAGGCTGATCTCGAACTCCTGACCTCAGGTGATTCATCTGCCTCGGCCTCCCAAAGTGCTGGGAGTACAGGCATGAGCCACTGCGCCTGGCCAAGTGGGATCTTAGTCAACATACGGTTTATTTTTATCTGTAAAGAAACAAGCATTTAGTTGGAAATTTTCTCTTAAAACAGCAACAAAGAACCTAAAAAGGAGGACATACCACATAGAATCGGTAAAGCAGCTAAGCAGAGGCTTTGGAGGCCAAGGACCAAAGTATTTCTTTCAAGAAACCAAAGCAGCAGCCAATTTAAGTCTAAATTTAAGTCTAAATATCCTAGGTTTTTAACTCTAAATATCTTCATTTTACAGATAAGTAAACAGGAGCTCAGAGAGTTTAAATAAGTTGTTCAAGTTCACTCATCTATTTAGTGGCAGAGCCAGGAACTTACTCAAGTTTTCCATACACTTCCAATCCCAACATTCAGAGACTCAGAAGTAGCATGGTTTGTGTTGCCAAAAGCTCTCTAACCCAAATAATTTTCACCACAGAACATCCAGTGCAACAGACTCAGATGAGTTCATTTTAAAAAATATAACAGTGCCTACTGTAGGCCACAGTTACACCTACTAGATATAACATACTAAGTTACTAAATCCTGGAAACACCTGATCACTTATATTCCTGAATTAGTTAACTCAGCTTTTGAGTACAACATAAAAAGATGGGACATGAAACAGACAACTTTTGATACAGAGGGAGTGGAATAATAAAGAGAACTAACTGTGGATGCCTGGTTTGGGATAAAGTGGGAGATTACATAAGAAGGCCAAGTATGATGTTGCTGCAAGAGGGGTGTTGTGACATCTATGGGTAAATTAAAGGGGCTAGGACTGAATTCTAGAAAGCTTTTATGCACTTTATAAATTTCTTTAAGTCTCAGTTCTCTCTAGGTAGTTTCATCTGTCTCATGAACCAATCCTGTTAGAACTCACAGGGCCCTAACATGACACCCCTGCTGAGAGAAACCCTATTTCAAAAATGGTGTCTGAGATTCTTTCTGTTGCCTTTCTTCCAGGCATTCACATGTTATAATGCCATAAATGTGTCCTATGATTTTCTAGGCATGGCAGTAACATTTATAGATCAACCGGGTTAATAGCAAGAAGGCTCATGCTGAATAGGAGGAAAACCCCTTCATGGGAAGCCCCTGGAGAGAATTACTCTATAGATATGCAGAGGATTAGGAGCAGCTGCGTAGAGCTAGGAGAAATTCCTAGATCACTTACCCCCAAATGCCTCACTTTCAGAAGAAGGTAGCCAAAGACCAAATAAATGTTAAACAACATGTTTATGGCAGAAAGAGGTTCTAAACCTAGAGCTCTTGACTCAGTCTGAAGGTTTTTTTTTTCTGTAATACTACTTAGGTAAGTGTGATAGGGGACCCTTGATAATCTTCTGAACCATTTCAGAGAATCTGTAAGGTCAAACTGTTTTCATCATAATGCTTAGGAATTATGTGCCCAAGAATAGAGAGGACTGGGATGCCATCATCATTCTTATGGGTAATGGATGTGTGCTTAAGCAGGCTTGTAATTTAGAATTTATCTAGTTTTATTTCTAATATGGCCAATGTCAACACATAAAAACTATATAAACAAAATCTCTTTTGAGTACTTAGTAATTTTTAAGAGAGTCAAGGGTCCTGAGACCAAGTCTGAGAACCACAGTTACAGTTCCACAAATATAATTAAGCTACTATTATGACTAAGACACAGGGCTGACAACTTTCCTCGCCCTCAGAATACATGGTTCTATCCTACGAGTGCCATTCGGAAAGTTCAGAAGAAGAAAAGGTCATATTGTAATTAGTAACAGATTCAGGAAAGAGACTGATCAAGAAGTGGGTCTGGAAAGATGAGAATTTCAACAGGTGGTAATCTGGAGCCAGAATATTTCTGGTTGAGAGAAATGTACAATCAGAGACAAGACACCAAGGAGCATATATATTCTGGTCACAGTCAGTCTTCCTGGGTGAAAGTGTCATGTGGATGAGAAGCAGTAATAGGGGAAACAAAGAAATGAGATGAGATTAAGATGTAAAGAGGCTTGAGCGCCAGATGGAAGCATTTGGACTTATTTTTAATCACCATGATAGTTCATTGTGTAGATGATAAATAAAAAGATACTGCCCACTACTGAAAATAGAAATAACTAATGAGACAGGAAATACTTAGAGCCTTCTTCAGGCATAGAGCTGATTAAGGGTATGGATAAGGCCTTTTAAGGGAAAACACAAAAAGTCAACAGGAAATGTAGAGGGTGAGGGTAAAGAAACACACCTCAAATTAAGTCAAGATGTATCCATCATCCTGACTAGTTGTCCAATCATAGCAAATGTCTTTTTCTCTCTGGATATTCAGAGAGACCCACAGCTAAGATCAGTAAAATGCACATGTACTTCCCAAAGTTGCTTTGAAAATAAATTGAGTAAATAAATAGCAGTCATGCTTTGAAGATCATAAAATGCTATATGAATGTATAGATGTTTAGCTACCACCATCTGTATTGTCAGTCTCAGTGGGAGTTATTGATATAACTCAAGAAGGTGGGAGGTCAAGGGTTTTAAGCATGCACAGGCCTGAGGAAGCCACAAGCTCCTCTTCACTTTACCCAGACACAGGACTGGAACAATCTGCTTAACTATTATTACTTTCTTGGGAAGATCATTATTTTAAAAATAACATCTCTTGATCCTATATTGAGATCTGCAGTAGAATGACTACCTGGACCCTTTAAGAAATGCTACCCTTTAATTTTATTTGTTGTTTTATTGGCTGTTTTTTAATAGCTAATGCATTTAGATGTTAAAGATTTAGACAAACAAACAAGAGTAGAGTTAAAAGTATTCTTAAGTTAAAGGTAAATCTAATTGGGTGGATAAGTTATGCTTCATCACAATGAATAGGAAGCTTCCCATTTGGCAGAAAAAAAAGGTGACAATATCAGAGAGATGAATGGGAAATATAAATGGCAACACCGATTAGGGTTCTTTGATCTCTTTCGTCATCTTTCTGAGCTGTTAGAGGGTAACTACTTCTTGTTTTTGTCTATGAGGTATCATTTTATACAATTAGGAGAGAAGTTAGCTGGTGTTCATATTTAAAGAAGTCAGCTGGTGTTCATATTCAATATCCCTAGCTAGCTGTATTAGTCGGGGTTCTCTAGAGGGATAGAACTAATAGGATATACATATAAAGGGGAGTTTATTAAGCATTAACTCACACAATCACAAGGTCCCACAATAGGCCATTTGCAAGTTGAGGAGCAAGGGGAGCCAGTCCAAGTCCCAAAACTGAAGAACTTGGAGTCAGATGTTCAAGGGCAGGAAGCATCCAGCATGGGAGAAAGATATAGGTTGGGAGGCTAGGCCAGTCTAGAGTGTTCTCACGTTTTTCTGACTGCTTTATATTGTAGCCACTCTGGCAGCTGATTACATGGTGCCCACCCAGATTAATGGTAGGTCTGCCTTTCCTAGCCCACGACTCAAATATTAATCTCCTTTGGCAACACCCTCACAGACACACCCAGAATCAATACTTTGCATCCTTCAGTCCAATCAAATTGACACAATATTAACCATCATACTAGCCAAAATAATTTTAAAATTGCCTGTAGAATGCTATCATGGTGGTCAGCAAATGTCCCATCTGGAGCTTATTCAAGCCTCTCCAATTAAGCAGTGACTATACTAAGCCAGCTGTGCCAACCAGGAACAGCACTGTCTTTTTTAATAGAACCCATGGTCTTGCCCTAGTCCTGGCAAACACTTTCATTCATCTTACATCTTTTTCCAAATGCACTCACAAATATTCCAGCTCACGGTCATAGCTTTTTTGTTGTGTTATTTGTTATTATTTAGTTTTTAAATCAACAAATAAAAATTATATATATTCATCATGTACAACATGTTTTGAACTATGTATACCTTGTTGAATGGTTAGATCAAGCTAATTAACATATTCATGTCAGGTATCATATGTTTTAATGAATCTTCCATGGTCAAGTATTAGCAAAAGTGGACCAAGGGGCTACACTGGTAGCAAGTGAATTCACTTGTGGAATTCTAGATTCATCTAGAAACTCCATGGGATTTTCATGCCCCTGAGTAGATATAGTAATCATTAGTGCTGCTCTCCAAATGTTCCCATTCTCTTTACATGATGATGTTGCACTTCCCAGGCTCTTAGGCATGACCACGCAATGTAAACAGAAGAAGTATACACCAATTCCAGGTAGAAACTTCAATCAGAATAATGTGATTTGGCACAGCAGTTTCCCCATCAGCTGTGGTGACCCCAACATTTCTGATAGTGGCAGCTCTACCAGCCTGGATCGTTGACAAAGGATGACACAGAGCATAGCCTCCAGCTGACCCACAGTGGGCAATAACTTAGTTTGGAGGAGAAGTAAACATTTTTGTTTCAAGCCGCAGAGACTGGGGACTATTTGTTACCAAAGCATTAGTTAGCCTATCCTAACAGATAGGAGACAAAGGCAATGTGATGAAAAAACAGAGTAGAATTTGTTAATGACACAGTCTTGGGCATCAGACAAATATAAGTTCTAACCTCTATCACTTCCTAGCTGTGTGGTCTTGGGACTGTTACTTAACTCCTCTGTGTTAACTTACTTCAGGCTTCTATGACAAAATGCCACAGGCTAGGTGGCTTAAACAACAGAAACTTATTTTCTCACAGTTCTGGTGGCTAGAAGTCCATCATCTAAGTTACAGATGACTCAGTTTCTAGTGAGGACTTCCTTCTTGGCTTACAGAGAGCTGCTTTCTCACTGTGTCCTCACAAGGTAGAGAGAGAACAAGCTCTCTACTGTCTATTTTTTGAGGACACTAATCCCATTGGATCAGGGCCCCACACTTATAATTGCATTTTATTTAATTACTGCCTTATTCTAAATACAGCCACACTGGGGCTAAAAGCATCAACATGGATTTTTAAAAGGACACATACACTCAGTCCATAAAACCCTCTCAGTCACATTTCCTCATTGGTTGTTTTGAGAAATAATTTAACGTATGTAAAGTGCTTGGTCTAGTATCTGTCTCTTTGTAGGTATTTATTACATTTAACTTTATTTTCTATAACCTTCCCCCAGCAAAAAAAAAAAAATCTCATCATATAATATAGAAAACTGAACCCTCTTATATTGTATATAATCAGCTATCACTGAAGTGTCCCGTCTGACACTTGGTTAGGGACCATCTCTGAAACAAGAGTTTTCCTTTGCTGCTCTTAATGCCCTAGGGCCAAGGTCCCTAGATTACTATTCACTTTTGTACTCTATATAAGCCAAGTCATTACAGGCCCGAGGAGCAAACGAATTATACAGCACAGTGTTACCACTAAATCAACACCGTCCAAGAAGCAGTCCAGGACAGGCAATCACTCTCCTTGGGCCAGGCTAGTATGCAAATGAAAGGCAGAGAAGCAGGTCAAAGAGGATTGAATGTTACTGAGAAAGTCATTGAAAATAGCTAACTCCTGATTGGTAAAGCTCCTGGAACAGAGTTTCAATCCTTAATGTGACTTTGAGCTGGAGAAAAGGCATTACATCTAAAGGTACCCTTAACATGCATGGGGCACCACACTGCCATAGCAAATCATGTGTATTAAAGTCTTTCACAGTGTCAGGTCTTGGAGGAAAAAAATTGCCAGCAAGCAATTTTCAGGCTAGGCAAATGAGCTAAGTTGATTGTCAATAAAGGAGGATAAATAGAATACACTTAACTTATCCTCTGCCAAGAAAATTAGGACCAAAACTTCACCAAGACAAGTATTTGTGAAGGTTCATAACTGTGTGTCCACTTGGGGTTATAGAATGACTTACAAGATGTTGATTTCTTCCCCAGTGTATATTCAATGAGCAGCAACAAACTTCTCATATGTTTAAGTTCATACAGATCCACTGTCACTATAGGGCCAGTCTTATACTTAGGAGATCCACAAATATGTTGTGATTTATAGGGTTCTGCGAAAATCTACTCTTTCAGAATACAGTTTATCTTTTGCTAACTAGCATGTTGTTGGGTTTTGAAATTCTGTGGATAAAATATTATTCTCTTCACCTTTGACGAGAATAATACATTAAACAAAACCAGCATCTTGATGGGAATTTGGGTCATCTTTTGTACAGAAGCTGGAGAGTTCTTGACTGCTTTAGGTTGAATAAAGTCTAAAGTAAAAATTTCAAAAATTTCAAAGACAATCTTATCTAGGCTTCACTGAAGCCTAGAGAAGACCCAGAGAAAATGTAGCCTCATTCTCCATCAACTGTACTTTTATGTCAAAAGTAGATTTCTCATGTTAACTAAAGACTGAATTCTTTGTAAAAAGGGGTAAGGGGTAATTGTTTAGGAAGAGGAGGAATATGCAGAAACTATTTCTTAACTTTTATTTAAATTTTGTATATTTTTTGTTTCTTTGCTTACAAAACATACATCACTCTTCATAATTATCCCAGCAGCATCTTGAATCTTATGTGGGATTTATATTTTAGCATTCCTTGGTATGTGTAAAATATTTGAATAGGCTGGGCACAGTGGCTTATGCCTGTAATTCAATACTTTGGGAGGTGAGGTGGGTGGATCACCTGAGGTCAGGAGTTTGAGACCAGCCTGGCCAACATGCTGAAACCCCGCCTCTACTAAAAATACAAAAAAATTAGCTGAGCATGGTGGCGGGTGCCTGTAGTCCCAGCTACTCAGGAGACTGAGGCAGGAGAATTGCTCGAACCCAGGAGGCAGAGGTTGCAGTGAGTCGAGATCATGTCACTGCACTCCAGCCTGGGCAACAGAGCGAGACTCCATCTCAAAAATAAAAAAAAAAAGAATAAATTAAACCTGCAAATGAGAATTCAGAAAGTGACAAGATAATAGCCAAGGGTGGTGTCTCACACCTGTAATCCCAGCACTCTGGGAGGCCAAGGCAGGAGGATTGCTTGAGCCCAGGAGTTTGAAACCAGCCAAAGCAACATAGTGGGAACTCCATCTCTACAAATTTTTTTTTTAAATTAGCCAGGTGTGGTGGTGCATGCCTGTAGTCATAGCTACTCAGGAGTCTGAGGCAGGAGGATGGCCCAAGCCCAGGAGTTTCAGACTGTGGTGAGCTATGATGGCACCTGCATCTCAGCCTGAGTCACAAAGTGAGGCCCTGTCTAAAAAAAAAAAAGGAGAAAAAGGAAAAAAAAAAAAGGGAAGTGGGGGGGACATGACAAGATGATTCCAGGTTTTTTGTTTTTTGTTTTTTTGTTTTATGATTAGAGACGAGAAGGAAAATATGAATGTGACTCCTTCTTTGTGGTTCTTTCAGCCGCAGCAACTTTGCTTTGTACACTCTGTCTCCTGCCAAGAGAGCCCAGGGAAGGTAATGTCTCCTGGATCGTATGAAATGTTTCTGTAACGGTCACTGTAACTCACACCTTGATTTTTACCAGGTCGCTGGCAAGTGCGATGGATTGTAATTGCTGCACATTCATGAGGGCTTCTCAAGGTTACCCGGTGAGGGTTAATGTTCAGTTCATCCACCAGACTTATGAGGCGGAAGAGAAAATCTCTATTAGTTATTCTGCAGCATTAACAAAAAATTAGAGAACATAGTCTGTGCTCTTAAAAGAAGCCTCGTTGTTCTCTGCTAAAAGGCAAGAGATCACACACAGTAGGTCATGAGTGTGTGTCACGTGCAGGGCTAAGGAGGAGCTTCCCTTTGATAATGAAACAAACATTTAGCTTACCTAAGAGCTATGCAGAGTGAGGACAAGATGTGTCATCTGCAAAACAAAAATAAATAAATAAAGGCAGATTTCTAAAAGGCACACATCATTCAGAATTAAATTAATTCAATTAATTATGATGTTTTCATACAAGTGGAACACAGGCCGGCTAGGAACAAAGATTTTTCTTCCTTATATTAGGAACAATGACCTATTTTTCTGTGTTTGTGGGGCCTGTTTGGTGTGGGTTGTTTTTTCCTAATTATGTTCTCTTTTTGAGTTTTTCCCTGCCAGGGCACAGTGAATACCAAAAGAAGAATAAGACGGAGAGCTATTCCTCAGTGAAGCAGAGTTTACAACCCTTGTTCATTTTGGCCAAAGGCCAGCTGACTCTAGTTTACCTAACTTTTAGAGAGTTTCAGAAAAAAAAATGGAAGTAATATCCTGCCTTTGAGTATGGAGACAAAATTCTAATATCATAAGAGAGTTATCAGAGGTTAAGGCAGTTAGAAGGGTTCATTCATTCAACATTCAACACAAACTGTGAACACCTAACATTTGCCATGTACAAAGAAGGACGTTCTGCCTTGGACTAACATCCATTCCTGTGAGGGAAGAGAAGCAGCAGGTATTTTCATACTATATAAAATGTATAGTATATCAGATATAATTACTGTGAGAATAAGAAAAAGTGTTGGGTGAGTGGAAAGTGCTATTTAATATAAAGGGTGGTATGGGACGGTCTCACTGAGACATTTAAACAGAAAGATCTTGTTATTGAACAAAAGGTTTCTGTCCTCCCCAAATTCATATGTTTAAACCCTAATCTCCAATGTATGTGATGGTATTTGGAGATGGAGCCTTTGAGAGTTAATTAGGGTTACATTAGGTCATAAGGGTAGAGCCCTCATGATAGGGTTAGAGGGCTTATAAGAAGAGGAAGAGAGAGATCCTTTCTCATTCACTCTACTCCCGTGCATCACAGAAAGTCCATGTGGGGATACAGCAAGAAGGAGGCTGGCCATCCAAAAGCCAGGAAAAGGGCCCTTACCAGGAACTGAATCAGCTAGCACCTTAATCTTGGACTTTTAGCCTCCAGAGCTGTTAGAAAATACATTTCGGTTAAGCCAGCCAGTCTGCAATATTTTGTTATAGTAGTCCTAGCAGACTAAGATAGGCCTGAAGGAGGTGAGAGAAAAGAACACGCAAATAAGGGGAAAGCATCTCTGGCAGGGAAATTGAAAGTGCAAAGGCCCTAAGATGGCAGTATGTCCCATTTTCAAGGGACAGCAGGGAGGTCAGTGGGACTGGAGCCAGGTAAGCAATGGGTAGAGAAGTAGGAGATGATTTAGAAAGCTAATGGGGGAGGGAGATTTTATGAAGCCTTCTAGACCACTGTAGAACTGCAGCAGAAGAGTTTGTGGTCTGACTTTCTTAACTGCTGAGTTGAGAACCAACTAGAGGGGAGAAAAGGGCACATCAAGAACTCTTAGATGACTGCTTTCATCCAGGCAAGAGATGGGCTTTAGAGATGGAGACACCAGGTTGGCATTTACTCTGGCAATTAGAAATTATGGGCTATGAGGCATTAGTAAAAATGAGTAACTGATATTAGGCAGTTTCTAAGGGCCAGATCCAGGGCTAAGCAATTTACATGGATTATCTCAATTACTCTGGTGAGAGAGGTACCATTATTATAATCTGCAGTCTATAGATAAGGAATGTTCTGTATCTTCATTTCTTTATATACTAGAGAAAATAGTACTACCTACCTTACAGAGGTGTGGTAAAGATGAAATGCAATACTCCATGTAAATCACTTAGCTCAGTACCTGACACAGGGTATAAGCTCAATAAAAGATGACAATGGTTATCATTTTGTGATTTCATTAGGATAGATAAAATTTTGTCCACAAACTACCTACCTGTGGACATAGAAGACTGAAAAAGTCAGTACTCTTCATCATGCACTTACCTCAGTTTCAAATCAAGAGAAAGAATTAACACAAATCTGAGAAGCAGACTTTCTATATTTAACGTAAGACTCCTTTTGACAAATCTTTCTATGGTCTTTGCCTAGAGCAACTAGCACTTCCCTCTATCTGCACTGGCATTTTTCTCCTATTCTTGTTTCCTTGTCAGAGCTGTTCCTTTCCAATCCTGGCACAATGTTTCTTACTCTTCTGGGCTAAATTTCATGGTTCTCCCACACTTCTTAGAATTCCCTTCTGCAATAAAGCCTTCCCACAGTGTCACCACATCCTGTCCTGGACATCTTCCCGGCATTTCACCATGTAGCTACTCCATAGCTGGACGTTGTGCGGATTTCCTCTTTTTCAATGTTATCTGATTATTTCATTTGGAGTGGGCTCCATATTCTTGTAGACAACACTGATGCTTCCCCCGAACCACCATGGGCTCTCTGAACCTGGAAATGGAAAGACATCTTTGACATTTCCTCCATGAGACACATGACAGGCTTATTAGAGTGGGAGGTGGCACACACACAGCGCTGCCAGGAATTAAACGCTACACCCTTCCCTTTACCCTGAAATGGAGCATCCTACTGGGTCACTCAAGGTGATATGTATAGGCAACTTAGAGAAACACTCCATTAACAATGAAATTAAAGCTTTTTATCCAGTCACTTGTGTCCCTGGGTATCACACTTTATCACTTTGTTTAGATAAAGCTTTATTGGTCTAAGAGCAAAACTAGGTTTTGTTGTTGTTGTCGTTGTTATTGTTGTTTTCCCTAAAAGGCCTGGATGATGCTGCCGCTTGAAGAAGAAAATCTTTCTCCTGCCAGAGTCCTGCTTAACCTTAGCTGGGGGAGGTGATCTTTAACACTAACTATTAAAGTTTGAGCCCAGAGACTGGTGCTAATTCACCCTGACCAACCTCTCACACAGCCACAGAATTCTCCCCTGCACACCAGGGCACCACCACTGGGAGCTGTTGGCAATAAGGGAGTGGAGAAGGTAGAATGTGAGAGGCCCTCAGTCATCCACTCCTCTAGTCAGTAGCCTTCCACTCATAAATGGATAAAAACAAGAGCCATTTTTAGATTCAGCATTTCCTGGGGAGAACAATTCCAGCCCCAAACTTCAGATGTCAGCAGAGAACAGTGTGGGCTCTTTATGTTCCTCAAGAACATGCACACTGAGCTTCCCCCGCAGCCCCCGAGCACTGCCAGCTGCTGCTGCTGCGATCCCAGTGTCTGAGTTTGTGACTCGCCGGGAGATTGTCTGTTCCTGCTGCTTCCAATATCGTCTTGGCCTTTATGAAGGCACATGCACACGACTGTAGCGGCACCCCTGTCTCCGGCCCATTGTGGACATGACTGCTCTTCCAGTGTGGCTCCCCTGTGACAGGCACCTGCTCAGCAACCTACAGAAGCTCCCCCAGGTAGGTATCAATGCCCTAAATTTCCTTTCAAGCCTTCAAGGCTCACCCAACATAAATATCGCACACTCCTTGAAGAGCAACTTCTACTTTCATCAGATAACACTGATCTACTTTCCTCCTAACACTCCTTACACCTGCCTCCACCCTTTGCCCATATTGCTCCCATTTACCTCCACTGGGAGTATCTTCCCTTTACAACTTATTTAAATTCTGTCCAACGTTCAAGACACAGCTTAAGTCCCACCTCCCCTGAACACCTCTGGGATCACTTCAGTCCTCAGGGTTATTACAGTTATAATTGCTAGCGTGTAATTTCACAATTAATTTTCTTCTCCCTGTTTTGTGTGTTTGCATATTATCTACAAGGTTGTAAGATACTTGAGAAAAAGATCCAGATATTTTACTACTGTCAATCTAATTCTGGCGAAGAGGAGGTGCTCAACTTTATGAAGCTACAACTGGGCCAATGCCTTGTAGAATGTTAAATAGAGGACAAGATTTTGACCTCAGTATCAGAGCATACAAAGATAATCTGACACTCCCTCTCATAATCCCTGTGAAAGTCCACATTCTCTACACAGAGAGAAAGGATTAGGCTCTCTGGTTTTGTTTGCTATAATCTTAGAATAATTCTAACCCTGCACTGAGCAAGGACAAATTACTCAACTTTCAAAATTGAAAGATCACTCAGAAATTATGTAACACAAAGGCAGAGAAGAAACTTGAAGCCCAAAGAAGTGAAGTTTCCTGCCCCAAACCACAGAGTGGATGAATGATAGAACTAGGAACAAACCCTAAAGCTTTTGAAATCCCAGCCAAAACTCCTGAGTGAATATTTGCAGGTTGCCCTCCTTCATTTTCTTTAGAGTCTGGATGTTAGCAATAGAAAATCATTGGAAAAATACTTTCTGAGTGCTTTCTCTGCCTCTAGCTCTATGCTAGGGCATGTGGGCTACGAAGAAAAGGAAATAAAAATAAAATGAACCTATCTTTGCACTCAGGACTCCTGAACTCCCTGTATTATTTTTTAAAGCAATGATCTTAACTTTTTTTTTTTTCTGAGGCATAGAACCCACTGAGAATATAATTAAAATTAAGGCTTAGGGAAGTGCATGTATGCACAAACCAACAAAACACTGTGCTTCATTTTAGAGTTTTGCTGAGCTCTCATACCTCCAGGTTATAGTCTCTTTCTGAAATCTTCAAAAATAGAGTCATGGTTTTATAATTTACAGAGTCCAGATGTAGTCCTCGCCTTTTTCTCCACCCTTTTGAGTGACTGGTGGGAAGGCAGCAATCACAGCTTCATCTCTTCCCTAAATAAATAAGCACTTCCCTGAGTGCCTCAACTCCATTGCTCCAGATGTCACACTGGATGAATGGCTCATTTAGGGCTCAGCAGGACCCAGGTCATGCACTGAGCTGATCAGCTTTTCTGTGTCCTGCCCTTGCCACTCAGAGAAGTTTCTCTGCCACTCTGCCTGCTTGGAAAATCCACACTCCCCTTAGGAGGCCTGGAAGCCGAATAACTTCTAGCATGGTTCTGGCAAGCCTGGGGAAGAGGGGAGGGGTCTGGTGCCTTCTCTTGGGACTTTTATTAGACAATACTGGTGAAAGGCCCACGGGGTGTTTTAAGTGGTGGCTCTGGCATAAAAGATGCGATGGAAGGAGCACTTCTCTCAGAAGCCATATATCATGAGGCTTCTCCAGACAGGAGAAGGTGGGAAACAGATGGAGACGAGCAGGCAAATGCACCGCAGGGACACAGCTTGAGTGGGAGGGTGTGAGGAGGCAACTGAAGCTATCAGCAGCAGCAGACAGAGGGAAAAGACTCACGATGTGGAACCGACATATGGAAAGTCGGAGTGGGAAACAGAAGACAGGACCCAACAGCAAGAGACTCATTCTCACAACATGTAGAACCAAGAGATGAACCAGGCTCCTTCTCTGGCAGACAAAAGAAACTCCGTCACTGCTAAAGACTTATTTCTGCACCCAAGAAAATGAGTTGGCCTGAGAAAGGTTAGGGTAGGAATTCCCTACCCTACTTTGCAGGAGGAACATGGTTAAAAATTCTAGGTCTTCCTAGAGTGAACTACAGTCCCAGATTGCCTGGAACTATCCCAGTTTTATGGCTAAAAGTTCTAGAATAATTTCCTATCAGTCCTGGGCAAAGTAGGTCAACTGGTCACTCTATGACACCCTTAATGATTCTGATCCTTTAGTTTTCAATGAAACCCGGAAATCTGCAGCACTACCCAGGACTCCTGGTGATCCTGGTGCTAGGGAATAGGGAGGTTGCTCCACTGGGGACACTTATAAGCACTGTACATTTAATCCCCGGTATAACTTGTCAAGATGATCTGGAAGAAGAAAGAATAAAAAAGGAAGAAAAGCAGAAAGAGTTGATGGCTTCTGAAAACTCTAAAACAGCCATTCTCCACCTTTTGAATCCCATGGGAAGCTTTGAAAACCATGGATACCTGGGCCCTTGCCTGGACAATTACATCAGGTTCTCCGGGGTGAACCTGAGGTGAGGCCTCAGCAGTGGCACAAGTGAGAATCATTGTTCTGGGATTCCTGATTTCCTGACTGATGGCATCTGGTGGCAGGCAGGGAGCTATACTGAGTGCCTACACCTGTACAAAATAGCACTGCACCCTAGCTGACAGGAGGAACGAAGTCCCTCTTTCTAAAGTATTATTTTTCCTCCTTGATGTCACTGCCCAGCAAAGAAGCAGTCCCAGGTCATGTTAGAGTTACCTACTCATTTGTATTTAACCCTGCGCTCCAGGAATTACAGAAAATGAGTCTGCAGGAAACGTGTCCAGGTCTTCTCCATTCCCAAGGTAATCATGTGCTCTGTGTATATCCTACTCGAGGTTCTACCATTGAAAGCCAGGCATGTACTTCTTTATTTTCTGTGGCTAATAGAAAGGGGGAAAAGGATTTCTGCAAAAATTGAAAGAAAACTAAAAGATTCCTGTGCAGGAGAGAAGAATCAAAACTGGTGATAGAATATGACAAAGAAGAGAAAAGAAAAGGGGGACAGGGGAGAAGCAACACAAAGGGCTGTTTTTCAGGACAGATCCCTTGAATCAATACCTCCCCAGAATACAAAGACATTCAACGGTTAAAAACCAGAGATCGACAAGAACAGTTATTCTGCACCAAATGAAAGGATATACGGTATGGCATTGATTATACCCAAAGGCTATAAGGCAATTGAACGTTAATTGGCAGAGGCCTACCAAAGGTATACAATCTTGAAGGACCTATCAGGAAAAAAGAGAAGTTGCTAAAACTTTTTAAACCTGGACTTCCTTTCCAATTCCATGGTTTCTTCAGAAGACAAACAACTCCCCAGGTTTTACAACTGGGAAATATAGCTCCCTACAAATGGACAGCAGCATAGTATAGGAACCTAATAAAAGATAATAAGGTGAATAAAAAGGGTGGTATAATCCTTGGCAAAATGTATAGCAATATGAAAATTTTTGTAATAAATTGTTATAATGGTTTGCGTTGTGAATTAGAATAGCAAATACTTTGTTACAGAGTACTTACATTTTATTTTTTAGCTATCACAGCTCAAAACTAAATGTAGACGTGTGACTCTATGATACCTTCTGGCTAAAGATTGCATCTTTATCATCAGAGCAATATATATCAGGTTGATTTATTAACACTCTATCTCCAATTGGCTCTATGCAATGTGCAGACAAATAAACACGTAAATGAATAAGTAAAATATTTTTAAAGTATTCCTGCCCTCTAGAACCTTATACTCCCTGATAATTATTCTTACTGAAACATACAGAATACTATTAAACGTAGTGATTCATACCTGCAGAAGAAAAATATGCCCTTTTCTGTAACAGGAGAATGCCTGAATAATGATAGCACTGAAATTGATGCCATCATTATCAGCTTGCATTTTTCAAGCACTCAGTCAGTGCAGGGCAAAGAACTGCAGAAGGGACTACAAACAGGGATAAAAAGCAGGCTCTGCCCTAAATGAGCCCACAGCCTGGATGGAGGGAGAGGAGGGAAACATACACAAAAAAACGGTAACTCCCTGGAAGCATTTTTTTAAATACCCAGTGAGTTACACAGACCTTAAATGGTGTTGGATGGCAGTGCAATCACAAGCTTTTACATGTGCTTTATGGTGTCTAATCACATTCATTATCATATTTAATTCTCACAATAACCTGTTGATATGAGTGTTAAATCTCCATCTTACAGATAAGAAAATTGAGACTCAGAGCATTTAAGCAGCCAGCCTGGAGTCACAGAGATTTAAGTCTCAGAGCCAGCACTCAGGATGAGTGCCAATGGAAGCCTGTCCTTGGAGTCCAGAATGAACGTCAGAAGCAACCCAGCCACAGCAGGAGACTGTCCATGAATGTCATCTGGCTGAACCTAAAGGCAAGACCTTTTTAACTTATCTCATTCAAGCTTATTCTTCGTACTCTTTCACTAATTCCAATTAAGAATATTTCATGCTCATGATAGGATTTGCCATTTTTCCCACTTGCCAAGTCCCTGATTATTCATCATCATCACCAGCAACAACAGCAGCAGCAGCAGCAGCAGAAATAGAGAATTACTTGTTCAAGTAGTAAAACCTTCTGTGGAAGTCTAGTGCATAACAATGCATACCTTCCCCTGTCTCTAACCCTCTTGTTTTCTAAAATTAACATCTCTGAGATATAGAAAGACATGCAAAGGGGCATGGATCTGGTATTTTAGCTGCTACAAAATAAGCACAAATACAATAATGGGGCGACTTCATACTTAACTTTTGTCATTATAAAATCTAAGACTGATTCATGGACTGACATGCAGGAAGAAATAAAATTCTTTATCTCCTTCCAGGGGAGAAGGGTTTCTCAGTTTCCTGGGAATAAGCATCATTAGAGTAATATATATATATTTTTCTATTGTGCTTCTTCGGTTTTACATTTAGTCAACATTCTCTATTATTCTGAGCAATAGACTCTTCTGAAATTTTCATTTCTGTAGATGATGTATATTTTTTATCTTTTTTCTGTGTCTTCATTGATATTTTAGTGGAAATTTGGGAGATGATGTATCAGCAGCAACTAGCCAAGCACCATTTTAAACTAAAATCCGATGGAAATTTAATTTGATTGCACTACAAATGTTAACTCCATGAGATTTTTTTTCCTCCCATCAAGTGTGTCTCTCCTTCCCATTAGGCATATTTGGATAGTGCAAATGGGTGACTTGACTGGAAGCAGAAAGAGATTCATTCCATTCCAATTTTGAATATGACAGTTGTGAAGTCAGGCTCATGACCTGTGTGCCAATTTACAATCTAATAAAAATTTAAATGCTTGAATTATTAACAGAGAGTGAGGGATGGAGCTTAGAATGGAAACATTTATAATGAAGTGACGATTTTCAGCATAATAGAGTTGCTCATTTTTGGAACATCCTATATGCATATTCCTTGTGGTTTCATAGCCCGTAAATTGTTTGTTGTTGGGTCTCATTTTGAATTCTCTTTACTATTTCATTCTGTTCTGCATCAGCAATCAGGGCAGCTGTGGATACTAACACAGTTTAATTTTTTAAAAAACCATACGCTTTACGGTCAGACATACCTGGATTCAAATTCTGATTCTGATTTTTACTTGCATTGTGAGATCTGATAGCGTGTTTCATCTTGTTGACCAAGTTAGCCTGCAACAACTACCTTGTAAGCTTTTTGTAAGAATTGCAGTAAATAAGTGAAAATATTTCTGACCGTGCCTGGCATGTAGTAGTTGTTCATTAATGAGTATAAGAGCTTTTCGCCATCGTTCCTTCTTTATTCTGCCATGTAATTTAGAAGAAAGAGTCCTCAAAGATCATGCATTAATTGATTCAATAAAGCATTCATTCATTCATGTGACATTTATACAGTGTCGACTCTAGGCCTGGGAATTCTCAGAGCTAAGAATATAAGAAATACTGAGACCTTCAAAAATGTTATAGACTAATGAAGAAAATAGGCCTGTTAAAAATACTCTATACTAGGGAAAAATGAATGATATTAAAGAAAGATGTTTAAGGTACTACAGTGACACTAAGAAAATATTTTCTTGGTGCTTTTGAGTATGTCAGTTAAATCCTTTGAGCTTCTAATTTTTTAAAATTAGATTAACAAAAACATATGAGCCACTTCAAACATGCCGGTGCAAAGCCTACAATTTCTTTCAAAGAGGCTGAACTACAGGCCATTTTACCCAAACTCATACATTCATTCATTTTAAAAAGTGCATCCTTGGAACAAGCATAATCAAGAAATGCTTAAAACGAGTCTGGCCTGTAACTCATGACAAAGACTTGTATGAAGAGATGAGCTGAGCCAATCTGCATCCTACCAAGAGAAACCACAAGAATCAGACAATTAGCATCAGGAACCGAAAATGAAAGCATGCCCAGAGAGCAGAAGTCATAAGGGATAGTCAAGGCTCTTTTGGTTCAGGAGAAAGCTGCATGTAGAAGGACGCTTGAGTTAAGCAGAAGATGGTAGATGAGGTTAGAAGTAAGACGAAATAAGGATGAAGAGTAGAGGATGGGGAAGGCAGCCAGAGTTAAGGTGCAGCAGACACCCAGAGAGGGATGGGGAGGCCAAGGAAAAAAGAGCATTACAAAGAGAGAGTGCTTGCAGAAATGAGTAGGAAACAGCAACGGTGGGCTGTCCCCAAACTGCTTGTGTTCCAACTGATTTCCAGTTCTAAGCCCCATGTGGTTTCTGATCCTGTGTGTTTTTGCTTAAAAACCTCCTACCTGTATTACTGAATAACTGAATTTATCTATGTTGAGTATAGCCAAAATAGCCCCTTGTTGGTTGGTTTTGTTTTTGTTTTTGTTTTTTTGAAATTTTTCTAATTTTTTTTTATTATACTTTAAGTTTTAGGGTACATGTGCACAACGTGCAGGTTTGTTACGTATGTATACATGTGCCATGTTGGTGTGCTGCACCCATTAACTCCTCATTTAACATTAGGTATATCTCCTAATGCTATCCCTCTCCCCTCCCCCAACCCCACAACAGGCCCTGGTGTGTGATGTTCCCCTTGCTGTGTCCATGTGTTCTCATTGTTCAATTCCCACCTATGAGTGAGAACATGCGGTGTTTGGTTTTTTGTCCTTGCGATAGTTTGCTGAGAATGATGGTTTCCAGCTTCATACATGTCCCTACAAAGTACATGACCTTATCATTTTTTATGGCTGCATAGTATTCCATGGTGTATATGTGCCACATTTTCTTGATCTAGTCTATCATTGTTGGACATTTGGCTTGGTTCCAAGTCTTTGCTATTGTGAATAGTGTTGCAGTAATCATACGTGTGCGTGTGTCTTTATAGCAGCATGTTTTATAATCCTTTGGGTATATACCCAGTAATGGGATGGCTGGGTCAAATGGTATTTCTAGTTCTAGCTCCCTGAGGAATCGCCACACTGACTTCCACAATGGTTGAACTAGTTTACAGTCCCACCAACAGTGTAAAAGTGTTCCTATTTCTCCACATCCTCTCCAGCACCTGTTGTTTCCTCACTTTTTAATGATTGCCATTCTAACTGGTGTGAGATGGTATCTTTAATCACTATGTTAATATAAAGTATCAGGGCCAGTAGTGATGATATGCTGATCTTCATACAAGGATATAACCCCATCCCAACAATAAGGAAAAGGCATAAAGTTGTGTCTCCTAACCTAGAAAGACACTATGCTGAACAATCCATACTATGCTGTACAAGGTCCTTGACTAAATCCCCAAATGATATGCACTGAAGTACACCAGAAAGCCAAAATAATTTTTTATTTGTACAAAGCTGCTTAGCCCATAATTGTAGACAGACAATTCACCATAGGTCTTTGAGTTTCTGCAGATCTTGCAAGCAAGTCACTAACTGCCATTTTGTTCTAGCCTATCTTTTCTAAGGATGGTTTTATACAGGCAGTTTTGGGAGACAGTATCTCTCTCCAAAGCAGAGGGCATATTTGTTTGTTTCCTTTCCAGAATAATAGTGGTAATATTTCCCTCTGGGGAAAAGGGCATGTTTGCTTTCATTCCATTACAAAAGAGTTGGGTTTTCTAAGCTCAGGCTTCTTTGGTGCATACTCATTGCATGCATAGCATCTAGCCAGGCTTTTCTCTATTGTCTGCCATAGCACCTGAAGGGCCTTTATTATAGCAAGTATCATACTGCATCCCTTTCCCTTTCTTATCTGATGCAAACATGAAGCACCTGCTGCTTGTTCTGCCATGAGTAATACAGTCCTTAGTCTCTGACCTAGGAGTTTCTTGACTCTGCCAGCTTTAAACTGCGGCAGGCTAACTTTTTACCTTGCACATACAGTAAAATCTAATGTTTTTCATCATTCTTGACATGCATGTGGCATCTCAACATGAAGCAGTGTTCTAATCATCCTAATCAATTAAGTCAAATGGTATATGTAGGACACAGTATTGACCACAAGTATTGGCAATTTTTTTCATCATGGTCTTTCTATTCCTACACACTATGATGACTATTGTATACATGCTTAAGTATAAGGTATAATTTTACCAAAATAGACATAAAAAGTTCCCATTTTGTACTTTATTTGGGAACAATAATCAAAACCAAATGTACATGTCTTTGACATGGGCAATGGTGTCTCTAGGAATTGAGGAGAGAAAAGATCAAATGTAGGTATTATTCTCTAAAACAGAGTCCCCTAAGTAGCAACAAGAGCTTCAGATGTAATATATGTAAATATTGTGTAAATAAATATACATGTATTGTAGGGTATGCTCTAGTTTTGTTTATTTGTTTTTTAATAGGGATATATAGTTAAAAAATTGTGGGGCCTATTGTCATGTGGATAGCCACTATTACATGCATCCAAAGACATAGTTTCCTGTGGTCTTGTTCATAGTACCTAACAACATGGAAAATACCAAATTATCCTTCAAATGTCATTTGTCGAGGAGATGTTACATGTCACTCTAAATATGTAGTTTGAGAGTTTCCATTCTACATAATATTTGCTCCTGAGTATTGAATGTCCAAAAGCTGAACTTTTACTTAGAGGTGCTTGGGTTCTCAGAAATACATTTACATGAGGTGCTTACATGAAGCAGAATGCCCAAATAACCATTTATAATGGAAAAAAAATCCTTTTGGGAGCTCATTCGCTCATATTCTCTATCAGGACCCTTTTTTCTTGGTATTAAGTATAAATGATTTAGTTACAATGCTTCTTGTCTCAATCAAAACTCTGAGAGTGGCACTGACCTGAAGGATACTTCTTTGGGTCATGGGGAGGTCTGATAAAGCATCCTTGCCTAAGGCAGCAGGATCGCTCAGGTGGACTAGATAGCACATCTCTCACCTTCCCAGCCTCAGTACCACTTGTTTTCCTATGCCAGTTGCCTCACTCTGTAAGCATTCCTTTCTTTGTTTTTAATTACTGAAATCATATGCATTAATTTTAGATATATTTAAATAGATAGGGATAAAGGGAGAAATCACTACCAAGAATGGTTAACCTCAGAAATTTTCTACATATACCTGTAACTGCACATGAATATATTCCGTATTACAAAATCATAGATCCTACTGCACATAACTTAGGTTGGCCTGTCTGGTTTTCACTAAACAATATATGATGAACATTTTCTCATTAGAATAAGTAAATAATGACATGCGTTATGAATGTATAATATTCCATTATAAAAATATACAATCATTTGTTTGTTTTTTGAGCTGAAATACATGTAGAAATCTCCAAGAAGCCTTTGCTGCCCACTCACTCCTTGGTCTGTGTTATGTGGCCATCCTTCAACCCCACCATAGGGCCTTTATCATAGCACTTATCATACTGCATACCTTTCCCTTTCTCACCTGTATACACTTATGTCTACTTAGCTCACTTTTTAAAATCTTCAGTAGCTAACTAGTTACTAACTCATAGGGGGTTCTCTAACATATCTGTTGAACTGAATTGAATAATACGATTGTGGTTAAGATGCTTCTACAAACATTTTCACACTTGTCCAACAATTTACTTGAGCTAAACACCTTGAAGTAGTATGAATGAGTCACACAAATACAAATCCTAAAAGTCCTAAAGCTTTTTGGTAGAGAGACAGTGATTATGTTAGTATTTCTGGGAAGGAAGAAATATCCCAGATTCGTATTCAAAAAAAATTTTTTAATAATTTTGCCTTTTGCCCTAGTTAACTTTCTGGAAATGAGAAAAGGAAGAGAGGGTGGAAGAAAGATCTGAGAGAGGAAGAAGTAAATATAGACAAATTCAATCTCATAATGTACACAATGTTATGTAAAATAGTCTTCAAAATATCCAGTTTTACAGGTCCCCAGAACCCCCATAGTCTCTTATGTCCACATTCAAGACAGTTCTGTTAATGTTGTTTATAAGGATGTGCTGCTGCAATTTATTGTACCACTTTCTTCTGTCCAGAGGGACATTACAAAACAACTTTTTATAATCTCCAAACTGGACGGAAATTTTCTTGCAAAATGATACATAGTGAAAATATTATAAAGAGCCTCCCAGGCACTTGTGCCTCAGAGTCTTGTTTAGAGAAAAAGGTATCACAGGGAATAAAATTGCAGTAGGGTTGAAGATTTTCTGTTCTTTTCTTTCTTTTTTTTTTTCCGTGACTAAGAATGAACAAGACCCAGGTTGTTCAGGGATGAGAGGTTTCACCATTATAACCCTGAAGGCAGCAGCATTACTCTCCGTCTGTGCCATGCCTCTTCCATTTTATGAAAATGGAAGATTTTATGAATTTGGCAAACATTAGTCTGTCAAGCCAACTGGGCCCTAAAGAGATACAATCATATGTGGCAGCCCCTCCCAATCCTGAATCACACAGCACAGAACATATGATAAGCCAATAATTAGTCTGTGAATTCAGTTACTCTAAGCAGTCCAAATGCATATTTCAAGCTTTGATTACCCTTCCATCGGAGATTTTATTTTTCCTTTTCTTCAATTAAACAAGCAACTACAGAAAAAGCAGGATTTTAGAGACCTGCAACACCTGGATGATTGCAATTAGATGTGGCTTCAGAGGTGGGGAGGTTGTTCTCCACAGGAATATTTACCAAGTATATAAAACAGGTAAATTAGAAGGTGGCTTTTAACATTACAAAAATATTTCCTAGTTTTAGTTTTCCTGAAAATTACATTGCAAAATTTTCTTCTGCTATAACATTGCTGTAAAGAAACCCTGCACTGCAGTCCAGTATGCCTGAACTGTAAGATAAGAGGGTTGTACTCTCCAAAGCTGCTTTGAATTCAAATAATATGTGAACTACACTATACAGAGTCTGGTACAGGGATCAGGCAAAATTTTGAAGAAAAGTTAGAAAACAGGTAAGCACTGAAGTTCGTTGATCCCTACAGGATGATTTTCTTGGATTTTTGTAGAATTTTTCGGGGACAGATTGGTTATGTCAATTAATGTAACAATAAACATTTGGCTTTATTCTCTTAGCAAGATGTTGAAGAGCTTTTCCATAGCACCACAGTGAGTAAGTAGAAGAACTCACAAGCGTATTTAAAAAGGGAAAGCTAGAACTGCAAGCAGCCTTGATGGTCACCCACTCAGCTTCCTTAATTTACAGTTGAAGAAACTGAGATGCATGTACCCCAAAACTCACGTAAATTAATAATAATAGAAAAACCCCCAAAAGTCAAATCTCCTAGGTTTCAGGACAATCCTCTTTCAAGACACCTCACTATGCCCCAGTCACTGAAAAAATTTTTACTTTTGTTACGATTCATACTGTAATTTTCACAGACTTCACTGAAGTATTTGCATCTTCATAGTTTTGATTCAATTGATCAAAAACTATCAAGTCAACTTTAAATACACTTGAGTTGCATCTAACCTCTTAATGACATGTCTTCTTTGCAGTACTTGCTTGTTCATCAAGGATGTTGCTGCTCATGCATTGGTATAGATTTCTAAGCCAGACGGAAGAGGCTACTTTGCAGACATCTTGTAAAAGAAGTTCATACCTCAATTGAGGAACTGACTAAGGTTTCCAGAGGTTTCTCTTTGTTCAGAGGCTCCAGCAGCATATGACTTCTCTCTGTCTATCCAGTGATCATTCAAAGCTCTCTGAGGCATAATAGATTGCTCAACAAGCATCTCTCCATTTGATCTGAAGTTTCTGTGTGTTGTGGGTGATGAACTGGAGTTGTCTCATTATGAAAGTCTTTTGCTGTTGGGTTCCATCCTGACCAAATGTTTAGCAATGCAAGCATGTTTGCCTTCAGATAGCTAAATGACTGCGTGATTGCTAATTTAATGTGTCAACTTGGCTGGGCTAAGGGATACTTAGATAGCTGATAAAACATTATTTCAGAGTATTTCTGTAAAGGTGTTTCTGGAAGAGATTATCATTTGAATGAGTAGACTGAGTAAAGAACATTACCCTCACTAGTGGGGGTAGGCATCATCCAATCTATTGAGGGCCCAAGTAGAACAAAAAGGTGGAAGAAGGGTAAATTCTGTCTATCTGCTTGGTGGGACATCCTCTCCTGTCCTTGGGCATCAGTACTCCTAGTACTCAGGCCTTCAGACTCAGACTGAGACTTATACCACTGGCTTTTCTGGGTCTCAGGGTTTGAGGCTTGGACTGGAACTACCCCCACTGGCTTTCCTGAGCTTTTAGCTTGTAGACATTAGATCATGGGACTTCTCAGCCTCCGTAGTCACATGAGCCAATCTCTCATAATAATTTTCTCTTTTATTCCTCTCTCTCTGTCTGGGTATGTGTGTGTATACATCTTGTTTGTTCTGTTTCTCTGGAGAATCCCAACAAATACATGCTATTACCAAAAAAGAAGAAGGTTTCCAATTATCTTATGCCATTTCTGAAAGTAGAATTAGGACAATGAATGGAAGTTACTGAAGAGCACCTTAGGCTATCATTAGGAGGAATTTTATAGCATTTAAAAACATCCCAAAATAAAATAAACTATTAAATTTTTTTTCTTTTTTTGAGACACTCTTCGCTCTGTCGCCCAGGCTGGAGTGCAGTGGCACAATCTCGGCTCCCTGCAAGCTCTGCCTCCCGGGTTCATGCCATTCTCCTGCCTCAGCCTCCCGAGTAGCTGGGACTACACGTGCCCAACACCACGCCCGGCTAATTTTTCATATTTTTTAATAGAGAGGGGGTTTCACTGTGTTAGCCAGAATGGTCTCGATTTCCTGACTTCGTGATCCACCCGCCTTGGCCTCCCAAAGTGCTGGGATTACAGGCGTGAGCCACCACGCCCAGCCATAAACTATTAAATTTTAATAAATGTCTTATCTCGGAGTATTTAAGGCAGTCCTGGAGGACCACCTGTCAGTGATATGGAGATGAAAAGAAGAATAACACATTGAGAGGTTGCGCTCAACTTCCTAACTGTAATAAGTCAATAGTGTATGAGTTTTTCTATTTTAAAAAGTTAGATATCCAATATATGAAAAAGCATTTGTGAATTTCCTTTGGTAAATCTAAAGGAAGACAGAGGTCCTGGGGATAGAAGTCAAAACAGTAGAAGATAAAGTGCCTTTCAGAATAGAGTTTTCATTAATACCTAAGAGACAAGGATAATTCACCAAAAATCTTAGATAATGACATAAACAACTTAGGAGTACATGGCAAATTTCATGACATTGTTCCTACATTCTGTATGATCGGGGATAATAAGGAACATAATTAAATGGAGAGACTGAGTTAGAGTATGGAATGGACCTTGAAGGATAGATAGAATTTAAATGGATAGAGAAAAGTGTGTGGAAATAAAACATGGGACTGGGGGAGGGTGAATTACTTTGTAGTTTCTGTGTAGAAACTAGAATACCCATGCTGTTAGAGGGCTTTGGTGGAAGAGAGCTAAGGCAGTAAGAAGCTGTTTAAGGAAGTATATGGGAAGTATATACTTACCTCCTAATTTTCCATCACATGGCATAGTGCGTATGCAGGCAGATGTTAAAAAACCCATTCTCGAGCTAGTTCACTCTCTGCAATCTTGATGCCGAGCCCTAGGTGGTTTTGGGCTTTAACAAATAAGCTGGATTTAAGCAGCCATAGCAGCATCATATCCAATTTGACCTTGGGAACTATTTCCTGAATTCCATGTGATTTGAAAAGCATTTGTTTCCTTAATCAAATACTGCCAGTCCTTTGCTGAAATTGGGGGTCTGGAGACTGTCCACCTTTCTGGATGACAGCAAATGGTACATAAGAAACCCTGTCTTATGTTTGCATGGCATGCCTATTGACAGCAGCAAGGAACAACTGTTATCTTTGAAAATAGGACAGAGAGGGAAAGGAGAGTAGGAGCTATTATCTAGGCCCATTCATAATCATTGTGGTCTGAAGAGTGGGAAGGACGTAGAGAAATTGGATGGTGCTTACAGGCCAAGCATTATAATGAATGGGAAACATTTAGCAACCAAGATAGGCACAGGGAATGCAGCACTTAGCTTCCCAACCTCCCCAGGATTTACTGAAGTTATGAAGAAGTATATGATAAAAAACAATCAGCGTAAATTGCAGACCCATCTTTCATGCTGCTTTAATTAAAAAGCCTTTCATCATTTCCAGCTTAAACATCTCTTTTCTCAGTCTTAAAGTAACTACTGAATCTTCTAGCGCTTTCACATTGGTAGTCAGGAAAATTTGGTTTTCATTTCCAGGCTGTACAAGGAAAGCATTACATATACTTTCCCTGGTAATTTGAATGCATATTTCTTCTCTCTCTCTCTCTCTCTCTCTCTCTCTCTCTCTCTCTCTCTCTCTCTCTCTCTCTCACTTTATTCCAAAGTAAGGCATCTTATTTCAGGTTTTCAAAACCAACTAGGATGTCAAGCACTTTGAAATAAAGGTTATAAGAAATGTAGGTGTCAAAGTAGCTGTGATATATACTAAGTGGTATAAATATAAACAATGGATGCATTAGGAGGTACTTAGGATGTTAGGTACTCAAGACAACTTAAAGGATGTTACTTTGAAATCTTCAAAAGGCAGAGAAAATGTGATAAAGTTGTTTGCCATTCCTTCACTTGCTCTGCACTCTCTTTGCACATTTGCATTAACTAACCCTTTTGAAACTCTTTCTTCCTTACTCCTCCTTGTCAAAATTCTACCCGTGCTCAAGTCCAGCCATCCCACCTTCATGATCTCTAATCTCACTACTTAGTAAAGAATAAAACAGACTAGTTCACATTAACTTATACTAGGAATTTGGTTCGATATCACATAAAAATCACATTAAAAGGCATTTGTTGTATTTTTAAGAAATGACAACATTAGTACTAAAACAGGCAATCACATTTTTTATCCTTAGATACACTTAGAGTTAAATGCCTATCACAGAATGCTATGCAATTTAGCATAAAATAACATTAACTTGACCTATGCATAGAATGTCCATGACTTACTTGCTTTTTACTATGATTTTCTCATTTCCCTTTCTGAAACTGGTGACCTGCTTCCATCTTCTTGAGTCAGAGTCTTCAAGAGATAGTAGTACTAGTAAAATTGAGTGTCTAGTGTATTGGGTCTTGAGGGATTGTTCCCACATAGGCCCTTACCACTTCTTCATGAGTATTAGCAGGTACTAGAAAGAGATGCCAGAGGCATCCTGTTTGTTGGCCACTTTGCCACTCATTAAGGTTGCCGTCTTATTTTGGTGTAACCACTACATGTACATCACCTTCCCCAAAATGTCACTTCTTCCGCCTATATTCCAGCAACAGTAGACCACTTGGATTAAATGTTTATTTAATATATGTGATTAAATATATATTTAATTCACTGCATGTATATATGCACATATATATGCAGCTAGCAAACAGGGTTAAATAGGGTCTTTATTTTATTTTATTTTATTTTATTTTATTTTGTTTTACTTTTAGTTCTGGGATACAAGTGCAGAATGTGCAGGTTTGTTACATAGCTATATATGTGCCATGGTGGTTTACTGCACCTATCAACCCATCATCTAGGTTTTAAGCCCCACATGCATTAGGTATTTGTCCTAATGCTCTCCCTCCCCTTGCCCACCACCCCCCAACAGGCCCGGGTGTGTGATGTTCCCCTTCCCGTGTCCATGTGTTCTCACTGTTCGACTCCCACCTATGAGTGAGAATATGTGGTGTTTGGTTTTCTGTGCCTGTGTTAGTTTGCTGAGAATGATGGCATCCAGCTTCATCCATATCCCTGCAAAGGCCATGAACATGTTCTTTTTTATGGCTACATAGTATTTCATGGTGTATATGTGCCACATTTTCTTTATCCAGTCTATCATTGATGGGCATTTGGGTTAGTTCCAAGTCTTTGCTATTGAAGAGTGCTGCAATAAACATACATGTGCATGTGTCTTTATAGTAGAATGATTTATAATCCTTTGAGTATATACCCAGTAATGGGATTGCTGGGTCAAATGGTGTTTCTGGTTCTAGATCCTTGAGGAATTGCCACACTGTCTTCCACAATGGTTGAACTAATTTACACTCCCACTAAGAGTGTAAAAGCGTTCAATAGGGTCTTTTTAACACATATCTCCGTAATGCCTCTGGAGTAGATTCTACTCATCTACAAAGATCACTGATGGATATGAGAAACCTTTCAAAATTACAATTCCTTTGGGCCCACTTTAACTGCTAAGTCAAAATCCTCACATCTGGGACTCAGGAATCTTTTAGTAAGCTACCTGTTGACAGGAAGAACGGCATAACTCTGTGAAGCAACATTTGGGAGCTGATGGTTTAAAAGGGAACATTTGTGCAGGTTTTCTCCACTTCTGTACTTTTGATTATACTTTTCCTTCCTCTTAGAATGCACTTTTTTCTTCTCCACAATATCCTCCTCTAAAAAGTTTATCTGCTTTAGGTTCTTCTTAATGAAAACATAACATAGTCTCTTAATTTGAAATAAAGAGTCCTTCATCTGTGTTTTCATAATACACTCTGTCTTATTTACCAAAGCCTGCCTTACTTAACTATTTTATTCTCACATTTGGTCTTTTCCCTCTCCTTTCATGTTGAAACTGAAAAGTCTCAAGATAAGAAATGCTTCCAGAAATTATTTTCTCCCTTAAATGTATTGTAAATAATTCCCACATGCATGCTTGCTAACCACAACTTATTTAACAATTCATTGTGATTTTGTCTGTCCTTTTTGGTTTTAGACTTTGACAAAGGGATCCATGTCCTTCTTAACAGGCAGCAGAATCTTCACACATTCATCTTGGTTATCTAAGTATTATTATTTGCTAGGTGCATTTATTCACATTGTCAACCTGCCCCCACCCATGGTACTGAGGCCACTGATGTGTGGATGCCACTTTGAGAAATATTGGTCTAAATAGAATGCTAGAGTCAGAAATCCAGCTGCTGTACTATCACAGCCACCCTTATAAGTTGTCTCTGTTTTTGCTTTTCTTTTGAAATGATTTACTTTACTTTTTTCTTGAGGATCAGGCTGACCTTTCTGTCTAATTTCCCTGGAAATATGAAGAATTGGAGTTTTCTTTAGATTCCTGGACTAGTGCTCCAAGGTCCTATATGATAAGTCCAGCCACCTATCTCAGATTACCTTTCTGCGCTCTGGGCATGGGCTTTGGCCAGTCTGCCTGTTGATTCTGAGCAATTAGAACCTGAAATTCATTCTCTTTTTGTCTCTCCAGATCTTGTTAATAATGCTCTTTTGTTGGTCTATTTACTAAGCTTTCTATTTCCAGATTAGCTCGTCAGGGAATCACTTTTCCATTCTGAACTTGCTTCTGAACCATCATGGGTCACATTTTCCCATATGGAACCAGCGTGAAAGAAGAAAGAGCCAGAATCAAGTGCAGAGTTGAACGGTGTGGTAAAGCTGACATTTGGAAAATGGATCTAGCTTCAGCACTTGGCTCTAGAGACACAGCTACATAGGCCAAACACCAAGTCCAAGGAAGCACCCTACTCATAGTCCCTGCTTCAGCACAGGTTGGCACCGACACTTCCAATTAGGCAGAGCTTCCAGCCAGGAATGAGACTGACTGCTGGTGCTAAATGTGGGAACTCTATCCAAAGAAAGCAGAACTCCAAAACCTGGCGGCAGAGCTCCAGACCTTTTCCTGGCAAAGGCAGGCAGTGGGCTCACTGACATTAAAGTGGGCATTCCAGGAAGACTCTGGTCCTAGAAAAGAGCTGGACTGGTAAAATAACCATTGAGAACTGAAAGATGATTACAAATCTATAGATGTATTCAAAACCAGATGTGAGAAAGCAGGGAGTGAGAATATAAGGAACTAATATAACCAGAGAGCCACAGAGAGTAGAGATCCTATTATGGGAGGTAAAATAAGACATAGACCCTGCATCTTGAAGCATGGATTTGATTTTACTGTATTAAGGGGAGAATAAAGCTGTTGAAATAATTGTGGTTTTTACTCAATCAGAACTGGCCCAGAAACAGAAAATCTGAAAATATAATTGAGGAGATATTTCTGCTAGATAATCTAGGTTATTCTGCTGCCAACCAGTCCCAAGACCTCAGTAGCTTAAAACAGCAAAGGTTTATTTGTCATCCACATTATTTATCCAGCATATGTTGGAGAGGAGCTGATGACTTCACTCTCAAGAACCGAGGCTGATGGAGTAGGTCACTGTTCCAAAGGGAAGCTGACTTCTGGGAGGTCTTAAATTAGTAATTAATGGTCATCTCTAGAATGTATACATGACTTTTTTGTTATCGATTCGCTGGCCAGAACTAGCTACTGGCTTCATTCCAACCGCAAGAAACCAGAACTTTCCCAAAAGTATAGAACCAGAAATATTTAGTGAACAGAATTATTGACTATTTAGGTCTCCAGTTTTTGTAGTTACATATGTATTTAAAAGTTAAGAAATATAAAACAAGGTTTCATATACAAACACAGGTGCAGAATTTACAGTAATGATGTGTAGGCTGGTTGCACAATAGTGTCCACAGCATACATTTGAGATTCTTCTACCTCTGCCCTCCTCCCACTCTACATTGCTGGGCTCCAGACTTTCTGCAAAGATCTAATGAGGGCAGATGCAGTTACTGACAACTACTTCATTCCCTGATCTTACCAACTTACCTTTGAGTCCTAATACACGGTCACCATCCTTTTTCTTTCTCTCTCCTCTTTTTTTTTTAATTTTTTTATTATTTTGCTATCCTCTCCCCATCTTAACATAAACACTTTAACAGGTATTCCATATTTTTCTTGGCTTCATCCCAGAAATATTTTTTCCCTGCAACATAAAAATTCACCTGCATTTTAATCATAATTTATCTATCTTGGCTCTAGCCAAGGTGAACACTACCACATTTAACCTGGTTTGCCATTTGGGGTTACACAGTGCACAGATACATAGAAAGTTCAAAATTAAAAAGAATAGTCTTATTTGGAAATTCTCCAGGTATTTACATAGACAGATATGTCATTAACACCATTATCTTTTAAAGAAGAATTTGGGAGAACATGTTGATACCAAAAGAATACAAACAAAAATATGTGCTTTGTTTTTTAAAAATCACCATAAGGGTCTACATTATTTCCCTGAAGTACAAATCTAACTTGCTATAAAGGTTTCCAATTGGATATACTAATTTAATCAATCATATGGTTAAAATAAACAGAAAAATAACAAAAATTTGATTGATCTAGGGCTGTTTGCAGCCTGAATGTCAAGCAGACATCAGTCACTTGGTCTTACACCCTTAAATTTTCATGAGACTAGAAATATGTAAATTAACTACTGCACTTCACAGATAAAAAGCATGGGGGAGAATCTGCAGCACTAAGCAATGTTCATAAACAAACAAAAGAAAGACTTTTGCACATTTTATAAATTTAAAAATATTTGTGCCGAATCAGTATATGTTTTGTTAATGGTGAATTATTGTTGTTTTCAGTTTAATAGAGAATAAACAAGGGCCAATTTATTCAATAGAAGTTTTGTATTCTCCCAAAGTCATATGAGTGTCATGCACAGAAAATGAGGAAGCTGATCTCAGTCTGCCATCATAACTTACACAACATGAATGAATTGGCTTAGGATTTTTAAACAAACATCAAAGAAAAAGTGGCATAGATTAAAAGGTTTCTAACATTACATCACGGTTCAGCTATGTGTTTTTTGTTTTTTTCTGCTTTGAATGAGACTAATTTAGAGTAAAATGTGTTTTTTCATCTGCGGGATAATAATCAATGGTATGCCTTCTATTACTACACAATTATATCATCAACTGATAATGATTATGTAAAGTGGCTAATTATTTTTATGATTACTTCAGAATAAGCATTCTAGGAAGCAGTACCTACTCCTTTAAAATATATAAAAGTCTAATTTTATCAGCCACCAGCAAAACCATTCTTTCTCTCTCAACTCTTGGAAGTGCACCTGTTTATCTCTGCCCTCTGAGTATCTTCATCAACTTGGTCATTCCCCATTCTTCACATTGACAGGGACCCAAGAGAAAGCCTGGTGGGGGCCTGAATAAAAGGTGTGTATTTGGAAACTAATTAAGTTTGATTCATCTCTTTTGGCAGCACTTTGCATTTCTCTTCCCATGTTTTATTTAAAACTTGATTGCTTAAATAGCAATAAACAAACAACTAAACAGAACCTGGTGGATAATTATATTGAATTTCACTTATTTATTTGCAATGAGATAGATGATCTGAAGCATAACACATCTACTCTTTGTGACATATGAATTCACTTCAAACCCCAGACTTACGGGATTTCTCTTTTTCAGATTAAGAAAACAAAATTAGAATTTTCTTCTCTTTCTTCAAATTGCAGTTTTAATCTCACCTCCTCCGTTATACCTTTCTTGATTACTTCATCCAGACATGAATTTTTTCCACCTTAAGCCACAGTAGTGGGTCAACAGTTTTCTTACAGCACTTGTCACACACAGCTTGATGTGGCTGCCACTTTAGTAACACTTCAACATTGTTCAGTGGCGTCAGAGTAAGTTCCCATTCAAGCAAACCCAGCTAATAGCTATGCAGTAACTAGCCCTGGTTTTCACATATGGAAATAGGAATGATACCTATTTGGTCTATCTTCCACGATGGTTGTAGCATCCAAACTTGAAAATGTATATCATGGATCCTTGTAAACCATCAATAATAGTGCAGAAATGTCACCTGTGTCGTGTCTCAAGGAGTGAAACCATGATCTTATTCTACCTCTGTGCTCTCCAAAAAGACTGGTGCTCAACCACTCTGCTCAACGAATAAATGAAAGAATGTGTGATTGATGCATTGATTGATTACTTAGTCAATGAAAAAGATAGAAGTTCTTAAGGAGGGGTCCAGAGAAATTGGTGACTAAAAAGGTAGAAAAAAAGAGAGGAAAGTAGAAAAGCAAAGTCAAGGAGTGAGGAGGTTCTGATCCCCACTTTGGTATTCACCATTGCCTACTTTCCCCATTCCTCTGCCTTCCTCCGGATTCTGCAAAAGGTGCACCCAGCATCATGAACTTCACTTCTGCAAGCATTTTTGGAGTTCTTAGAATGGATTACAGTTGACCCTTGAAAAATATGGGTTTTAATTTTGTGAGCTCACTTACACATGGATTTTCTTCCACTCTGCCACCCAAAGACAACAAGACCAAGCCCTCCTCCTTCTCCTCCTCCTCTGCCTACTCAACATGGAGACAAGAAGGATAAGACCTTTATCATGATCCACTTCCACTTAATGGATAGTAAATATATTTTCTTTCTTTATTTTCTTAATAGCAGTTTGTTTTCTCTTACTTTATTGTAAGAATTTAGTTAAAATATTAACTAAGAATACAGTATATATAAAAAAGATGTGTTAATGGACTGCTTATGTTATCAGTAAGGTTTCCAGCCAACAGTAGGCTGTGGGAGTCAAAAATTATATGTGGACTTTCAACTGTTGGGGGATGGCACCCCTAACCCCTGCATGGTTCCAGCGTCTCCTGCATTTCATTTAATCACCTCAAAAAACTGATGAAGTGGGCACTATCATTATCTTGATTTTATAGATGAGGAAAATGAGTCTTAGACAAATAACTTGCCCAACATTGTACAGTGATGGAGTTCAACAGGTGGATTTCAAACCCAGCAATCTGATTGTCCTTCATATAAGTTTGCCAGGGCTGCCATACAAAATACCACATGATGGGGTAGTTTAAACAACAAAATTTTATTGTTTCACAGTTGTAAAGGCTGGAAGTCCTAGATCAAGGTGTCCAAAGGATTGGTTTCTCCTGAGGCCTCTCTTCCTGGCTTGCAGATGGCCATCTTGCTGCATCCTCACACATAATCATTCCTCTGTGCGCTCACTTCCCTGGTGTCTCTGTGTGTGTCCAGATTTCTTCCTCTAAGAACACCAGTCCAATTGGATTAGGGCTGCAACCCTCATGACCTCATTTAACTTTAATTACCTCTTTCAAGGATATATTAACATTGAAACTGGAGCTCCAACATATGAATTTTGTGGGGAAACAAGTCAATCCATAACAGTGTCTTTTCCAAACACTTGCCCAATGAATGAGAGAAGGTTTTGGCCAAGGTGATGGGATTGCTGGTGCTTCTCACACTTCAGTATGACTGAGATTTACTAAAATGTCCATTAACATCACAGATATCCTAGTCCCCATACCTAGAAATTCTAACTCAGTAATTTTGGGGTGAGGTTCAAAACCGTGTTCTTTTAACAAAAATCCTCAAGGCACAGGATCTCCAAAAAATCTCAAAAATACACTAAAGTAGAAGACAGGTAAAACCTCAGAAAAGGATCAATGTTTTCTCTGAAATCCATGGTTACTATTTTTTGAATCACTATTTTAGTTTACCTGTGTGATCTATCTGGAAGAAAGTATGATCTCCTTATGAGTCGTTTTCATCATTTAATCAAATATCAGGCCAGTTTTTGTTTGTTTGTTAATTTTCTTGCCCAAGCTGTGAAAAACAAAAACTGTTTTTATCTTTATTTTCCACAAATTCATCTTTTTAAGGTTTTCTTTTTTGGGAAAGACTCTGCTTTCTCAGGTTATTTTTTTGACTCTACTCAACTATTCATGAATACAATGGAAATCTCCAATGATATCATTTCTCCCCAACTTTCATGTTGACTTACATTTCCAACCTGTTTTTTCCTTATTACTCTTAATGATATCCTATGCAGTAGGACCTTATTTTTATAATTTTCTGAAGGATGAAATCATCAGTAATAGAAATCAGTTCTTTCAAATGAATAGCTTTTAGTTAAATGGCATTTCGTGGAATCTCCAGTTAGCTGAAATTATCAACTCTGAATATATTCCATCTCTTTATCACCTCTGTAAATGCAACTGGGAAAATCTCAATACTTCTTCAAGCGGCTTCATGAAAATCCTGACCTGAGTTTTGAACTACAGCAGGGAGATTTGGATAAGGATATGATCAAAACTTGGGGAAGCCTCATCTTAAGCCAAAAACTCACTGAAGAAAATTCCCCTTTAAGGTTGGGACCAGTAGAAAGGTGGTACTGGTCATAGCTGTGCCTCAAGCACCGTCCCATCCTTACTCATGTGCATCAAAGGAGGCCACTCATGAGACTAGAACACCAGGTAGCAGCATCAATATCAAAAAGCACCATGGATTTACATGTTGGTCCTCTATGACTGTTAGTAGGAAAACAGCTTGGTAAGCAAAACCAGCGTCAAGTGCAAAGTTCTGCAAACTGTGGCCTGTGGGCCAAAATCTGACTACTGCCTGCTTTTATACATAAAGTATGATTCGAACACAGCCTCACTCATTTGTTTATGTTTTGCCTATGGCTTCTCTCACACTACACTGGCAGAATTGAGTCGTTGTGGCAGAGACTGTATAACCACAAAGTCTAAAATATTTACCATCTGGCCCTTTGTAGCAAGTTTGCCAGCCACTCATCTAGAGTAAGCTCCTCCAGACATATAAAATATGCATATCAGTAGCAGTAGGATAAAAGAAGATGTTCACAGAGAAAAAAAAAAAAAAAAAAAAGCTGCTCTCCGAAGCTCTGAATTTCCTACAATGGGCTGGAGGTCACAAGCAGGAATGTGGACATACTTTGTAGGGTTTCCGTGCTACTAAAATTCAGCTCACCCCTATTCTCCATCACAGCTCCAATCAAGAACTAATAGTTTTACATCAGAAATAGGTTTGAATGGCCCAAAAGCCTGGCTCCCTGCAGGATCGGCTTCAATTCCCTGATGTCTGTCCAACCCTGCAGGGCTGCCTAGACTCTCAGGCGCCACCTTCCCTGCTCAGGGTCATTTAGCTCCTCCTGGCCCCAGTTCTAACAAAGAGGCCACTGACCTGAGTCATTTAGTTCAATTGCTGACAGGAATCCCATTATCTGAGTGCCACTTCCCATTGCGGCCTCTAGATACAGGCACACAGCTTTGCACTCATGATTAACGTGGGGGATGAGTGGTCACGTACACTCACCAATGGGGAGTTCACGGGGAGAAAGAGGCTTTTACGTGCATTAAATCTGCACTCAAGGCCAGACTCTGGACACATTTTTTGTTTTTATTTGTTTGTTTCTTTTTGTTTGTTTGTTTGTTTTCGTTTCTCTCTGACAATCACTGAGTTTCTTCTGTGCTCATTCACTGTGACCTGAAGGGGAGCCTCAGGCATAGGAACTGCTCCTGGCAGCACAGCTGCTTAGACTGTATATTGCATCAGCTGTGAACTTTTGTGGACTAGAATGATAAATAAGAGCCTTCTGTGAGTAACATCATGAAATCAAGCCTGTTTCACTAATAAACTGGCTAATGTTTATTGATTGGATGGTAAATACGTAACAGAAACCTAACAATCAAAAATACATTACAAAAGAGGGAGAAAGAAGGAATGAGCACTTTGGAAAGTGTCTGAGGACATTGGTTTTGGAAAATCAACCTGGGGGTAGAGTTAATGCAGCACACTAAGATCAAAATACCCTCTGCCCAAGGGCATCAACTGGTAAATCAGATCTCTGACCTCACTCAGGAGTACCCTTCTGACCCTGCAGGACATCAATTTCTAAAACACAGTGACACTCAGTAGTACACATATCCTACCCTTTGGCCAAAGCCTGAATTACATAGTTCATCAAATGTCTGATAGCAAAAGAGCTTTCGTTTTACTTAAAAAAATTTTTTTTGTATGCTAAATGTAAAAAAGGCCAAACAAGACCCTCATGCCTTGTTTATGGGTCCTGAGGATCATACCCCAGTCCAAATAGACACTATCACTTATTTAGTAAGAGGTTACATTGACTACTGTGAATGAGGGAAGATCACTGTGGGCCATGTGTGAAGGCTCTTTGGGTTTGTGCAAACCCATGATAAAGATGGGACAATGGCAACAATGATGACAATGATAATTAACAGTTATTAACCATGCCTCTGTGATAGATTCGTTGCTAAGGGTTTTACCTGTGTAGCCTAGTGCAATACTTACAACCACCCTTCAAGATAAATACTATAAGTAACTCCCAAATTACGGAGTGGTAGCTAAGGTCACCACGATGCTATGTCCTAACTATTTTGTCTCTAAGTCACCTTTCCTAAGGCCTTTCTTTGTCGTGAAAATATTGACAATATTTTCTTTTTTATTATTATTATACTTTAAGTTTTAGGGTACATGTGCACAACGTGCAGGTTTTTTACATATGTATACATGTGCCATGTTGTTATGCTGCACCCATTAACTCATCATTTAGCATTAGGTATATCTCCTAATGCTATCCTTCCACCCTCCCCCCAACCCACAACAGTCCCTGGTGTGTGATGTTCCCCTTCCTGTGTCCATGTGTTCTCATTGTTCAATTCCCACCTATGAGTGAGAATATTTTCATGTAAAATGCCAGAAATAATGTGCAGAAGAGAAAATTTTTGAATGTTGCCTTAGCACCCTATGGAAATTTAATCTGTAATTTCTTACTTTTCCATTAACATTCCAAATGTACCCCAGGAATAAGACTCTTGGTACATCCAGAGAGAAGTCCATTTCCTATCTTTAGCTATGTGATTAATAATTATAAAAGTATCAAGAGAGAAAGTTTCATCAGCTCTGGAAGGTTTAAAGCATTCCTATCTGAGGACTTAGAAATGTGTTCTCACAGGATCTCTGATAAGATGGAATCAAGAGCTTGATATGTTTTACTTTTTTAATTTTGATTTTTTTCAGACAGTGTCTCGCTCTGTCACCCAGGCTGGAGTGCTGTCTGTGAAATGGAAATTATAACAGGCCTCTTGGCAGGCCTCCGTGTGACAAATAACAATCTTAACACAAAGACTAGCACATAGTACACACTCACTTAACCATAGCCATTAATGTAACTGGGAGTTATTATATTTCACATTTACGGTCTGACACAGCATTATGTGTTTCCTGTTTTCTAATATGTGAAGTATACATGCAGGAATTCTGGTTTAACCAGTCAAGAGTTTGTTGTTTTATTTTTTGGAATCATTCTAATATGTCCAAAGTATTTTTATCCCTTAGTGAGTTCAATATATAATTGAATTTTTCTTTTTCTTTTTTTTTGAGACAGAGTTTCTTGTCTCCTAGGCTGGAGTACAATGGTGCAATCTTGGCTCACTGCAACTTCCCCTGGGTTCAAGTGATTCTCCTGTCTCAGCCTCCTGAGTAGCTGGGATTACAGGTGCCTGCCAACATGCCAGGCTAATTTTTATATTTTTAGTAGAGACGGGATTTCACTATGTTGGCCAAGCTGGTCTCGAACTCCTGACCTCAGGCGATCTGCCCGCCTCGGCCTCCCAAAGTGCTGGGATTACAAGCATTGAATTTTTCTTTTATTATTGAGTTTCCCACAAGACTTTAGGGACATTCATTTGAGCTTCATTTCTTTTTGTTGCTCACTGAAGAAGGAGATTTTGGACACAGAAGATTAGGTTCGACTGTCTTCCAACCCAATCCATAACTATAAAATTTCACTTTTCTAATTGAAAGCTCAACATGGATTGATCTCATTTGAAATAATTCAGGACTTATTTAAGAAGCTCTTCATATGTTTTAAGGCTTTCCTGATGCTATGATTTCTAATAATAATAAATATTATACCAACTTTCTGCCTGGCAAAACCCGGAGTTTAGGTTGATACTTTTCTCCTCAATTAATAAATGGAGAGAATATTCAAAACAAGCCATTAAAATTGGGCAAAAAATAACAATCTCTTTCCTAATCAGCATGTTGCTCTCCACAAGAATTTAAGAATCCCTGTGGATTACCTCTGTAGACCACGGGATGTAATTTGTTATAGCAGTGGTTCTCAAGCTTAAGTGTACATCCGAATCACTGGGAAAGCTTGTCAAAAAATGGATTTCTGGGACTCACTCCCAGATTTCTGATCTGGTAGGCTGGGTGAGGCTTTGTATTTCTAACAGTTTCCCAGATATGCTGACACTGCTGGTCCAGGGACTACATATTTTTATTGATATACTAGAGTTGTTCATATTTTGGGATACATGTGATATTTTGATACATGTATACAATGTATAATGATTTTGTCAGGGTAATTGGAATATTTATTGCCTCAAACATTTATCTTTTCTTTGTGTTGGAAACATTATAATTCTCATGTAATTATTTTGGAATATACAAAAAATTATCATTAACTATAATTTCCCTACTATACTGTCAAATACTAGACTATATTTCTTCTATCTAACTGTATTTTGGTACCCCTTAATCACCTTCTCTTCATATACCCACCCTTCCTTTTCCAGCCAAGGACAACATTTTGAGAAAATCAGTATTCTTTGAGGAAGTCAAATTTTCTCACCTCTGCAGGGTATATCTTTCACAAGAAAGATCCCATTACTAACCAAGTGGGCTTTGTTTTTAAATAACAGCTTTTTCCCTCATCCTTTCAAATCTGAGCATTCCTCAAGATTCATTCTTTATACGTTTTTATTTTCCTTCTCTTTTGCAGAGAAGTCTTCAGTCTTTCGTGTTCATCTCTATGCAACTGGCTCTCAAGTCTGTTTGTTAAATTTTTTCATTTTTATTTTTTATTTTTTTAGAGACAAGGTCTCACTTTGTTGTCCAGTCTGGAGTGCAGTGGCATGATCATAGCTCACTCTAACCTCAAACTCCTGGGCTCAAGCTCCTTCCACCTCAGCCTCCTGAGTAGCTAGGACAACAAGTGCCACCAAGTCTGTTTATTTTTTTTATAATTTCTTGTAGAGACAGTGTCTCATTACGTTTCCCAGACTTCATGTATCTTCCTAATACCTTCATTTCCCTTTGAATCTAGGTCCAGAATTCCACATCTTTTCCTTCAACAAGAACTTGTGGAACAAATGAATAAGTGGATGAATAAATAGATGGACGAGTGGATATGTAATGCCCCTAGGGCTAACTAAAGAACCAGAAAGCTTCTAGTTAAAATTCTCTTGGCTCTAAGTCTCAGTCTTTTATCCCAATTAATGGTAGAAAGATAATTCTCTATGATATTTTATGAAAATAAGGTTAAGAGAAAAGAGGTGGGGAAGAGTAAAACTGTACTGCAATTGCTAAAATTGTTTAGAAGATTTGGGAAATAAGCAGGCCTGTAACTAAAAACTAGTCACAATGGGATACGGACGAGCTGTAGTAAACTATGATTTGTCTGTATGCCTTTTCCTAGCAATAACCTTTGACTCCCAACATCAGCTATTCTTCATGTGAACCACCTACCATATAAAGCATGATTTTTCAAATTTATGCTACTTCCAAATCCTTTCCAAGTTCAGACAAACTTTAAAAGTAACTCATGCCTATAGTCTACAGTGTCAAACCACCTGAGTTTTTTATTCAGTAGGTCTGGGTTGGGTCCCAAGAGTTTCCATTTAAACAAATTTTTAGCTACTTTTGATGCTGCCAGTATGAGGACAATAAACAGGGTATCACAGCTCCTGGAGACTGGATGGTAGCTGTACTACATTACTACAATAATAATGCTAATTACAAGAATTGAGAAGTAGCCTAGCCACATCTGAATGACACTAGAAAATTTTCTAAAGAAAAAGATAAGAATCAGGTTCAACTATTGGAATGGAAGAACAAAGATCTCTGAAAACCTACCCTTCCATAACAATAACAGGGATATTGGCCCCAAAAAAACCTCAAAAAAAAACCTGTCAAAATCAACTTTTTAAAAATTCTGGAAAGTATGCAAAAGTCTGCCACAATCTGAGAAGTGTTTAGTTAAAAAAAAAAAAAGAAAAAAAGTTGAATCCTATAAAAACAATAAGCTTTGTGATGGTTTAGTATGTCCAAATTTTATCTCCCTTTCCAGCTCTTTAGTGACCTTGAAAACCAACATTCTTGCAACTATGGTAGACTATGAGCCATTGGAAGAGGTAGAACTGAATTTAGCCCATCACATCCATCACATGCCTCATTCCCAAAGAATGTTCACTATTTATGACAGCTCACTGTCTTTATTTGACCAGACTCAGAGTTAGCTTAGTGCAAACAGCCATACTAGAAGGGCATTTATAGAAAAAATAAATAATGACAACTGATTAACATTATAGCTGCCTGATGCAGCATTGCCAGTTGAGGATAAGAGGCTGATTTTTTTTTAAAGCACTGAAAAGTGAAATATCCATAGGAAACTTTGCAAAGCTTTCACATATTCCTGGGAATTAGAAGTCATTCATGTATGCAGGGCTGTGCTCATGGCCTATATCAGGTAAGATTTGAGTAGACACTAAGCTCTCATTGCTATCAGACCTTAAGGCTGTAGACAGCAAAAAGAGAAGTCTAAGGCAGGGTTTTAAACTGCCTACCAAAGCACTGAAATGTACCCAACACATATTGGTTCAAAGCATTTAAGATGTTCTCTAACCAATCATTAACTGACCAAGAAGGTAACCAAATAGAAATATCATAGACCACACACAACAAAGAATACAGACTTTACATAATAGTCCAGATAAGTCAATAAACGAACAAACAGCAGTAACAACAAGCCCAGGTGTGTGGGGGTGATCATCTTCTTTCTATAATTTAAAAATTACATCATTTTAAATGTCCAGTTTTCAATAATAAAGATGAGACACTCAAAGAAACAAGAAAATAGGCCTATACATATGAGAAAAGTCAATAGAAATGGTCCCTGAGAAAGCCTAGATGTCAGACTTACTAGATAAAGAACTGACATTCACTATTAGAAATATATTCAAATAACTAAAGGAAACCTTGTGTAAAGAAGTAAAGGATGAGAATGATTCCCTATGTGAACCCCCAAATATCTGAGACAGGTCTCAGTCAATTTAGGAAGTTTATTTTGCCAAAGTTAAGGATGTCCCCCATGACATAGCCTCAGGAGGTCCTCATGACATGTGCCCAAAGTGGTTGGAGCACAGCTTGGTTTTATACATTTTAGGGAGATATGAGACATCAATCAATATATGTAAGATGTACATTGGTTTGGTCCAGAAAGGCAGGACAACTCAAAGCAGGGAGGGGTCTTCCAGGTCATAAATAGATAAGAGACAAATGGTTGCATTCTCTTGAGTTTCTGATTAGCCTTTCTTAAGGAGACAGTCAGATACGCATTTATCTCAGTGAGCAGAGGGGTGACTTTGAGTTCTGATTGTCCTTTGTCTACAAGGAAATTCCTTGTGAGGGAGGTATGTAGCTTTTTTATCTTAGTAGCTATCGTTTTTAGGAATAGAATGGGAGGCAGGTTGTCCCTAAGCAGCTCCCAGCTTGACTTTTCCCTTTGGCTTAGTGATTTTGGGGTTCCAAGATGTATTTTCCTCTCATAGCTGCTATATAGAGAATATCAATAAAGAGTTAGAAATTATTTAAAATAATCAAATGGAAAGTTAAAAAGTACAATAACTGAAATTAAAAAATTCCCTAGAGCAGTTCAGCTGCAGATGCGAACTGTCGAAAAGAAAAAATCGGTTAACTTGAAGAAAAATCAATTGAGAGTATCCAGTCTGAAGGTCAAAAAGAAAATATAAGAAAAATAAATAAGTAGAGCTTCAGAAATCTGTAGAACCTCATCAGGCACACTATTTTACACATATTCAGAGTGCCAGAATGAGGGGCAAGAGAAAAAGGGGTATAAAAATATTTGAGGACATAATGGTCAAAAACTTACCAAATTTTATGACAAACATTAATCTACATATCCAATTAGTTCAATGAACACCGTGTAGAATAAACTAAGGAGATCCACACTGAGACACATTACAGTCAAACTGTTGAAAAATAAAGACCCTTGAAAGCAGCATGAGAAAAGCAAGTCATCATGTGTAATCAGTACTCAGTGAGATTAACAAAAGACTTCTCAGCAGAAACCATGAAAAGAAAAACACTATCAACTAAGACTTCTGTGTCTAGCAAAACTATTTTTCAAAAATAATAGAGAAATTAAGACACAGAGAAAACTGAGAGAATTTACCACTAGCAGTATAAAAAATATTAAAGGAGATCCCTAGGGCTAATATGAAAGGTCACTAAACAGTAACTTGAATCCTTATAAAGAAAAATGAATACTCCGGGGATAGATATGCCATTCCCCATAATGTGCTTATTTCATACCGTACATATGCCCATATCAAAACATCTCATGTACCCCATAAATATATACACTTACAGTATACCCACAAATTTGTTTTTAATTTTAAAAAGAAAAACTGAACACCATTAAATGCAAAAATAAAAATAATATAAATATATATTTTTTTAAAACACTTTTCTTCTCCTATTCAATATGAGACAGCTACACAACTCAATAATTGTCAATTATGTAAAAGGGCTTATAATGCATAAAGATGTATTTTGGATGCAAATAGCACAAACATACCATGAGAAAGAGTTATGTCAGAGCAAATATTTGTATACTATTTATTATAAATTAAGTTTTTATTAGTCTAAACCACATTGCTTTAAATTAGATGTTAATTATAAACCCTAGGGAAATCACTAAGAAACAGTTCAAGAACAAATGTTAAAGTAAATCACAGGGAAATTAAAATGATATACTAGAAAATATCTAACAGAAAACAAACCAGTAATGATAAAATCGAAAAACTAAAAAAAACCCAGATGTAAGCCATATAAAGCAAGTAAAACATCAGACATAATGACTACCCTATCCATAATTAAGTTAAAAGTAAATTAAATTGACACTTTATTCAAAAGAAAATAAATATATTTATTGAATATATACCTTTTAAAAAGTAAATTAAAATTAAATTTAAAAGAATTAACAAGAAACAGATTCCAATATATGTTATACACTGTCCACAAGAGAAAAACTTCAAATTCAGAGACACAAACAGGTTAAAACTAAAATGCTAGGAAAAAAGATATATGATTCATTAGTACCCAAATAGCCATGCAGTGGCTATAATAACATCAGACAAAATATACTTTAAGACAAATTGTTACTAGAGGCAAAAAAGAACATCTTATAATAATAAAATAGTCTATTATTTAAGACATAAAAATTATAAACCTATATCCACCTAGCAAAAGAGTCCAAAAATGCCTTAAGGAAAAACAGAACTGAAAGAAGAAATAGACAGCTGAATAACAATAGTTGGAGAACTCAGTACTTCACTTTCAATAATGGATGGAATAACTGGCAGAAGATCAGCAAAGATGTGGAAAAGTTGAACAACATTATAAATGAACTATTAATATAAACCTCATAGATAGATGTAAAACATTCTACCCAAAAACTGCAAAATACGCAATAGTCCCCTTTATCTGCAGGGGATGTGTCTCAAGACTCCCAGTGGTTGCCTGAAACTGATAATACTACTGGACCTTATATATGTTGTGTTTTTCTCCTATATGTACATGCCTATGATGAAGTTTAATTTATAAATTAGGCACAGTAAAAGATTATCAATAATGACTAATAAAATAGAACAATTATAACAATATATTGTAGTAAAAGTTATATAAATATGGTCTCTCTCTCTGTCTCTCTCTCTCTGTCTCTCTAAATATCATACTGCATCATAGGTAACTGAAACTTCAGAGAGTGAAACTGTGGGTAGGCAAACTACTATACATTCTTCTCAATGCATTTGGAACATTATTCAACTTAAACCATATATAGGCCATAGAACAGGCCTCAATAAAACTTTATAATGATTAAACCTTCCAAAAAGTATGCTTTCTCATCAAAAATAAAATTAGAAATCAATCACAAAATTCACAAACATATGGAAATTACACAGCACAGTGTTAAATAATGGATAGTAAAAGAAATTGCTTAAATGATTAAATACTTGGAGATGAGTAAAAATGAAAATACAGCATACTGAAAGTTATGGGATGCAGCCAAAGCAGTACTTAGAAGATAATTTATAGCTATAAATGCCTATATTTAAAAAGAAGAAAAATCTAAAATTAATAACCTAACATTTCACTTTAACAAAAAAAGAAAAACAGGAAAATTCAACCCAAAGAAATCAGAAGTAAAGATATAATAAAAACTAAAGCATAAATAAAGAAAACATTATTGGATCTAAGGATGGGAAATGTTCTTAATGTCTTCATACAAAGGAAAAAACCTAACAAACTAGACAATAAAATTTTATGGATTTCATTACTTTAAAATTTAGAGTTTATATTAAACAAATTACAACTCTAAACAAAAGTAATAGAGATATGAGATTGGAAGAAGATATTTGCAATCCATAAAACTCACAAGAGTATCACCTAGAACTAAACTGTTCAATACATAGTCACTGGTCACATATGGTTATTTACATTTGAATTTAAATCAATTACATAGAATTATATTTCAGTCCCTCAACTGAACTAACCATATTTTAAGTACTCCCTAGCCAGATGGCTGGGGGGACCATGTTAAACAGTTTGATATAGAACATTTCCATAATCAGAGAAAGCTCTATGAAACAGACCTAATCTAGAATATATCACAAACTTATAAAAATTAACTACAAAAACCAGGAAACTCAAAATAAACGTGAGTAAAAATATAAATAAACATGTCATAGGAGGAAAAGTCTAACTGGTTATCAAGATTTCCACATATGCCTTAGTAGGAATCAGAGAGAAGAAAATTAAAAGCAATGAGATGCCAGGTTAGACCCATTTGACTAACAAAAATCTAAAAGTAGGGTTTTAGCAAATTTTGGTGAAAACTACAAGAAATGAGAAACTTCATTGAGTGTTGATGGGGGTGTAATTAACATAGTTGTTGTGGAAAGCATCAGCAACATTTAGTAAAATTAAGAATAGATATCCTAGCATTCACACACCTGGTTGTATATATCAGAGAAATTCTCATCCAAACTGATACGATACAAACAGTCACAGTCCTGGATGCTTAATCTATTATTTTTGAGCTAGTTCAGTAGGTCTGTTATTTTGAGCTAGTTCCGTAGAATTTACTAGAATTCTTGCTCTTTCCTTCTGTTTCTAACAAATTTTACTCACATACAGTTGCTTTCAGGATATACTGAAAGCAAAAGTCTTGCCCTGATTTCTGAATAAATGTAAAAAAAAAAAAGGGCAATAGTGTACATTGGTAACACCAAAAGCAGAACTCAAGTGTTTAAGAACAGTCACCAAGTACATGGTTGTCATAAACTTTGGGTCCATAGGCAGGATATGAATATGGGGATGGTAAAATTATATTCTACCTTTCTTTGTGACAGCAGATCTACTGTTTTTCTTGTCCCCTCCCTCCCCAATCAAGTGAATATTAGTATTTTTATTTGCCGATTCACCAAGCCAACTCTAGCAGCCTTGTACTTGGAGGTAATTCTTCTATTCCTGTTATTCTTTGCTTTTGGATTTGTTATTGTAAGCTTTTTAAAATATATATACAAATTTCATGCATGGACACTTCATTGAAAACTGAGAAATACTATAACAAGAGCTGCCAGGTAGGCACTATTTGAAACCTATTTCAAACTATTTGAAACAACACAACATGCAGGGCAACTCGGTTTGACTTAAAAGCACAACTTCTAAAGTCCAAAAATTCCTCCACATTCAGGCCCCACAATGGGCATGAGAGAAAAGGCTGAGCAGCTGTGGAACACCTCACTCTGGGAAGATTTAATCTAGTGTTTGGAATCTGATAATCTAGTGGAAATATGGTCCTTGGGCTCAGTGGAAATGTCAAGCATAGAGATGGTACTTTTAGTATTGTGGCAGATAGAATTCTAATATAACCTCATAATTCCTGCCCCCTAGTATCCCCTACCCTTGAATGTGGATATGATTTGTAACTTGATTATATTTCTTTCCCTGTCTCAGAACTTTATTTTTTTAAAGAACTCTATTGAGATATCATTCATGAACCATGTAGTTTATACACTTAAGGTATACAGGTCAAAGGTTTTAAGTATATTTATGAATTATAATTTGCTTCTAACCAATAGAATATGGCAAAGATGAAGGAATTTTTCAGATTTAATTAAGATGCCTAATCACTTGACTTTAATCAAAAGGGAAATTATCCTATGTGGGCCTGACTTAATCAGTTGAGCCCTTTAAAAAAGAATCTAGAGGTGAAAGACTCAGCTGCAGAGACTCCCTCTTTCCTCCTGGCTCTGAAGTTCCATGCATGCTATAACCACAAGAAAATGAATTCTGTCAACAACCTGAGAGAATATGGAAGAGGGTGCCAAGGGTCAGGTGAGACTGCAGCCCTGGCTGACAATTTGTTTTTATTTTTATTTTTATTTTTGCAATGGATTCTTGCTCTGTCACCCAGGCTGGAGTGGAGTGGTGTGATCTAGGCTCACTGCAATCTCCACCTCCTGGGTTCAAGCGATTCTCCTGTCTCAGCCTCCCAAGTAGCTGGGATTACAGGTGTGCACCACCACACCCAGCTAATTTTTGTATTTGTATTAGAGACATGGTTTCATCATGTTGACCAGGTGGATCTTGAACTCCTGACCTCAAGTGATCTGCCCACCTCAGCCTCCCAAAGTGCTGGGATTACAGGTCCTAGCCACTGTGACAGGCTTGTTATTGTTTTTTTCCCCATTTTTCATTGACACAGAGTAATTGTATATATTTATGGGATACACAGCGATGTTATTATATGTGTATACCATGTATTCTGATCAAATCAGGGTAATAAGTATATTCATCTTCTTTTATCTTTGTGAGAGTACCCAGTTATGCTGTTCCCAGAATCCTGAATTATGGAAACTGTGTGATAATAAATGAGTGTTGTTTTATGCTGCTAAGTTGTGGTAATTTGTTACATAACAATAAAAAACTTACATAAGCATTGTGGATGGGTCATCTGTCTTTGGCAGCCAGGAGGCAAAAAGACATAGAGGATTACTCCTCAGAAGAATACTGAAAGAGGAGGCATACTCAACAGAGATGGTGTCATCTTTATAAAAGAAGATCAAGAACGATGTCACAGAATTGAAGGAGAAAAGAGACCCAAAGGAGAAGGGTGGTTAAGTTCAACATGCTGCAAAAATATCAAGAGGAATGCAAACTAGAACTGACAAAGGCATTACAAGAAAGGTCATTGATACTTTACAGAGTCCAAAGGCTTTAACAACCAATTCCTAGTCAAAAAGAATCATGGCATCTGAAGCTCTCAGCTTGAACAGCAGCAGCGGCCTGAAGTTCAGAGTAACAATCAAACTCACAAGACAGAAAAAGCTATACCCAGAGCCAACTTTATTTAGCTTTCAGAAAGGATACATGTAGGAGGACCACAACTCAACATGCAGGGCAACTTGGTTTGACTTAAAAGCGCAGCTTCTAAAGTCCAAAAATTCCTCCACATTCAGGCCCCACAATGGGCATGAGAGAAAAGGCTGAGCAGCTATGGACCACCTCACTCTGGAAAGATTTAAATTCTGGGGTCTTTTCAGTTTTTCTACCTTACTAGTCATGTATCTCCTCAAGGGCATCCTACTGGTGCATAGTCTTATGCAGCTGTCTTAGGGCAGCTGAATATCATCAGTATCAGTTACTGATTACTCAATAAATCATGTTGACAAGGAGTTAAAGGTGCTTATCCGTTGCATAGTCACCTTGGTTAGGGTCTCATTTATTTTAAATCTGCTATACTTTTATCAAATCTTTGAGTTAATGTTGCAAGAATGATTTGACCAAGGAAAAAATCTTGGGGCTATAGGAAACATCACATATCAACCTTTCAAGCAGAGGAAACACAGCCATAACTCAGTGTCTGAGTGCTTTCTCTAGAGTCTGCACTCCACTCACTCACACTGCAGTAAATTTTTCCAATGTTGTTTATTCTATATCGATATCATGTTCCATCTCTCTGATGTCTCCTCAACTCTATGATTTCAGCAAGGTAACCACTCTGAGCTGAGAAGCCCATCTTCATTTATAGGACCTTCTTTTGTACCATACCATCTCACACAGCCTGCACTTATAGTGCATTTACAGTAGTCAGTGTCTTTGCTTCAACCCTGGACTCATTTATTTATTCCGTCCCAATGTATAACCCTGACCTCCAGCTGCTTCAGGATGGTCAAGTTTGTAAAACTAGTAGGAACCATATTGCAAATGTTGCCTAATGGGAAGAAATAATATTACAGTCTATTAGAGTTGCCAACTTTGCAAAACTGCTTACTGACCACTGGAGATTCTTAGACTTTACACTAAAAAGCTACATGATTATTTTATGTCAATCCCATTTTACAACCAGGAATTGTAAGTAACATACAATGTAGGGGATAATTCTGGTAGGTGGTAAGGTGAGGCTGCCTTCAAACCAATTTGGGGGAGCAGATTTTTGACTAATCCCAAGAACTAAGATGAGAAATCACAGATCTTATTTTCTGGTTTTTTTTCTCTCCCCATATGCAACTTCACACACATGTACATAAACACTACATGCATTATCCCCACACACCTACAACATACACACAATATCCTACTTATCTATCCTGTAAGTTACCTGTCATGCTCTTACCCTCTCCATAGTACCCTCTAGCAATGAAGAGGAAGAAGGAGGAGGAGGAGGAGGGCAGAATAGACCTTCCTCAACTTATGCCATTGTCAGATAGGAGGATTCTGGATCTAAGGATACACCAGATAGTCAATGAATTTTCCAGGTATACCGCAGACTGAAAGACAGCTTTCCACGGAGAAAACACAGAAAAGGATAGTCTTACCCACATGAACAGAAAAGCCTGACAAAGGGTTGTATCCATCTCAATCCTGCTACCTTAAGGAAATGCTCCTGGCCTAACAAAAGTATGCCAAAACATGTATGTGTACAGTTTTCTGTGCAAAACATAGTGTTCAGGATGTCATTTGTTATGAATCTATTTTAACCCACTAGCACACTGCTGTATCTTTGTTCTTTCTGCTCTAACTCCTGACTTCAGGTATTGGACTTTGAGTTTTTGTCTGGACTTCCCAGACTGTCATCACAGGTAATTGACTTCTCAGACTTGGAACTATTCAGTTCCATCCTGCAGTCAGTGGATGATTCCTACTCTCTAACCTGGCATCTCTGCCTGACTCTGAGAATCCGTCCCATCTTCTTCCATTAAGATAGTATATGGCTTGAGATTCTAAAACATCCACTTCTTCCTCCATGCCCAAAGTACAGCCTTAGAGCCTGGACCTTTGACATGTGGTGAACTTTGAGAAAGTGATTTTCACAGAGAACATAAAGAATAAATTTATTATTATTATTATTATTATTATTATAATACTTTAAGTTTTAGGGTACATGTACACAATGTGCAGGTTAGTTACATATGTATACATGTGCCATGCTGGTGTGCTGCACCCATTAACTCGTCATTTAGCATTAGGTATATCTCCTAATGCTATCCCTCCCCCCTCCCCTCACCCCACAAGAGTCCCCAGAGTGTGATGTTCCCCTTTCTGTGTCCATGTGCTCTCATTGTTCAATTCCCACCTATGAGTGAGAACATGCGGTATTTGGTTTTTTGTCCTTGCGATAGTTTGCTGAGAATGATGATTTCCAATTTCATCCATGTCCCTACAAAGGACATGAACTCATCATTTTTATGCATAGTATTCCATGGTGTAAATGTGCCACATTTTCTTAATCCAGTCTATCACTGTTGGACATTTGGATTGGTTCCAAGTCTTTGCTATTGTGAATAGTGCCGCAATAAACATATGTGTGCATGTGTCTTTATAGCAGCATGATTTAGAGTCCTTTGGGTATATACCCAGTAATGGGATGGCTGGGTCAAATGGTATTTCTAGTTCTAGATCCCTGAGGAATCGCCACACTGACTTCCACAATGGTTGAACTAGTTTACAGTCCCACCAACAGTGTAAAAGTGTTCCTATTTCTCCACATCCTCTCCAGCACTGTTGTTTCCTGACTTTTTGATGATTGCCATTCTAACTGGTGTGAGATGGTATCTCATTGTGGTTTTGATTTGCATTTCTCTGATGGTCAGTGATGGTGAGCATTTTTTCATGTGTTTTTTGGCTGCATAAATGTCTTCTTTTGAGAAGTGTCTGTTCATGTCCTTTGCCCACTTTTTGTTGGGGTTGTTTGTTTCTTTCTTGTAAATTTGTTTGAGTTCATTGTAGATTCTGGATATTAGCCCTTTGTCAGATGAGTAGATTGCGAAAATTTTCTCCCATTTTGTAGGTTGCCTGTTCAGTCTGATGGTAGTTTCTTTTGCTGTGCAGAAGCACTTTAGTTTAATTACATCCCATTTGTCAATTTTGTCTTTTGTTGCCATTGCTTTTGGTGTTTTAGACATGAAGTCCTTGCCCATGCCTATGTCCTGAATGGTAATGCCTAGGCTTTTTTCTAGGGTTTTTATGGTTTTAGGTCTAACATTTAAGTCTTTAATCCATCTTGAATTAATTTTTGTATAAGGTGTAAGGAAGGGATCCAGTTTCACCTTTCTACATATGGCTAGCCAGTTTTCCCAGCACCATTTATTAAATAGGGAATCCTTTCCCCATTGCTTGTTTTTCTCAGGTTTGTCAAAGATCAGATAGTTGTAGATATGCGGCATTATTTCTGAGGGCTCTGTTCTGTTCCATTGATCTATATCTCTGTTTTGGTACCAGTACCATGCTGTTTTGGTTACTGTAGCCTTGTAGTATAGTTTGAAGTCAGGTAGCGTGATGCCTCCAGCTTTGTTCTTTTGGCTTAGGATTGACTTGGTGATGCGGGCTCTTTTTTGGTTCCATATGAACTTTAAAGTAGTTTTTTTCCAATTCTGTGAAGAAAGTCATTGGTAGCTTGATGGGGATGGCATTGAATCTATATATTACCTTGGGCAGTATGGCCATTGTCACAATATTGATTCTTCCTACCCATGAGCATGGAATGTTCTTCCATGTCTTTGTATCCTCTTTTATTTCATTGAGCAGTGGTTTGTAGTTCTCCTTGAAGAGGTCCTTCACATCCCTTGTAAGTTGGATTCCTAGGTATTTTATTCTCTTTGAAGCAATTGTGAATGGGAGTTCACTCATGATTTGGCCCTCTGTTTGTCTGTTATTGGTGTATAAGAATGCTTGTGATTTTTGTACATTGATTTTGTATCCTGAGACTTTGCTGAAGTTGCTTATCAGCTTAAGGAGATTTTGGGCTGAGACAATGGGGTTTTCTAGATATACAATCATGTCATCTGCAAACAGGGACAATTTGACTTCCTCTTTTCCTAATTGAATACCCTTTATTTCCTTCTCCTGCCTAATTGCCCTGGCCAGAACTTCCAACACTATGTTGAATAGGAGTGGTGAGAGAGGGCATCCCTGTCTTGTGCCAGTTTTCAAAGGGAATGCTTCCAGTTTTTGCCCATTCAGTATGATATTGGCTGTGGGTTTGTCATAGATAGCTCTTTTTATTTTGAGATTTGTCCCATCAATACCTAATTTATTGAGAGTTTTTAGCATGAAGAGTTGGTGAATTTTGTCAAAGTTCTTTTCTGCATCTATTGAGATAATCGTGTGGTTTGTCTTTGGTTCAGTTTATATGCTGGATTACATTTATTGATTTGTGTATATTGAACCAGCCTTGCATCCCAGGGATGAAGCCCACTTGATCATGGTGGATAAGCTTTTTGATGAGCTGCTGGATTCGGTTTGCCAGTATTTTATTGAGGATTTTTGCATCAATGTTCATCAAGGATATTGGTCTAAAATTCTCTTTTTTGGTTGTGTCTCTGCCCGGCTTTGGTATCAGGATGATGCTGGCCTCATAAAATGAGTTAGGGAGGATTCCCTCTTTTTCTATTGATTGGAATAGTTTCAGAAGGAATGGTACCAGTTCTTCCTTGTACCTCTGGTAGAATTTGGCTGTGAATCCATCTGGTCCTGGACTCTTTTTGGTTAGTAAGCTATTGATTATTGCCACAATTTCAGATCCTGTTATTGGCCTACTCAGAGGTTTAACTTCTTCCTGGTTTTGTCTTGGGAGAGTGTACGTGTTGAGGAATTTATCCATTTCTTCTAGATTTTCTAGTTTATTTGCTTAGAGTTGTTTCTGGTATTCTCAGATGGTAGTTTGTATTTCTGTGGGATCGGTGGTGATATCCCCTTTATCATTTTTTATCGCGTCTATTTGATTCTTCTCTCTTTTTTTCTTTATTAGTCTTGCTAGCGGTCTATCAATTTTGATGATCCTTTCAAAAAACCAGCTCCTGGATTCATTAATTTTTTGAAGGGTTTTTTGTGTCTCTATTTCCTTCAGTTCTGCTCTGATTTTAGTTATTTCTTGCCTTCTGCTAGCTTTTGAATGTGTTTGCTCTTGCTTTTCTAGTTCTTTTAATTGTGATGTTAGGGTGTCAATTTTGGATCTTTCCTGCTTTCTGTTGTGGGCATTTAGTGCTATAAATTTCCAAAGTCGAAATGAAGGAAAAAATGTTAAGGGCAGCCAGAGAGAAAGGTCGGGTTACCCACAAAGGGAAGCCCATCAGACTAACAACAGATCTCTCAGCAGAATCTCTACAAACCAGAAGAGAGTGGGGGCCAATATTCAACATTCTTAAAGAAAAGAATTTTCAACCCAGAATTTCACATCCAGCCAAACTAAGCTTCATAAGTGAAGGAGAAATAAAATACTTTACAGACAAGCAACTGCTGAGAGATTTTGTCACCACCAGGCCTGCTCTAAAAGAGCTCCTGAAGGAAACACTAAACATGGAAAGGAACAACCAGTTCCAGCTGCTGCAAAATCATGCCAAAATGTAAAGACTATCAAGACTAGGAAGAAACTGCATCAACTAACGAGCAAAATAACCAGCTAACATCATAATGACAGAATCAAATTCACACATAACAATATTATCTTTAAATATAAATGGACTAAATGCTCCAATTAAAAGACACAGACTGGCAAATTGGATAAAGAGTCAAGACCCATCAGTGTGCTGTATTCAGGAAACCCATCTCACATGCAAGACACACATAGGCTCAAAATAAAAGGATGGAGGAAGATCTACCAAGCAAATGGAAAACAAAAAAAGGCAGGGGTTGCAATCCTAGTCTCTGATAAAACAGACTTTAAACCAACAAAGATCAAAAGAGACAAAGAAGGCCATTACAGAATGGTAAAGGGATGAATTCAACAAGAAGAGCTAACTATCCGAAATATATATGCACCCAATACAGGAGCACCCAGATTCATAAAGCAAGTCCTTAGAGACCAACAAAGAGACTTAGACTCCCACATAATAATAATGGGAGACTTTAACACCCCACTGTCAACATTAGACAGATCAACGAGACAGAAAGTTAACAAGGATACCCAGGAATTGAACTCAGCTCTGCACCAAGCAGACCTAATAGACATCTACAGAACTCTCCACCCCAAATCAACAGAGTATACATTTTTTTCAGCACCACACCACACCTATTCCAAAATTGACCACATAGTTGGAAGTAAAGCTCTCCTCAGCAAATGTAAAAGAACAGAAATTATAACAAACTGTCTCTCAGACCACAGTGCAATCAAACTAGAACTCAGGATTAAGAAACTCACTCAAAACCGCTCAACTACATGGAAACTGAACAACCTGCTCCTGAATGACTACTGGGTACATAACGAAATGAAGGCAGAAATAAAGATGTTCTTTGAAGCCAACGAGAACAAAGACACAGCATACCAGAATCTCTGGGACACATTCAAAGCAGTGTGTAGAGGGAAATTTATAGCACAAAGAATAAATTGAGAAGGAGAAACTGGATGGTGAAGGGATTAGAAGGCACGGATATGAGCCACCTGTTCTATTAATGACAGAATGGCATGAAAAGGAAATGAGCATTAGTGGTGATAGTAGCAGCTTCCATTTAGGTGGTTACTTTAGGTCAACCACTCTTTTAGTAAATTTTATTTAATTCTTACAATAACACTTTGGAATATATTTTGTCAATTACATTTTACAAATGATGAAACTAGAGCTAAAAACTCTTAATTTGTCTTAAGTCTTTCAGCTAACAAGTGTCAGGGTCAAAGTTTTGTTCCTCAATCCTTCCATCCCCCAACCTCTGGTAACCACAGATTTACTCTCTGTTTTGAGAGGTGTTTATTATCATTGTTGTCATTTGCTTTTTTGCAGGGGTGGCTGGGGAGGGGGTGGTTCTGGGAAAAAATGGAAAATCTGCTAGACAAATTTGAAAAGAGCTGCAATTCTTACTCTCTACTTTTATGAGTTTGGCTCATTTAGAGTCTATATACAGTGAGATCATGCAGTATTTATCTTTTTGTGCCTGTCTTATTTAACTTAATGTAATGTCCTCTAGCTTCATTCTTGTTGTTGCAAATGATAGAATTTTCCTCTTCTTCCTTTTTTGTGGCTGAATAGTATTCCACTCTGTATATATACTCCATTTTCTTCATTCAGTCACTCATTGACAGACACTTAGGTTGATTTTGAATATTAGTTACTTTGAATAGTGCTGCAATAATCATGGGAGTGTGAATACCTCTTTGACATATTCATTTCATTTCTTTGGATATATACCTAGAAGTGGAATTGCTGAGTCACATAGTAGTTCTATTTTTAATTTTTTGAGGAACTGTCATACTGTTTAACATAATGATTATAGTAATTTTCATTTCCACCAATAGTGTGCAAGGGTTCCCTTATCTCTACATCCTCACCAACACTTGTCATTTTTCATATTTTTGATAATAGCTGGTATTATAACAGGTATGAGGTGATATCTCATTGTTACTTTAATTTGCATATCCTGATGATTAATGATGTTGAGCAATTTTTCACAAAACTATTGGCCATTTGTATGTCTTTTTTGAGAAATCTCTATTGAAGTTCCTTGTCTATTTTAATCAGATTGTTTTCTTACTATTGAGCTGAATTCATATATATATATATATATATATATATATATATATATATAAGCTTTTTAGTTTGATATAATTCTATTTATCTATTTTGCAGAGTCAAGATTTGAACTCAGGCATGCGGTTTTTTTAGAGTTGATAACATTGACAACCAGCATAACTAAATTTTCATATATATAAAATTTAGGAAAACAGCCAGTATGGTTAAGCAAGGTTTTGCCAAACATGGAAGTTATTTCTGAAAAGCTACTCCCTTTCTCATCCCTCCATTTTGTTTATAATAAAATTGAGGGCAACAACTAGGTTTCTCTCATCCCTGAGTTACAATCTAAGGCTAGTTTTACGACTAATAAATTCTACATTCTAAGAATGGTAAGGGAATTAAGCATGAACCTCATAAGCTTATTAGACTTATAGACTATGAAAGTGGGCCTGAGGATCAAAAAACGAGGAGTAATGAGACAAAATAGAAATCCCTAAGTATATTGTTAAAAACACTAGCTCAATGAGTTATCAAACGCTCATACACACCCTCACAAATAATATATACTATATCCCCCATAAACATAATAATTCCTTGGTAATTTTATAAAATTCTATAGTATAGAAAACTGTTTTAAAACTTTTGTTGTCTAAAAATGTTCTCGGATTCTCTACAGATGCTCCCGTTGAGTAGGACCTTGAGTTGTGGCAGGCTTTGCAACGTTTTTGCCAATTAAATATTATGAAAATGATGTTATGCAGCATCTGGGCCAGAATCCACAAGGTCTTCTCCTCTCATCCTCTTGAACCCCTATAATACCAGATGCAAAAGCTAGGCTAGTCTCTCTGAGGGTGAGAGATCACACAGAAAGGGAGGCCCAGCTGTTAGACAGCATTAACCACCACACAGGGGAGTGAGGCCATCTTAGACCATCCAGCCCCAGCCAAGCCACCAGATGACTGTACCATACGAATGGCCATAGACAAGACCAGTGAGGAATTTCCCACCTGGCCCGGCCCAAGTTGCTGATTCACAGAATTTTGAGCAAATACACAATGTATTGTTTGACACCACCAAGTTTTGGGGCAGTTTGTTACATAGCAATAGGTAACTGATATAACTTACTTTCAACCATCACTCCCTGTTGTGGTTTAGATGTGTGTCCTCTCCAAACCTCAGGTTGAAAAGTGATCCTCAGTGTTGGAAATGGGGCCTAATGGGAGGTATTGGATCATGGCAATAGGTCCCTCATGAATGGCTTCTTGCCATCCCTTTGGTTATGAGTGAGTTCTCTCTGTGAGTTCACATGAGATCTGGTTGTTTAAAAGAATGTGGCACCTCCACCACTCCGTCTTGCTCCTGCTCTTGCCACATGACATGCCTGCTCCCCTTTGGCCTTCTGCCATGTTTGTAAGATTCCTGAGACCCATACCAAGAGCAGATGCCAGTGCAGTGCTTCCTGTACAGCCTGAAGAATGATGAGCCAATTAAACCTCTTTTCTTTATAAATTACCCAACCTCTATTAGTTCTTTATAGTGATGCAAGAATAAACTAATACACTCCCAAAACTGATTTGATCTTGAAACACCTATTTTATTAAGCACCTAATTCACATCTCTAGGAAGATATTTGGGGGAATGAGGAGACAGAAGTTTTCATCCTTATGTCACATAAACTTATTTAGTATCTTAAGGAATACTATGTGGGAAAATGCTTAAGGAATACTATGTGGGAAAATGGGCAATAGTGGGCTTCTTATTGAAGAAATCCTTCTTAGAAGACTGTCCTGGCATCCTGTTATATTTGAACATATGCCTGGTATCTGGAAGCAAAACTGTGCTTAAAGTTTTTTTTCATCCCAGTAGAGAATCAAATATGATCCTCACCGTCAACAAATGCATAGGTCTATCTGTTCTTACCTTTTGTAGGTAAAATCTTCAGAAATCCAGGTGTGTATGAATTATCAGTCTTACAATTGGGGAAGTTATATTTGTTATTCCTTGGAAGTAAATATTGAGATATGACTTGCTTGCTTGTCTTTTGTAAATGTTTTCAAACCTCAATTCTATTTTATTTTATCAGCAAGAATTATAATAACTGTCTCATCATTGAAATTAGATAAACACGGCAGGTAAATCACTAAAAGCTATAGGCAGCTATTAATAAGATACTTGAATCAGCAACTCTCCTAGATTATTTCAGCGTTCTTCCCAGGACTACTTCATATTTAATAAGACACCTTCCTCAATGTACTGACTTTTTCTGAGCTTCACACTTTCCAAGTCATCTTCTTTTTCACATTAGGAGCAGGGAGGGATATATATCTCATGTCTCCTTGTCTTCTTCTTTCCTTTTCTTTTTTTTTTTTTTTTTTTTTTTTGGCCAATAAAAAGCAATGTCTCCAAGTTGAGAACAACTACTTTTCTAAGCTGTAATTTTGTATCTTGTTACAAATCCAAATTCTAAGCCTATTTCAAAGTCTTGCTCTAAAGCTTTAATCTTTTCCAAACATAAGGCTATTGCTTACAATGAATTTAACATGTTAACGTCTCTGCAGCATCACTGGCTGTAGACATCAGCACAGCATGCATCCATCTAAATAATTTAATTTAATAAAGCATTGGGCAAAACCCCACATTCCAAAATGTCAGTCCCACCCCATGTAATTTCAATCATTGTATACTCATTCATTTGTATTTAAAGCTTTGTCTTCTTTAAGCTTAATATAAAAACTCACTTACTTCCGGAAGGAATTAATCCTTGTCAATAAACACCTGGGTTAACAGTTAGGGACATATTTAACAGTTCCCCGAGAGCACAGGTTTATAGGAATAAGACATGGAGAGAAAGAGGTTACAAGACAGAGAAAATTTCTACATCCATGCCTAGGGAAATTTTTTAGGCAGCTCAATTCCTCTTTATCCCACAGAAGTCACTTAAAAAGATGAGCCAATTTCTTCTAACACATAACTTCTTACAGGATCTTCCCCTCTTAACTCTAATATAATATCCTAAATTATCTCATGGCACATTAGCAAACATGCTCCAATCAGAAAACAGTTCTGAAATTTCTTATATGAGATTTTCATGATGCCACAGGTATGGAACTCTGTGGCCCAAACTACATCTTTCTGCACATATTCTCTATCACCAGAAAATGTATGCCATAAGTATACTCTAAGATCTTTAGGTTCAGCACTATAAAATCTTTTGAGTGTATTGGACAGCACAAAATACCGAAAGGGAATTTAAGGGATATGAACTGGTAGTTTAAAAATATTTTCAACTACAATTTGGTGTTTAGGGAAGATTAGAACAAAGCTTGGTACTAAATTTCCAAATAAGCTTAGGATTTGGATTTCATACTAGAGACAGAAGTTCTCATCTCAGCCCAGGAGACTGGGAATAAAAACATTACTAAGATTGGAAGCAAATCTTTTTGTAAGATTACAAATATGGGTGTAAAAAGGCAAATTCTTCTTTTAAAGATTGGAGCTTTATATTGTTGCTTAAGACAATTGAGACAATATAAGAAAGGATTGTAAAATGTTCTAAGAGAAGGGCTATGTGTTCACTCATGGACTGAATCAGCAAGTGTTTCTGCAGAGTTCACTGGGACACTTCATACTTCAAAGATTAATTGAGTTCTTGCTTCCCAGAATTCTCTACTCTTTCCTCTCCCTTTTCAAATGCTCTCTTTCAAAGCTCAACTGAAATTCTCTCTTCAGAATTAAGTCTTCTCTGAGCATTCCAGCCCATCCAGATAGGCCTCTCCCTTCAACTCAGACACTGTTTTGGCAGATTCTACTATAAATTATTTCATAAGTGTGGATATTTTCTTTAAGAATAAAGGTGCCTTGCGGTTAGGAACTGGATGTTGTATGTGTGTGTGTGTTGTATTTTACCCACCATATATATTTGTGCTATGAAGTTATAACCACCTAACAGGTTCTTCCTGCCTACTGCACAAACATAATAAATTCACAAAGGCCATGGCATTGCAGTAAAGAAAGAGTTTCATTGATGGAGGTTGGCCATACCACGTGGGAAATGGAATTATTATTCAAATCAATATCAAAGGCTCTGAGGTTAGGGGTTTTTCAAAGGTAGCTTGAGGGGTAGGCGGATAGGGTATGGGGAGTGCTGATTGCTTGGATGAGAGATGAAATCATAGGGAGTTGAAGCTGTCCTCTTACACTGAGTCAATCCTGCATGGGTCCATGGGAGCGGTTGTGGATCACTGATAATCAGAGCAAAAAACCTGAGAAGATATCTCAAAAGGCCGATCTTGGGTTCTACAATGGTGATGTTATCTGCAGGAATCACTGGGGAAGTTGCGTGTCTTGTGACCTATGGAAAAATGTCTGGCAACCTTTTATGTCTACACCTTAACAGAATTCCTCTACTCCTCCCAGCCTGGTGGTCTCTCATTAGCTTTACAAAGGTGGTTGGTTGAGTTTTGGGGAAGAGCTATTATCACTTAAACTGTAAACTAAATGTCTCCCAAAGTAGCTTGACCTAAGCCCAGTAATAATTAAGGAAAGATAAAGGCAAGACAGGGATTAGTTAAATCAAATCCTTTCACGCTATAATTTTCTCACTGTTATAATTTTTGCAAAGGTGGTTTCAAAGTCTTTCCTGACCAAGGCTTCAGATGGTGTGAGTATAAGCCCCATCACTGCCAAATAGCACCTGTTTGACCTTTGACTAGCTACTTAGACTCTCAGCATCAGTATCTTTATCCAGAGAATGGAGACAGAAGACTTTCTCTCTGCCGTCATCTGCATGTTGTGAAGATTAAAGAAGGCACTGTGAATGAAACTGCATCATCAGTTATAAATAGTTTCCATGATGTGAGGTTCTGCTAGCACATTTGGTACTCAAATTTACTGACTGAAGGAATAATGGATAAATCTAAATGCTCCCTAGAGTTATACAGTATTATAAAGTATATAGTCACATTGAACAGGTTATGTTGAACAAGTGAGATTATTAATATACACAGGTTATCAATGAGATGATTTATTAGCACATAGGTCATTAATGGCACAATTAGCACAATTAGGCATACCATCCTAGGCAAGATAATTGGATGCTCTCCTTTGAATCTGCTGAAGCTCTCACTCCTTTTGGAGCAGGAAGGTAAACTAAGATATACTGGTACTTATGCAAAAAAGCATCATGCCATTATAGAAACACTCTATGAATTAATGTGTAGACCCAGACTCACTTCATATTTCTTGCTCCATTCTTACTTGTTTGTGTTACTTACTAGCTTTGTGACCTTAGGCAATTTATTTTATCCATCACAGACTCAGTTTCTTATTTCAAAGAATAATTTTCAAAAAATATGTTATGCAAATACAAAAATTATTTAACTCATAAATGAGACTATCAGTAAGTATCAGTAAGATGGTAATGCTAGTTCGAAGAGCACTGGAAAACTAGTTATATATAAAAATTAAGAATAATGAAGTTAGTTAATAATAGTGTATCAATATTGACTCATTGATTGTAAAAGAAATTACTACACTAATGCAAAGTGTTAGTTATTAGAGAAACTGGAGTGGATGCTGTTTATAGGAGGAGAGGATGAGAAGGTATAGGGAAACTCTGTATTTTCCACAAATTCTTTCCATAAAGCCAAAACTGCTCAAAATAGTGTATTTAAAAAATAAAAATAATATGGTTTAAATAAAATTTTGAGTTTAGATATAAAATTTATTAATGTTCTACAGAGCAATAAATCCATATCTTTGGGGTTTTCTAGTAAAAAGAAACCCTTTGCCTCTTTAACAGACAAAATGAACAAGTTAACATATAACTTCGTAGTGTGAGGACTTTAATAATAAATAGCGCAGTCAAAAACAGGTATATTCTCTTAGAAATAACCTTTAATGGCCTATTAAATAATGCCCCAGTATGACACTGGAAGGACATGACCCCACCCTTTGTCTTATTTTTCAATTTTGAATAACTTTTTCTTAATTCTTTTGTTATTGTTGTTGTGATGATGATGATGTTTCCTCTGGGCTTTCTTATCTCCAGCATGTTGCAGCTTTCATCTTGAACTCTGACTTGACTTCTCATCTTTCTTCACACTCTTGGATGCTCCCCAGCCTAGTTATGAAATGGCCCTCACTTTGTTTTATCCTCTTGGCATTGGCCTCCCAAGAACCCTCCTCAGCTTCTGATTCCTCGCTGGCCTAGTGCTCAGCCTAAGATATGACTCTGGGTCCCTGGAAACTGCTGAGTCAAAAAAGTGACAAAAGACAGCAAGAGCCTAGAATACAAGGAAGTATAAAGAGCAACATCTACTATATTTACTAATTGCCCTGCTTCTGTAGTCTCCAGCATCTCTCCTTGCACAGAAAACCATCATGAAGCAGGGGCTCAATGTATAAACCAAATTTGGCTAGACCTGAGATCGGTTGGTCAATCATCTTACAAAAATATAATTGTGCAAAATCCTGTCTTAGGAAGAATCGACAAGAAACACAAAAATAACATTGTACATATAATAAAAGGCAAAACAACCACACTAGAAATGGACTAAAGGCAGGCTAAACTGCCTGAATAAAAAGAGAAAATAACTGACTTCTGGGCTCTGTGGTACAGTTAACAAACCAGTAGAGGATAGAAGTTAAAAGTGTAGCTTTGAAATCCAAAATAAGTTTATGTCTTGATTTGATCAATTATTAGATATTAAACTGCTTAATTTCTGTGCCTTAGTTTTCTCGTAAGTAAAATGGAGACAATAGTAGTACCTATCTCAAAGAGTTGTTTAGAGGATTAACTGTGTTAATAAAGTAAAGCCCTTGGTCTTTAATAAATATTTAAACTATGTCAATGGCGTTATCTTTGATCTTTATAAGCCGTTTCTCCTCCCTGAGCCTTAGACCTCTCATCTATAGACCAAGTATAACAATATGGTCTTGACTGGAACCCAAGGAATGTGATACATTCCTCATAAGGTTCCAGTTTCAAGTGAAAATCTGGGGGCAGAAGTGGTGTCATTAAGTGTCTAAACTGATAAGTAACTTCAAGTAGCATTTTATTTTACATAAAGATGAATATCTTTTTGAGCTGATGCATGGAAATTTACATTAATTTAAAAAAGGAAATGAGACACAATGGGATATTTAACAAGCAGTGCCCATTTAAGGCTATGCCATCCCTTCCTTATCCCCTCCACTTCCCTAAGGAGGGTAGGTTTCCTCTCTTTTACCCTTGGGAATCTTTGTGTATGAGAGTGTGAGCCACACTAATTTATTAAAAGCTACTAAGTACTTAGCAAATATAAAGTGTTCCTAGATGCAGTGTCATAAAACAAAGAATGAGATATGACTAAATATCACAGGTGAAGAATAAGTCCAAATTTTTCATTAAGTGATGAGAGATGTGAAATGGTAGCAACTTTGGAGGCAGAGGGAGACAAAGGAACTTACGCGAGAGCTGAGATTTGAAGAAATATTGGGATAGGCTGTAAGAAAAAAAATTATCCGAAAAGGGCTAGTAAAAAATACCATTCATATCCTCCTGTGATAATTACTGGACCTCCAGGTGTAATAGAGCTAATGAACTGTTTGGACAAGTTAAACCATGAGTTTTTGGTTTTGTTTTATTTTCCTTCATATAGATGGCTAATACCTTGATGACCTGGTGAACTAACGACTGCTGATCTCAAACCATACACTGTAGGGTCAAGCACAGTATGATAAATAACTTGATTTGGTATCGGTTTATTTGTATTTAATTAGAAATTAGTATTGTCAAGCTCAGAAATGGGAATTTGATGGATATTTCTATATAGTAGCAACTTTCCACTTCTTTGAAGTGGAAAGGAATGTGATGCAATCAGAATCTAAGAGGCATTAGTCAGGCTGTAGGATGTTAGGAGAACACTAAATCGAGTAGCTATGAATGGACAATATATACGTAATTTTTTCTTACTCCGGGGCCATGGGCCAGTACTCTAGCAATCAGATTGGGTATAGGAAGTATAGAGCCCATAAGATTTTGGTCTTGGTAAGTTAAACAATGAAGCTTGAGACCAGCCTGGCCAACATGGTGAAATTCCATCTCTACTAAAAATACAAAAATTAGCCAGGCATGGTGGCACACTCCTCTAATCCCAGTTACTTGGGAGGCTGAGGCAGGAGAATCGCTTGAACCTGGGAGGGGGAGGTTGCAGTGAGCTGAGATCGCGCCATTGCCCTCCAGCCTGGGCGTCGGAGTAAGACGCTGTCTCAAAAACAAACAAACAGTGAAGCTTATGCTTTCCTGTGCTATAGGTGTGCATGCATTCTATATTTCTACCCAATGGTAGAATCTTTTTTTTTTTCAACTTAAATTCTTATCTAGGAGTTACTATCCCTGCTAGAGCAGTGGCTCTAAACCAGGGGGAGTTTTGCCTCCCAAAGACATATTTGGAAATATCTGAATACAACTGGCACAACTAGAAGAGGGTGAGCTACTCACACCTAGTGTGTAGAGCCCAGGCATGCTGCTAAACATCCTACAACACACAGGGCAGCACTCCACAAAAATCTTATCCAGCCCCAAATGTCGATAATGTTGAAACTGACAAATGTATGCTAGAGGGAGCAGTCTTCCATGGTTTTCTTCTCCCTAGCCTTAGCTAGCACAGAACCAACAAAACAAAGTAAGTAGCTTACAACTTAGAGTAAAGGCTCAAATAAAAACAAAAGGGGGTACCATTCCCAGAATTTTTAAATTGGAAATCAGCGCTTCTCAGAATGTATTAAAAAGAAACAAAGTTTCTGCAGACTCTGGTAATAAAGGCTGCAAATAGATGTTGAGCACATGTAAGGGATAATTATAATTGTCTAAAAAGAATAAAGTACTTGTTATGTAAAAGTGACATCCCATGACAAACAAGTGTGAAGTAAGAACTACAGGAAAGATAAATCCGCAGAATTTAACAATGTAGGAAGAAGACACAAGACCAGCCAGATCATCATTAATTTTTTATGAGGAGGGAACTGAGAGTACATACTGCAGTTTGTTGTATTTTATGCTTATGTTCTCATAGACTTCCAAGGTTAGTATTGTAGAAGATTAAAGATAGTTGCAAATTGTTTGACTCTCCTTTGTTGAAGAGGTGGGCTCCATATCACCTTCACTTGAAATTGGGAGGCCTTTGTGATTGCTTAACCAGTAGAATAGAGTTTCTGGGCCCAGGCCTAATAAGACTTATAGCTTTCACTTGCTATCTTTTGGAGGACTCTTTCTGAGACCCCAGGATGTCTCTGAAAAAAATCTAATTTACTCTGAAAATTCCATGCTATAAAAGTCACATGTAGGTACTCTGGTCAATAGCACCAGATGAGTCCAACCTTCCATCCATCCCCACCAAAGTTGCAGACATGTAAGTAAAGCTGTTTTGGACATTCCAGACCATCCTATCTGCCCACTGATACACCACAGAGTGACCTCTGTAAACACCACATCAAAACAAATGGCCAGCTGAGTCCTGAATAAATTCCTGATTTAAAAAAGTGAGATATAATAAAATATTTGTTGTTTTAAGCCATTAAGTTTTGAGGTATTTATTATGTAGTAATACATACACAAAAAAATCCTGTTATTGTACTTATGAAATAGCATTTTAAAGAACTCCTCTCTAGGTATTGATATATATGTAGATATAAAAATTGAATGGTCTCTACCTGACCATGACAGATTCTTATGCTGAAAAGAAAACAGCAGATAAACATCCCACTTTATAGATTGTTTATTTCAACTGAAGTGAGCTTTAAGATTGCAGAATTATAGCACGGCTTGTGGCAAAAGGGATGGCTTTCAACTTAGAGATAAGGCTGATAAAACAGAATTAAGTTCCCACCAGGTATGGAAACACTGCCAGCTTAAATCAACTTGGTTTAGAATTCGTTGCCTCTTATGCGGACTAATCGGGACGCTTGTTAATTACAAAGATATCCTTTATTATTGTTCTTCAGAACTCTGTCTTTCCTACTTGGAAACTTTGCCAGATCCTGATTTGTTTATCTTTTACCTTGACCAAAAAAACCCACAAAAAATCAAGACAAATAAAAAAACCTATCTTTTAATGCTCTCCACTGCTTGTGATTTGTCCAAAAAATAATAAGTTGTTTCTCTAGCTTGTTAGAACTGATGGGGAAAGATTGTACTCCAGGAGGTCAAGAGAGAGAGGAAGCCAATGCTAGATCATGGGCGGTGAGGGACCGGTTCAGCCAGAGAGGGAGAATTGTGAGACCAACTGGGAATCATAGTTCTTTCCTGCTTAGGCATGTCATTTGCCGTAACCTCATGCCTACGATATATTCTGGTTTTATCTACTAGAGATGTCCAAAATAAGTTTATTCAGAATTACATTCTCTCTGAGTTTTCTTCAGAAAAAACATTCTTATGTCCTGGAATTATTCTTCATATTCAAGTTTTCCCCTTCCAGAAAAATATTCTTTTTCAAGTATGAGGCCCATAATTGAACAGACCAGTACATAGCAGAGCAGGATTGTCAACTTCACATTCTTGATCATGATGCATCTTTCAGTGAAGTGAAATATAGTTTGGGCCTTTTATGTAATGGGCACACCGTTAGTGGTTAATAAACAATAACAAAAGCTACCTTATACCTCTATACTATTTGTTATATCTTACCTAGTCAGATATGCAGGAACCTAAAAGAATATCTGAATAAGTGAGTCATTTGTTCTGAGCAACATTTCTGGAGGCCAAGTATCAGATAGAAAGGGGTCATTAGATCAAACTCCAACCCTAGATACTCAGCTCTAGGGACGATATCTAACTACTACAAGCAGGAGGGTAGTTCTTTAAGCTTCTGATCCATGACAACGAGTGGGTCAAAAGATATAAAACGAATAATTTGAAAACAAATAGAATTAAGGTTCATGGATGTCCTAATTAGGCATGTCTAGTGGTAAGCATATTTTTATTTATTTAATGTAGGTATAATTTTTTAGAAATGGAAATGGATGGATGAATTGGTCAGCTTTAGTGAAATGTGAACTGTATAAATGCAAGCAAGTCAGTATCCAGACAGAATGAGAACCTCTTGCCTTAACACAATGGGCAGCTGGTAGTAAAATAAAATCTTGTTTATCTTGCCAAGGTTTGGGCTGTTAGACAGAGGGGAAAAAGAAAAATATACCTTTATCATCAGTGTGTATGTGTGTGTAAAGGCAATAAAAAATCCTGTTGCCACTGCCTTCACTCTAAGGTCAAACATGAAAGAAAATTTTTAAATGAAACTGTAAGTTAACCTGGCTAAGAGTGGATGATTAGCAGTGGATGATTCAAAGGCCCCAAAGGCTATTTAACCAGTAGGGAGTCACAGAAGACCGGTTCCTGCATGGACATGTGTGCACACACACATTAACTGTTGGGTCTTCTTGCAATAGAAAATTCAAGGGTTCCATCATCATTATTTTAGTCCATTTGTGCTGCTATAAGAAAATACCTCAGACTGGATAATATATAAAGGACAGAAATTTATTTTCTTACATATTTGGAGGCTGGGAGTCCAAGATTATAGTACTGTCAGGTTCAGTTGTCTGGTAAGGGCTTCATTCTCTAGAGGGTGGAAATGCTATGTCCTCATCTGATGGAAGGCAGAAGGGCAAGTTAGGCAAACTGCATAAAGCTGCTTTTAAAAGGGTCATAATCCCATTCACAAGGGAGAAGCCCTCATGGCCTAATCACTTCTTAAAAGGCCCCACCTTTTAATGCTGTCACATTTCACAACACCTGAGTTTTGGATGGGCCACATTCAAACCACAGCAATCAAGAATGCATATGCTCTTATACGAAAGGATTTGCTTGCGTAATTATATTCTTTATGAAATCTTACCTCATCTACAGAGTATTGTATTCTGAAAACCTAACACACTAATATTGCTAAGAAAATAAAGAATAAAGATGTTTATCTTTTTTGATAGTCTTCATCATATGTTTATAGCTTCTAATCAAAAGGGTAGGTTTCTATCAAATGAATAACACATCCGTGGACTGACAACAGGCATGTTAGCACAGAAAACACTAATGAGTAGGCTTTTTGATTTTGTGGACCGGCTGTAAGTTATGTATATAAAAGTTGTAGGATTGGTGGCTTAACTACATAGTAAAACTAAAACTTTAAGTGCATGTTAAGGCTTTCAGTGTAAACAAATGTATCCAATAAGACCACCATTCCCTGAAACATTTTGTGAAATATATTCATAAAATATTGTAGACTCTATGGAACAGCCTCAAGATACAGCAACTCTTTGGGTGTGTCACAAACAAAGTCTTTGGTACTTATTTGAGTAAATATGATGGATTATCAAACTGAGTTGTGATGCTTGGGGACAAAAACATAGGATGCAGATACTGAAGAGGAATTTTCAACATGACTATTTACCTAATTCTAAAGGCAGTTCAAAGAGAGATGTTCAAAATATTTAAACAATGGTAACATTATTTGTGTAGGGCATGCTTTGATGGAGTAACAATTTATATGGTTACATTCTGATTTTTTCAAAAATTCTCGTTATTTCTGAGTAGTCTCTTAATATGCTCCAGTTATAATAGCCAAAGCCTAATCCATACATCTCTATTTTTAAAAAATTGTAGTGCCAGATGGCACAGATGACTAGGAACAAGCAGCATTTTAATTCATTAGACATGCATTAGAGAAAATATATACTCAGTGAATAAACCATTGCATTATCAGGCTTGATGCCAGCTTATGGATCTTTGCATCATGTAGAGTGTGGTACAATTATTTTCACGTTCTGTTACCTGTAACGTTACTTTATCCTTTTATTTCATTAAATAACAAATCTCTTAAGGTCTATATCTTCTGTAATTTTCCAACTTCATTCATTCAGGTCAATAAAATTTTATAGAACAAGTGCTATCTACCAGGCACTGTTCTGTTCCCCAGAGATATAGCAGTGAGATAAATAGACAAGATTCTGCCCTTAAGAGATAAAATGTTACTGATTGCTTATTAGATTAAATATTAAGAAGATTCATATGAAGTGGTGTAATGTAAGTTTTCATTTAGCTGCATGTGATGTACACTTTCTCCTCCACAATGTAAAGGGTGATGTTTATTTTGCAAACCTCTCTCACAACCCATTGCCTTCCAAGAAAAGCACAGTCATGTCTTTTTTTTTTAACATGAAATGAAGATATAGATAATTCTGAGGACAGGTTGCAATAACACCTGCTATAAGCAAATGAACAACACAATGTCATATCATGAAAAGGGCAGTAAAAGAAATAAACATTGTTATTAAAGAGAATAATGGTGGGTGGTAACTATTTATTGCTCTGTATAAAATTTCACAGGAATGTAGAATTCCTGCACCTCGTTCTGGTAGTATCATCCTATCAGAAGTTGGTTCTCAGCAGTGGTATTGATGGGAGGTTGTTGGTTTTGTGTGTGCATGTGTGTGTGTGTGATTTCTCTTCAAAGGCTTGTAATATGTTACTAAAAAAACTCATTAATTTCTTTCAATGCATTTTAATAACTTTTAATAAGCTTTATTAACTTCTGATTGACATTCTTCAAATGAATCTACTCTATTCATGTATTTATCTAAACTGTATATGAATTTATTTTTCTTTCCATTCTCTAAAAGATTCTGTGATCTATGAAACCAACTGACCCTGAATCTTCCAGTCTCTAGGAACGTTCTTTCTTTAATATTAAAAAAAAAATAATAACTGTACTCAATCCTCCATCTGACTTCAGGGAATTGAGTCTCTTTTTCAAATTTTTTCATAATATCCAGGGCATCTTACACTCCTGGTTGTCATCTTCCGTTCATACTCTGAGGTCCGGCTTCTAGGGTATTTTTATTCATTTTCTGTCATCTTTTTACCAGGTCTCCAAATGGAACCTGTTCTAGAATTCATTGCTCTGTGTCTTCAAAAATGAAATCCTTTTTAAATTCCTAAAGGAACAGATAATTTTGTGGAGTAATAAACCTTTACTAGATACTTGAGAGGAAAATGAAGGGAAAATACAGAATAGGACAGTTCTACATCTGACATCATTTGTCTTAAATTCCATCAGCCTCATCCTGTCACTTTTCTAATGCCCTGCCTTTCTGGGGCTCCCTTTCTCAAAACTTACCAAAACTCCTTAATGTCTTTGCTTTTTATAATATATAAGGTTTCCTTAAGGCAGATCTTTTTATTCTGTCTTCAAAACACCAAGGACCATTTCATTTTAAGTCAGTCTCTTCATTTTTTTTTTAATGCAGAACAGTTTAGCTCCCTTTGTGTTCCTTGATCCATGTTTTCAATATTTTCCTCAATCAAGGAGCAGTTTCCTTCTTGGTGTGAATTCTGTAGTTCTTTAGAATGTGAAAGCAGCAGCAGTTAATTACCTTCATTGTTTTAAATGGTGACTTTCTGCTATATGCTCAGTAAGGCTCCACTCACCTGTAGGTATTTTTCTTCTAATGCTTCACACTTGGAACAAAGACGAGAATAAGCAGAAAGTAAGCTGGAACATCTAGTAGTCACTGGGAACAGAAAGTGCTTGACAGGATGAAAAGGGCAATTACAGATCAAGTTCAGATCAAGGAACTTCTGTCCTGGGGCCGCTGACTGGAAAATGAAGGTGGAGGTGGTAGATACATTTGAGAAAGTACAATATTGAGACAGAAACATGTAAAAAACAAAATAACAAAAAAAAGAAACAGGCAAGCTTTGGGCAAATGAAGTTTACAGGATCTGTGTAAAGCATGCCTCAGCGTACAGTAGGTACACCCCAAGAAATGACAGCCATGAGGCTGTTGAAAAAAAACATATCCAATAAATCTGTTTTTAAATGGGTCAGTAGATAGCTGTACCTCTATAGGGACTTTCAGCAAATATTAACAGTCCCAATAGACATTACACTAATCCTTGGGTAGTTTAGAATCAAGACTATCTCCAAGCCTGCTAGTTATTTGAGTGTGAGCGAATGAGAGATCCAGCCTCTCAATGATCCCAGTGAGAAGAGGAGCTGATTGCAGAGGGCAGGATCAACCAGCTGGGAAGGGGCTAGGAAAAGGGCAAGGGCTGATTTCAGTAAACAAACTTCCTGTGATTTCCTTTCCAGCTGGAGGCACCTCATTGTTGCAGGCTACATTTATTCAGGTCACTCCATGTCTCCTTGTTTATTTATTCTACCTACAATAGACTATCAAGCTAGAACAACTAGCCAATTCTTCAAAATGAACATTTTAAGACATCAAAGAATATTTCATTGTGTACACAATTAAAACAAAGTAACAATATGGGATCTGTTAAGCAAAAAATAATGGGCTCGTGAACTTTTTTTTTAATCTTGAAATTTTCTGTGGAGCCTGATTTCCCCAGTTTTTAGGTCTATGACTATTGCAAACAATTCCTTAAAACCTCAGTTTCCTCATCTGTAAAATGAGAATAGCAGCAGTATCTAACTCAGAAGTTTCTTGTTGAAAATAAATGAGATAACAGGAATAAACATGCAGTCAGCTCAGTGCTGATATGTAGTTTGAAGTCAATAAATATTGCCTATTATTTTATCATCATTTTATCATATCACTTTTACGATGTTCATTTAATTTAACTAGACTTCCTTAGTCTTTCCCAGTGAACTCCTAGAAATTATAATTCATTCTGCAATGACACTAAGGACTCTAAATTAAACAGAGTAATAAAATATTCACCATAAATGAAACTATCCTTGTAAAACTCAAGAATATTAGGAAACCATGAAAGTGGATTTTATGCAGTAGGAAATACACAGATTTAAACTGAATAAGAGTTTTCAAATGAAACTCCAAGGGCAAATGTGGTTTTATTTGAGAGAAGGAACTGAGAAAAATAATTAAATAATAATCCAATAATAAAACTGGGCCAGTAAGAAGAAAACAAGAGTATGTGAGGTTCCAGGAGGCTGGTATTAAAATTGACATCTTTTAATCATGTTCGTATGCCTTAAGATTACACCTAGCATCATTTAGTAAGCCAAGTCATCTTTATTTCTTTGCAGTAGTAACATCTTTAATAGTATTACTTACTAAAAGTGTTATATCATTTTTAACAATTTTTCTCAAACAACAAATATGAGAGGTAAAAAGTCTGATTTTGCACCAAAGGAAACAGAAGCGGAGGAGGACAAGTGGCATAGGCTGCTTCATGGAGCTTGAGAGAAGCAAAAATCTCAAGCTCCAAGCCTGGGACATTATTAGCCCATGTTTTAGTCCTATAAGTCATGGTCTCTGCCTCTCTGAGTGATGATCATTTGAACTACACCAAAAAGGCTGTAATTCAGGCAGGTTGTCCAAATGTTCTTGCTTCAAAGGCCCGAGGGACAAAAGGAAAATAATTTTTCTGAAATTGATATATATCACACATCAAGGCTTCTTATCATTGTCTAATCATTTACAAGCTCTCATTTTTCTAGGGTTGGTAATTTTAGCTGGAGGAATCCCAGACAGTCAGTCATAAGAGAAAATGTGTTATAAATACCTAGAAGCGCTGGCCTTAAGAGCAGGCAAATGTAGCTAATGGTTTGAGTTGAAGGCAGAAACTTCCAAAACCAAACAACAAAAAATTACACACCAACCAACCAGAGCAACCAACATTTACCATTAGAAATCCATGTGTTTGTGTTATACTGAGTGCCAACCATAAGCCAAATACTCATCTAGCCTTTTTGCATATATTATTTTACTTAACACTCATGTTCCTCTAAAGAAAATATTTTAATTCCATTTTATATATGGAGAACACAAGGCATGGAGAGTTTATTTGGCTTATGGGGGCTATAAAAGCCTCCCAAAATTGAAATGCCTAAGGAAGGTATTAATCTGCAGCTATTCCTTATCTATCCCCACATATCTTCCCAAGGTTCAAAGAAAGACTGGTGTGTTCCAGGCAGAAAAAGGTATAAAGAAATTACTATGTAAAGACTTCATTATATTGTGTACACTATTTTATTCAGGTCTTTGCATATTAAAATAGTAAATTAAAATTGTTGTATTTTATTACTATATTTTTTATCATTCGTGTAAAGACTTCCATGTTTGTGCTCCTGGTGGAAAGGAAGCCAAGCATTGCTGGAAGAATGAGGTTGTTACCAGCACTAATGACCAACTTGTCCCCATACAGGAAACTAGAATTGTGAGGAGAATCCTATTCAGTCAAGAGAGTGGACTGAGCCTCTTTAAAGCTGGACTTTGAGGAGTTCAGATGACCAGGTATACACTCCCTCCTGGTCAGTTAAAAGTTATACTCACCACTTTATCCTGATGTAATTTCTTGAACCCACAGTGTCAGACACTGTTTTAGAGACCGGTAATGTTATTCTCTTATTTGATATTCTTAAGAATTGCAACTACTTTATGAGTTAGCCTAATGCAGGTAACACTGAGGCAGGAAAAGACCCCAGAGTTAGTGACATACAACAGCAAAGGTTGATTGTTGCTCATGCTGTAGATCTAATGCAGATCAGCTGTGGCTCTGCTGTGCATTGCCTTTGTCCTGAAATCTAGACTAAAAGGGCACTTTTGAATACAAAATTGCAAAGGAAAAAGAGACCCAGAAAACTATTCGCTCTTAAAACTTGTCAGACATGACACGTGTTACTCCTGCCCACATTTCACTGACCAAATAAGTTAGGTAGTCACTTCTAAGTTCAGTAGGGTGGAAAAATATAATCCTCCTGCAAGGAAGGACAGGGTAGAAAAATGGAATATATGGCTAGCAGAAATGCAATCTGCAATGCACTATTTAGCCACCAAATATTTAGTTCCCTCTCTCACCCATAGGCAGAACATACCTCCTTCCCTGAGGAGGCAACTCAAAAGTCCTATTCAGTAATTGTTCTTAGCTTAAAAGTCAGGCTTTTCGGTGATGCAAATTTTTTTCACCATAGGCCTGTATGTTGCTCCTCCGGTGAACTATAAGATGTTATCTTTCCTCACATACTCAATATGCAATTGTGGAACAGAAAGCAAAAATAACTGCAATAAAATCTCCCATGAGGAAATATAAAAAATATAAGGCACATAGAAGTCACTGGTTCATAGAAATCTTACAGTACTACTGGAAAGATATTATAGGTGACTTCCAACATGGAGATGAGGAAGCTTCTTGATTAGATCCTGATGCCATATTTTCATGTTTTATTTTGTTAACAGCAGCCTCAAACTTCTCATACAAATTAGTCAGTAGCACAGGCTGGTTTGCCCCCCTCTGGTAATAAATTTCTTCAAAAGCTCCAAAGATGGCTTATAATACTAGGATGGAACGACAAGTATTTGCAAAGTACGATTATGATAAACCACAACTACAGTACAGTATGTATGGTTATCATGATCATTTAATGGCTGAGAACATGGTAACTCCAAGCAGTCAACTTCCTCATTCAAGGCTAGATACCCAGAACCAGGATTCCAACTCAAGTTGACCTAACTCCAAAATCTATGTACATTTCACTATGTAATGCTTCAACTACATGGAGAGGGTATTTTAACAATGTTATTTGTAATTATCTAGATTTATGTTATTCCTTCTTTTTCTTCTAGTTTTTGGTGATGTGTTGTTTGAATTATTCAGCCTTTCCTTCGTTATTAGTTATCCATTATTGGCCTAGAGCCTTAAAGAAAGTACTGCATCCTCACCAAAGGGAGGAAGTTGGAAGTGCTGATCAGTGAGATACCACAAGGGTAAAATCTGGGAAACTTTCACATTTAAAGATCAACTACCCCTCCCCACCACTAGATTCCCATTTTAGCTTTAGAGATCTGTGAGTTTATTTCCACTTTGGAAGGCTGTGGTATTGCCAGGAAGGCATCAAAGAGAAACTTATTCTCTGTCTCAATTTTATCAAAGGCCAGCTCTGATACTCACTCAAAGGTTTTTTGTACTTTCATCTACTCCCCAATAACAAAGGCTCTCTTTTGACCAATTTAATCTTTAACAGAATATTATATTACTATTCAAATGGGACTCTAGCCAAGCCTAATTTGTCTATGGCAAACAAATGGCAAAGTTGGATAAAGACAGCCTGGGCTGTCCCTGTTTGTCAGCGAGGTTGTTTTCAAATAGCAACTGGAGTAAATGCTTTAGCTGCAGCTTACACAGAAGCCGATGCCAGCATGTGGTGCGAGGGAAATGAAGCCAGCTTTCAGGAGATTGTTCCAATGGCTGGAGTCCATCCCCTGTTCACAGCTCACTCCCCTCAGCCTGATGTTCTCATAGAACTTTACACTTGCTTCTCACTTTGACAGTATTTTCAAATCTAGAAACACTTTCAAATCATTGTTTTGGTTGGAAAAAGGAATGTGTCCCTAGTGGACCAAATTTTGGGGGGAACAGGGACAAGTCAGAAACAAACTACTCCTGAGCTCCACATGGACAATTCACTCATGGGATTAGGACAAAAATTTTAGTTGCAGCAAGTCAGATCTCAGGTGAGGACTCCCTCCAAGATTAGTGCTGCTGGGGGTGCTTGTGCCTAACAGAGAAAGCTGATTAGATGCTCTTGTTTCTTGATGCTTTGCTTGTTTTTAAAAATATTCATATAAACACCAGGCCTAGGGCAATAAGTCTCTCCTATGAAAATGTTTCAGTGCTATGAGATGAAATTTGTATTCTTGTGGCTTGTTCCAATCCTCTGTACTGGAAAATTATTTGCCAAAGATGAGCTCACTGTATGCCTTTGAGGAAAAAAAAAAAAAAAAAAAAAAAACTCTTGTCCTAAGAAGAAAACATAAATTGATGCCAGGACAAAGGAAACTTGTAACCAGAAAACTTGTAATATGATTGAGAAAACAAACACAAAAATTTAGAAATACATCTACAAGAGACAACGGGAAAGAAAATTGTGAAACCAAAAAGTCATGTCCATTTTAAATTCCATAAATGCAAGAGCTATGACAATTCATTCATCAGAATTTCGCACAAGACTTGGCACATAGTAGGTGATCATGAAATATTTGTTGAAAAATGAATGATTGCTAAAGAAGCCAAGCAATAGAATAAAGAGCACATATTTTTCATTAAGCCAGTGTTCTTTAGAGAGGTGGTTCTTAAAAGAATAAGAGAGGTTTAAGGCCTGGCGCAGCAGCTCATACCTGTAATCCCAGCACTTTGGGAGACCAAGGCAGGTGGCTCATTTGAGCCCAGGATTTCGAGACCAGCCTGGCCAACATGGCAAAACCCATTTCTACTAAAAATACAAAAAAAAAATTATTCCTGCAGGGTGGTGCATTCCTGTAGTTCCTGCTTCTTGGGAGACTGAGGTAGGAGGATCACCTGAGCCTAGTAAGTCAAGGCTGCAGTGAGCTATAATCATACAGCTACACTCCAGCCTGGGAAACAGAGAGAGACTCTGTCAAAAAAAAAAAAAAAAAAGGAAGAAGGAGAAGAAGAAAAATAAGAGAGGCTTAATAGTGGATAGAATGAAAAAGAGAACATTCTAGACAGAAAATTGGAATTTGGAACTTGTAAATGTTCGGAGGATGAAAATGTTCACAGGAAACACAAAAGATAATCTAGCTGGAGTTCAAAGGATGAAGTCCAAGCTCCCTTGCTTGATCAATATTATTCCTAATGCCAATGGACGCCAGCTGAGTCTGGTCCTGCAGGAATGGAGTCAGCCAGTGTGAGAGTTCCACAGGGCTGAGGCTGGAGGGGCAAGGTCTATCCAGAGCTCTGGGTGATGCCAAATTCAAAAAGGGGTGAGGATGTCAAAGCAGAGTAAAGGAACAAAGATCATCAGCCTAGGTCCAGTCAGGTCATCAAACAAGGGAGGGTCTACCTCTAGTGAGCACCAGAATACATGGGGACCAGAAGGGAGATGAGTGAGAAACAGGGACAGTGGTGCTGAGCTAATACTTCACCCACTTTCCTGGGTTCTCTCCTGCATGGTGGCAAGGAGAGCTGTCTGAATCTAGGCAGACCAACATGGAGCAGGTATCTTTCTTCCAGTCCTGCCCCACATTTGTTTCTGTAGGTTTTCCAAGTAGAAATCTCTCCACATACTGGAATTTTCTTGAGGCTTAGGTCAGAAAACCATAACCATTCTTTCATCCCTACTGCCCTCAATGAAACCAAATTCTGTAACTAACCATAGTGCCTACATTCTACTTGTATTTTCCTTCTCATCTCAGATCACTGAGACAGGACATGAAGGTGTGGGGAGGTAGTCTGAGTCTTGGCAGACCGGGCCCAGGAGAGAACAGTGAAAGGTGCATTAGATGGTTGGTGGTGGGGGAGAAGTATGTTTGCATTAAAAGCTACAAGGTTAAAATACCTGCATTAAGTCACAGATCCCAGATTGCATTCCTTTTGTTTTCCTCACTGTTGAATAGTAGTGGTGTTAAGGAAGTGTTGTCATATGGCCTGCTTAATGTTCAGAGTGCAGAGCGTGCATTATATTCTTGTTTTGTGTGCATTGGGGTGTGTCCTCAGTGTCCAATTTGGTGTCCCATCACTTCTTCAAACCTCTGTTAGATGCAGGGAAAATAAAATTTAGTGAATTCATCTCACAGCCCCAGGCCACACTGCAGAAATGGGCCCCAAATGCTACCTTGCTCCACTCAAGTTGCTGTGTGAGGAGATAAACCTGAAAAAGGTACTCTAACTTATTCCTTGGGAAATTCGTGATTCTGGGTTATCCCTCTCAGATGAAAACTCAATTGCAAAAGGCAGCACGCCCTAAAGCTGTCCTTTCCCCACAAAATATAAGAAAAATAACATGACACTTCCACATGAGCCTGGCTTTCATTGATGACAACAAATGCAGCAAGAAGCTGGCGTCTGGGGCAGCACCCAGCAAGTATGCAGGAGAGGGTAGGCAGCAGTGACGGAGGTGAGGTCTTCACTCAGGCCTTGACTTTTGCCTGGGTAGCATAGATCACTGCTAGCCTCATCCGAGTGAACTGAGAACATAATCACTAATGCTCATTTCATGATTAATGTACTTGAGCAGAACATTTCTTAGATACTAAGGTTAATACCAATTCAACTAAGCTTAGGGAGGGGATGCAGCTGGACTAGAAAGTCTGAATAAGTAGTTACCTATCTCTTACATCAAAATCACCTGTGTCTGCAAAACCACACGGGTTCCTGACCACTCCCAAAAGACTTCTGGTTTGGTCTGGGGCAGAACCAGGAATCTACATTTTTAACAAGCACCACAGGCTTTTCTGATGCAGTTAGCGTAATCTCAAGATTGAGCAACACTGATCACGGATATGAAAAATGATGCTACTTTCTACCTGCGATGAACTGAAATGGTAGAACTTGGAGATGTCATCAGGAAGCCTTAGTGGATCATCAAACAGGAGGAGGACAAATGGTGTGAATTAAAGTTCAAAGCAAGTGATTGGAAATTATTTGGAGGCAGTCACAAGACAATAGATGGAGCAGGTAAGCAGGCCCTTGAGGCCAGGGCTGGTGTGTCTAGTGGCTGGCTATCGCTCACTTTGGCTGACTTCGCTTGGCTAAATGTGCTGGGTAGGCTGGTTGTGTTTAAAGCAGGGGTTCACAATCTAGCCATACATTGAAATTACCTGGAGACTTTAAAAACACTGATCCCACACCTAGAGATTCTGATTTCATTGGTCTGGGGTCTGTTCTGGGCAGATTTTCAAAATCTCCTCATGAGGTTCTAATGTGTAGTCAGCTCTGGTTTAAAGAATCGGTAACAGCAGGGGTACCTTGATTAAATATTCTTTTTTTTTTTTGAGGCAGAGTCTTGCTCTCTCACCCAGGCTGCAGTGCAGTGGCGCAGTCTCGGCTCACTGCAAGCTTCCCCTCCTGGGTTCACGCCATTATCCTGCCTCAGCCTCCCGAGTATCTGGGACTACAGGCACCCGCCACCAGGCCTGGCTAATTTTTTGTATTTTTAGTAGAGATGGGGTGTCACCGTTTTAGCCAGGATGGTTTCAATCTCCTGACCTTGTGATCCACCCTCCTCGGCCTCCCAAAGTGCTGGGATTACAGGCGTGAGCCACCATGCCCGGCCCAATTAAATATTCTTAAGGAGGGCTGGGTGCAATGGCTCACACCTGTAATCCCAGCACTTTAGGAGGCTGAGGTGGGCAGATCACCTGAGGTCAGGAGTTTGAGAGTAGCCTGCCCAACATAGTGAAAACCTGTCTCTACCAAAAATACAAAAATTAGCCGGGTATGGTGGTGTGTGCCTGTAATCCCAGTTACTTGGGAGGCTGAGGCAGGAGAATCAGTTGAAACCGGGAGGCAGTGGTTGCAATGAGCCATGACTGTGCCATTGCACTCCAGCCTAGGCAACAAGAGTGAAACTGTCTCAAAAAAAAAAAAAATTAGAGATATATATATGTAGATAGATAGATTTATTTGTATATTCTTAAGAAGAACTTCTCAAACTGTAAGTTGCACACAATTCAACTGGAAATCTTGTCAAAATTCAGATTCCTTCTGAGCCAGCCTGACACAAGGCCTGAGATCCTGCATTCCTCACAGCTCCCAGGTGCTGCCGATTCTGCTGGCCCACGCACCACATTTTGAGTAGCAAGGATCAGGAAAGCCACAGTCTCTCACTCCAGTCCAGCAGTGGAAACTTGTTAGAAATGCAGTTCTCAGGTTTCACCCTACAACTATCAAATCATAAACCTTGGAGGTGCCTCTGCGTTTGACCAAGCCCTGCAGGCAGTTCTGACGCTCTCTCAGGTTTGAGTACCTCTGCTCTGCTTCATAACATAACCGTGTGTCACTATTTCACCAGCCGAGCTAGGTCAGGAGCACTTCCTTCTCTGAATATGACTGGACCTTTCCCAGTGGGGTGTCTAGGATTTTAAAAGGGAAGCGTTTCACTTTCTTTTTCATCCTGGCAATTAAAAGGCCATTATTCTCACATGACCCCTAAGTGGTAATGAATCTAACGCGCTGCTCTTTGTTCCAGCGCTGAACCACGCAAGCTCCATAAAATGAGGGGGTGGTCACGCTTTCCAGGGTCTTTTCTGTTTCTGACAGGCTGTGATTCCACCACTCTCCAACTAGAGAGGCTATGATGGTTTCTGTGCCTTTGTCCCTGGACTCCAATCAGCCACCCGTGCTGTATTGTTCCTATTGTTATGCCCGTTTTTTAAAAAAGAGGAGAGGGTCAAAGGCAGCAGCAAACCTCAGATGCTGGGCAGCAGTCACTCATTCTTGCAAAGTCGGTAACCCCTAGCAGCAGGGTCTGGCTTACAGTGCATGGAGACGCGGAGGCAGAAGGCTGCAAAGAAGCCTGGATTTCTTGTGGGACCCTGGCTGGCTGGAATTACCCCAAAGCTCTAGAGATAAGTGTGGGGGAGTCCCTGTGAAGCTGCTTTTCCAGCTCCTTGGCATTTATTACACACTATGAACTGTCTCTGTCTTTCAACCGTGAGTGTTAGAAATGGCCCACCTGGAACGCACAAAGCCCTGTGAGGTTGGGTAATCTAGCCATCCCAGTTTGCCAGAGATGGCCTCCTTTTTAGCACTGAAAGTCCTATGAAAGAGCAACATCTACATTACTGGAAAACAGGATGGTCGGCCCCTCTAGATGAGGGTTTTTTAATGTCATTAGTGGTCTGGATAATTATTTGTTATGAAGGGCTGCCCTGTGTGTTGTAAAAAGTTTAGTAGCATCCTTGGCCTCTACGCACTAGATGCCAGTAGGACTCCCCCAGTTGAGACAACCAAAAGTGTCTCCTGACATTGCCAAATGTCCCCTCAGAGGCAAAGTCACTCCCAGTTGACAGCCACTGTCCTAGATATATGTGACTGTGTAGTCTGAAACCTCACCTAGGCCAGCAATCCTCAAATGTTAATGTGCATGAGAATGACTTGGCATTTGAACAGACATTTCTCCAAAGAATGCAAACAAATGGGCAGAAAATACCTGAAAAGATGCTCAGTATCATTAGTCTTTAGGGAAATGTAAATTAAAACAAAAATGACATACCACTTCACATGCACTGGGGATGACTAAAATAAAAAAGATTGGTAATAATAACTATTGGCAAGGATGTGAAGAAACTGGAACCCTTATAGGTTGCTAGTGGGATTGTTAACTAGTACATCCACTTTGGAAAATAGTTTGAGAGATCCTCAAAAGGTTAAACACAGAAGCATCATAGGACCCAGTGAACATGTTCCTAGCTATAAACAAGAGAATTAAAAATATATGTCCACACAAAAGCCAGTGTACACATGTTCACAGCAGCATTATTCACAACAACTGAAAGGTGAAAACAATCCACTGTCCATCAACTGACAAAAAGATGAACAAATGTGATCTATTCATTCAATGCAGTATTTTTTAGGCATAAAAAGAAATGAAGCACTGATACACGTTGCAACATGGGTAAACCTTTTAAACATTTGGCTAAGTGAAAGAGCCAGTCACAAAAGCTCCCATATTGTATGATTTCATTTCTGTGAAATGTCCAAAACAGGCAAATCCATAGAAACAGAAAGTGGATTTGTGGTTTCTAAGGACTAAGAAGACAGGAGAATGGTGTCTGACTGCTGATGGGTACAGAGTTTCTTTTGGGAGGAATGAAAGTATTCTAAAATTAGATAGTGGTGGTGGTTGCACACTTCTGTAAATATACTAAAAACCAATGAATCGTACGCTTTGAATGGGTAGCTTGTTTGACATGTGAATTATATCTTAATAAAATTTTTATTTAAAAGGATCAATTTGGGATCTTGCTAAAAATGCAGATTCAGATTCAGTAAGTCTGGGGTGGGGCCTGATATTCTGGGTAATGCATTTGGAAAAGCAAAACTCTAGAACAAGAGTTCTTCCAGTGTGTTTCCTGACCAGCAGCATTAGAATCACCTGTGAGCTTGTCAGAAATACAAATTTTCTGACTGCACCCCAGACCTACTAAATCCAAAATTCTGAAAGTTGGGTGGGGCAATATGTTTTAACAAGCTCTCTTGGTAATTTGGATGCATGCTGGTGTTTGAGAACCACTGCCTAGGCTGTCCTCATCCTGAATGACTCTTTCCCTTGCAGGGAAACATGCGAAGGTAAACTATTAGATTTTTAATAATAATAAATAATATTGTTAAAAAATCATTAAGTTTCATTATAAGGCATATTACTTTAAAGAAGTAAGCCTCATAGCTGAAGAAAATTTGATATAAAGGTATGTTATCCCTGGATCTTGGTGGCACCCAGGACATTTTGTTTATTATGTTTCTAAAGGTTCTATTAAGAGTTAAAATAACCTTACTTCAGAAGTGCCAGAAAACACACAAATGATCTCTTCTTTGCATATTGGTATATGAGTCCTAACATTATACATGTGGTATCCACTTATGATTTGCTAGTTGAAATGAAGAAGGAAAAGGAAGTGGATATGGCAGTAACGTAGAAAGGAAGGGGAAGGAAAAATTTATGGGAGAAGTAAGAGTCTGGGATACATTCCCAGCTCTGGAACCAATGCGCTGGAGGGTATTCTCTCTTGGCCATTGCTGTGTGGTGATTCAGTATTTTACTGGCCCTTTGGTAAAAGGAAAGGAGAATCCTTATTTTTAATGTTAAGTACACTACTATTTTTATTATAAACAGAAATAGATATGCTATGTTTGCTTGTTTGTTGTTTGTTTTCTGAAGGAAGACTGAGACTACAATACAAAGACCTAGTCCTTAGGGACTCATTTCTAGAGCTGAATACACCTGGCAACTCAGTAACAGCCATCCATATACCTAAGTGCCCTCACTGTCTGAGAGAGACATGCACTTCATTAACCCATCTTGAGTTCTTCATTCACTAAAGAGCCATCTCCTAGTCTGAAGAGTGAATGTGCTCCCCTGAATCTCTAATTTATTGCCAGAAAAGGGTTTTAGCCTTGGGAAGACTCAGCTCCCTCTGCTGATCATTGACTGACAGCCCCAGGAATCAGGTAGAACACCATAAAGCATAGTCAATTGTCCCTGTCATCCAGTTTCATGGCTTGTCTGCCTCTCCTATCCTTGATGCTCTCCACAGGGCACCCAACCCAGTGGGATTCATGTTTTCCACTTTGCCAAAATACAAACTCCACCACTTAATTCATTCAGACAGTTTGTACAAGTTGTGGCAAGGAGTAGTTCAGTGCCGAGCAATGTTCTTCTTAGAATCATCTCAGGGAGAAAATTCCATCCAGGAACTGACTGTTACAAAGGTATTCACACCCCCAGAATGGAGCAGTTCACTTCCTTAGCAACTGCTTTCTTGTCCAATGAACTGAACTAATTTAAATACAAGTATTAGATTGTCCTATACAAGGAATGTATGTTGCTGCTCCTCCTGTTGTTCATGAGGCATACCTCTCCTTTCAACTATAACTTATGTACCACCTCTTTCAGAAACTGTATCAAATTAAACTTTTCTAGTTAGGCAATATGTATCATCTCTACAACTGAAGACATTTCAATTATTGTATTTTTATGGTTTCATGCAGTATGTGATGTGTTTTCAAATTATTAACATATCTGAACTCCTAATTGCCTCCTCTCTGTCTCCACCATATGCATACCTCCACCTCAATGAATGATACCATCATATACCCAGGGACTGAAGCATGACACCTGGGAAACATTTTCTGATTTTTCCTTTTACATCATTCAAACCACCAGGAAGTCCCTACTTGCAAACATATTTTGGATTTGTCCCTTCTCATTCCATGGCCACCACGATCTCTTTTCTGGATATTTTCAATAAGCTGCTATGCAGTCACCCTAGTTCTGCCTACATTTAATCCATTCTCTACACAAACAATGGAGTGGTACTTTTAAAATGTATATGAGATGCCCTTTCCCTCAGTTAAAAACTTTTCATGGCTTTTCATTGTACTTGGAATAAAACTCAAAGTCTTACCATGACTATAATACACATGAAAACCGTCTCCAGCCTCTACTCCTCCCTCTAATTATTGGTGCTAACAGCACACTGACTTTCTTTCTGTTTCTAGAACAAGTCAAGTGTTGTCTATAAAGTCTTTACCTTTGCTAAACCATCTCCATAAAATACCATTCCCATAGCTTTCACATGACTTTTCTTTCCAAGTTCAGCCCAAATTCACCCCTTTAGAGGAGTTATTTGTGACTAATTAGCTATTAGTTTTCATTCTCTAACATACCACAGATTTTCTTTTTTGCATTTTATCACAATCTGTAATTGTTTTAAGTATTTATTTGTTTATTATCTATTTCCCTGACATTTATATATGCTCCAGAAAGGAGGAAATTTCTTAATGTATTTTATTATTTTATCCAACAATTAGCACAAATCAGTAGTATAAAATCAGCTCTCAATAAATATATATTTACTGGATGAATCAGCATGGATGTTTTTGTTTCCCATAAACTCTTGAAGAATAGAAGCTGATCTATTTTTCATTAAGTACTTAAAGTATGAATAGTCCACTCATCATATACAAACACATGCTAATTAATAAAATGACATAAGGACCTCTAGTTGAACTTGTCTAGGCAATAACGTAGAGCCTGTTTCTGAAAGCTCCCTATGTTTCTTTGCTCTGCTTTTCCTCATTTTTGAAATTTGGCATGAAGATACGTGTTCTGTTGTTACAAAATGGCTTCCAATCTTATTTGAGAAATTAAGAACTAGCCTTTCTAAATCCTTCTTTATCTGTCCTTGCGGTTAAACTGAACTAAATATTATTATCACATGCCTTGAAAAGGGATCCAGAGACTATTTATTAGATGCAATAGGCAAATATATAATAAAATCACCAATTCCTTTCTTTTTTACCCTGATTATTAGGTGGGAGATTCAAAATGAACATTATCCTCAGGTTAATCATGGCCAGCTTTATGTGAAATGACAACAAATGTACTGGGACCCTATTGATTACTTTGTCTGTTTGTATGAGGCGTATTGTGGGAGGTTGAATTCAAAGCAGAGTGGTAATGACTACTGTCAGGGCTTGGCCTTCCTGCAGTACTCCCTGGTTACCTCTCACAGAACTCCTACCTCCACCTCACACATGCTTACACTTCTGATCATCAAAAACTGGCACAACTCTTCACTGATCCTTCCTCATAAGAATTAATATGTCAGAAGTGAGGCTTTAACAATTTCTGGTGTATGTCACCCTAAGATACTGACAAGGAGTTGGGGGAAGAATATATGTTCTATTGGCTCATCTCCTCTAATTTGCATAATAATCACAATTCTCCAGAGAAACAGAACAAATAGAATATATAAAGATAAAAACAAAGAGATATATCGTGAAGAATTCTGACAAAATTATGGAGGCTGAAAAGTTCCATGATCTGCCATCTGCAAGCTGGAGACCTAAGGAACCTGTTGGTGCTAGCCCAGGCCCAAAAGCCTGAGAACCATGGGAGTCTATGGTGTGAGTCCTAGTCCAAGTCCCACGACCCAAGAACCAGCAGAACTGATGTCCAAGAGCAGGAGAGGATGAATGTCCCAGCTCAAGAAGAGACAGATAATTTGCCCTTCCTCCACTTTTTTTTTCTGGCTCTCAGCAATTGAATCTCAATGATGTCTACCCACATTGGTGAGAGTGATTTTCTTTACTCAGTCTACAGATTCAAATCTAATCTTATCTGGAAACACCCTCATAGACACACCCAGAAATAATGTCTAACTAGTTGTCTGGGCATCCCTTAGCCCAGTCAAGTTGACACATGGAATTAACTATCACAAGTAGGAAGAGATAATTTTACTAACTATAGAAATTCAAAACCTTCTCTGACACAATTCTGTTGTCTAACACAGTTATTTTCAGACTTATAATACATTTTAAGAAAAAAAAATATACTTGCTATTTAAAACCTAAACATGCTGTGGTAGGCAGTTTCTGACCTGGCTCTAATGACTCCCACATCCTGATATTATGTAAGGCTTTCTGTAATCCATTCCCTTAAGTACCAAAGAAGGGATAAAATGTCACTTTCATGATAATAAGACTACAAAGGATGTTAAGCTTTTATCTTATTTGTATACATACTCTCTCTCTCTCTCTCTCTCTCTCTCTCTCTCTCTCTGGCCTTCTCACATGTTTTCTCTGATAAAGCAAGCTGAAGAGGCTCATGTGGCAATAAATTTTGAATGGCAACAACCAGTGAAGAACTGAGGTTCTCAGGCCACCAGCTCTCAAGGAACAAAAATGAGTGAGCTTGGAAGCTGATATCTCTACAGTTGAGCCTTCAGATGAGACGATAACCCTAGCCAAAATCTTGTTTGCAGCCTGGTGAGAGATCCTAAAACAAAGGACCCAGATAAGCTGTGCTCCCATAACATGATGAGATGATAAGCATGTGCTATTTTAAGCAAGTAAATTTGGGGGTAAGTGGTCTCAGCACAATAGATAACTAGTGTATATAAATAGTATGATATTTGACTTTTTTCCCAAGGAGGAAAAAGAATACAAATATTCTATAGGAAAATTTCAAACCTGGTTACATAGCCACAAAGAAACTGAAGAAATATTTTATATTAATTTGTCCAATTCAAGGAATCAAGTAGAATTGTCATTTAAGGATGGAGTGGAGCATAATAGGCAGCAGACACAAGAAGAGAAGTAACTAGAAAGACTTCCCTCCCCTTGGATAATCACTCTAGGTGCCAGTGGATACTCTGTAGCTATTATTTCCCTTGCTGCTTCTGTCTGCCTTTCCTTCCCTGCCTCTCCACCCTATCCCCTATCTTATGAACCCCCTGGTGGTTTATGAGCAGTTTTTTTCCTGCTCTAATTGGCCTTAGTGACCTTTTGTTTCCCAGGTACTCAAAATGTGTATGTGTGTCAAACGATGGGGTTGTATACACATCATCTGCAATTTGGTACAAATGAGGTTGAGAGGAGCATCAATGTCTCTGCAAGGAGGAGAAAGGGAATTAGGTCACCACTTGCATATTCATGATTAAAGTTATGTTAGTTGTTAGTCACTTTTGCTTACCCCTGTGTCAGAATGGCTGTGTTAGAAAAATGGAAGAAATTACTCCTTCCTCAGAATGAATTAATTTGCTGATTTTTGTACCCTGGAAGAAGGGATTGAAAAAAAGAAGTTGAACCTGCCTAGATTATTCTCAAAAGTCAATTAGAAGTATGGCACAATACTACTGGGGCAATCTAAGACATACACTTTGCCAAATAAAGGGATAAATTCATTTTGAGGATGCTAGACAGGCAGGGTTGAGAACTAAATCCAAAAGCTTGGGGCTTTGTGTCACTTCAATTGCCACCATTATTTTTTGATACATTTTTTTCCTCAATGCTTTCTGGAGAGTAAGGAGTTTCCAAATAGCCTGAACTAAAAGTCAGAAGATTTTTGACTTACAAAGAACACAAGGACTTTACTAAGGAGCCTTGCTTTTCAAAGACTGGGTCAATTTTCAAGATGCATTGTCTTCAAAGTAGAAAAATCAAAAGTACCCAAGTTTTGCAGAGTTCTGATCTCTACTCTGATATTGATTTGTTACATGGCCTAGGGCCAGATGTTGAACCTCCCATAGTTTCTTCTCCTTCTTATCTGTGAAACAGAGATGAAAATTCTGAGCCTCAAAGTGATTTGGTGGAAATTAAATAATAGCTTAAAGCCTTTTGAAAGGGTGAAGTGATAAGTGTTTCCTTTTGGCTTCTTTCGGATGTTATGCAATTTTCCATTTAAGTGAAAATTAACTTCAAACATATCACACTTCAGTTTTGACCTAATCACCTGTTGATTAGTGGTTCTAAGCTATTAATTGTGGGATGTCTAAAACAGCAAATGTGAGTGGACACACTGCATGCTCGTATCCAGAGTAGCCTAGAATAAAGCCTTGCCCATGATTGTACCTGCCCCCATAGCCCCTTTCACAACTCCTGTGTGCACAAGCAGATAATATAAAGAGTTTAACTAAAATTTAAAACATTGTATCCTTTGTGTTTTCATTGCCTCTAGGCAAATATAGGATATGTGTTTTTAAATGTTCATGAATAATAAAAAATAAAACAAGAGCATCCAGAGAATGCTAGCTTTTCTTTTCAAATAATTTTTTATTTATAGTTCATAAAAGATCTAGAAAGACTTAAAGAGCAAGGTGAAGTCCCGACATATGTCATTTAAAAGCAGGATGGCATAGTAGTTAAGCATTTGGGCTCTGGAATCAAACTCAGCTTGAGTTCAAATCTCAGATCAGTCAACTACTGACAGGGTGTAATTGGATAAAAGAAAGACTTATATTTGTATTTTCTTTTTTCCATAAAGAGGTCCCTGAGATCGGAGAAAATGTCTTGTTGCCTGTCACATCTGAAGCATCTAATGCATAGTAGGCTTTGCCCCACAATATTCTAAGAAAAAAAAAAGAACTATTTTGTACGCCAATAAATGTGCCCTAGAATAACCCTACATTGAAGGTTGGAAAACGGAAAGATGGCTCTTCAAGCATCTTTCCCAAATACCAAGGGTGGTTTTCTAAGGATTTGTTTTACCAGTATTTAGAAAAAAACTTCTACTCAGAAAGCACAGTGACAGATGTAGAATTGCTGCAGAATAAATCATGTGCCCTATTAGAGGACACCACCGTGGTTTCTTTCAAGCCAATTTGCTTAGAGAAGTACAAATCTCTTCTTGCACAGGAGTGGAATTACTCATTATACTCAGCCTCACATAAAGCTTAACTACTTGCCAAGGCTGCTCAAAGCCTTCTGGTGGCCTGTTCCTTTTGATGGTGGAGAAAGGGTTCAGTGTGTCTCCAACGCTTATGTAATATAATGTGCAATCAGCTTTCAATTCTCTAGGGATGAAAGCTTTAAGCTCAAGCCCAGAGAATAACTAGATTGGAAAGGACAGTGTCACCTGGATAGCAATCCCACAGCTATTGTGTTGTAGCTGGTACAAAAAGTGAACTTAGAATTTTGACCAATTAATGCTGATGTTTATGCCAAAAAAAAATCCAGATTTGTCCTATATAGAGAATTGGATAGTGCTGTTTGGTTTCCTCTAATCTCCTTTTTTAGCTACTGTTTAATTTTCCTCCAAATGTGATTAGAGAAAATAGCCTGTCCAGTAATTTGTTATCAAATCTGTCTTTTGTCTCTGTAATGGCTTTGATAAATAATGGCCTGAATATATAGATGTACAGTTCCAAATAAAAGAAAGAGCCAGTGTACTTATAGGATCCACTTATAGAAAGAGCAGTATTAGGGTAATAAACTTAAGAAAAAGTGTTGACAAGGAGTTAGGAGCCCCGGGTGTGTGTCCTTGTACCATCATTATCTAGCTACAGTACTTTAAGGAATTCATTACCTTTCTTTGAGCTTTGTTTTTCTCCTAGGAAGAATGAAAATGCTGTACTACCTAATCTCTATACTGACTCAATTATCTCTCCTGTTTCCTCCAAGCCATCTATAAATGCTCACTCACTGAAAGGACGTTAGCCTTATGCTATAAAAAAATTTTTTTCCAGGAAAAAAATCGACATTCATTTCTGCATATTATCTTCATACTCCTTCCTGCAATAACACAACTTTGGAAATGATATTCCTGCTCTCTTCCCAGAAGATGAGATAGTAAGACAGTGAATACCTAAAGAAAATGGAAAATATATGTGAAGGAGGTGTCCAGCCAAGAAACTGCCTAATGTACTGGAGATCTAAAGTGACCTTTTAAGGTTAAGCACAGAGCCTCCTAATGAGGTCCTCATGCAGTTTATTACCTGCCATCCAGGCTGTTCCCTCTAAAGCAGAGCTACATAGACTGTCAAGGACATTGAGTTTCAAATACAGTCACCAGCTGGGTGACCTCATCTGAAAAGGGAGCATGAGCCCTACCTAGCTGGGTTTCTCTCAGGGTTGCAAACCACACTTTATGTAAAAGTGCTTACCCAATACTCAGCTCACAATAAATGACCAGTACATTTGAATCTAAATTGAGTGGACTGTTCCCATTACCATATGGAAACTGCCACTTTTACCATAAGAGTTTCTGGCTGCATTGATCTAACTGGAGGAGGGGCAAGAAGTTAAATATCAGTCCCACCTCCCTTTTGTAAATAATACCAAATTATTTTGGCTCCCATAAGATAATAAGCAATTCTGTGGTAGGAATGGGGAAAGGAAGAGGAAATATTATCCAGACATTCTAACATCCTGAAGTTAATTTCCAGAAATAGTAGGCTAGGAGTGTTTCAGTAGATTTTCTTATAGACAGTATAAATTATGTTCCTAGATATATAACACATAAATCTAGAATTTATGGAAATAATTTTAAAAAATCTCATAACAGCTCTGATGAAACCTTGGTGAATCTTAAATAAGCTATTCTAAACCTTATCACAGTTTTGCAAATTTGTGAAGGAAACTCTCTCTGTATTTTTTAGATCTTGATTTCTTTTAAAGACATTTATTATATAATATCTGTAGTCTTTATGAACTGTTTCTTCAAGTGTAGATAGATTTTTCTTATTTTACCTTCAGACAACTTCAAAATAAGCCACATATTATGTATGCATTATGTTTTGATATATTTATGCATTTATTTTGTGACTTGAGGAATCAAAAACTTTAATTTGTGTTCAAAGAATTTTTATATTTTTAAAAATAATTCAGGTAAATACAAGGTGCATGTTCATCAAATTAGAAGTTGACACAGAAGACTTTAGACCTCCAGTATGGCTCTGAAAACAGCTACCATGAGACCAGTGAAGAGCATTTGATTATAGGCAGCAGTTGGTATCTGTGAGTTTTAGCATGGAGTGAACAGAGTAGGCTGACAAAATACAAAGTCTAGAAATACATAAGAAAACCAGTATTCAGGCTTGAAGATGGGCAGTAGGTAATTGACAGCTTTAGTTCTCGTGACAGGTCTTCTGGCTGCTCAAAGACACATATAGTTAGTTTATGCCATGAAGAGTTAATACCAAAATGGTTCAACGGAAATCAAAGCTTGAGAGATGAAAGTCTGCAATTCTGTGGATTCAGACTTGTCTACGTTTTGAAAATTGTTGAAATGGATCCATCAGAGTTTATGTGCATGAACAATCAAGGGGCCTTGTGAGAAGTAAGTTATCCTAAGGGAAGGGAATCAGAAAATGCGCATTTGACTCACTGTCAGTAGGTTTTGATTGAAGCAGACATATTTTGAAACCGCATGATGCAGTCTACTGAAGTTGGCCCTCAAGATAGTTCCTGTGACTCATTCTTCAGTGTTTTAAGAAAGGGATTCTGTCCCCACTCCCCCCAAAAAGGGGTTTTAAAATGAAAGATCCAGGTTATAAAAATCTTTACAGGAAATTGGGAGTATAAGGCAGGAGGACTTTGTGAGCTTATCAGTGAAGTAAAAAGGGAGATCATTTTTTCCCATTTCAGTATGAGAGAATGGAAGTGATAAGAAATTGAAATGTACATAATTCTTTAGAGTGGAAAAGAGATAATAGACATTGTTATACAGGTGGAATCATTCCCCAGGGAGCTTGAAAGGAATGGGTCTCATGCCAACATCAGAAGCAAAAAGGTGGTATTAGCAACACCACCAAGTAGGCTACAATGGGCTTATCCTCTAGCATATGAGAGTTTGGGTTAGGTAATAAAGACTTTTTCTGTTGCAAGAAATACTCATTCAAATAAGCAAAAGGAAGAGGAGGAATATATTGGCACATAGAAAGGTAACTCGTTAAAAAATAAAAGAAGTACCATCAATGTTTACTGGATAGAGGAAAAAATACTTCAGGAAACAGTTTACCTCTGTTTTTTATGTGTTTTTATCACTACATATTGCTTTCCTTCCCTCTGCAAACTTCCATTTCTGTTTCACCAAGAGTACTATGGAAAATAAGCACTACCTTGCTATTCCACATGAGCTTTTAGCTCCAGAGCCATTAATGCACCAGCACTCCATTGCTCCCATTAAAAAACTTGTATGAGAGAAAACCTAATCAACTAAACTGAGGTCAGATCCTTTATGGGTAAATGTGTGGGGTCACACTCAAAATATATGGATACACAAATGCAGGATTGGGGTTTAAAGGATAGTTCTTAGAATTAGAACATTATGTGTGCCGTTACTCCAACAAGTCTCGAACGCACAGATATTTCTATTCCAGTTTCTTCCAGTACTCATTAGAAGAAAAATTGGTGGGATGATAGGAGTTTTTAAAATTCCATGAGAGATGTCTGAGACCAAACAATTATTAGTGTGACACTCTATGGATTCCAGAATGATAAGGTCTCAGAAATACGTGACACAGCAGAGAGGCCCACTAAAGCTAGAAAGATCATGAGAACATTTTCCTTTTTTTTTTACTATCATGAGTCAAAAAGAAATGTGACCACCTGTCTTGGTCACATTTACCTAGTTATTATTTGGATACTAAAATGTTAAAGAAGGGAATGAATGTCAGATTCAACATTAAAGAATCATGCTACGGTCCACTGGTATGTGAATCATACATAACAAAAGGGCTGCTCTGCATCCACTGAGTCAACCCTCCCATGCTTTATTTACATATGGGATTCTTTGTCTTTTCTTATGTCAAACTTTGTAAGTGTAATAAACCAAGGCATTGTCTAACATGGCCACTCTAACAGTGGCCATGAAAAGGATCACATTTTGAGTTTTAGAGATTATATAGTATAAAACTGTTCCATAAGATAGAACTCATTTTACTAGGTATGCTTTTTGTTTGAATCAAGTTATAATAGACATGATGAAATTATCTTGAAATTCTAGACAACAGTAAATTCTCATTGTCATCGGTAGGTTCTTGAAAACTTCAAAACTTCAACTTCAAGGCAAGAAATGTATAATAAACCAATTTTACCATAGGCTAATTGATACAAACAAGAGTTAAATTCCTATGGCATATTTCTGGTCACAAAATATCACCAAATATCTAAAGACCAAAACACTTCTACATTAAACGTTGAAATGAATGTGAGTTATTCCTACATTTAAGAAAGATGAATGAAAACAAGATAATTATTATCCATGTATTCCAGTTCAGGGCCTAGGTGGTTGGAGCCCATCTAGCAGTTTAGGACATAAGTCAAGAACCAGTTCTGAACAGGACAATGTCCATTGCAATGCAAATTCATACACACATCCACACTCACCCAGATGAGGACAATGTAGACAGCCAATTCACCTAATGTGTACATCTGTGGGATGTGGGAGGAAACCGGAGTAGTATGTAAAAACCCACTCAGACATGGGGAGAATGTGCAAACTCCACAAACAATGGTTCCAGCTGAGAGTTAGTTTTATTTCTCAACAAAGGAAAACAACATTGAACAAAACACTACTCAAGGACTTACTATGCTATGTTGTAACTGACTTGAATGATAATTTTTTCAAGTGATTGCCAAATGTGTTCAAGTGTGAGGATCCTTTTAGGATCAAAACAAAAATCTTACAGATCTGCAGATTCTGCTAGTTTCAAGTGATTGAGAAATTACATTATAACAAATAGCCACTATAAATTCAGATACGTTTTTGAAAAATTTTATTACATTAAATACATTTCAATGTGTTATGAGCAGTCATTAGACATTTATAAATAAAGATTGGTGCCAATTTGGAAATGAGAACTTTAAAAAAAAACTCAGCAACCCTCAGGAACATATGGTCAAGAGGTTAGTAATCATTCGTTTGTAATATAATCTCACTGTACAGATGAAGAGACTGGAGTTAAAAAAAATACTGAGTGATTTTCCTAAAGTCAGAAATCTAGAGCATTACTGGGAGAACCAGCATTCCTGGGAGAACCAGTGTGAATTTAGTTCAGTAGACAAGGATATCAGTTTAAGACTCTATCTCACTCAAAGATCAAATTACTTCATTTTTTGTCTTTAAATATCATTATTTGGCATGTATTATATATATGTATTATATATATAAAATATTTTTCAAATACATGTCTTAAAAATATATATTAAATGTATACATTATATTGTATGCTAGATATAGTGAATATTATATTTTGAATTTTGTATATATGTATACAAACTGTACAATCCAAACTAGCACAACTATTTTTCAATGAACAACATCTAGATACTCTGGTAGCCAGATGGCTTCACAAGTAAAACCTCAAACTTTGGAATGATTATTTCCTTTACCCAACAGTGTGAGGGAGTTTTGAAAACTCTCTTAGCTTCCTCCAAGGAGGCAGTCTCACACTGTCAGAGTGTTTAAACACATTTCATCTTTATTTTTCTGGCTACTTAACAACATTAAATTAGTTTGCAAGAAGTATAGGAAAGCCATAAAGATATTAATAATATGTCCCTTTATCACTGCCCCAAAGAAGTGAATGCGTAGCTGAGAAGGCAAAAGTGCCTTCCATTGATTGAGACACAAGTTTCACATCAGTCTCTAAGTGCCTAACGTGTATCCAGCCAATAATCACACTTTAGTCACTTACTTTGGAGAATCCTTCATACCTCAACCACTAGACATATCTTCAGTGAAACTTCACAGTTAAAATATCTCCCGCCTCTGCTTGAAGGAAAGAAATGCCACAGATGAAAGTAGTATGTTTTTTCATAGCGTTTCCTGCAAAGCATCTACACATTGGTGAAATATAACCGTGGCGCATAATTCACTTCTGTAATAAAAATAATTATCTAAATATTATAGTTAAGAGAGATTTTTTCTCCCTTTAAAATAAAGGTCAATACATTGCTTCAATATCGTTAGCTCCACTTTCCTATTTGGAACAAATTTTGGAAAAGCACACATCATCATGGTCATTTACTTCAGCCATTTGGTGAGTTGCATTAATCTTTGCACCTTCTTTTGAAAGATAAACCACATTTAATGGTCTTGCTAAATAATATAGAGCTTTCAAACATCTGAAGGGCAGCATGGTAAGGCTCCACTAGATTGAACTGGGCATTCACATCCCATTTATAAAGATTCCTAATGCATCCTTCATTATCATTCTAGTCACTCATTGAGTTCCATTATAACTTTTATTGATTCTATTTTCAGCAGGACTCTGGGGATGAGACGAAGAAGTAATTAAGTAGTTTTTCAAAGGATAACCACTGTCACCTAAAATCATTAAGGGAGAATAAAAATGCCTACCATCCTCTGCCATATCAAAATTAATTTGTAATAATTAAAAAGTTATCTTCCTGAAACATTAAAATTTGGAAAATTTGGAGAAACTGGAACCATATTGCTAACTTAAACTGAGCACTTTGGGAATGCCTGTGTAGTCATGATTTGGTGTGCATTCACATCTGTCTTGGATATCAGCTATGTTTCAGGAATAGCTGCACCCAAGAAAATGTTTTCTTTAACAATTAATGTCTTATATAAATACTATGTACACTTTGAGCATATTCCTGCACATTACTTAGTAGAAAATTGATGTTAGCTTTAAAGCATTCAAATAAGTTCAGCTAAGAGACTGAAAAGGAATAGCTCTGCCTAAAAGAAATGGCAAGGTAGGCAGTATCATTTTTAAATAAAAAATTTAAATATGCCCCCTGGCTCTGGTACTTTAATTCAAGGAATTGTCATGCTATAAATGTGACAATGAAATGTGTAAACAGGAGCCATGAAAATTTACAAGCTGTTAAAAATTTGTGCCAACAGATAAGTGAATCCTCTGTAGTAGTATATGGAGGGTCTATCTGACACAGAAGCAAACCTGCTCAAATCAAGTCACACATGATCATTTAGAAAATTAAGTATGGTTGGCTCTCCATAAGTGGTAGGTTCAGATATTTCCTTCCATAGATGTGGCCAGCCAGTACTTTGCAGGACAAACAGTATATATATATTTTTCAGAAAAGGAGGCTGGGTCATTTAATCCAAACAAGACTGAAGACAAGCTTAGTATTCTGCCAACCTACTCCTGCTTTAACCCCAAGAATGCTATAACTGAAATAATTCATCAGATTATTGGTGCAGTGATTAACAAAATTGTGTTCTTTGGAGATGTATGAGAGGCCATAGAGACAAAAACAGAGAAATAGAGGTAAGTAGAATAGATATGATCCCTACATCACCATTCAAACCAAAATAGTTACCCTAATAATGAGCTTCTGTACAAGATAATAAAGACTTCTGGTGCTAAAAGCAAGTTTTAAAATATAGATTTATTATCATATAGATAAAGCCCCTCAGTTCTGATGGAAAGAAGTTGCACAGGGGTCTGTCAAGTTACTAGAAATAGGATCGGGAAGAGAACCTAATCCTAGGTCATAGACATGACCGAAAGGATTCGTGAATGTGTGTCACTCTCCATGGTGCTGATACTCTTCATTTGCAAGATTGTTTTTAACTCCTAGGATATGGTGATTCCCTCCCAATTTCTCCCATTTTTCAGTTTCTTTTTTTATTTGTATATTTTACCCTGTGAGTAATTTACCATATTATATTGTTATAAAACAAACTGAACTCTGATGTATAATTCACAATATATGTAATTATTTGTCAATTGTATTACATTTCTAGTACTTGCAATCTACATCTAACACACCCTCTCACACACACAGTCACACATTTTATGCTTTCATAATTCACTGATGCTTCTTTCATTTTGTGCCAATAATATAATAATTTAAATAGTAAATTAATGGCACAAAATGTTGGAAAACATTTGGACACTTCCTCCTAAGAGACCACTAAAAATGGCCTAAAATATCTTATGGAAATAACCCTGCTCTGGAATCCTACTCAAAACATAAAGTCTCAAAATATTATCATGGTAACTTTGGATCTCTCTTTCCAGTGTGGATTCACATTAACCAAGCTCAGATGAAAAATAAATTTTTTGGAGGTTAAATGATTGAGTCTACGTGGCCAGCCATTATTTCTCATAAGAGAAATAATGCAGACTCATAAGAGAAACCTAATCATAATCAGGTTGCCATTTTATTAAATAAGTAGAAACAAAATTGTCTTGAAGGCAGACTTAAAGTTTTTGTTTTCTATAAAACATTACTGCAAATTAGACACTCCATAGAGGCAGACCTGTGAATATATGCTCGTATCTTTCTTGTTACACTATAATATTGGGAGTTTTTATCTTTATATAAATCTTAACTACAAGACAGTGCAGGGGCAAAGACTGTGTTATGTCCATCTCCTTACCAGTAGACTTAACACAGTGCCTCAATGGTAGAGTGTGCAGAACAGATGTCATTGAATGAGTTAATGATAGAAAAGTCGATTTGAAAGCTAGAACAGTAAAAAATAAAGGGGGTGTCTGGGTGAGGGCAGAAGACTAAGTGACTTAAAAATGACTATGCTCATCATGCATTACAAGGCATAATTAAGTATTCTTGAATCTAAGGCAAACATTATTCTTCAATCTTATATCCTCCATATGCATAGTCAAAATCGAGAACACAGGGATGTTGGCATAGTTTGGGATGTTGCTAAATAGCATATTTATACTCCTACACATCTGTTCTTCACTCTATGACATTGGAGCTTTGGGTTGGGTGGGGCAGTTGGAGGAAAGGAGAAAAGTAAGGTCATCGCAGTTATGCCTGAGCTCCCTGTCTGTGGGGTTGCCATGGGCTGGCTGCATCCCATGGCCAAAGGTCTCGGTCCCTGTCAGGCCACCCTCTCTCCACAGACTTCATTGAAAGCTGCTGGCAAACACAATCCTTATTTCTATTTAGGGTTAATGTCAACCTTCCCTCTCCAGTTTGTGGGTACTCCACTCTCCCTTGTTGTTGTCTATTACCTACACGTACCTTTGCAAACATATTTTTAAATGCTCTTCAAAAAACCTGGTTTGCATAGAACTAGGTTCCTGCCAGGACCTTGACCCACTTGGGGTAATCAAAGAAATAGTCGTATAAATATTCTTGCATACAAGGAATGTCATTACAACTCTGTCCATTTCCTTAGTATGGCCCATAAGATACACAAGATTTTGGAGATCACTTAGCCATATACAATGTTTCATACACTTAGATACTGTGACCTATTTTCTCACTACTGAACTTTGAAATTTGGAGAAGTGAGAAAAACTAGGCATGAATTATAGATTTTTTTAGGGATAATATCCAGGACATTACTTTAAAATATGACAAGTTAGACCTAGAAATATCTTACAAAGGTTGAGAGTATCCAGGTAAGAATCTTAATAAAGATTCTTAAAGCCATTTGATTTATATTTTTATTTGCATGAATTAAATGCACAGATATTAAATACAATTCCAAATCTACTAAAGTTTTTTTGTGGTTGTGTTTTAAGTATTTAAAATTACATCTTCAAATTAGTTTAAATTATAAAATTATAATTTAAATTATTTAATAATTTAATAATTTAAACTATTGAATTATAAAATTACGTCTTTACATTATTTTAAATTACTTTAAAATATGACAAGTTAGACCTAGAAATATCTTAGAATCTGTCTTTTGCTCATTAAAGACTCCTACAATGCTAAAAATGTTGAGATTCTACATCTAGTCCTTTGATTTTTTCATAAACTTTTATATATTTGGCAGTTAATTCTGAATCCTTTAATAAAGATTCTTAAAGCCATTTAATTTATATTTTTATTTGCACGAATTCAATGCACAAATATTAAATACAATTCCAAATCTATTAAAGTTATTTTGTGGTTGTGTTTTAAGTATTTAAAATTACATCTCATTTGGTGCTGTATTAAAATAGAATGGAATTGTATGTTATTTCTTTTGAGAAAGCTTTGAATTTCTCTAATCTCTCCAAGACAAATTGACATCAGCTTGTAGATTCTGTTGCATTTTGTGTGTATTTTATAACATGGACCCACTATTATCCCAAATTCTGGCATATGTTTTAGAAAAGATTTTTTTCCTACTCTTGGAACGATTGAAATCTGGAGGGTAAAATGGCACTTGGTTAGAATGCTGAAATTGTTAAACCTCCAATCTCAGCACCAAAGTTCTGCTCAGAACAGAGCAATTTCATGTTTTATTTGTTTTTACCCTTGTGGAAAGAAGAAAACAAAAACAATTCAAGTATATGTGTTAGACTACAAATAGAGTGAAAACAGGACATTTCAAAGGGTTAAATAATTAGAATTCGGCCGGGCATGGTGGCTCACGCCTGTAATCCCAGCACTTTGGAAGGCCGAGGCGGGCAGATCACGAGGTCAGGAGATCGAGACCATCCTGGCTAACATGGTCAAACCCCGTCACTACTAAAATACAAAAAAAATTAGCCGGGCGCGGTGGCGGGCGCCTGTAGTCCCAGCTACTCAGGAGGCTGAGGCAGGAGAATGGCATGAACCCGGGAGGCGGAGCTTGCAGTGAGCCGAGATTGCACCACTGCACTCCAGCCTGGGTGACAGAGGGAGACTCCATCTCAAAAAAAAAAAAAAAGAAAAAGAAAATTAGAATTCAGTGTGTTCAGGGAAATATTTTGGAATAACAAATTTATTAAAATTTGGTGAGGAATAGAAGAGCTACCATGAAATTTTCCCTTTCCAAAGTCCACAGCAAACATGCATTCATAAAGCATTTATTTTAATTATTACATTTCTGAGGCCTACAGTTCACAGTGTTGTGTGACCTGTTACATTTTTCTAATAGAAAAAAATGAAATATTGATTTTCAAACATGAAAGGAAAATGATTATAAATATAAGTGGGTCATTGGGGGGGAAATAAAATGTTAATTCCATTTTATTATGTTGAACTTTATGAGCATTTGAACCACATATCCTGTAAAACCAGAGCAAGCCCAGTTATAAGGCTCATATGAAAAACATATATGTTGTCAGTTAGCCTCATGGGAGATATCAAAGCTCTTTTTCTACTTACCTTAGTTACGGAAACTCCGCGAGTATTTCCCTAAGGAGGGAAAAAAAGAGACAGTGCAGTAGGTTGACTAAGTTTAAGAATATTATATTGTTCATTGGGTTAACGAAGGGAGAATTGACAATGTTAAAGTAAAAAATCATAAGCCCACTTGCTCACTCTCCCTCACTCTCTACCTTCCCCTACCTCTCCTTTTACTCTCAACTAGCATTTCATCCCAGGAGATAGTACCCTGACTTAAAAGGGTCTGAAGCATAGGACCAAGCTAGTTCTCTCTAGCCACTGCTGGCAAATAGACAGTTCCTGGCATCAGCACCCTTCCCTCACATTATAGTCACAAAATAAGATGCAGCTGCAGGATCTGTGCTGGAAATACCCAGAGCAAACCTTAAGCTCAGGTAACCTACACTTAGTAGATGTAGTTAAGCTTTCCATAGAATTAAGCATCTCAGGAGGAATTAGTTTTAATGTTTAGAACCAAAGCCCCAATAGAAGATACAGTGCTACTTTGCCCTGTAATAGAAACTTCCTTATAGATTCTCAGAGCTTTTGGATGTGATCATTTCTTGTGTCTTCACATGATTTAACTATTCTTATATCACCTAATAAAACACTAAAACAGTATCATTTTATTTCTTATAAGAGTCATGAAGCCTTCTCTTTTTACAAAATGAGTGAATTTTGAAGAAAAGAAATATAATTCCCTGATGTTGCTCTATAAGATCAACACCAAGCATGACTAGAGTAAGCATGAATGTCTTGTGCTCTCTCCTGGGCAGTAGTTTTGCCAGATAGTGGTTGTCTGTGTGCATTAGTGAGATTTTTCATTAGAAACACTTGGAAGCTATATAACAAAATTCTTCCACTCACTTATTTTTTCATCACAATAGGATTGTTAATGATGTGGTTTTCTAGTTCACCCTAGCACGAGCCCATCAAAAGGCCATTATTTTCTCTGTACTTAACAAGGTGAAGAGTTGGTGCCCTCTCAAGTTCAAAAAGGAAAAATAAAAGTTTATTGTATATTTGCCATGCTTTACAGTGAAAACTTCCTAGGGAGAATGAATTTTGGTTATAACCTTACCCATTTTATTTTCCATCTCACACCATGCAACAAATATAAAAATGTTTAGGCTCTCATCCTGCTGAACCAATTTCTTTATTGCATTTTTGCTCCGAAAAAGATTAATAATCATGTTTTCAAAGTGATGCTGCCCACTGTGAAACTTATTCCCCTGCCATTTCTAAAAAATACATGCCACAGAAAAGCTTCTGCTTGGATTACAGCTAATTCAAATATAACTATCCTGACACTCCAATTCTTTCCCATGAAAAAAAGAAATGGATAAAACGATTGGGCTTTTATGCACACTTAAATGCATTAACAGTACTAGTAAAACCTGATAGAATTTAAAATATGATTACATATGAAGTACATTCAAGATGAAAACTTCTCACACTGATTCTATTCTAAGCAACATAGAGAAGCAACTAAATAATGAATTTGAAGAACAAAATCATATACTTCAGAAGACTCTTCAAGGTGTTACATTCAACATCTAAGACAAACAACTGCATTGCAAATAAAAATAACTTGCTACTGTGAACTTCTACTCATAGTTCTAGGAACAGAAAATAATCTAGTTTACTTTTAACATTATTACGAACATACAGACAAATTGTATTTTTAGGAAAAAATAGTTTCAAATAGAGGAATATGCAAGTATTGTAAGTAAAAAGGATTTTTTTTTTTCAAAGAGAGAAACATCAGGATATATCCATTTTCTTCCACATGTCCTGAGGGATAAGTTTTCCTTGCCTGAGAAATGAGATAGCTACAATCAACTTGGATAAAGAATATATAATTTTAAATTCCTTTAGAATTACTCAGTTTTACTCGTAGGAACATTTTAGGAATGAGACATCAAAAATATGGTAAGATTTGTTTTAAAATCAGCAATCAGAATGGCAAAGCCAGAGCTCCATATGCTCTCTCTCCGGCAGCTCTGATTACAAAGACAGAGCCATAAGCCCTTGAACACAATCAAGAAGAAAATTTACTGATTGTTTAATATCTTTAGCATTGGTCCTTTTGATCACTCCTCTTTGACATGTCACTTCTGGCCCTTGATTTTTCTTCACCTACTCAGTTCAACTTCTCCTTCTTGGTTCTTTGCAAATAATTTTTTTTCTGTTCATTCAACTCTTACGTTGCAGCATCCTTTATTATTAGCCTTTTTAAACAACAGTCTAAAATTATACAACTTATGTATTTTCCTATTTGATTATTGCTTTTCTTCTTCTAGTAGAATGTCATCTTCCCAGGGTGGGGACTTGGTCTCTTTTTCTACTGTTGTATCCTGTGTACCTAGGACATTGCCTAGTGTCTTCTTTTGTCATCTTTCCAGGTAGTAATATACTGATGACCTCAGAATCTGTATCTTCTTTTTAATTCTCTCTCTAAAATTCTAGACCATATATCTAGCATCTTGTTGAATATCTCTACCTGGTAACCTTATATTTATTCTTTTTTACATTAAAATATATTTGACAATGATTGTATATATTTAAGGTGCATAATTTCATAATTTGTTACACATATACACCATGAAATAATCACCTCAGTCTAACTATATGTGCTTTAAACTTAATATGTCCCAAGTGAATTTATTGTGTTCTACGTTCACACCCTCTTTCAACTCAAAATCTCCCCTTTTTTGAATATCCCTTTTGGTTCCAACATCAATTTGATCACTTAGTCCAGAAACTGGAAGTTATTCTAAGCTCTTTTTATATATTTCTCCTACAATCAGTTGGTTGCTAAGTAGTTTTTATTCTATTATCTAAATATCTAAAAATGTTCTCACTCTCTATTCACATTGCCACAATAGGCCAATTTCTCACCCGAATTATTACTTCCTAAATAAGCTTTCAGCCTTCATTCCATCCTTTATCCACAATGCTGCCAGAATGATTTTTCCCATTCTCTACTCTCCTTATGTCTGGGCTTGGCCAGCACAACACCAGACTTTTAATGGAAAAGGATTCAGATTTCTCTCTTCCTCACCCACATGATCACCCCCTTAGACTTAGACTCGTCAACACTACATACACCAGGAACATTAAAAACTGCACTGTTTATGTTTCCCTTCATGCCCTTCTTTGCCCCATGGCCCATTAAGTATTTTTTTTTTCTTTTTCTTTTCGAGACAGGGTCTTGCTATGTCACCCAGGCTGGAGTGCAGTGGTGCTATCTCTACTCACTGCAACATCTGCCTCCAGGGTTCAAGCAATTCTCCTGTCTCAGCCTCCCAAGTAGCTGGGATTACAGGCATATGCCACCACGCCCAGCTAATTTTTGTATTTTTAGTAGAGACGAGATTTCACTATGTTGGCCAGGCTGGTCTCGAACCCCTGACCTCAAGTGATCCCCCCGCCTCAGCCTCCCAAAGTTCTGGGATTATAGGCGTGAGCCACGGTTCCTGGCCATGGCCCAGTAATTTTTATCTACAATGGCAGAGTGAGCAAAAATGGCTTTGAAATATCTTCTAAATTATCTTCAGAGTTACTTTGTGAAACTTGTCTGTATCATTTAAGACACAAGAAATGTGCTTGTTCTAAACTCCAATTTTGAAAAATAAATGAATGATCAATTCTTTTTACTGATAAGTAGGCATTTTAAAATCCTCTTTGCTCTTCACTTGGATACTTCAGAAGAGAGGTTCCCTGGCAGTGTGCGAGTGCTTATGTTATGATGCTGCAGAATCTCACCTTTGACCTGGCTGGTATCAGACATTTGAGTGCATAGCACGAGGATTTTCATAGAGTTTACATTGACACCGTGTTTGGGAGTCCTTGAAGAAGCAGGAACCAGGTGGCTTCAGTCCCCACCTCATATAAATGTCTCTGTAATCAACACCAATCCCCATTCATTACTCATTTAACCAAGAGCTGGGCAGGCACCCAGGCCATATCTGAATGATTTAGCTGGGCCATCACGCCTATCTAAGAAGGAGAGCAAAGATACCAGAAAAAGTTTGGCTGTCCATCAATGGTCACAAGTTAACATGTGACCCTAAGGAGACCAAAAACACAGATATGAAATAAAAATTTACCTTGAAAAGAACATAAAGTCAAATCAGCAATATAAAGGTAAAATTGATGAGGAAAAAGAAAAACATGAAAATGAGAGAATAAATTGTCACTTCAGAAGATAATTTGTGAAGATCTAGCTTAAGAACTAACAATACTAGATAGAGCAAAGTCAGTAGCCAATGTACAGTAGCAAAAATTTTTTAATTAAAGAGAAAATGTTGAGGTGATGAGAATGAGATTCATACAGGCAAATGTACAGTGTGTGAATTGTATGTTAAATTTATTAATTTCAGTGATGAAGAATTTTACCGATATGAAAGGGAAAAGTTACAAATAAGAACAAATTTAGATTGTTCTCAAACTTTTCTGTAATGAAAATAAAGGTCAGAAAACTGGATAAATTACCTACAGAGATATAAAAGATAAGACTTATGATTGATGAATTCTGTATTCTGTCAACTTGTTATTTTTATGTAAAGACAACAGAAAAATATTATCAGATATGTAAGGGCTCAAAAAGCATACCACTCTCAAACATTTCCTGGGGAAATAAAAAACACAGGCATGCTCCTCTTCAAGATAATTTATCTAGAGATTCAAAGAAAGAGTGTTCTAGGCTCTGCCTTCCCAGGAAGAATTGTGGAATGACATCCTCCAGGAACAGCTGATATGGTTTGGTCCACATGGTTAGTCCTTTTTGGAGAACTAAGTTACAAATGATGTAAATCCCTAAGGCCCTGATTCCTTAAGTGACTATCTTTTGGCACAATATTTTTCTACCTAGATTCAGAGAAGCAGCCAGAGTATACGACACAAAAAAGCAACCTATAAGCTATGTCAGTATAGGAAATGTGTCTGTTTTGTTCATTGCAGTGTCTATAGTACCTAGCATAGTACCTGCTGCAGATAGATAATTATTAAATATGTGTGGTTGAATGATTTAAAGGCAAGGAGGGGAACAGAGATGTACCTTCTAGCAGCAAGTTCTATTTAGTAGAACTCAATAAACGTATTGGTTGCTATTCTGTGCCAGGTGCTGACTCTAGTGTTGAAAAGCCAATGAATACAGACAGAAATACAGATAGAGTACATGCTGCCCTGTGTTGTTATTTTGTCTATGGTTGGAAAGTTCACTGTATTGGAACATTTTGAGTGGAAGCTGGGATGTGTCCTTTTAATGCCAGTCTCCCCAGTTAGGAAGAGTCATCCAGGTATCACATCATTTTAAAGTGATTATGTGGTGAAACTCGCTAGACTATCAATGCTTACCAGCCCTTGCTGGGTAGATAACTTCTCTATTCTATTAACTGGTCATATAGAGTTAGGTTTGAGGACAGGAGGAAAACTGTGCTAACATAAAGGTATAATACATTCTGCTCTTGGCTGGGCGCAGTGGCTCATGCCTGTAATCCCACCATTTTGGGAGGCCGAGGCAGGAGGATCACCTGAGGTCAGGAGATTGAAACCAGCTTGGCCAACATGGTGAAACCCTGTCTCTAAAATACAAAAATTAGCCAGGTGTGATGATGTGCACCTGTAATCTCAGCTACTCGGGAGGCTGAGGCAGGAGAATAGCTTGAACCCAGGAGGTGGAGGCTGCAGTGAGCCAAGATCACACCACTGCACTTGACAGAGTGAGACTGTCTCAAAAAAAAAAAAAAAAAAAGAAAGTCCTGCTCCTGATGTAGCTGAGATGTTGTGTTTAGGCATTAGGACACTTTGGTGAGTTGACATATATTGTGATGGCTTCTGTTTAAAATTCATATATGGTGTTTAACTTCTGCTGGGAGGGCAGCCACCTAGAACATTCTTTCTTTGGATATAATCTTAAGTGAGCAGGACCATTCACCTTTCTTCTTGGCTCAACAATGTTGTAGAAAAATAGTGTGAAAACTACCTGATACCTTGGAAGCAAAGATTTCAGTAATACTTCAAGAAAGTGATTATGTGGAAAATAAAGCCTGAAGTTCTCAACAGATCATTCTGAGATCTCGAGAGTGGAAGGGGTGCCATTACCAGAATCATCAGCATTAATGTAGCTTGTGCCCATAGATCCATATGTTCTCAATAGTCAAGCACTCTAGCGCCACTTATTAAGAGGCAATTCTCTTGCCCTCCAAATAACTTCACTATAGAATGGTAGAAAAGGAAACATTCTTTCATTGCCTTATGTAAAGATAGATAGAACTTGGAAAAATAATGTTATCATAAGACAGCATGGCCGGGCTTAAAGAAAGTTTTTTTTTTTTTAATACTCTAAGTTCTAGGGTACATTGTGCACAATATGCAGGTTGGTTACATATGTATAATGTGCCATGTTGGTGTGCTGCACTCATTAACTTGTCATTTAACATAAGGTATATCTCCTAATGCTATCCTCCCACTCCCATCACCCCACGACAGGCCCCGATGTGTGATGTTCCCCACCCTGTGTCCAAGTATTCTAAGTGTTCAATTCCCACCTATGAGTGAGAACATGCGGTGTTTGGTTTTTTTGTCCTTGTGGTAGTTTGCTCAGAATGATGGTTTCCAGCTTTATCCATCTCCCCGCAAAGGACATGAACTCATCCTTCTTTGTGGCTGCATAGTATTCCATGGTGTATATATGCCACATTTTCTTAATCCAGTCTATCATTGTTGGACATTTGGGTTGGTTCCAAGTCTTTGCTATTGTGAATAGTGCCACACTAAACATACGTGGGCATGTATCTTTATAGCAGCATGATTTACAATCCTTTGGGTATATACCCAGTAATGGGATGGCTGGGTCAAATGGTATTTCTAGTTCTAGATCCCTGAGGAATCACCACACTGTCTTCCACAATGGTTGAACTAGTTTACAGTCCCACCAACAGTGTAAAAGTGTTCCTATTTCTCCACATCCTCTCCAGCACCTGTTGTTTCCTGACTTTTTAATGATCGCCATTCTAACTGGTGTGAGATGGTATCTCATTGTGGTTTTGATTTGCATTTCTTTGATGGCCAATGATGATGAGCATTTTTTCATGTGTCTTTTGGCTGCATAAATGTCTTCCTCTGAGAAGTGTCTGTTCATTTCCTTTGCCCACTTTTTGATGAAGTTGTTTTTTTTTTCTTGCAAGTTTGTTTAAGTTCTTTGTAGATTCTGGATAATAGCCCTTTGTCAGATGAGTAGATTGCAAAAATGTTCTCCCATTCTGTAGGTTGCCTGTTCACTCTGATGGCAGTTTCTTTTGCTGTGCAGAAGCTCTTTAGTTTAATTAGATCCCATTTGTCAATTTTGGCTTTTGTTGCCATTGCTTTTGGTGTTTTGGACATGAAGTCCTTGCCCATGCCTATGTCCTGAATGGTATTGCCTAGGTTTTCTTCTAGGGTTTTTATGGTTTTAGGTCTAACATGTAAGTCTTTAATCCATCTTGAATTAATTTTTGTATAAAGTGTAAGGAAGGGATCCAGTTTCAGCTTTCTACATAGGGTTAGCCAGTTTTCCCAGTACCATTTATTAAATAGGGAATCCTTTCTCCATTTCTTGTTTTTGTCAGGTTCATCAAAGATCAGATGGTTGTAGATGTGTCATATTATTTTTGAGGGCTCTGTTCTGTTCCATTGATCTCTATTTCTGTTTTGGTACCAGTACCATGCTGTTTTGGTTACTTAGCCTTGTAGTATAGTTTGAAGTCAGGTAGCCTGATGCCTCCAGCTTTGTTCTTTTGGCTTAGGATTGTCTTGGCAATGCAGGCTCTTTTTTGTTCCATATGAAATTTAAAGTATTTTTTTCCAATTCTGTGAAGAAAGTCATTGGAAGCTTGATGGGGATGGCATTGAATCTATAAATTACCTTGGGCAGTATGGCCATTTTCATGATATTGATTCTTTCTATCCATGAGCATGGAATGTTCTTCTATTTGTTTGTGTCCTCTTTTATTTCATTGAGCAGTGGTTTGTAGCTCTCCTTGAAGAGGTCCTTCACATCCCTTGTAAGTTGGATTCCTAGATATTTTATTCTCTTTGAAGCAATTGTGAATGGGAGTTCACTCATGATTTGGCTCTCTGTTTGTTTGTTATTTGGTATAAGAATGCTTGTGATTTTTGCACATTGATTTTGTATCCTGAGACTTTGCTGAATTTGCTTATCAGCTTAAGGAGATTTTGGGCTGAGACGATGGGGGTTTTCTAAATATACAATCATGGCCAAATAGGAACAGCTCCAGTCTACAGCTCCCAGCATGAGTGACGTAAAAAACAGGTGATTTCTGCATTTCCAACCAAGGTACTGGGTTCATCTCACTGGGGCTTGTCGGACAGTGGGTGCAGGACAGTGGGTGCAGCCCACTGAGCATTAGCCGAAGCAGGGCGAGGCATCGCCTCACCCAGGAAGTGCAAGGGGTCAGGGAATTCCCTTTCCTAGCCAAGGGTAGCTGTGACAGACAGCACCTGGAAAATCGGGTCACTCCCACCCTAATACTGCGCTTTTCCAATGGTCTTAGCACACCAGGAGATTATATCCTGCACCTGGCTTGGAGGGTCCCATGCCCATGGAGACTCGCTCATTGCTAGCACAGCAGTCTGAGATCGAACTGCAAGGTGGCAGCAAGGCTGGGGGAGGGGTCCCCGCCATTGCTGAGGTTTGAGTAGGTAAACAAAGTAGCCTGGAAGCTCGAACTGGGTGGAGCCCACCACAGCTCAAGGAGGCCTGCCTGCCTCTGTAGACTCCACCTCTGGGGGCAGGGCATAGCCAAACAAAAGGCAGCAGAAACCTCTGAAGACTTAAATGTCCCTGTCTGACAGCTTTGAAGAGAGTAGTGGTTCTCCCAGCACAAAGTTTGAGATCTGAGAACGGACAGACTGCCTCCTCAAGTGGGTCCCTGGCCCCTGAGTAGCCTAACTGGGAGGCATCCCCAGTAGGGGCAGACTGACACCCCACACAGCCGAGTACCCCTCTGAGACGGAGCTTCCAGAGGAAAAATCAGGCAGCAACATTTGCTGTTCAGCAATATTCACTGTACTGCAGCCTCTGCTGCTGATACCCAGGAGAAAAAGGTCTGGAGTGGACCTCCAGCAAGCTCCAACAGAACTGCAGCTGAGGGTCCTGACTATTAGAAGGAAAACTAATGAACAGAAAGGACATCCATACCAAAACCCCATCTGTACGACACCATCATCAAGGACCAAAGGTAGATAAAACCACAAAGATGGGGAAAAAACAGAGCAGAACATCTGAAAATTCTAAAAATCAGAGCGCCTCTCCCCCTCCAAAGGAATGCAGCTCCTCGCTAACAATGGAACAAAGCTGGACGGAGAATGACCTTTAAGAGTTGAGAGAAGAAGGCTTCAGATGATCAAACTTCTCTGAGCTAAAGGAGGAATTTCAAACCCATCGTAAAGAAGCTAAAAACCTTGAAAAAAGATTAGATGAATGGCTAACTAGAATAACCAATGTAGAGAAGTCCTTAAAAGACCTGATGGAGCTGAAAACCATGGCACGAGAACTACATGACAAATGCACAAGCTTCAGTAGCCGATTTGATCAACTGGAAGAAAGGGTATCAGTGACTGAAGATCAAATGAATGAAATGAAGCAAGAAGAGAAGTTTAGAGAAAAAAGAGAAAAAAGAAAGAAACAAAACTTCCAAGAAATTTGGGACTATGTGAAAAGACCAAATCTACGTCTGATTGGTGTACCTGAAAGTGACGGGGAGAATGGAACCAAGTTAGAAAACACTCTGCAGGATATTATCCAGGAGAACTTTCCCAACCTAGCAAGGCAGGCCAACATTTAAATTCAGGAAATACAGAGAATGCCACAAAGATACTCCTTGAGAAGAGCAACTCCAAGACACATAATTGTCAGATTCACCAAAGTTGAAATGAAGGAAAAAATGTTAAGGGCAGCCAGAGAGAAAGGTTGGGTTACCCACAAAGGGAAGCCTATCAGACTAAGAGCGGATCTCTCAGCAGAAATTCTACAAGCCAGAAGAGAGTAGGGGCCAATATTCAACATTCTTAAAGAAAAGAATTTTCAACCCAGAATTTCATATCCAGGCAAACTAAGCTTCATAAGTGAAGGAGAACTAAAATCCTTTACAGACAAGCAAATGCTGAGAGATTTTTGTCACTACCAGGCTTGCCCTACAAGAGCTCCTGAAGGAAGCACTAAACATGGAAAGGAACAACTGGTACCAGCCACTGCAAAAACATGCCAAATTGTAAAGACCATCAATGCTAAGAAGAAACTGCATCAACTAACAAGCAAAATAACCAGCTAACATCATAATGACAGGATCAAATTCACACATAACAATATTAACCTTAAATGTAAATGGGCTAAATGCTCCAATTAAAAGACACAGACTAGCAAATTAGATAAAGAGTCAAGACCCATCAGTGTGCTGTATTCAGGAGACCCATCTTACATGCAGAGACACACATAGGCTCAAAATAAAGGGGTGGAGGAAGATCTACCGAGCAAATGGAGAATAAAAAAAGGCAGGGGTTGCAATCCTAGTCTCTGATAAAACAGACTTTAAACCAAAAAAGATCAAAAGAGACAAAGAAGGCCATTACAGAATGGTAAAGGGATGAATTCAACAAGAAGAGCTAACTATCCGAAATATATATGCACCCAATACAGGAGCACCCAGATTCATAAAGCAAGCCCTTAGAGACCAACAAAGAGACTTAGACTCCCACACAATAATAATGGGAGACTTTAACACCCCACTGTCAACATTAGACAGATCAACGAGACAGAAAGTCAACAAGGATACCCAGGAATTGAACTCAGCTCTGCACCAAGTGGACCTAATAGACATCTACAGAACTCTCCACCCCAAATCAACAGAATATATATTCTTCTCAGCACCACATCGCACTTATTCCAAAATTAACCACATAGTTGGAAGTAAAGCACTCCTCAGCAAATGTAAAAGAACAGAAATTATAACAAACTGTCTCTCAGACCACAGTGCAATCAAACTAGCACTCAAGATTAAGAAACGCACTCAAAACCACTCAACTACATGGAAACTGAACAACCTGCTCCTGAATGATTACTGGGTACATAACGAAATGAAGGCAGAAATAAAGATGTTCTTTGAAACCAGTGAGAACAAAGACACAACATACCAGAATCTCTGGGACGCATTGAAAGCAGTGTGTAGAGGGAAATTTATAGCACTAAATACCCACAAGAGAAAGCAGGAAAGATCTAAAATTGACACCCTAACATCACAATTGAAAGAACTAGAGAAGCAAGAGCAAACACATTCAAAAGCTAGCAGAAGGCAAGAAATAACTAAGATCAGAGCAGAACTGAAGGAGACAGAGACACAAAAAACCCTTCAAAAATCAATGAATCCAGGAGCTGGTTTGTTGAAAAGATCAACAAAATTGATAGACCTCTAGCAAGACTAATAAAGAAGAAAAGAGAGAAGAATCAAATAGATGCACTAAAAAATGATAAAGAGGATATCACCTCTGATCCCACAGAAATACAAACTGCCATCAGAGAATACTATAAACACCTCTACGCAAATAAACTAGAAAATCTAGAAGAAATGGATACATTCCTCGACACATACACCCTCCCAAGACTAAACCAGGAAGAAGTTCAATCTCTGAATAGACCAATAACAGGCTCTGAAATTGAGGCAATAATTAATAGCCTACCAACCAAAAAAGGTCCAGGACCAGACGGATTCACAGCCGAATTCTACCAGAGGTACAAGGAGGAGCTGGTACCATTCCTTCTGAAACTATTCCAATCAATAGAAAAAGAGGGAATTCTCCCTAACTCATTTTATGAGGCCAGCATCATCCCGATACCAAAGCCCAGCAGAGACACAACAAAAAAAGAGACTTTTAGACCAATATCCCTGATGAACATCGATGCAAAAATCCTCAATAAAATACTGGCAAACCGAATCCAGCACCTCATCAAAAAGCTTATCCACCATGATCAAGTGGGCTTCATCCCTGGGATGCAAGGCTGGTTCAACATATGCAAATCAATAAACATAATCCGGCATATAAACAGAACCAAAGACAAAAACCACATGATTATCTCAATAGATGCAGAAAAGGCCTTCAACAAAATTCAACAGCCCTTCATGCTAAAAACTCTCAATAAATTAGCTATTGATGGGATGTATCTCAAAATGAAAAGAGCTATTTATGACATACCCACAGCCAATATCATACTGAATGGGCAAAAACTGGAAACATTCCCTTTGAAAACTGGCACAAGACAGGGATGCCCTCTCTCACCACTCCTATTCAACATAGTGTTGGAAGTTCTGGCTAGGGCAGTCAGGCAGGAGAAGGAAATAAAGGGTATTCAATTAGGAAAAGAGGAAGTCAAATTGTCCCTGTTTGCAGATGACATGATTAAAGAAAGTTTTAAAAATGGTTATATCAGTATCAGAAAAAGTGAATACACATCAGATTATTTAGGAGGCCAGTGATATCAAGCAGCAGTAATTTATGATACAACACCAAAAGCTTTCCCAGATAATGCTGGGCATCTCAGCTACTCAGGAGGCTTAGGCGGGAGGAGCATTTGAACCCAGGAGTTTAAGTCCAGCCTGGGTAAGAAAACAATGCCCTGTCTCTAAAAATAATAACAACAATAAAAAGCTTTTCTCGATAAAACTGTAAATCCAAAGTAGCCCAGAGGTAATATGAAACTGAGTACCAGAGGAAGGCAAGAAGGGATATTACAAAAGCAAGCAATTCAATAATGGAGCAGCCTGTATTAATTTTGCAGAGTACTTTCTTTAGCTTTAGAGTGTTGTGCATTTAATATGAGAGACTTCACTTTAGGAAATGTCCATCTTGAGCCAGAACACTGGTTTCTTCACTGGTAATAATTACCAAATACTGGAGAAGTTTTTTATAAAATTGACATGCTGGATGTTTTGTCTTCCTAGGAATGCATCACAGAATCATAGATGAATCACTTCTTTGAATGCTTCTGATGCAACCGTTGCGTCCACCTCTGATTTGGAATCAATTATTGTAATTGAGTTGCAGATATTTCTTATTTTACTCTCATTGATGTGGAACACTGTTTGTATAACTAACTTTGGTGCATACACGGAGTCATTCAGACTTATTTTGGGGGCTCTAACGTTCCTGCAAAATCTTACATTTGTGTTTTTGCATGTTTGATAGTCTAAAAGGTTAATCTTCTTAATGTCTCTTCATGAAATACAACCATATATTTTCAGTGCCTGAGTTTGCATTTATATTTAGGATCCATATTAAAGAAAGGTCAAATGATATCACAGAATTTTGTTGTAGAATTGAAGGTTTGTAACAATTCATGTAATGAAGATAGATGGCATAATGAAATTTTTATGAGAAAAGTAACTATATAGGCTGGATGTTGGCTGTGGCACACCTCTAGAAGGCTAGCCTAGCCTTCTTCACATGGCAGACTCGTCCACATTTATCTAAATCAGGTTCAAGTGTGGATGAGGCTGCCATGTGATTATTAGCTGTTGGAATTTGAATTGCTGCCATTATATGTGTCTCAGTCAGTTTGAGATGCTATTAAAAATACTATAGTCTTAGTGGCTTATAAAGAACAGAATTTTATTTCTCACAGTTCTAGAGGCTGGACAACCAGGGCACCAGCATGTTTGGGTTTGGATGAGGGTACTCTTCTGAGTTGTGAAAGCCAACTTCTCCTTATATCCTCCCATGGAAGAAAGAGACTGAGGGCTCTCATGGCTCCCTTAATAAGGGCACTTATCCCATTCATGATGGCTCTATTCTCATAATCCACCTCCTAATACCATCACATCGGAGGTTAAGATTTTAACATATCGGCCGGGTGCAGTGGCTCACGCCTGCAATCCCAGCACTTTGGGAGGCTGAGGCAGGTGGATCACGAGATCAGGAGATCGAGACCATCCTGGCTAACACGGTGAAACCCTGTCTCTACTAAAAATACAAAAAATTAGCTGGGCATGGTGGTGGGTGCCTGTAGTCCCAGCTATTCGGGAGGCTGAGGCAGAAGAACGGCCTGAACCCAGGAGGCGGAGCTTGCAGTGAGCTGAGATCACACCACTGCACTCCAGCCTGGGTGACAGAGTGAGACTCTGTCTCAAAAAACAAAAAAAAAAGATTTTAACATATCAGTTGTGGGGAGGCACATTTATTCCATTGAATTTGACCCTGGCCCCTTAAAATTCATGTTCTTCTTACATGCAAAATACATTTATTCCAGTCCAACATCCCCAAAGTCTTAATCCTTCTCAGCATCAAGACAAGAATATAAAGTTCATTGTCTCATCTAAATATCATCCAAATCAGATATGAGTGACACCCCATGTCTAATTCATCCTAAGGTGAAATTCTTCTCCTGCTGTGAACCTGTGAAATCAAACAAGTTATGTGCTTCCAAAACAAGCAAAGCGTAGACATTCCCTTTTCAAATAGAAGATATAGGAAAGAAGAAAAGGGTGATAAATCTCAAGTAAGTCCACATGCTAGCAAGACAAGTTCTATGAGAACTGAAGGCTTGAGAATAATCCTTTTTGGCTTCATGCCCTGCCTTCAGGTGGTGGTACTGCACGTGCAGCCCTGCCAGGCAGGAGTCTCAAATCTAGAGCTCTGTCTGCCAGGTGGCCTACTCCTAGGGCATTGGAGAGCATCCACCTGGCCTTTTGTAAGAAAGACAATGGTCCCACCTTTCAAAACCAAGGAAGTAGACTTGATGACCTCTGAATCACCTTGGTGGTCATTCTTTCTTTGTCTTGAAGAATAGTGCCCATTTGCAGCTGAATATTTCTATAATCCTACCACACAGAATTCAAGAAATCTAACAGCTTTTCTTCATTTCATCCCATTTTTTGCCCCTTTCAGTTCAAATTAGCAGTTTTTCTGCAGGGGTGGTTTGGTAAGCCTGTAGTTCATACCCATTACTAATCTCCTTATCAAACTGTCAATTGGCTGCACCCTTACTGTTCTCTTCCAAACATGCTTTCTCACTTTTTGCGATACAGATGGGCTGAGAATTTTCCAAATATTTAAGTTCTAGTTCTTTTTGCTTAATAATTTTACCTTCAAGTCACTTTTCTCTTCTCTCATTTTACTGTATAGGAACTGAGCAACCTTCAACAATTTGCTGAGAATTTTCACCAGCTAAGTATCCAATTTAATTATGCTAAATATACATTTTTATTGCTTTCAAGTTCTACCTTCCACAGAACACTAGAACATGAACAGAATTCTGCCAAATTCTTTGCCACTTTGTAACAGAGATTGCCTTTCCTCTAGCTTCCAATAATAATGTCACTTGATTCTGTCTGAGACCTCATGACAATGACCTTGACCATCCATGTCTTTGCCAACATTCTGTTCATGATTACTTTTGTATTCTCCAAGAAAATGGAGGCTTTGTCTTTAGCTCTTCTCTTTTCTTCCTGAGTCCTCACCAGAATCACCTTTAAAAGTTCTTTTTATAACAATCTAAGCTTCTAGCATGCACCCGAAACTCTTCCAGCTTCTGCCTATTCCTCAGTTTAGAGTTGCTTCCACATTTAAAATTATTTATCTGAGCATTGAGGTAATACCCAATAATTTTGAAAAATTAAAAAAAGACAAAAAAATCACAAATCCAAGAAACTCAGAGAATACCAAGTAGGCTAACACACATACATTTTCAATCTCTCTGTCTCTCTCCCTCTCTCTCACATGTACACACACAAATGCACACACACACACACCATATTCACTGCCAAAAAACAAAACAAATACAATCTTGAAGGCATAGATGGGAAAAAATGTACATTACATGCATAATAAACTACAATAATTATAGCGTATTCACATCAGAAATTATGTGTGCTAGAAAATAATGAAGTGACATTTTTAATGTAATGAAAGGAAAAAGTCAATCAAGGATTCTATATCTAGCAAATATATCTTTCAAAAATGGAGAAAAAGAAAAAGTCTTTTTCAGACAAACAGGAATGAGAAATGTCATCATGTGGTGAACTTTCAGTACAAAAAATGTTAAAGGAAAATAAGCAGAAACAATATGATTTTAGACAAAAACTTGGATCTACTGAGATAAAGAATGCTAGAAATAACATAAAGAAGTTAAATAAAATATACTTTTTAACCTTATTTTCAAGGTTCTAAAGCAGCTTTGTCCAATAGAATTTCTCCAACAATTAAATTTTATTTCTGTGCCACCAATAAGACTAGCCACATGTGGCTGTTGAACACTTGAGATGTGTCAAGTATTACTGAGGAATTGGGTTTTAAATTTTATTTAATTTTAATTAGTTTAAACTACCCACATGTGTCTAGTGACTACTTTTTTAGACTTCAACCCTAACACATAATGAAAGCAAAAAAAGTAGCAACTGTGTTTATAATGTATATTAAAGAAAATGTATTACACCAATGACATAAATGAAAGGAGGAAGAAGTAGAAAATATAATCTTATTTAAAATTCATGTTCATGCCAGCTTTATACGTAATCAGGGAAAAAAATGGAAACAACCCAAATGTCCCTGAACTGGGGAATGAATAAACAAATCTTAGCACATTTATACAACAGAATAGTGTCCAGCAATACAAAGGAATGAACTATTGACAAAAACAACAATAAGAATAAATCTCAAATACAACACATTAAGTGACATAAGCCAATGTCTAAAGACTGCATATGACATGGTTTCATTTATATGGCATTTTGGAAAGGCAAAGCATATGTGAAGAAAAAGATCTGTGCTTGCTAGGAGTTAAAAAGGAAGCCTTGAATAAAAAGGGCCACAGAAATTTACACCACAAGGTAAAATTTACTGTACTTTAATTATTTTTTAATTTTAAAAATGAAAAGCCCTATTATATCTAAAGTAGGAAGAGTTATAAAATAGAGTAATCATTATATTTTAATTTTAATTTATATTAATGAACTGTCTTTTTAATGCCTATAATGTCTAAGTCATAGTTCATTTCCAAACGAAATTATTATGAGTCTAGAATCAGAAGTGTGGTTTAAAATAGTATTTTACACTTCCTGTTAAGTCGTCATCAATTCAATTAGGTTGCTGATCTAGATATTCATTTTCCCACTGGTCTTTCAACTAATGTTCCTCACTCCTATATGGTGCCTTTATTTCCTCTAGTCTTTTTACCCAGCACCCTAATCCTGCTCCAGGGTATAGGCTCTTTCTAGTGGATGTGTGTGAGATTCTTCCAGCTCTCCATGAAGAGTGAGACAGGAAAGAAAACCCCATCCAGTCACTTCAGCCTTAAAGGGCCTTCTTTGTTTTTCCAATGAGTATAAAAATGTATGAATACTACATAGAACAAAAGTTATCTCTAAATGTAATACAAGTGAAGACTCTGAGGAATTCTCCTCTAAAGAAAACTCTTTTTTCTTTTTTTTGTCCCAGAGCTCCCCATAATTTTTTTTTTTACTTTGTAATCTTTTCTTCAGTTTTATTTCATAGGACTCTGTGGCATACAGTATGGAAAATGCCTAAGCTGTGTTTTTTTCACAGGTTATGAGTGTAAAGGTAAAAACCACCAAGTGGGAGAAAAACAGAGCCGGAAACTTGTCTCCTAGATAGAAATAGCAATTTTTCCCCTTTGTTCTGGGTACAAGTCCAGGAAAAAAGGGAAGACAAGTGAAGCTGGAGGTGACAGAAATTATTCTTATTTTTTTTTCCTTAAGGAGCACCCATTCAGTATTCTTATTTAATGAACGTTCACAAAGTGCTAGCATTGAATAAAGCAGATTTGATTTGTGGTTTTATGAAGGTTACAGTCTAATATGAACCATCCAAAGAGATGAACAAATCAAAATTCCAAATGAATATGTACTATGAAGCATTACCAATCCTATAAAAATTTTCCCTTGGTATGAGTATTGCCAATATCTTTCAAATACTCTGATTTTCAATATAGCTTATTTTTCATCTTTGAATACTTTTTTTTTTGCTTTATGTAGCCTTCTTTATATTCAGGAAAATTTCTTGCTTATTCTAATTATTCATCATTATGTATGTAAGACCAAGGGCACCTTGATTCAGATAGAATGTTAACAGGCCACATTCTACTCTGTTTGTCTATTATGCTTGGTAATACTCAATATCTATAAGGATGCTGAAGTACAGAAAAGAAATGCTAAAATAAGATAAATGAAGGGCAGTTGACCAACCCCGAATTGAATGCATTTTCCGAGTTCCATACAATGGCAAATTCATTTCTGTAGATAAAAAATGTATTGCTGAATTCAACAACAGCCTAGATTCCTGGAATGATGCCATTTATATTTATGGAATTAATATCAATTATTTTATCATAATTTCAAATTACACAGAGAATCAATTTGTAGAAACTAAGTCCAAGATCACCCAGTGTCAAACCAGAAGTTAAAAGGCAAAAGCAAGTGTGATTTGAAAACACAAGATGTGAAGTGGAGATGGCAGGAGTTATCACACAGGGCACCAGGAATCTCAGCCAAGCCATGCAAGGATGACTGAGAACAGAAGCTCAGCTCTTTAGGAATACAATGTAAGAATCAGGTAGAGCCAGCATCCTGGAGTATAGGCACAGTATCTCCTCAGGTTCAGAGACCCACAGAAGAAACAGAGAAATCCTGAGCATCCAAGAGAACTGGGCTGAAGGGAGCCCAGATTGCAGCCTGGCTATTTCATCGGGGCACTTCTAAGAACCATTAACCTATATTTGTATTAAAGCAGGCTTTAGCCATTCGGTAACAGTAGCAGTGATTTTTTCAGAACCCTACTAGTAAATGATATATAAATGTAGATGGCATGCAAGAACCATGGAAGGGGGACAAAACATGACTGGTATATGGAGGTCTCATCTAGATGAGAAACACATGCTATGCACATTGTTCTTTTCTGCTACTGCCAACTTGACTTCTATCCCAACTCTCTAGATCTTAGCATCTTCTGAGATCTTGGCCCATTGTTACTTCTCTGATTTTAGTTTGTTATTCTCCTGTCTGCAGTTTCTTCAGCTAAGTTTTCTTTGTCTTACCTGTGACAATTTTTGCTAGCCACTCGGTCTCTCGGCTACCTTTGCCATCCCATTCAGGTCCCATGGGTACACTCATCTGTACTCAACAAAACTTAGTGCCCCAGAAGACAGGTGGGAAATTTCAAGTCTTTCTTGTGCCTAAAAACCCTAAGTAGATGTTTTTACTTCCATGTCTTTACTTTCTAAAGATGCCTTTACTTCATATGACCTTGGTCATAAGTTCTAATGCTAGACTACTACCTTCAAGATAGTCCCTATGACAATACAGAACAAAAGTGTTTTTACAGACCTATGTCCTCTAAATATCAAGGGACAAATCTATCATCTCCTTGACAGAGTTTTAATGTTAATAGAGATGAGTTCATTGCATCATTTCTTTTTCTTTTTATTTCTTTTTTTTCTTTTTTTTCTTTTTTTTTTTTTTGTTTTTGAGACCAAGTCTCACTCTGTTGCCCAGGCTGGAGTACAGTGGCGCAATCTCAGCTCACTGCAACTTCTGCCTCCAAGGTTCTCATGATTCTCCTACCTCAGCCTCCCAAGCAGCTGGGTTTACAGGCACCCGCCACCACACCCTGCTGATTTTTGTATTTTTAGTAGAGTAGGGATTTCACCATGTTGGCCAGGCTAGTCTCAAACTCCTGGCCTCAGGTAATCAACCTGCCTTGGCCTCCCAAAGTGCTAGGATTACAGGCATGAGCCATCACACCCAGCCCATTGCATGATCTCTAACTCCCTTCTTTACCTCCCTGATTTCTGATTTCTGGTGTTTGTGGTTGTGTGTGGATGTGTGAATAAAGGAGAAAAAAATGTGTTTTTAAAACATGTTCTGCCTATTTGCATTTCCTAGGCAGTTTTTTCTGTCTCACAGCTCAATGGTGCCTTTGGTGGCCCAGAAGTCAAGAATCTGTCAACTTTGATAACTGGCCTGTAAGCTTACAACCCCTTCTAGAGTTAACAAAAGCCCAGGGCTTCTAGCCATGAATGAAGGTAATCACACGGAAAAGGAACAGAATACGCTAGTTACTGTTTAAAATAAATACATGGGAATTTATGTAACCAGTATGCTAAACTAGCCCAACTGGTGGGATGCAATCACAAGGTATTTCCACATACTTCCTTTAACTTTGCTCTGTGGGACTAGTTTTGCCCCAGCAATGAAAAGTCTGATACTTCTGCATCTTTTGTAGTTACTTTTAAGCAATGGAAATCCACAAATTTCAAGACACAAATCATAAAGTCAAGTTGCTACTGAAAATTCCCAGTCCCACATATTAGTAAAACTTCCAAATTCATTTAAAGTTACAGTTCCTCTCCTTCCTTCAACTAAGTACTACTTCAACTTAAAAAAGGCAAAGAACAGCTAATTTCTATTCTCTTCCCAATTCTTCCTCCCCCACTAAATTTCCAACCCCTTTGGAGCTGTAGCTTAAAGGCAGAAGGTTGGAAGCAAAAGCAACCAGCTGCGTGCTCAACAAACCCATTTCTCCTTCCTGAGTATCCCACCTCCCTTCATCTAGTTAGGGCCATGTGATTAATTTTTATTAGTGGAATGCAAATGGAAGTGATGAATAGCGGTCTTAGGTAGCTTAGAATGGAATTTCTTAAGTGTGTCTTTTCCATACTTTATTTCATTATCTCCCGGCCAGATTTAGAAACACAATGAAACACTGTAAGGCAGAGTCAATAAATGAAAGGTGGCTAACTTCGTCGATGATCAGATAGAAGGAGACTGCCCACTCAACACCCAATTAAGCTATGATGGGAATGAGAAATAACCATGATTAGGTTGGGGGTCATTTCTTATGGCAGCTTATGTTACTTACCCAATTGACACTGGCAGAGAGGAAGATAAGAAAGGAAGAAATATTTATACTTGGCTGGCACAAGTATGGTGGGTCTTAGGAGATACCCTTTGGCCATTAATTCATACCTCTTACTAATAATATTCTGGACTCAGGTAATATATTCTTGCCTTATTTGATACTTACCTCTACCCTTTTTGGAATCTGCAGTTATATTCAACATCTCCCTTACGATGCTTGCCTGAGCATGTAGTATAATACCCAACTGGCCCACTGGAAATAGTCATACATCCTTTGCTCTAACAGACTCTCAAAGTGAAGGCCATTACACATCACCGTCTCACCTTTACTACCTTCATTTCCACCACTGGAGCAGCTTTCCAGCCTGCTTTTGCTGTTTAGATTTCCAAATAGAAACCAGCTTAATGTATCAACCTTACTGAAGGGGATGAATATCAATTGTATATGAGCATATTAGCTTTATTTTGTCAATTTTTGATAGTAAGAATTCATGATCTCCAATTTTTCCTTTTTTACATGGTCTAGTCATATTTTATTGATGTTACCATCTTCCTGAAGTTCACTGAGAAAACTCAATGCATTTAAAATTATGAAAGTTAGCTAGTTTTCTGCATTAAATCTGTTTTTGATGCTCATTAATCCCTTTCACTAGACTTGAGCTATGAGACAGGATGCCATGTCCAAGTCCCCTTGATGGGCTGGATTTATAGGACACCAGCACCTTCCTCAAAATGTCCTTTTTACTTCACAATGCACCCGCTAACCCTCTTTGACTCAATGTGAAGCATTTAAGACGTTTTAAAGTATATTTTCACCTGAACCACTTGAAACTTTCCATTTTGGTCTGGCACCTGTTTTCAGAATGTTATATCTATTGCATTTTACTATCTATAGTGAAAATTTAAATACAATTACATTTACTTGGATGTAGAATACTAGAGCTCTCAGTGAGTTTCTCTCAGAACTCTCTAGACAATGCTGGGTTATCATCAAGCATTTCATACTGCAAATATAAAACCACGTGTTTTAGTTCAGTTGTGTTGCTATAGAGGAATACCTGGCTGGGTGTGGTGGCTCACACTTGTAATCCTAGCACTTTGGGAGGCCGAGGCGGGCGGATTGCCTGAGGTCAGCAGTTCAAGACCAGCCTGGCCAACATGGTGAAACTCCATCTCCACTAAAAATGAAAAAATTAGCTCGGCATGGTGGTGGGCACCTGTAATCTCAGCTACTCCGGAGGCTGAGGCAGGAGAATCGCTTGAACCCAGGAGATGGAGGTCGCAGTGAGCTGAGATCATGCCACTGCACTCTAGACTGGGCGACAAAGTGAGACTCCATCTCAAAAAAAAAAGAAGGAATAACTGAGGCTGGATAATTTTCAAAGAAAAGAGGTTTATTTGGCTCATGGTTTTGGAGGCAGTACAAGAAGCATGGCACTGGCATCTGCATCTAGAGTGGGCCTGAAGGTGCTTCCACTCATGGTGGAAGGAAAAGGGGAGCCAGCATATGCAGAGGTCACCTGGGAAAGAGGAGGCAAGAGAGAGAAGGGGGAGGTCCCAGGCTCTTTTTAACAATCAGCTCTCTGGGGAACTCTCTTGAGAACTGATGGAGCAAGAACTCACGTAGTTCCCTCCCACCCAGGGAGGGCATTAATCTACTCATGAGAGATCCACTCCCAGGATGCAAACACCTCTCATTATGCTCTACCTCCAACATTGGGTATTACTTTTCAACATGAGATTTGGAGGGGTCAAACAAACCATAAAAAACACCAAGTTCTTAATTGATCTTTCTCACTGTATGCATGTAGAGAATTATTGTCCTAGGCATCCATATACTTAATCAGAATTTTTTAGTCTGAAGACTCAGATCTTTCTTCAGGAAAATTATCTTCTATTATCCCTTAAATTATTGGTTCTATTATATTAACATTGTACTGTCTTTCTGGAAATTCTGGTATATAAATATCATGACTCTCAGATGCATCTTCTACATTTGTTATCTTTTTTCTCATTTCTTTTTAATATCTTTCTGAATTCTTAGATAATTCCTCAAGTTAATTTACTAATCTCTTTGTTAGCAATATCCATTCTGCTCACTGTGTGATTTTCTGGTTAATTTCAGCAATAATGTTTTATGCTAAACACTCTGGTACTTCGATTTTTTTCTTTTCCATGACCATATAATCTCTTTGAATGCAGCAACCTTTCTAATCTCACTGAAGATATGAATAACAATTTTCTTAACGTTTTCCGTGGTTTGCATCATTAATCTTGTTTTTTTGAGGGATATTAGAACTCACTGTCACTATTGCTTCCCTCCTTTCAGCTGATTTTTTTCAAAAGTCTGATGATAAATATTTTACTGTCTGATTATATACCTACCTCCAAATTAATGTCCTTAGTAGGGTTTTTTTTAAATGGGCCCAAGGAAGAGTAGCTATTATCTTTTATTTCAATGGAAATAATAAAATGAATTCCCAGAAGTGCAAAAATCACACTAATTTTTCATATAAATAAAAAGTTTTTTAAAAACCTAAATATGAATAAAGTGAATATTAAAGAGCAATTTTACCAGCCCTGATTAAAATGTAAATTATAATTATGTAATCGGAAAAACTTAGATTGGCCATACAAAATCATTCTGAGGAAGGTGCCTCTAAATTTGTCGTCTAGCAAAATACATTCTAAAATTATGTTCTCTCTGATTATATTTTAATGAAAAGACAACAAAAAGATGCTCTGTTTCTCCTTTTCCTAGCCTCTGCCCCTCTGTCTCCTACTTTCTCATTTCCCAAATTGCAATAATCTAGAACAGGTTTATTTTGAAGTCATGATCAGGTGTGCTGAGACAGAGAAGAGAGTATGGGAAGAGTCTCTTTTCCTGAGATCATACAAGAGGCAAAAAAAAAGAAGTTTACAATACTGTAATGTGTGCTTAAAAATTCTGTTAAGAGAGCGGATCTTAGTAAGTGTTCTTAACACACACGTACAAACACGTACACATACAAAATAAAACAAAACAAAAACCTAAAGGATGGAAGGAAACTTGTAGAGGTGCTAGATATACTTATTACCTTGATTGTGGCTATGGTTTCACAGGTGTATTCATAAATCCAAACTCATCAAGTTGTATATATTAAATATGTGCAGCTTTTAAATAACAATTAAAGTGCAATAAAACTGTTAAAATAAATAAATAAATAGACTTTGAAAAACTTTAAAAGAAGAAGACAGACGGAAGATGTGAATCCTAAAGGCCTTCAACTCCAGAGTGGAGTCTGCTTGGTTTGATAGAACCAAGGAGGAGAAGCAACTGAAGAGTAGGCTGGAGTTTGTTACATGGAAGAGGCCACATACATGTTACTCAGCAAAGAGAAATCTTAAACTCATTCTAGATTAAACCCAAAGTGAAAATGATACTTTTGGTCAGCTGAGCTGAACAGACTGTGTTGTGGCATAGATTCAGAGTAAGATTTTTATTTTCAGAATTTTAAAATACTATGAATTAATTCAGAAAATACAATATTATAATGAATGCTATAATGGATTTACTTCAGTGTCTATTTCAGTTGACGGTTCATAACAATAGAGACTGCATTCTAAATGGAAGGTCATCAGGAATTTTAAAGCTAGTTTTGTGATTTCAACCTGTAGCTAACATCAAGGGTCTCAAAGGATTAGGAGTTGGAGATTATAGGAGAAATACATTTCCTTGGAAAAGTATCTTCACCTTTCTTCCATACATGCACACAGGGATGAAGGGTGCTTTCTCCTGACCCCAAACCTAGTGGGAAGGGCTTCAACTACATCAGTCAGAAGTTTGCACAATGTACTAGGGATTTGGAAACGTGGGCTAGTTCCTGGCCCGAGCCTGAAAAACATAAAGGCTTAGGAATTGTGGCAGCGCAGCTATTCTGGTAGTGACACCTTGGGATCAGCCTAGATTTCCAAATGTTACTCAGGTTAAATTTTTTTTTTAAACCAGATGAGGGTCATACACCCAAAAATGAGAGCATCATATTGTTCCAGTTCCTATCTCAGAACTCTATTCAAAGAGGTAAAAAGCCTATTTTAAAAAGAATTTAGGTATGACTGGCAGCTAAAGAAGGATTCACCAGCATTCAGTCAGGGCAAAATAATTCATTTATGCCAAGAGAACTGCAGACAGTGAGGAAGAGAGAGAACTGACCTTATCAGTCAGGATAGACTAGAATAGTGGTTCTCAGACAAGGGCAATTTCATCCCCAAGGGCTTTTTGGTGAAGTCTGAAGATAGTTTTGGTGGAGGAGTGCATGGGCAATGCTGCTGGCATCCAGTGGCTAGTGGTCAGGCATGTGGCTAAAAGTCATACAATACATAGCAAAGCTTCTTACAACATAGAATCATCCAGCAGACTGTCAACAGCACTAACACTGGCAAACCTGAGCTGGTGCATGCTGGTTCAACAAATAATCACCAAATCTTAGCAGCTTGTAAGACAAAAGTTTACTTCCCATGTGTGCTATGTCTCTATTGCATGTTGGCTTATGGCTCTGCTGCATGTGCCTTCCTGGCAGAATCCAGCCACCACTTGGAACATCACCAGTTGACATGACACAGTGAAAAGAAATATGTTGAGCAATACACTAACTTTTAAAGCTCCTCAAAGAAATGACATCCATCTCCCCATCTACATTTCATTTGCCAAAGCGAGTGCCCTCGTCTATTGGTTAGTTATTACCGCATAACAAATTACCTCAGAATTTAGTGTCTTAAAACTATGCAGACTTACTTTCTGCTAGTTTCTACAGATCAGAAAAGGGGCACATCATTGCCAGCTCCTCTTCTTTAGGTTCTCTCAAGAGCTGCAATCAAGGTATCAGCCAGAACCTCCACCATCTGAAGGTTCAAAAGGGACAGGATCTGATTTTGAGCTCACTCAGTAATTGTTGGGAGGATCCAGTTCCCCATGGGCTGGTGGACCGAGGGCCTCATCTCCCTTGTACACATTTACCCGGAGTCTCCAAAGTCCATGTATTGTTCTCAGGCCTTTGCATCCTCATAGCTTAGCTCCATTAAAAGTGGGAACATATGATGTTTGGTTTTCCATTCCTGGGTTATTTCACTTAGAATAATGGTCTCCACCTCCATCCAGGTTGCTGCGAATGCTATTATTTCATTTATTTTTATGACTGAGTAGTATTCCGTGGTGTATACGTATGCCACATTTTCTTTATCCACCTGTTGACTGATGAGCATTTGGGCTAATTCCATATTTTTGCAATTGTGAATTATGCTGCTATAAACATGTGTGTACAAATGTCTTTTTCATAGAATGACTTCTTTTCATAGGACCTATTTTGAATATCAACATAAGACACCATAATGATAAGTCCAGCATGCAAGGGACTTCTGCGTTTAAAAATACATGTATGGTTGGGAGGCCGAGGCAGGCAGAACACTTGATCCCAGGAATTCAAGATCAGCCTGGGCCACGAGGCAAAACCCTATCTCTATAAAAAATACAAAAATTAACGACATGGTGGCATGTGCCTTTCCTGCAAGCTACTTGGGAGGCTGAGGTAGGAAGAGCACCTGAGCCCAGGAGATTGAGGTGGCAGTGAGCCATAATAGCACTACTGCACTCCAGCCTGGGTGACAGAGTAAGACCCTGTCACAATAAAATAAAATAAAATAAAATATAAATGTTAATTAATTAATTAGTTAAATGTGTGACTTGTTTAGAACGAGTGGCTGATATAGCTTTCATGAGCACTCATGTAGATTGCCAATCCCTTTTTGCTGAACTTCCTTGACCTTAAAGCATGGTGAGGTGGGGTAAGTGGGTCTGACTCCTATCTCTGACCTACACATATAGGTGGAAACAAAACAGAGGATTCCTCCCTAAATGCAGCTAGAAGCAATTAGGTAAAAATTTAATTTAATTTAATTTAATGTAGAAATTCCTTTTCTGGTTTCAACATGGTTGGTCTTTCTCTAAGGGTATTAGCTAGAAGTAGGTAACCAGCTGGTCTTCCTCTGCAAGGGCGAGGTGCTTGAGATGAAAGATGGACAGGCTTCTCCTCAGGCGTATTGCACACGAATACTTTTATAGGTGAGCTATCCTGAGCTCACCTGGTAGCTGTAGGCTCTCCTAAGCATAGTGTAGTCCACAGGAAGCTTCTCAAGAGTGTGGTCAGCAATGGTGGGTCTATGACACATTACTTTCCTGTCCTCACTCCTCTTACATTACTCTTGCTTGATAATTCCTTAAGATTTCCATTAGTTGAATGTCATTTTCTGTGATTTCTCCTAATGAGGACAGAAATTTCTTGTCCAAATTTCCTGTGCTATCTCTACAGAAATTTGAAAATAGGGGAGATTCTAAAACCTTTACCAGCCATACTTCATTTTCCAGAACATACTACATTGTTACATAGAAAGAGCTAGAAATAAAACAGATATACCATAGATAGCCATCAGTTTCTCTTTCTCTGTGTTTATCTATATGAAGGTTATAGATGGATATTTATAGAAACAGACCAAATGGTTAATGGTTGTTAACTTTGTGTAGTAGAATAATATGCTTCTTTTTTCAAAAGATCTATTTATACATTTAAATTTTCTTCCTATGATCAAGGAATGCTTTTATACTAAGTAAAAAAAAAATACAATTTTTCTTTAATTTAAACAAATAATAGAATCACAGCATGCAATTTATCTGGGGACTGTGCATCTAACAGAGGAGCTATTTTAAACTAAAGGGATACCAAGAAATCAGGAGCTTTTGAAGATTCACTTTAAAGTGTTGCTACTCATGCTTAACAAAAATGTTTCTACCTAGTAAATTAATGTACAATGTGTATGCACACTAGAAATTTATTTTGGGACAATCATAAGAAACTCTATTTTATACTGCTCCTAAGTTTGCAAATCGCTTTGAAATCTCATTTTATTTCATCATTCAAATGACCAGATTAAAGAAAGGTCAAGTTTTATTAACCTTGTTTGGATGTGGAAAGAAGCACAAAGCATCCCATGATAGGCACTGAGAGCAGCAGAGCCACAACTCTGACTGCCACACAGTTGCTTTCTCTACCCAGTAGCCTTTACTTTCATGCCTTGGTAGGTTGGACAATATCAATGAAGTAGGAAAATTATGCCAGCAACTGATGTAGGCCTCATTGCTCAGTACAGGCAACATCTCCCCTTTATTTTAGATTCATAGATCTCTTTTCAGGTTTTGAAATGTGATTTTCATGGCAGTAATGTCATGCATAGTCCTCTTTTCCTAAATAGGAAGTTTATAACTTCATTATGGATATCTTGCAAATTTTCTGTTTCCTTGAGGAAAAAAATATTTAACTCAGAGAACCTGATGATCTTTTTTGGATGACCATCGTGTAAGTGGAGAGTAGAATCATTTTTGGCCATGAGAAGTTGAGAACTCAATTAAGAATAATTAGGACTCAAACAAAAGTGAAAGCTGATTTAAAATGATTTATTTTATTTTATTTTATTATTATTATACTTTAAGTTTTAGGGTACATGTGCACAACGTGCAGGTTTGTTATATATGTATACATGTGCCATGTTGGTGTGCTGCACCCATTAACTCGTCATTTAACATTAGGTATATCTCCTAATGCTATCCCTCCCCCCTTCCCCCACCCCACAACAATCCCCGGTGTGTGATGTTCCCCTTCCTGTGTCCATGTGTTCTCATTGTTCAATTCCCACCTATGAGTGAGAACATGCGGTGTTTGGTTTTTTGTCCTTGTGATAGTTTGCTGAGAATGATGGTTTCCAGCTTCATCCATGTCCCTACAAAGGACATGAACTTATCCTTTTTTATAGATGCATAGTATTCCATGGTGTAAATGTGCCACATTTTCTTAATCCAGTCTATCATTGTTGGACATTTGGGTTGGTTCCAAGTCTTTACTATTGTGAATGGTGCCACAATAAACATACGTGGGCATGTGTCTTTATAGCAGCATGTTTTATAGTCCTTTGGGTATATACCCAGTAATGGGATGGCTGGGTCAAATGCTATTTCTAGTTCTAGATCCCTGAGGAATCGCCACACTGACTTCCACAATGATTGAACTAGTTTACAGTCCCACCAACTGTGTAAAAATTTTCCTATTTCTCCACATCCTCTCCAGCACCTGTTGTTTCCTGACTTTTTAATGATCGCCATTCTAACTGGTGTGAGATGGTATCTCATTGTGGTTTTGATTTGCATTTATTTAAAATGATTATACCGACAAGCTGAAAACTCAGGCAAGACTAACTTTCGTATTGCTGGTATAATTTAAATAGGCGAAATATTTTTAAAGTCTGTTTTGTAGCAACAATACCAAGAAAAACTACTTTAACAAATCATGCTACATATAGGCAGCATGCTACACAGAAAGAATACATGTATATTTACTTCATAGAAGTTCTGCTCAATTATCTAGATAAGAGGAAAACATAATAAATTTAAAAAACTACTAATGCTTTTTAAAAAATTTAGCCCTATAATTCCAAAGCAGTTTAAAAGATGCATTAACATGTAACCATCTTAACTTTGGAAATTTCATGTTTTCATTTTCGTGATCTTGTAACAGTAGATTTGATGATGAATGAGAAATTGTCAATAGACATAGCAAGTCTAAGGGAAAGATTGTAAATATTCTATACGTTGCAAAAAACTATCTTTAGTTATTGTAAACATAAGTGGGTATGGGAGATGGTGCCCTAAGATGAATTCCGCCAATTTGTTTCTTTTCATATAAACATGCTGCTTCTCATATAAAAAGTAGAAACTAATTTCCCTAGCCTTGAATCAGTGGCCTAAGTGGCTGGCTTGGTCAACAGAGTGTAGTGAACATTCTGGGACTCTTGAGCCTTGCTCATAAGAAACTTTGTAACATTCTCTGGGGAATCTTGCAGTGCTCATTTGGAGAGCTCCATCTGAGAACCCAGATAGCACGCTGGGAGTTGCCTACATAACTCACAGAGGCCACGTGCAAGTGCTCCAGTGGTCAGCTGCAGCTGAGCTCTCAGCATTCCAGCTGAGCTCTCAGCCTTCAGCCACCATCATGTGAGTCAGCCATTTAACACGATCAGCTCATTTGGGGAGCAGATGACTCCAGCTCCTCACATCTCACTACCACTGCATAGACAAATTCTGAGTGAGAACTACCCAAATGAACACAATTAACCCAGAAAACAATGAAAGAGAGAGTAATCAATGGTTGCTTTAAGCCACCATGTTTTGGGATTCATTTATTACATATCAATAGATAACTAAAAGAGTAAGGTATGAATATTAAGTAAATAATAAATTGGAAATAAGCAAAATTCTTCAGAATGAATCAGAAAGTGTACCTGGCTTTGGCTTACGACACAAAGTGTTTAATGATTTGGGGATCAGTAACATACTCTCTGGTCCTAGTTCTTCATTTTTAAAGTGAAAAATCTGGGATGTTAAAAAAGACAGACAGTGTAATCCCAGCACTTTGGGAGGCCCAGCAATCCCAGCACTTACCTGAGGTTGGGAGTTCGAGACCAGCCTGATCAACATGGAGAAACCCCCGTCTCTACTAAAATACAAAATTAGCTGACCGTGGTGGCGCATGGCTGTAATCCCAGCTACTCAGGAGGCTGAGACAGGAGAATCACTTGAATTCGGGAGGCAGTGTTTGTGGTGAGCTGAGATTGCGCCATTGAACTCCAGCCTGGGCAACAAGAGTGAAACTCCATCTCAAAAAAAAAAAAAAAAAAAAAAAAACACAGTTCAAACACATGTGTGGCCTTCTGATGAGTAGATTTCTACTCATTCTGCAGTGAAGGTCAATGTCAATAAGTGTTCACTGACTTTGGACAAAAAGTGTAGACTAGATTATCAAACACCTTGTTCCTGAGGACAGAAATGATAATCAGGAACCAACATAGGTGGACACTGGGCATAAACTACCAAAATCAACTCATTTAACTGAGTAACTGAGTATCTTTCAAGGCTGTTAGGCTGGTATACCAGAGCATGTGATAGACATTGTTCATCTGTGACATTGACTTCCTTCAGAACCTTCTGGATTATAGTATAACTTTTGTATTACTACTTAAAATCTTTCCACTGGGCTCTTCTCAATGAACAATTTCTTGAAAGTATTTTTAATCCTGCACAAATTCTATACAAATCTTAGGCTCTCCTCTCATGCTATTGGTTTCATCACTTTCCAGCCCTCCTCAGAAAGCCTCTCCTGTCTGTCCTTTCACTAGATTTTGGGCCTACATTTCCAAAAGTAAGAGCTATTCTAGCTCTTAACAATTGTTTATATCACTACCATTCTATTGAAATTGCATGTCCAAAGTTGTCCACAATATTTTAGTTCCTAAATCTAATTAACCTTTTATCTGTTTTCTTCTCTACTTTATCTCTATAGCATGGAACCAGGCTGACAGTTTTCTCATTCCCCATTCTCTCCTTTATCGACTTCCATGGCACTTTCGGCTCTCTTTGTATTGCTCCTACTGCTTCTACTCTATTATCTGCTGTGTCTCCTATTGTTCTCTTAAACATAATCATGTTTACTTGGTCCCTTTCATTCCCTTTTATTCTCTTTTTCTCAATGTGATTTCTGTCCAGTTATTTACTCATTATTTTCTCTATAAGAATGGTATGGTAACTGATATCAAATTTTTCCTTTGCTAATTTTTAGGCACTAAATATGTCCTGAAATTTCATTTTAATCCCAAGGGTCCAGAACCTGATTAGATGGTCTTAAAATGGGATTATAGTCAAAAGACTTGGGGATATCTAAATCATTTTCTATTTCAGCCATCCTTCCTCCCTGTGATTTCATGGAGGAAAGGTATATTTACACAAGAATAATGGCAAGTGAGAAACAAGGCATCACTCAATTATTATGATCTAGGCTTGTACCCTCAGATAATGTAGGGCTTTCTGGTAAGCAGGGCTTGGAGTTGATGTCCAAAAATGACTAAAACTTAACATTGATCAGTACCTTCTTTAAACAATTTGTTCTTTTCATTACAAAGAGAAAGAATAAGATAACTGTATCTACCCCAAGGAGGCAGACCCTGGCTCATTTTGCTTATTCTATTGCATGAATGAAAAGAAATCCCAGAGAATTTGAGGAAGAAAGGAAAACAGAGTGAGGCATGTCTATGTTTATGAACATCTGATGTAGTATAACGCAATTTCTCAATAACTAGGCAAAATCATTTTTCTGGAATCTGATTTAATCAGACTAGTATTCCCCTTACCCAGAGTGGGAATATGTGGAGAGTGGACAAGGGCAAAAGGTAAGACCTCCTGCTTCTAGGTCCTACTTCTCTTGGCAGGGAATACTCATGGCCCCTCGTCTCATTGTCACTGTAATTTTCAGTTTATGCATTGATCTCCACTCTGTACTCTGCTGTTTGCTTGCTTAATATTCTAGGACTGAAGCCCAGCTCATTCATCTGGTGGCCTAGTTCTTGCCAATTTCATCAATAAAATATTCTGAATCTTACCTTCAGTATTTCCATCCACTCTGTGGAGTCATGCCTTGATATTCCCAGATTTCAATATTGCTCAAGCTGACCATACATAGTATATATACTACCTGCAATTTCTTGCTCTTTTAACCTTTCTGTAGAATCAGAATATAAGCTTGCATAAAAATGTCAGTTTGGCATATTCTTTGGCCCTGTGCCTTCAAATACCGGTCTGTCTTTGCTGTGGATAATTCCATTTCTGAGGTGGGTTTTCAATTTGCCCTGGGGAGTGGGTCTCTGCTTCACCTCAGTAGCCATCTGTCATTGGATGCTGCACATCCAATCCTGTGTTTTTTATGATAAACTCAACATGAGTCAGTACTGTTCTGAAGACTCCCAGAAAAGGGTTTCCACTTTAAACTGCATCAATATGCTATATATGTAGTATTTTGAGATTTGGATTATTTCCCTCTCACTCCCAGTAATTTCTGCTTACAACATGACCGTCCATCTTTTAGACCATTAAATAATGAAGAATCTATTGTTTCAAGAAAGAGTTATTACAACTGAATACAGGAGGCAAAAAGAACACAATGAATGGTTATTGAAATGTGTGAGAGGCAAAGACTTAGACTTCTCACACTTAGGCCTTAGGCTTTAAAGTTCACTAGAAATAATTCATTTTGAAGAACTATTTATTCAAAGGCTTTTATTTTTCTATTGATCTTGAGAAATGTTATGATCCCTTAGAGGAGACAAGGATGCCAGAAGATCCAGGCATTTTAGAAAATCTTGTAAGAGCAGAAGTTTTGGACATACTTCCCAGCAGAATCCAGGAGAATATAATTGCTATTTCCCCATACCCCATTGTGATATGAGGATATTAGTAGTAGAAGTGGTTATATGCATTGTCATGGCACATACAGTTTCTGTGAAACTGTAATTATTATATCAGAGAGAGCTTCCCATCAAAGCACAGTAATGGATGAAAACCCTGCAAAATTATAGAGGAAGAGGAAAAAAATTTGAAAATAATCTGGGGTTCACTAGTTGATCTTTCAATAACATTTGTTGTCTGCCTACTCTGTACAGGTCTGAACTTCGCTTCTTGTAAGTTCATTGTTTTACACTTTTATTCCTCTAAGTATCCATTTTATTTATACTTCAACTTGCATATGACTTTGAAGCCCATCACAAAATGACTAAAAAAGGGGGCTCAATGTGGCAGTCTGGGCAGTAGATGAATCACTCTGTCTTCTGCTACTCCAGGACTCATATGCAGCTTAAATCTTTAGTTGTTAGAAATCTTAGGTAATTTGAAGAGTATATACCATCTTTGTTGAGAACACAGCTTCAAACACCAAGGAGATTTAGATTTAAATAGCCAAAGTTAACAGAATTCAAGAAACAGAAATGGAAACTATTTTAGCTATGTTAAGCATAAAGGGATTTATTACTGGGAATTGGGCCTTTAAACAATCCCTGGAAGAGTTGAAGGGCTTGGCTCTAGACAGGGTCCAGAGGAAAGCTTCTCAGAAGAGTAACTCTGAACTGTGTCTCCAGAAGAGTTGTAACCTCCTTTCCATCAGAAAGATGTGAAATCTGGACCTATTACTAGAACTGCTGAGTTCAGGATCACATCACTGTAGAAGAGAAAGAGAGATTTGGGAAGCTGCTGCTGCCACCACACCATTGCCTCACCAAACTCACAGAGCTAGTACCTAGATACAACCATGCTTTTAAGCAGCAACAGAAATATGTGTAAGAAGATGGCCCTGTTCTTATTTAGGTTTTAAAAATCTGATTCAAGTACCTCTATATGATGAAATAATTTTGCACTTAGGACCCTGATTGTAAGGACATCTGGGAACTGTAGATTTCGGATGTCTAGACCCTACAGTACAGATGGATCACCAGAAAGAGGCAAAAATGCGTTATCTAGCTCCACATATACTTGTCATCATAATAGATATGCATTTAATAATTAGAGTAGTTATTATTTTGAGACAATCAAAATCATGTAGTAATATTTTGTGCTTAAATAGTACCTGTTAATTGATATTGTATGTACCTATAATGTTTAATATTATGTATTTTAATATTCATACTATTTATATTTTTAGTAAATCTACATATTTTTAATGTGGCCTATTAGAATAACCATATTGAACTCTAATTTTAGAATTTGTAATTAAGCTATAAATTTACAAATGGAATTTTGTTTAATATTACTAAATGTATTTAGAGTGTTGGATCACCTAAAAGAATTTTGCATTCACTGTATTCATAAAGTTATTTATTGCATTTATAAGAATTATATAATAATATGGTAGATTTTCTATCTAATCAGACAATGAAATTTATGGAGAAAATCAAACATATAGAATGTATAATTATGTTTTGAAATGTGAAAGTAATTAAACTGTTTAAATAGGACAAAACATTGTTCATATTATGTACAAGCTGACTGCAATACTTGAAAATATAATAAGATTTATAATCTAAGTTTAAAAGATTAAGAAAGCACAAGGGATTTAAATTTGAACTTTCATAATTTGCATGCTAAATCTTAAAAATGAAATAAAAGCCCAAACATATAAAGAAGTATTAATACACATTTTTTACAAACTCTCCCAAAAATTAAAGAAGAAAACAATTCTCAACTAATCCTTTGAGACCATTATTGCCTCAATATCAGAAGCAAAGGTACACAGTAAAAGAAAACTATAGACCAACATAGATGCAAAAATCCTCGCCAAAATACTGGAAAAATGAGTCTAGTAACATATAAAAAAGATTATCCATCATCAACCAGTGGGATTATTCCCAGAAATGCAAAGTTGGCTTAATATCTGAAATCAATCAATGTAACCCACCATATCAATAGTTAAAAAGCAAAAATCACAACATCATTGCAATAAAAGCAGAAAAAACCACTTAATCAAATCAAATGCTCTGTCATTATAAGAACCATCAACAAACTATGATTGGGAAAAACTTTTTAAACTTCACAAGGGGCATAGACAAAAACTCCAGGGTTAAGCCTCTAAAATGAGGAACAAGACAAGGATAACTGCTCTTTCCATTGTTATTTAACATCATACTGGAAATTCTAACCAAGACAAAGAGGCAAAAGTAAGAAAGTAAGTAGAAAGAAAAACAGGAGGGAAGGGGAGGGGAGGGGAGAGAAGGGAAGGGAAAAAGGAAGGAAGAAAATGCCTCCAGATTGAAAAGGAGACAGTGAAATTATCTCTATTTACTAGTGACATAATCTGGTATATAAAAATATTGGCCGACTGTGCCTGTAATCCCAGCACTTTGGAAGGCTGAGGCAGGTGGATCATAAGGTCAGATGTTCGAGACCAGCCTGGCCAATATGGTGAAACCCCATCTCTACTAAAAATACAAAAATTAGCCAGGTGTGGTGGCACATGCCTGTAGTCCCAGCTACTCGGGAGGCTGAGGCAGAAGAATCGCTTGAACCCGGGAGGCGGAGGTTGCAGTGAGCCGAGACCGCAACACTGCACTCCAGCCTGGGCAACAACAGAGCAAGACTCCATCTCAAAAAACAAAAATCTTAAAAATCCTGGAATTGGGTTTTGATTTCCTCCAGTATGTCAGTGATCTTCATTTCTATCTATATTTGAATTCTGCTTATGTTACTTCAGCAATCTCAGTCTGGTTAAGAATCGTTGCTAACGAAATAATATGGTTGTTTGGAGGTAAGAAGACACCTTGGCTTTTGAGTTGCCAGAGTTCTTGCTCTGATTCTTTCTCATCTTTATGAGCTGATATTCCTTGTTCCTTCAGTCTTTGAACTTGCTGCTTATGTATCCTGATCCTGAAATAAAAGTTAAAACAATTAAAATAATAAGAAATTCACCAAAAAGTATTAAAATAATAAACGAGGTAACAATATTTCAGGATGGAAAATCAATATAGAGAAAACAATTGTATTTCTATATATTAACAATGAACAATCTAAACTAAAAATGAAATTAAGAAAAAAACTGATTTATAATATAATTAAAAAGAAAGAATTTGGGAATTAATTTAACAAGACAAGTGCAATATTTGAATTCTGAATGCTACAATACGTTATTGAAATAAATTAAAGAAGACATAAACAAATGTTAAGATATCTCATGTTCATGGAACAGATAACATCCCAAACTTATCTGCAGATTCAAATCAAATCCTTTAAAAATTCCCAGCTGCCCTATTTTTTTTTTTTTTCAGAAATTGACGAACCAATCCTAAAATTTATGTGGAAATGCAGGGGATCTAGAATAGCAAAATCAGTCTTGAAAAAGGAAACATGAATTTGGAAGACTCACGTTTCTGGATTTAAAAACATACTGCAAGCTACAGTAATCAAGACAGTGTAGTACTGGTATAAAAATAGACATGTAGATCTATGGATTACAGTAGAGACCCGGGAAGTAAAACTGCACATTAGTGACCAATTGATTTTCCATGAAAGTGTCGAGAAAATTCAGTACAAAAGATTTTTTCAACAAATGTTACTAGAAACAATGCATATCCACATGCCAAAGAAAGAATTTGTACTCTTTGTTTGCACTGTACAAAAATTAAGTCAAAATGGATTATAGATATATATGGAATAGCTAAAATTATAAAGTTATTAGACAAAAACATTCGTATAAATCTTTGTGACCTTGGATTGAGCAATAATGTCTTAGAGACAACATTAAAAGCACAAGTGACAAGACCAAAAAAAAACCAGAATTTTTTTCAAAATTAAAAACTTTTGGCAGGGCGTGGTGGCTCACGTCTGTAATTCCAGCACTTTGGGAGGCCAAGGCGGGCGGATCACGAGGTCAGGAAATCGAGACCATCCTGGCTAACACGGTTCTCTACTAAAAATACAAAAAAAATTAGCTGGGCGTGGTTGCAGGCGCCTGTAGTCCCAGCTACTTAGGAGGCTGAGGCAGGAGAATGGCGTGAACCAGGGAGGCGGAGCTTGCAGTGAGCCGAGATTGCGCCACTGCACTCCAGCCTGGGCGACAGAGCAAAACTCCGTCTCGAAACAAAACAAAACAAAAAACAAACAAACAAAAAAACAACAACTTTTGCGCTGCAAATGACACCATAGAAGGAAAAGACAACCCACAGAATGGAATAAAGTATTTTACAAATTTTGTATCTGATACAGAATTATATACAGAATATATAAAAACATTTACACCTCAATAATATAAATTTGAATAATGTAATTTTTAAATGGACAGAAGATCTGAATAAATGTATTTTTAAAGAAGATATACAAATGGCAAATAAGCACACATGAAAAGATGCTTATCATCATCCATTAGGTAAATGCAAATGAAAACCAAAAGGAGATACCAAATCACACCTATTAGGATGGCTATAATCAAAAATAAAAATAATAACATGTTGGCAAGGATGCGGATAAATTGAAATCCTCATACATTGCTGATGGGAATGTAAAATGATGCAGTCACTTTGGAAAACAGTTTGTCATCTCCTTAAAATAATAAGCAGAGTTACCACGTGACCAGGCAATTCCACTCTTAGGTGTATACTCAAGAGGAATTATAACACATTCGATACACAGGTGTTCACAGCAGCATTATTCATAATTAATTGCCTAAAGTGGAAATAACATATCTATTAATTGATAAATGGATTAAAAATGTGGTATATCCAGAAAAAGTAATATTATTTAGTAATTTTTTAAAAAATGAAGTACCGATACATGATACAGTATCATGGATACTGTGGATCAACCTTGAAAATATTCGAAGTGAAAGAGGGCAGTTACAAAAGACTACATATATTATTATTCCATTTATATGACATGTCCAAAATTGGCAACTATATAGAGATAGAAACTAGACTAGTGGTTTACTATGGCTAAGAAGGGGAGGGGCGATTAATGGTTTGAGGGAGGAGGGAATAAGAAGAATGACAAATGACTGCTAATGGGTACAGAATGTCTTTTGGGGTAATGAAAATGTTCTAAAAATAGATAGTGGTGATAGTTGCTCAACTATGAACATATTAAAAAGTATTGAATTGTATACTTTAAATGGGAAAAATGATTCTAAACAAATAATATTCTAAAAAGTATTTTCTGTTATCCAAAGTTTGAGGCTACCAAAAAAATTTAGCAATTGTTTCTGTTTATAAGCTTTAGAATTTTTTTCTTTTTAGACTTGTCATATTTTTCTTAATATGAATATTCTAACTTTTTAAATTAGTTTTTGTCAGTGTAAAAGAGTCTGAAAGTATTCTACATGCAATTAAAATGTAGTTTGTATCTTAAACACAATGGATCTTCAGAGAATAGATACTTTACAAGTGCAATTATTTTCCTCAAAATTGTAAAGTTGAAAACTGGAAAGTATAAACTCAATACAGACAAAATACTTTCAATGGTGTTCTTTGACAAATTTTTCACTCACTGGCATATAACTATGTTCTACTTCTATTTTTGAATGAGCCAATATTATTTTTTTTTGCAGAATATCTTCCATTTTGGGGATTTATTAATTTATTCATATTTACCTTTGCATCTGTTGATATTAACTCCATTCTTATTCCTAATTTTGAATACTTTTTTATTTTCTCTCTTTTTTTGTCTAGCCCTACCGCCTGTGTACATATATATAATTTTATATATGTATTTATTTATCTATAACTACCCTTTGAACTATACATAGAAGGAGATATAATTATATTAAAATGGTTCAAGTTCTACATGACTTTAAAATAAAAAAATATTAAACTTAACTTTACTGGAGTTTAACAGCAACAAAAGAAGAAATAAGTAAAACTGTAGGAACTGCTGAACATCAGAAAATGCTTTCTTTACTTTGAGAAATATTTGTTCCTAAAAAATTCCCCTAGGCCATATATAGAAAACTGATGGCTTTGGGACCTAACACAGCATACAGATACTTTTTTGTTGCTGCTTTTTGGCCTGCCTAGTGTAGGCCTACACAGTGTTCAAAATTTGAATTAGTTGTCAACATTTTAAAATAAGGAGTTTTCTCATACAAATCTGGATCCAACGTGTACCATAATTGGAAGCTCCGGCAATGCCATCCCACAGTCCCACATGGCAGGGGCCTGCAGGAGCTAAGGAGCAGCAGGTTCTTTACATGGAGACCGTACTCTCCCTTTCAGCCCAGCTCACAACGTCTCTCTGTTTCCCCAGCACGGCCCTGGGTGTCAGTTACTGGTTGCCATCTATCATCTTACACATTTCTGCCTTATTGATTCAATTACTTCTAGGCTTTTGATTTTGTATTCTCAACTCTTGGCTATTCATATTACTGTATTAGTTGTCAATGACATTGACCCATCTCGTTCTTAGTATTTGTTCCTGCTGCTGTCATCTTCTGCATCTCCTGTCATCTAAAGCCACCAAATACCTATTATTTCTCTATCCCTTCCAGTTCTCTGCTCTGTACAGCGTAATGTTACATCAGATAATGTTAACCATTTCTCAGTGTCTTGTTAACTCACTCCCTTTGGTGTCCTGCAGTTAACCTAGCACACCCATGTCCACTAATTCTTCTCTTACTGAAGTGAAGATAGGGTATCTTCCACTAGAACACCCCACACTAAATCATGGTACTCAGGTAGTCCAAACAGTACTTAAACTGCATATCATCGCTATCTCTTGTCTTAGAAAATTACTACTCTCCTTTTGTTTCGTCTAAGCAATGTCTCTTTTAGGAATTATGTTCCTATCTGCATTTGTATATCATGCAATTATTAACTTTATATATAAATTTCAAGGTGCATTTGAATACACGTAACAGAAAACCCGCTTCCAATTTCTTTGAAGAATAAAGAACTGTATTGGCTTATATAAAAGTACAGGGTAGGGCACATTGATTCAGTGGCCACAGTTCTATTTTTGTTGTTTTTTAGTTTCCTTAGACACATGAATGAACACAGTCATGCTGTCAGGAAGAGGAAAAGGAAGACTGATAAATAGTAAGTATTCAGCAATATTCACCACAATCAAATGGTTCAGCCACCACATGTACACGTATATCTTTCCTCCTATATGTAGATACCACATCCTCTTGGACAAGAATATACCTGAAAGAGAAATGAGATCCTTGGTTAGCCAAATTGGCAGTACTTAGTTCCACTGGTAGGATGGATCTCTGTCTATTTTCTTTCATGACCGCATTGAAAATGGACATGGAAGAGTGTGTCCTTTCTAGAGATGGTGTGACGTTTGTAGTCCAGTCCCAGTAGGTGCAAATCTGAGGGACTGGAGATGTCCTGTGTTTGAGCAGTTAAAGACTGTTTTGAGCCAGGCCTGGAATATCTTTGGCAGTACAGCTCCCTTAAAAAGTTAGTAGGCTTTGATCTTTTGCATGCAAAAAATTAGCAAGCATGGTCTCCACAGTAGTTTATCTGGTCAAAGTCTGATTCTGATCATTTCATTTTCTTCGCAACAAGCTTCTGTTTGCTGTCCATTCCTTTGGACCTTGATTGGCACCTTTATCTTAACCGCTGCCTCGGAGCAATTAAAAAAAAACCCTTAGGTACAAGGACACCATAACTTTCATAATTACCCCCAGATTAAATTCTATCTGCATATTCTGAATGGCATGGCTAACTACTTCATCGGTTGGGAATGTTTAGCAGAATTTTCTTGAGAGAGGTCTGAAGAGTAGGCTCACGTTGTATACTAATCTTGTCAACCTTCCAGGTCTCCTATTATCCTGAATTGTTAACAAAAACTTCACCTTGGGGATAAGACTTGGCATTCCTTTCCCTATCAAACTCCACATTAGTGTATTTGAAATAATTTGCTTTTCCGAGCAGAGGCAGAAAAGAATGATATTTTCTTCCATACCTTCTCTTATTTGCAGAACGTTCAATTTAAGCCAATCCAGTATCTATACTGTAGACCTCAGTGAAGGCTGGAAGACTAATCCAACACAATCTGACATCCTGATTCTTTCCAATCACCTTTATGTTCCACCCTCTGTGAGTACATAATCATTTCCTAAGGCAGAAGAAGTGTTGTTATAAATTACTTTTCTATAACTGCATAACAAAGACCATCAACTTCCTAGTTTAAGAGGAAGGTATCCTTTTCACTGACCTCTTTTACCTTGATTCAGCACCATACACTTGCCATCATGTTTTCTACCCACTCAGAGCACAATAGCTGCAAGTAACAGAAAACCAGGTCAGAGTATCTTAAACAATAAGAAAAAAAACTGAATCTCATAAACTGAAGTCAGAGCTAGGGTGGGCTTCACAAAGCTACCATGATATCCTTCCTAGACTGATGCAATTCCCTGATACCTTGTCTGTGTACATCTGAATGTGTCCCCTACATCACTTCTCCATATAGCAGTCACAGCGATCTGTTGAAAATTAAAATTAGATTATGTTCTTCCCTGATCAAAACACTCTACTGACTTCTCATCGCAATTATAATAAAATCCTTAATCCTTCCCATAGCCACAGACACTATTAGGACCCCTTTAGAGCTCCCCTCTAGATTTCTTACGCCACCTATGTAATAGGACCCCTCTAAAGCTCTCTAGTCCTATCTGCTGATGCTCGTCTCTCACTCACTCCACACTGGCTATAGTATCCCATTTTGATGTTTCTTCATTGTGACAAGCTTGTTCCTTTCTTAGGACCTTGACATTTGCTACTGCATAGGCCCAGAATGCTCCTACATGGAGCCTTGCAGGCACCACTTACTGTATTATCAGAGTTCTCCAGAGAAACAGAACCAATATGATTTGTGTGTATATATAGAAAAAGATTTATTGTAAGTAATTGACTCGTGATTATGGAGGCTGGCAAGTCTAAAATCTGCAATATTGGCCAGCAGCCTGGAGACCCAGGACAGCCGACGGTACAGACAAATTTTGAATGCCATCTGTTGGAGATTTCCCTTTTTGTTCTATTCAGGCTTTCAGCTGATTGGATGAGGACCACCCACATTATGGAGGCCATTCTTGTTTACTCAAAGGTCATGGATTTAAATGTCAGTCTCATCCAAAAATATCTTTCATGTTGACACATAAAATTCACCATCACACTCACATACTCTTTCAGATCTGTGCTCATTCATGACCTTTCAAAAAGAAATTCCTCAAAGCCCCTATTGAAAAATTCCACTAATTTCTGTGTCTTCTATACCTTTATCATATTTTACTTCACTTCATAGCTTTTTTCAACATCTAAACTTATATTACATATTTATTTGTTATGTACCTGTTACCTACCTCCATTTCTATAATACAGGCATTATTCTTGTTTACCACCATTTCTATGGGATACAAACAGTAATTATATAGTAGATGCTTAATAAACTCGAGTCAAACTTTTATATTCACCTGGGAATCAAATGCAGTCCTTCTTATCCAGGAGATGGCTCAGAATAATTGAAATTACACAGAATAATTGAAATACACACAAAAAATTGAAAGATTTTTCTAAATCATATTGGCTACAGTGTGTATTTTTCTACTTTCTCTCACCCCACCCTTCTCTGCTCTGAAATACTGAGAATAGGGGTATACAAAATGCATTCCTTAGCCTTTCTTGACAGCAGACCTCTACTCACATCATTCCAAGAGAAGACACTAGTGGAGGGATGAGATTGTCTCACGGGAGAAGCTATTGTTCTTTTCTCTTGCTCTTCTTCTGGCAGCATTTTTGAGTGACTACATCCTTTCCACCCAACAGCAATCCACCTTCAGCTTCAATGGTCCCTCTTGCATGGTTCTAGGACAAGCTGCAGGCCTTCTTCGTCATGGTTTCAGCACTGTCTAAACTAGCTACCCTAGCAGGGAAGCACTGAGTGTTCTTCTGGGCTCTGATTACACCGTTTTGTCACTTTTGTTTTCCAAGAACTTGATGAAGCAGCCACTGTCAGCAATTACTAATCTGTGGTGTACTTTTTATTTTACTTCTCTCAGACTCAATACAATGTAACAAGGCTCCTGAATTAGACCTCTAAATTACAGTCTATTGTTTTAAAACAATAAGGTACTCTCCTTTGTTTTTGTTTTTGTCTTGTTAATTCAGTGATGTGATTCTTGGGTTAGGTAGCTTGTACAGTTTGAATATAATGATGACCTTATTACCCATGGAAAATGGGTTACTGCTAATCCATGACATGCCATGACATCACATTTACCAAATTATCTGTTGTGGCTTTATTCAAAGTTTATTTTTCTGTTTATTTATTTATTTGTTAGATATGGAGTCTTGCCCTATCACTCAGTCTAGCTGGTCTTAAATTCCTGGCCTCTTGGCTGGTCTTAAACTTCTGGCCCACCTCTGCCTCCTGAGTAGCTGGATCTATAGGAGTGAGCCACTGCATTCAGCTTATCTGTTGTTGCTTTAGATAAAAGGCCTTCTTAAGGCAAGGCTCTGTAAAATAAAGTGGTCAATGCATTCAACTGCCGTAATAGTGATGATGACTACTAAAGACTGTGGGGAAAGATTTTTTTTCTCTAATACTGCACTAGATTGCTTATAGAAACAAAATTACAAGCCCAGTGCTTTAAAATCTTAGTTCAAGGCAGGTCAGGGAACCAGGGAAATTTCACTGTGGTCTTAAAATATTTGCTCATTTATTGTAGTTTCAGGGAAGATCACAAATCCCATCCCAAATCTAAAAGTGAAAATTCCAGAATTACAATGTAAGTTGAATTTACTGCCTCATCATGTATCTTATGTGAAACTAAAAGCACATGATCTTGTGTATATTTTAGAGCATTAATTGGGAAAGAATGGGACTCTGGGGTTTGAAATAGGGATATTTGGGTAGATGGAGGTGAATCCGACGACCCTGAACCCTCAAATCTCATTGAACTTTCTATTGCTAGCAGAAATAGTCTCCCATATTCAAGGATATTAGTCTTTTTTTTTTTTTTTTTTTAGTTCAAGGCCCTGCAATTACCTCCCCTAAGGAAGTTACTTTCAAGTGGATGCCTGTTCATAAGACCTATCCCCACCATGCTTCACTGCCTTCAAAACTGCAGTTTGAGTCTGATTTTAGCAAACACCTGGGGCACAAGTATACAATCTTACCCAGGGAAATGTGACTTAAATACAAAAAGTTATTGTAAGAGTATTATTAGTTTTACTCATTTTAGCTAAAATTTGGAGAATATGTGTGGGAAAGATTCTAAAGATTTTGGAAGAAAGAAAGATTTACAGAGATTCTTTTTGCCATGTGCTATCTTGAGTAGCTAGGAATGGCTCAACTGTGGACACAACATCAGACTTTAATGTGGCTTATATTTAATAATGTTGAGAATGTACAACTTCTTGGCATAAAAGTGAAGAAAAATTCTACAGCTTTGGGATACAAAAATAACAGACTGCATTTGTGATTTGCGACTTGGTCATTCCCTGTCACACATAACACTCCCTTCATTCAGGTTTTGAGAAATGCATTAGTGAGAGAAGTACTAGAATCCTCAAAACTGTGATTGAGGTGGTGAATATGAATACAGATGGAAGAAGATGGCTTATGAACTGATAATCGTTGAAGCTGAGTGCTGGGGTAATAGTGGAATAATTATGCTATTTCTATTCTTTTATATAATTTTATAATTATCCATAGGAAAATTAAAGGAGATGAGTTTTGTGGTGGCTGTCTTTTGTTGGCTGGGGATGATATTGGAAAACACCAACTTTGAAACAGGCTCCCTAGCTTTAGTGGAAATCATGAAATTCCTAAATAACAGAAGCTTAGTGAAAATGCTTAACTACCACAGAAAATGTGTACATGATGACCTGGTCTGTTGATGTCATCTAGATTGCAATTTCCTAGACTCTTTAGGGCTTGATCAATGGGCTCATGTATAAAGTGGCCACAGAAGCAAGTATAGAGATTCTGCAAGGGCTCAACAATATAGACCTTCTCTTACCAAAGCGATTTGACTACCATCCTTGCTGTGTGCAGGCACAAGTTTAACAGCAGAGGTCCAGCTCATATCCCGATATGGCACTATTCCTTGGGGAGACCAGGCAACCACCTGGTATCAGAGTGATTGCTCTGCCATTTATTTTGGGTATTTCATCTGCTTTTTCTGCTTCCAGTGCCTCTTCTAGCACCAACATTTTTTTTATTATGAAAATAAGCCCTCACAAAGAACAGGGCTCATAGTTGCAGGCACAAGGGAAAATGGTTGTTAATTTCTCTTCTTATTTACTGTATTAGGGTAAAACAATATCATATATGATGTCTAATAAGAACTGATACTACGTGGTATATGGAAACACTCGAAATGTAGATTATTGTCCCTTAGCTGGTGCCAGAAGCCACCATCAGAAGGCCTTTGGCGTGTCATATTCACCATCAAGACGTTCTGTACTACATTGCTTCTGACCAAAGAACTTATTACAAAGCAAAAGAAGTGCAGCAATGGTGTCACACAATTCCCTGATCTTACTACATACTTATTGGCTTAGAAGCAGCTGCCTTAACAGAAACATAAAATGCCCTACTGACATATTAGATACTGTGCCAGCTGAGAGACAATAATTTACAAATGTAGGATGTTTCCATACACTATGTAGTATCAGCTTTTACTAGACATCATATATGATATTGTTTTACCCTAATACATTAAAGAAAGAGAAGTGAACAGCTATTTTCCCCCAATGCCCACAATTGTAGGCTGTGTTTGTTGTGAGGGCTTATTTTCATAATAAAAAATGTTTCAAATGTTGGATATAATTCTTTCATTGAAATGGAAGTTGATCCACTACCCGGCCATTTTGGGTCCTTATTCTACTGAACCAACAGAAAAATAAGGAATTACCATGATTTTTCAGTGATTGATCCTGATTACCAAGGAGAAGTTGAGTTGCTGCTCTATAGTGGAGACAGAGAGAATTATATCTGGAATGAAGGAGGTTTCCTGAAGCGCTCTAAAGTTCAATGGGAATAATTGTTAGAAGCTTAGACAACCCAAAGAGGCTACTCCACTAAGGACTCAGACCTTCAGCAATGAAGATTTGGCTCATTCCCATCAAGTGAGGACGATATTAACTGAGATTGTGGCTGGGGGCAAAGTATCATGGAATGGGTGGTAGATAAAGAAAGTTATTCTAATGTGAGTACTAAAGCATACCACTATATATGTGAATATGTGAACTACTGTTTTTTTTTCCTTTATCTCTTTTAATATAAGGAGTAAAGATAGTGGTTAAATTTACAGTTTAATCTTTTTTTGTTTGTTTGTTTTGTTTTGACGGAATCTTGCTCTGTCACCCAGGCTGGAGTGCAGTGGTGTGATCTCAGCTCACTGCAACCTCCGCCTCCCGGTTTCAAGCAATTCTTCTGCCTTAGCTTCCCAAGTAGCTGGGACTACAGGCACATGCTACCACACACGGTTAATTTTTGTATTTTTAGTAGAGACGGGCTTTCACCATATTGACCAGGCTGGTCTCACACTCCTGACCTCAGGTAATCTGCCTGCCTCAGCCTCCCAAAGTGCTGCGATTACATCCGTGAGCCACCGCACCCGACCTACAATTTAATCTTTAATGACGGAGTATCTGGATGGACTTGTGACTTTGGATGAAAACTCATAGGTGGCATATAAGTCATAAGATTTTGCCTATTCCACTTTTGGGGACAATGTGAGGGTATCTTTCATTATATAAAGAGTGGATGCATCTTGATCAGGAGAAACATCATGTCATTGTCTTTTTAGTTGTATTAAAATTTAAGTACAGTGAAAAGGGTGTATATGGAGGCTGAGTTGCCAAAGAGTTGAAAGTGTTGATTATTTGACTACTTTGCCGCTTTTCCCACCATTCTTTAATTTTGTTCATAATTCTATGGTTGGGGAATCTGGATATTAAATTTTCTAGGCTCTGTTTCCAGCTGGTTTCTTAAGTTATATCCATAGGAGACACTGGGAGAAGACAGGAAGGCAGGAAGAGAGGAGATGCTATTGTAGTGTGACATCTTTCTTTCTCTTTCTGGTAGCACCTCTGGATTTAGATGCACTCCTTCAAGGACCATGGGTTCTGCAACAGTACCCCCTCTCCATTGTTCCAGCTCTGACTCAGATGGGCCCTCCTTGATGGCACTCCCAGCAGCACAGCCTTAGCACTGGTAAGACATCTCTTCTCTTGTGGTTCATACCCTAGCAGCAGTAGATGTTTCCTAACGTTGCTAATCGTTGGTTTTTTTCATTTTTTCTTCTTCACTCTCCCAACTTTTCTAACACCTGCATAATCAGTTCCTTATTTTAAATTCTACGTGTTTGAACTGTCTACAGTTGTTTACCTTTTTCTTCCTGGGCTTGGACTGATACAGTCATAAAACGACTGATTTATTTCCTTGCTCTACACTAAAATGCAATTAAGATTGAAAGAAAAGTGGACATTTCTTCTATTAGCTCTCTTTAGAAGTTAGTTATTTTTCAGAATCCATTAAAAACTTCTGTTTTTGTTCCATGCTCCCAAACTCCATAATATGTCAATTTCTATATCAAAATCTGTGACCATAGAATGAAATACGGCAATGAGCTAAGGCCTGAATTTCTCAACCAATGCCTGTGGAAGTCCAGTTAGACAAGGTCGGCTCCTGGAGCCAGAGGTGAGATTAACCTCAGGCTAAAGCATGTGGGCTGCATTATGGAAAGGTGTACAGTTGTTAGAGTGGGAATAGATGGGAATAGACATTGGATAATCCATAAATAGTGTGCTCTGTGCACTCTCATTACATTATATTGCATTTATCTCGAGTTGTCAGTTTGTCTCATTAAAGTATGAGACTGTTAATGGTACAAACTGTGTCTTTTACCTAAATAATCAACATTGAGAATTGTGGCTGTCACCCAATACACAAGTGTCAAAATTGTCTTGAATGGAGGAATGAATCAATGTGCCAGAGCTTTTGAATAAGGTTGAGTTTAACAAGATTGGGTTTGAGCCTTTAGTAAGAATGTCATAATAATACACAATGTAAACAGGCACTGGAACAATAGTGTTTGTAGAATTGGAGATCTATTAGTTCAGTGGCATTTATATTTTTTAATCAGCCAAACACTTTTTCAAATGAAATACTACAGGAAAATAATGTGTGTGTGCATGTGTGCATTTGTATGTAAATAAGGACATTTCTATGTCTTTGAAATTACCTCTGTAGAGGTAGGTGGTTTAAAACTTTGTTCGATGGAACATATATTTTTTTCTAACTCCCTAAAGCTCCTTTGCAAAGTATATTGGTGCATGTGTTACAAGTTAAAAAAAAAAAAAGGAATTTCTTCAACCACGTCCAAGCTGAGTTAAGTTGACTTATACAAAGGAATTGTTTCTCTTCCATCAGCAGGGAGGTATCAGAGTGCTGGGAAGAGCAGTATGGACCATGGAGTCAGACTGCATAGGCTATAAACCCACCTGTACCACCTGCCAACTCTATGACATGGTACAATAATTATACTCAGAACCTCAAAATTAGAGGTACTCTTCACATCAACATCTTTAAGATGAGGAATTTGAAACACAGAGTGTTTTCATCTTAAAAATGTGGTTGATATTGGTAATCTTTGGAAAAGCTAATGTGTAGAAACCTCTTAATATCACCAGTAACTATTCTGTAAGTATTATCTATCATTATTATACATCATCAAAACATATTTGGTAATTCAAAGTGGTAGAGGAAATACCTCTGTATTCTGGATATCAGGAGATTCTGTCCCAAATCGTTTTCACTATGGTATTCAGGACTGTTTGTGAAATATTTTGATTGCCAGGCACATGGTGGTTTTGTACTTCAAAGCATCTTGTGGTCACAGGAGTTATGTGACTAGTTTTGCCCTAATATACGAGTCACTCCAGGGCCAGACCAATTAATTTATTTCTTTCCCTGTATAATAGTCATGAATTAGATTCCAGATAGCGGCTATTCAGTTAGCTTGGGTCTCAGAAAGGGAATCTTGTATAAACAGAGCTATCATGTAACCCTCTGAAATCTGGGTGTTATTTCTTACCTCAGCATAACCTACTCCATATGGTTAATTCAGCAATTGACTAGTTTCGTGATTATGGGAAAGAAAAACACATTGAGTCTCAGTTTTGCCATCTGAAAAATAAGGAGGCTGGATAGGAAAAAACTATCACGAAAGTCTCTTTGAGTTCTAAAATTATGTATTCACTGATAAGAATAAAAGTGGCAGTGAGGATACTGCGGTTTGAATGTGTCCCTTAATGTTCATGTGTTGCAAACTTAATCCACAATGCAACAGTGTTGAGAAGTGGGAACTTTTAGAGGTGTTTAGGTCATGAATGGATTAATGCCATTACTGAGGGTGTGGTGAGTGGACCCATTATCAAGGAGTGGGTTCCTGATAAAAGGAGAATTCAGCCCCCTTCCTCTCCTGATCTCTCGGTTGCTGTCTCTTGCCTTTCCACCATAAGATAATGCAGCAAGAACGCTCTCACCATCTGTGACCCTTCGATCTTGGACTTCCCATCTTACAGAACCATGAGCCAAATAAATTTATTTTCTTTATAAATAACCTAGTCTCAGACAGTTTGTTATAGAAGCAAAAAACAGACTAAGAAGAGGATCAGACATTTTTTAAATCAAGGAAGAACAGAAATAAGCTCATTAATAAGCTGTGAGTCAAAGAACAGGAGAGTAAGGTGAAAACTAAGGTCAGCTGTTTCCCAAAGCATGTTCCTTTGAATCTAGCCACGAGATATATTTTGTGAGAGAGGCTTCCTTGTTCATATAAGTGTGGGAAATGCTACACATATTTCTCTTAAATGAACTTCATGCACATTATTGTTTTCTGTGTATTCACTAAAGAAAAACCTTTAAATGCTTTTCACCCAGCACACGCCAATACAATTTATTGTGGAAATCACTCTTCAAATAACTTCACAGTGATGAATGGGCTGAGCAGCTGTAATTTTTGTTTGTGCAGTATACTTACTTTCCCATGTCCTTCCTCAACATCTTTTCAGGAATTTCTCCTCTTCCTGCATAAGGTCACAGGAGTGAACATATGAACCAGAGTGTGCTATTCCTCTGGTCACAGTCATCTGTGACACAAATATGAACACAAGGCTCCAGCAAGTATAATCATATCCCTTGCCATGATTAATATTTTTGATGATCCCCTGGACTAGCTTAGCCTCATATATACACACCTTAGACTTCTCAGGTATGTGAGCCAAAATTTCCTTTTTGCTCAAAACTTAAATTGGACTTCAGTCATTTGCTTTTGAAAGAATTAAGACTGAAACTATTCTTCCATAGAGCAGATACAGGAAAAACATGCTCCAGGGTGACAATTGAGAGTAAAATGACACAATTTCAAAATGTATTAAACAGACAGCAGTCTCGGCTTTCTCCTAAAGGGAAAGTAAATCTATTAGGGAACCTGAAGATGAGAGAGATACAATTACTATGAGAAGACATATTAAAGCTTATTCTTTCTTTTTAAAGAAAAAGATTAATTGGAAATAAAAGATGATAGAAACAGATTCAAATTGGTCAAAAGACACTGAGGAATAATATTATTTTACTGCTTGATTAATTGACTCATTGATATTAGAAGTATTAATTAAAGCAAGTATACAGCTCTATTTATGGACAACAGTGTGCTAAAACATGTCAAGTATTATTTCATAAAATTCTCACAAGAAAGTCATGAAGATAGATAAAAATTGCCTCCATTTTGCAGACTGGAAAACTGAGTGTCATAGACATTAAAAAACTTGTCCAATGTCACAAACTAGAATATGGTACATTCTACCTATATAAGGTTATGGTTGAAATGTTTCAACAAGCAAAAGATAAAACAATTACACACATGGATCCCAAAACACTCATTCTGTTTACTTGAAAACATATATATATATTCACCATTGCAGTATATATATATATATATATATATATATATATATATATATATATATATATATATATATAAACAATTACCTAGGGATACAAATGATAAATATGTTTGAAAAAATGAAAATTAGAGTTAGAAACTACTGGTACAAAACAAAAAACTTAAAACAAGTTATTTTAATTTTTTAATAGTAAAAGGAATACATAAAACGACAAAAGTGAAAGTTTCATTGGTTGTTTCTCAGACAAGAGAAGAAATCTGCAGCTAGATTTGTAGGAAAAAGCTGGACCATATGAGGAGAAATCCAGGGGTTCAATTGATACATAATAAATATAGTGACAGGGTCTGAAATATTTAGGAGGTCCTTAAAAGATGAAATTGCTATAGCATCTTTATTCATAATTGCCAAAACTTGGAAGCAATCTAGATGACCTTCTGTAGGTGAGTGGATAAGTTGTGGTAAATAGAGACAACTGAATATTATTCAGTGCTAAAAACAGAGCTGTCAAGCCATGAAAATACATGGTGGAATCTTACATGCATATTACTAAGTGAAAGAAGCCAATCTGAAAAGGCTACATATTGCATGACCCCAACTCTATGACATTCTGGAGAAGGCAAAACTTGGAGACAGGAAAAACACCAATGGTTTCCAGGGGTTAGGAGCAAGAAAGAGAAGAATAGACAGAACACAGAGTATTTTTAGTGAGTAAAACTAGTATGATACCATAGTGGTGGATACATGTCGTTATACTTCTTTCAAAACCCCCAAAATGTACAAAACCAAGAGTGAACTCTGATGTAAACTATGGACTTTGGTGATGATGATGTGTCAATATAGGTTCACCAATTGTAACAAACATGCTACTGTGGTCCAGGGGTTGATCACAGGGAGTCGTGCCCTTGTGGGGGCCGGAGGTATATGAAAACTCTTTGTACTTCTCACTCAATTTTTCTGTGAACCTAAAACTGCTCCAAAAAATAAAGTCTATTAAAGCAATGAAATTGCTCAGGAGGGCTTGATAGTGAAATTTCTGGAGCTGACAGACTGAATTAGGGTCCTAGTGTGTAGAGACCTGACATTTAAATGAATAAGCAATACAGAAAATTTTACTTAAGATGCCAATATTGGCTTGGAGTATCCTAAAAATCTAGATGTCATTTGATTGCACATTAAATTGTATTATAATTACATACAGGATCTTCTGCATTTGAACACAATGCCATACCTTTAACAATGATCCTTTTGTTTGATATTTATGTTGGCATAAATTTTTAATATGAGTGAGGGAAAGAAGAAAATTGCTTGTTTTTCTGAGGACTGTATATGTTTATGTCATTGAAATGAAGGACAACACTTAAATCAAGAAAATCAAAAACAATCAGATTCACAAGCAGACTCAAAACAAAAGAAATAAGGGTTTTAAAAAATCCCCTTAGTTTACAATGGGGACAAACAACATGATAGCATTTTAGCATCTAATAATAGCCATTATTTATACAAGCATATTTAGACTGTTATCAGAGGGAAATAAATATGGCTGTAGTAACATTCAATTTGGATTTTCCATAGGGTAGACAGGGTTGAGGGTTCCCCTTTATTCAAAACATAAAAGAGTTAGTAAATTCCTTGGCAGCAGGGAACAAAAATCTCAGCTGCCATTTGCCTGCTGGTGACTGAAACCCATTGCCTGAGTAATTTCTTATCACTGTCTGATTGACAGACCACAGTTTGATGTATTTTGAAGAACTGAGGGAGACCAAGGGTCTGAGAAATCAAAGATGGCTTTTATGCTGGTTTTTTAATAACTCTAATTTAAAGCAATTGCATGAACTAAAAGCTTACAAATATTTTAGAAATGACTTTTAAATGTCTCTCGATAATATTCTACAGTTTTGAAAGTCACTACAAAACAACAAACAAGACAAATCTCATTTTGACTAGACAGCACTTGGTTTACATTATTTTTCTTTTGTGGTCTACATTATTTAATTGCAATTAAAACAAAAATTATAAATGTAAGCCTAATTACAACAATACAAAAAACTATACATGAATCCTTGGAACTTAAAGAGATAAATTTGTCTGGTCACTCTTTGGCCTGTAGTTTTTAGTTTATTCCCTCAGGCCTGACCAGAGTATGAAAAAGATCACAATAATCATTTTTTTAAAAAGTCAATTCTTACGTGCATGCTCTACCTCATTTGACTAGGACAACTTTACTCTTTCCAGATTCTTGGACCATTCAAATTCATAGGTGTCTTCTGCCTCTGGAATGACACTGTATGCAGTATCCCTTTTTATTTAAGCACCTCGCTGGTGCTTACCACATCTTACCACATCAGGGACTTGTGATGCCTCTCTAAATCTTATTCATGCTTCAAAATTCAGCTGAAGGCCTACCTCCTTCCTACCTACTCCAGTCCATAGTATGCACTTTTCATTCTCCACTCTTTATACCTTTTGGCACAAATCATTTGGCGCTCGGCACTTCATGAAGCACATCGTGTGCCTTTAGCGTGTTTCTCCTGTTTCTATAGGCAGTCTAAGAAAAACGCTAGGTGGTAAGAGCACGCGGTGTCACTGTCCGTGGTCCTGAAACATGGTTGCGTGCTAAGATTCTTCTTAAGCCAATATCCGGTGACTCCTGTTCACTTTTTCCCAGGAATTTTTAAATTGGTAAAGTGGTGGGGACAAGAAAAAAGAAAGCCAAAAAGATATTGGGAGAGAAAGATAGAGGCATGGACAGAGGTATCCCTCTCCAGTCATTCCCTAGAGAGAATTAAAAATAGTAGGATTTTATGTAATTTTCAAACAATTGCAGACGCGAACTTGGAAGCAAAAGGGGGGAGGGAAAAATATCAATGGCATAGCCATTGATGAAGGAGAATTTAAAAAATGCATGCACTAAGTGACATAAAGCCATCCAAGTGTCGGCATGAACACACGCACTGATGCTAGTGGACTAGGATACCAAACAGGTAGCATGTTGTGAACTTAGCGTCGGTTGTGTCATACTAAACTTCCACAGATTTTCTTTTTGTTTCTCTCTCTTGATTTAAAACAAAACAAAATTGTCATTTGGCACTGTGGCAGAACAAAGATGACTGTAACTTATATTTCTCATCTGATGTAGCTGTGTACCTTTTTCACTGTTAGCACCTCTGTAACAGTTACATTCCAGCAACATCGAGTCCCAGCTGCCGATGGCTGGCGGCGCAAACACTCCCTGCCCTAGCTATGTAAGTTCCCCAACTACAGTATAACCTCTCAGAGGACGAACATTTTTGGATATCTCAAAATGCCTAAGTACAGTGTCTGGTACAAACTAGGAGCCAAGTAATATCCACTGAATCAAGAAAAGAATCACAATGCCTTCCACGGAGAAAATATTCAACAAAGGCTTGTTAAATGAGCAAATATTCCAGTTGTTTTAACAATTCCATCCTCTTCTAGGTTCTTTTAAAGTCCAAATCTCCCTTCCTCTCCCCTCGGGACTCCACATCCCAACAAACCTCCCTTCCGCGGCAGTCACTACCTTTGCAGCACTCTGGCCCTGCCCTCCTCCTGCCACGTGTCGGACCCCTGCTGGGCTGGCCCTCCTTTCCTACTCTGCGACACCCCTATCCCCCCCGCCCCTATCCTGCCCGCTCCCGCACCCGGTCCCTCTCCCCGGGCCTCGCGACTCCGGCGATTCAGCTCCGGGTCCCCGCCCGCAGGGTAACGCGGTTGTCATGGACACGGCACCTGCGCCCTACGGCGGTGCCCCTTCGCCGCCGTCCCCTCCCCCCACCTGCGGCGCCGAGCCTGCCGCGCCTCCAGAGCTCCGCCCTACCCCGCCCCGCCCTTTCGGGCGCTCCCCAGGCCGCGCGCGCCCGCGGCCCCCCACCCAGCCACCCCTCGATGCCCGGTGCCTTTCCAGGCGCCGCGGAGCCACGGGGACCGCGGGGGCGCGCGAGCGAGCAAGCGGCCGCGCATGCGCACTGGCTGCCTCCCCTAGCGGCGATCCGGGCCGCTGCCGCTCGCGCTTGGGCAGGACGCGGGGCGGGCGGGGGGAGGGGGGAGCGGCTTCGCTTCCAGCCCCGAGTGAGGCGGAGACCCAGGCGGGCGGGCAGAGCAGGCGGCACCGCACCTCGGCCAGAGGCGGCTGCAGCAGCTGCTGCCCTTGTCCCTGCCGCCGCCTCTCCAGTCCCTTCTGTGATTACCACTCCAGCTGCTGGGAACGGGCGAGAAAGAGGAGGAGGCGAGAAACTCCCACCGACCCACAGAGGTGAGTCCCGGGCAGAGCATCCTCCATCCCTGCCTGCCTCCCTCCCTCCCCACCTCCCTCCCATCCTCTCCATCCTCCCCCCTCCCCGCTCCCCAACCCTCCCTCCCTCATCCTTCCCAACATCCCTCTCTCCTCTCCCCTCCTTTCTCCCTTCCAGCCTTTCTTTCATCCCTTTCTTCCTCTCTCCCAGCCCCACTTCCTTCCCACCCTTTCTTTCTTCCCCGTCTTCCTTGCAGCCACTCGCCCTAGAGCACAGCTCTGCATCCCTTTCCTCTTGTCTCCATCTCTTCTTCCCCCCTTTCTTACCTCTTCCCCGGTGGGAGGGTGGGAGCATCCCTTGCCTGCTACAACTGTCCGGATTCAGGGGTTCCAGAAAATTGGGTGCATATACTGAGAGACACACTCTTAAACAGCGGGTGCCCTGCAGATTCCTAAATTTTTAGGATGAAGGGTCAAGTTGGGTAGAGTACTGGGAACTGGAGGGAGAAGAGGATCGAAGAAGAATCTGTGGATTTGTGCTATATTAGGGTGGGGGTGGGGAGGGTTGTCACTTGGACATGCTGCCAACAGCCCCCATACCCCTCTTCAGCAGTTTCTTTTTTTCTTCTGGGAATTACATATTTCCAGTGTGTGTCTCACCAATTTAAAATCCAGCCTTCCCTGCTTTGATTGTCTCCGTGAGAAACCACAACGAAAAAGGAGAAGAGAGGAAAGGAACAAGAGAGAAAAAGGGGAGGGGAGAGGAAGGGAGGTGGCAGTGGAAGCTTGTGTTCTTTTCCCCTAGGCCTCTTTGGTTTGACATTTTCAAACCACCCGCCTCATATTTGGCTTGGAATTGAACCCGTGTGTCCTTGGTCCTGTCACTACCTACTTCAAAGGCAGAAACTCTCTAAACTTTAATGCCTGTGCACCACAGCATTATTTATGGAATGTTTTGCTCAGCATACAAAATACCAAGATAGAAAGGTTTGGGAAAATAGGGAGCAGAAGGGTGGAAGAGAGGTACTTTTGTTCATCATGGGTTAACTTCTCAAGTAGGATAATGGTTAGACAGTTTTGGAGAAATGAGGTTATACTCCACAGGCTTGTAAATATACCATTTAGATGGCATTAGCTGCATTAGAGCCTTTAACAGACACCCTTACCCATTTTCACCCACCTCGTAGGACCCCTGAAGATGTTTAAAGAGAAACATGCTGTGTGATTCTGTTTGTGGCTTACACCAATGGAAAAGTTGAATTAGCTTCGGAACCATTGTTAATAATTTAAAATTGCTGTTGGTTTTACATCACTTATTTTCACAGAATGCTATAATTTACCTTGCTCTCTTCAGCTTGCATTCTAACCCCTTACATTATACATGTTATTGGCAATTTGACAATTCTTTCTGTTAGCATTGCTGCTGTAAAGTTTATTTTTACATGGCGGGACAGCCATGCCTCAGAATGTTTAGCATATTTATCATCTCAGAAGGGTCCAACAGTGTAAGTATAAATCAAAAATGGATATTTTGAAGCCTATATTTTGTTCTATTTATATTCTCCTAAAACAACAGACCAAAAAACCTTAATATCTTTAGAATAGCTGTGTTTTGTGTTTAAGGAGTATGTGTGAGGGACCAAAATTAATGGTGGATTCTTTGAAGTTGCCAGTAAGACACTATGCTGTGGAACACATTATTGATTTTTTTCTTTTCATTTAAATTATTATATGACAGTAGTGCAATATGCAGTTTTGCATTTTATGGGAGTGTAAAGCAGGAGTTGAGATGAAGAGAATTGCCTTCCTAAGTGATTGAGTGCTGATTTGATGAAGAGCTGATAGTTAATCACCTGAGTCAGTGCTGGGGAAGTGTGTAATATTAGGAGTGATGGACTCCTTCAACTCCCCATGGTAGGAATGCAATTCCATTAATGGCTTGGCTGACTCTTCAGCCATGTAACTAAAGCTTGGTTGAATTACCAGTGTTACCAACATCCTGATGCAGATTGCAGTCAACCCTGTGTGTATTGGAATGCTTGCATTACTTAATAGTGAACTTGTAGATAGGAGTGTTTTCCTTGTTGGTGTTCCTTTCCCTAGAATACCGTGAAACAAGTGAAAGACTGTCATGTTAATTATACATGAGCATAATAAGTTAGTTTTGTCCAAATTTCTTTCAAAAGACTTTTCCCCTGCCAGTATGTCTGCTGTTCTTTGTGGGGCTTCAGAGTTGTGAATGTGGGGAGGTGGCAGCCCCTCTATGGGCTTTGCTCTTTCTTTGTTGCAGTTTTTCTGCAGAGTGGTGTGGGTGTATGCCCCAGTTTTTGATACTGTGCTTAGTATAGAAACACAGGTACTTTTCACTTGCCTCCTTTGTAAACATTAGTCCACTGAGTGGAAACAAAACATACCAAGTTATTAAAGAACTAGCAAACAAAGTAACATTTTTTTACAGCAAAATTTTAAGAGAGATGAGTACAATTAATAAAATGTGCATTTTAGAAGAGCAACTAGTGTCTTTGAAAAGCAGCTTGCCTCCTTGACTATAATCCAGTTTGCAGATAAAGACTGACTTCCTCTGAAGAATTTCATTTCTAGAGGCTTCTGTCTTTAGTTGACTGGACCTTTAAAAATACTTGATACAATAAAGAGCCAATAGAAGATCTTATGGACCCCTGTAAAATGTATTCCGGATATATTCTCTGTGTCTCCCTCCCTCAGAGCTCTTAACACCTGCCTAACCCTAGGCTGAGTGGTGTGAGGCATTCCAAGAAAGTAGAAAGAAGTAAAAGACACTCTCTTTGACCTCAGCTTACAGTCTAGTTGAGGAGAACAGGCATTTGCATGAGGTCCTATTTCACAGTGGCAAGTAACAAGATCTTTGGAGACAGCTTTAGATGTGAGTACAGGCTCTAGTTCTTAGGAGGATCATGTCCTTGTGTACAATTTAAATCTGTTTTTTCATCTATAAAATGAAAATTGTAAGGGACTCTGATTCATGGGCTTGCTTTAAAGGTTAAATGTGTTTAGCTCAGTACTTGGTACAAACAAAACATGTATTAAGTAAACATTATTATAATTAGGAGAAATCACTTAAACACATTCCAAGACCATATATGATTATGTACTAGAAAGACAGAAGCGCAAGTAAGTACTAGAGGAATTGGGAAGAAGACGGGTGTCTGTGTAGCTGGGAAAATATTATATTTGGTAGTAGCACTGGAGCTTGGACAGAGACTCCTGGGAATGATTTCATGCAGGGTGGGCTGGAACAAAAGCAGAGAGGGAGGAAAAGGCATGGTGTGTTTGAAGAACATTAGAGAGACTATTTACTGGAAGATTTGGCATACAGGTGAATGTATTGAAAGGTAGAGTACATACAGTCAGAGTAATTATACTATCACTGGGTTAAGACAACTTCTAGTGTGGGATCCATTTCATTACATAGAAGGTTCAGCTACCCATGGAGGTAGTTTCAGTTCTTTATCTCACCTAAAGCCCCATCCTGAGACATGGAATCCATGATCGGTGTCATAGTGAGGACCCAGAATATTCTTAGGTCTTTTCTTTTAACTTCAAGGCAGAGGGAAAACTTGACCTTTGCTGAACAATAAAGATTTAATATTATGGTTACTAGAACTCTCCCTCATTTTTCCTTATCCCATGAATATTCCAGGACTATATCTCGTTGTATAATAACTAAAATTATTGTATTTTGACCTATGTGAAGCCAGTACTTGTTAGGGTAATTGTATTTCCAGGGGCTTATTTACTTTTCCTAATTACAAAAGCCCCTTTTCATTGGTGTCCGAGATTATTAATAAATTCTAAATGGATGGTGCTCTTTCAGTTTTGTGGCTGTGAGACTAATGTGTGATGAGGATAGAGAGTCTAGGAAGGAATTTGCATGGAGCAGGTTAAGTATACTCTCTGTGTGGAGAGACAGATGCTCACTGGCTACATCTGTTGGCATACCTTTGTTTTTAGTTGAGGTTCATAAACTATTTTGAAAAATTTATCCATAAAATCTTTATCCAACAGCATAAGTGATATGAATTGAATTCTTTTATTCAAAAATGGATTTCCAGAAAATTTTACCCACAAGTTTGAAGTATCAGTATTTATCATGCTCATGTTTAACCCATTTTAATAGACACAATTCCATTGTTTTCTCCCAAATAGTAAAATGTTTCTCATATATTTCTGTTTTGTAGTTCAAATAATATACAAAATTGTCCTCCTGAATATTATCTTAAGATATATTAGTCATAAACACAAATATATTTCTAAAAACTAATGTAAATATACTTCTAAAAACTAACAGACCATAGACTGTAGTAGTTTTATTTTTTATGTTGAGATCTTTCTTAATTGATGTTTTAAAAATTCAGCAAATCTAAATCATACATTTTCAGATGTATTGCTGCTAGTCAGCTTTATATTATACTACCAGAGATTTTTGACATTTTTATTTTCCTTATAAGTGAATTTTTACCTCAGAGCTGAATTCTAACTCAGCCATAAATTTGCATTATATACCTCTTTGAAATTATTACTCATAACACATTTTACAAAACATAGTGATAGTCTAACTTCAGACACCTTAATTTTCTAGGGCTTTACTATTGAACACTATTTTATTTTTCCTTTTATTAATAGGCCTTATCTGCGTACACAACTATTAGACTATTACATTTCAGGTATTAGGAAAACTTGCATTAACAGGAGTGAAAAAGCAGGTATGTTCCCCATACGTGAGGGTGGTGACCAAACAGGGAGGTGGAGTAAGGATGAGACAGAATGAATTAATTGTGTTTTCTCTTTTGAGCTGAAGGATGTATAACTATCTGTTCAATTAGGGGTTTTCTAAATTTTTGCTGCGATGTCTACTATAATCTATGTTTTAGTTGCTTTAAAGTAAGTTTATATGTAAATTTCAATGAATAATTTTTAAAACTAGAGCATGGATAAAAAAGTAATATAAATCATATGTTGATTTTTCAGTATGTTGCTACTTGTAGACATCGGGCTATTTTGTTTGCTAGGCAGTTTTGGGGGAAGCCAGGTAATACATTTATGGGATGTATTGAGATGGAGATACATTAAATAAGATCCTAACTTGCTACAGTGTTTCTACATTAAATGAGTGGACATGCCAGAGGGCTAGAGATAAAAAAGTCCTTGAGTTGTATATGGTCTCAAGGGCCACAGAGCCATAATAGAAAATTAATAGAAAGCTTCTGAGATGTTCATATTCTGCAAGTTGAGTTTATGTTGTTCATTATGTATCTGCAGTAGGTCCAATATCTTTTTTATGGCCCCTTGATGTTTTGGAACTAAAACCATGGACTCTTGATGGAGCTATGTCAGTTGTTCTTCCACATCCCACCCAGAAACCACAAGGACTCCAGAAATCACCAGAGGATCTGATGTTCCCATGTTTTATTTGTAAGCATTTGGTGAAAATTCAGTCTTCCAAGTTTATCTTAAATTCATAGGGCCTGAAGCAGTTGTTAAATATCATCAATCTATCTTTCAGTGAGGAAGTAGCAATGTCCCTTAACTACTTTATAAAGAGCTAATTGTACTCAATTGTTTCCGGGAAAGGGTATCCTACAGTCTTTTAGAGTTTACCACTTCATTCTGTTTCTTCAGGCGTTGATAATTGCCAGAGTAATTTCACAAAATATGTTTTTTTTTTCTAATATGTGGAAGTGGCATAAAGAAGTGTATACAAGACTCAAATTTCCTGGGGAAGCCCAGGCGCAGTGTCTCATGCCTGTAATCCCAGCACTTTGGGAGGCTGAGGCAGGCACATCACCTGAGGCCAGGAGTTTGAGACCAGCCTGGCTAACATGATGAAACCCTGTCTCTACTAAAAATACAAAAATTAGCCAGGCATGGTGACGGGCGACTGTAATCCCAGTTACTTGAGAGGCTGAGGCAGGAGAATCGCTTGAACCCAGGAGGCGGAGGCTGCAGTGAGCCGAGATGGTGCCACTGCACTTCAGCTTGGGCGACAGAACAAGACTCCGTCTCAAAAAAAAAAAAAAAAAAAGAGTCTTGGGGAAAAATAAATCTGTGTCTAAATTCATCTCTCTACTGCACTTATGCCTTTCATGTATTTTTTTTATTATATTACCTAGCATGAATTCATTCAACAGGTATTTTTTGAAAATACCTGCTCTGTGCTCAATGCTCTCATTGAGCTAGAGATTATAATTTTATAAGCACACTGAACCAAGGCAACTGGATTCCCCTCCAGGTTTTCAACCAGCTAATTAATTTGTTATGTGATTAAATAAGCCTCAAACTCTCCAACACTTATTTATTTTATCTGCCTTTTGAGTGACTTAGACTTATATCTAGCTATAAAATTCTATAATTCTACATGTGTTTTTTTCTTAAAATTTCAAGGCAAATGATTTGTTTTCATTGTGTTCCATTTGTTTTTTCTTTTGAAACATAAACTTCTGCTGCATAAGGAAAAAAAAACTTCACCTTCAGTGGCATATGCTTTCCCTTTCCCAATAAAATTGCAAATTTAGCTTCACAGTCTCTGGGCAAACTGTGAGGGACTAAGTAACCTGTCTTTTCTTATCTCTCCATCCTTCCCTCTCTTTCATTTTGAAACTTCTTCCTACATTGAAGGTACAAGTCAGTTGCTACCACTATTTAGGGACTCTCCCAGTGTGTGGTTGGCTTGTTTCGGCCATGCCAATGTTTGTGAAAGACTATATGGCATTTATGCATTTAGAATGAAGTAATGTTTATTTAAGAAATTATATATGCTTTAAGGTTAATATTTCTGCCTCAGGCATAGCAAAGCCTTGCTTATCCCCCTAAATTCTATTTCAGAGGACCTGGTGGTCACCAGTCTTCCTACCAATCCAGCTCCAAATTCCCATTAAAATTATTTTAGTAAAATTTTGGGCATATGTTTTATACAATAAAGTGTACCCATTTTAAGTGAATACTTTGTTGTGGATTGACAAACACACCTGTGTAACCAGCAGTGCGATCAAGATACAGAATATATCTGTTACCCTAAAATCTTCTCTTCCGACTGATCTGCTCTCTGTCACTATAGATTCTTTTTTCCTATTCTAGAAATTGATATAGGTTGAATCACAGAATATGTGCTCATTTTTATATTCCTTTTTGCATTGAGCATAATGTTTGTGGGATCAATCTATGATTTTGAGTACATAAACTTCTAGAAGAAAATATAGGAGATAATCTGTGATGTTGGATTAGGCAAAGATCCCTTAGGACCCAAAAAGCACTAATCATAAAATTTAAAAGAAAATATGCATTAGACTTTATCAAAGTTAAAGAAAGAAGTTTTGCTCTTCAAAAGACAAAAGGTTTGTTAGAACTACATGTCTCTCTCTGTATGTTTGACAAAGGACTTTATCTAGACTATGTATAGAACTCTTGCAACTCAGTAAGAAGACAGGCAATCCATCTAAAAAATGAACAAAATATGTGCTGAGATATTTCACACAAGAAAATATACAAATATCTAATGAGCACATGATAACTCTATAATTCACCGAAATAATTAAATTTAAAACCACAGTGTGATACCACTATCCAAACACTAAAATGACTAAGTTGTAAAGACTGGCAATACCAAGTTTTGGAGAGGATGTGAAGCAACTGTGATACTCATACATTGCTGGTGGGAATGTAATACTTTGGGAAACAGTTTGGCAGTTTCTCTTAATGTTAAAAATACTCTTACCATACGATCCAGAAACTCCACTCCCAGGTGAAATGAAAACATATGTACAAGGACTTTTGCATGAAAATTAATAACAGCATACTCATAATAGCTTCAAACTAAAAACAACCAAAATACCTGTCAAATTCCTATTTGAAAGTTACCCCTTTGAGATAGAAAACAAAGCTGCTGATATATATATATATATATATATATATATATATATATATATATATATATATATATATATATAAATTTTAAGGTGCGCTATTTAATATATGTTACCTGGCAGCAGAGGAAGGGGAATACATTGGAAAAGATTTCTAAAATGACAAGAAATGCAGAGGATGGGAGACATGGGCTTAATTTCTGCTTTCTACATTTCTCTTGTCTGTGCTCAGTCTGCATGTTGACTGCTTCCTCAGCCGGTGCTATGATCACTTCTTTAGTTCCTAGCACACCGTCATGCAGCAGCAGCGTCTCTTCCTGCAGAATGAGGAGGTTTTTGCCAAAAGCCCTCCTGCAGACTTCTCTCTTATGTCACTGGCCAGCACTGAATCACATGGACATTCCCAGTCTAGTCAATGGCAAGGGGAATGGGAATACCATGAATGATAGGCGCTTAGACTAAATCAGGATTTACTGGCTGGGACTATGTATGGGATTAGCCTTCACTGGGTGGAGGAGGTTAGGGGACTGATGAACAGAGTAGCAATTCTTTTAATGAGGAAGAGGTAAATGATTGTTGGGTAAGTAAGCAGCAGTGTTTGTTACAATTTGATATAGAGGCCTGCCTTGTTCTCAGGTTTTGGCAAGAGGTTGAAGCAAAAAGCTGAGATTGTGGTCACAACTTTTTATTGTGGGAGAGTGTATGCAGAAACAGGTGACAGAGGGCAACGTGGCACAAGAAGGAGAAAATTTAGATTCTAGCCCACAGCATGAACTGGAGGGGCAGGGAATCTGGACCCAAGGGAACAATTTAAAGTGGGCAAGCATACAAATAGTGACAAGCAAAGCCAAGCACATTGGGGCCCATGGAGTTGGGACAGGAAGCAAAAGTCAGTGCTGGCAGTAGTCTGGAATCCAGGCAGGCAAATTCGATTGCAGTTTGCCCATCTGTGAAATCAGGACCTCAGGCAAGAAGATTTTCATGTTTTGCTTGTTAAGGCAGAAGCCAAAACAGTAATTATTTTCTACTTTTTTTCCTAAGGTGTTCTCAACCACTCTAGATTCTGTCTTAAGGATAGGAGCCGCACCTTCCATTTTTCTAGTATTCTCCTGTGTCATTGCTGGGCCCACAGTAATTCCTTCATAAATGCTTGTTGATTCAACTAAGTCTCTGAACTCGCTCCATCTTCAAACAGATCCTCAGATTTCTGGTCATATGTAACAGCCATTTACAAATGCTTTCCTACAAGTTATCGAAACCACTGTTTTGAGGGGCACGGTCCTGGAGCCATACGTGAGTAAGACACAGTGCCTTGTCTCATAAGTTGACAATCTAGTAGGGGCTATAAGATGAATACCTGAACAGTTTAATACCAGACAGAATGATCGAGTGTGTCCTGCAGTGTGGTACTGATGCCACAGTGGCGTGGGGCAAAAATCCAGGCTGACACAGAATCAGCAACTTTGCTTCAGCAATGGATGGGAATAAGAGTATGGAGGAGGGGGTGACCTTGTATTAGTACTTTCAGATTCAGTCCTGTCTTGGTCTGGGAACTGGGACAGGGCTGGCCTGCCAGGGAGATGAGATCAATGAGCACAGCAGTGGGAGAGGTGGAGAAATCACATTCAGGAGAACTAAAGCTGGGACACTGATAACTACTCGGTAGGTAGCTGAAAAGTGAGACTAGAGTGAAGGGGAGAGGCTGGGAGTAGAGAAATATTTTGGCATTATCTATACAGAGGTATCTCAAGAATCCAATAACAGAAGATACATTGTTTCAAAAAGAACATGTTTTGTCTTTTGCACTTACAGTAATAAATGCCCATTGTAGAACATCTAGAAAATAACAAGAAAAAGAGTCTGGAAAATAAAAATCACTGCAGTCCAACTATTCAGTGAACATTTGGTGAATTTCTTTCCCCCCGTGAGTATATCTGAGTTATATAGTGAGGGTGTTTTCAAGTACAGCTGAGATCATAGGTATATATAAATTTGTATATTATTTTTAACTAAATATATCTAAGCGTTTCCTGCCATAATAAAAATTCTTCCTCTACATTAGTTTTTGTGTAACATTGCATTTTTTTGGAATTTAAGTATTCAATTTTTGGCTGTCTACAGAGATAAAATGTCTGGGTTGATCTGCCTTCAATATGGGCTGTGGCATGGGCAGAAGATTGATTTTGGGGGCCCCAGGAGACTGCTTCAAAGAAATAGAGGTGAAGGTTTGTGTAGCTGTGTATATACATATATATTTTTTTCTTAAATGGTAACATGATGTTCTATACTTTATTTTCATTTTACATATAGTTTAAAGATATCTCCACACTGGCTCAAAAACATATACACCATTGTTTTTTTTAACTCTTGCCTATTACTTGATAGTGTGGTTGTACCATGGTTTATTTAATCCTTATTTCCATGTACATTCAGTTTGTTTGTGCTATTATGCTATTTCAAACAATGCTAAGATGAACATCCTTATACAGGTTTATTGTCTACATGTACTAATGTATTTTTTAAAGGTAAACTCATAAATGCAGTTGTTGAGTCATAAGGTCTGTGAATTTTAAATTGTAATAGTGCCAAATTGCTCTTCCAATTGTTAGTACCTTCCACCAACAATATGAAAGTGCATATTTCTTTACCCTTTTGCCAATACGTGATAATTTTAAACTTGTAAAAGTTTACCAATGAATAGGTAAGAAGAATACCTCTTTTTTAGATAAATTTGTTTCCCAGATTTCTAGAGGTTATCTTTTCATTTGCTTTCTGTCTAATGGCCTAATGTCTTGCCTTTGCTGTGATGAGTGTGTTCATGTTTTCCAAGTTTTTTTGCATGACTTAGTTATTTTAATTTAAGGACTGAATTATATTCTCTGGGTATAAGTAATTTGTTGTTATTCCTGAATTAATGATATACTATTAAAACTACTATTATGATTTCTAGTAGGTGATGGTTTCTTTCCCCAAAGTTTCATCTCTATTTTTACATCTTTATTTTCAGAAGAATATGATAATCAGGTTATCAATTTGAAAACAACACTGTATTTTAGTTAGTATTATATTTAATTTAAGATAATTTTGAGGGAGAAGTGACAACTCTCAATTCATAATCTTTCCATTGGCAGGTCTCTTTATTCAAGTCTTTTTTGTGTCCTTCAGTAACATAAATAGCCTTCTTTATAGAAGGAAATATTTCTCATTTTGTGTTATTGCTATCTTGTATGAGTTTTTATTACCGTTGGGAAAGGGATTTTATTCTTTAATATTTCCTAATAGGTTATTGCTGATGTAGAAATTATTCTTTTTGATTTTTATATTTGGTTTTGTCTCCTGTCACTTTGTTGAAATACCTTATTGGTCCAAAAAAACGTGCCCTTGTGTTTTTCTTAGCAATTTGTATTACCTCTTTTATATGTTAAGAGTTCATAGTTTAAATACACACAAACACACACACACATACACACACACACACCCCACTTACAAGCCTTATTTACATGAAAATGATAACATATACTTTTTATTTCAGTGTCTTCTAATTTTAAATAATTTTTTGTCTTCTATCTTAGATTTAGTGTGAATGAGACACTGTTCAGATTGGAAATACACTGTCTATACTGTACTCCAGACACACCTATTTTGCTTTTAAAATTATTCTCAATATCTGTCTTTTCCATAGTAACGTAAGTATATTTATACCAATATCAGTATATTTGTGAATCTTTCCATTTGGAGTAAGCATAGTGTGTACATGAATTTCATATGTTCACTTCCAGAAATTTACTTGGCACTTTTATAGATGTTTCTCAGTATTCCATGGTGCTTTTTTTTTTTGTATGCTATTCAAAGGCACGGGCCATGTCTTTTCTATATCTTGGATAGAGTTGAGTGAATAATGATCTAATGGTGGTGACAACATGTTTGATTATGCTAATGCCTGTGATAGTAAACTTTTTTTATTTATCCAAGTGACTTTATTGTTTGGATATCTAATTTTTTAAATATTTTGTCATCATTTGCATTTTGAAGCTGTTGTGCTAATACGAGACCTTCATTCCACATCCATCATTGTTTGTTAGAAATGTGTCAGTATTGATACAATAGCCAGTACAGCAGCACTAAGAAGATTTTACAGTCTCCAGTTCGTACCCACATAGAATTTTATTTTTTGGCAGTAAGATCTTCTTATTCAAACCTGAGAGGAAGCTTAACATGGGTAGTATTTTCATGATTTTTCAAATCACGAAAATGGTTATTTTGAATGAAAATCTTTCACTGATTATACAAATTGAGAAAATGGGCTAATTGCCTTGAATTGTAATTGTTCATCTGGTCTAGTCTTTCTGCATACATATCAGTATTGATTTATCATTAATGAACCCATCATCTTAAAACCCTGTGAGCCATTCTATTAGGTTGGTGCAAAAGTAATTGCTGTTTTCTCCATTAAAGGTAATGGCAAGATTGCTTTTACATTACATTATTACATTACATTACATTATTAAAAGTAATGGCAAAAACCACAATTACTTTTGTACCAACCTAATAAGTTAGCTTAAATAGATGATATAATTTTTACTGTTGAAAACAGGCATTTTGCTTTGTAGAATATTGACTGTGTATGTGAAATTAGTAACAAGTGGTAAGTCGTGGTTCATGGAATGGCAAGAGACTTTTATTAGTGCTGAATCACTGAATCTAGTTTAAAAATTTGGTTAACTGCCTTTTCTTAAAGAATTATACCATAAGGATGAGTTAAAGTAATACTAATATGATAAGTTTCAATAAAACTCTCAGTTAACAACATATAGCTATTTTCTGTTCTAGTTTGCTTGAATAATTTGAAATGCTTCTGTCTATATGATGAAATTTTCTTGATGACTGGTTGCCTTTGGAAATAATTTTTTTGTTTGCTGTTTATGAATAGCTGACTTCTTAAATCCAGGTGTATACGTTTTATTGTTGCTCATTTTATCTTACAGTTGCAGAGCTGTTCTTAACCAAGGCAAGTTAATACCATATGAAATAAATACTCCTTTTTGAGTATGAATTTAAAATATTTTTTATCAAAATTATAAGTGGCATTATAAAATGTTTCAACTGGTAAAATGCTAACTTTAAATAGTTTTTATTTTTATACTTTATTGTAATTATAAAACAATCTATACTGTTACTGTTTGCGTTTTACTCAAGAAAATGCAAATACTTAGTGAAGATACTAGAGGCTACAAAATATCATGAAAAGAATTTGAAGAAGACCTAAAAAATGGAAATATATGTATGTTCACAAATGGGAAGACTTAGTATTGTTAATAAGGCAAATTGATTTAGAGATTCAATGCTATTGCTGTGAAAATCCTAGCTTCCTTTTTTTTTTGCAGAAATTGCTATGCTCATTCTAAAATTCATTTGTAAAATAAGAATAGTCTGAAACAATCTTAAAAAAGGTGAACAAAGTTGGAAGACACACTTCTTAATTTCAAAACTAACCGCAAAAGTATAATAATCGAGACTAAATGGTATTGACATCAGCATAGGCATTTATTTTACTGGAATAGAATTGAGCATTCCGAAATAAACCCATATATTTATGGTTAATTGATTTTTCAACAAGGGTGACAAGACAATTTAATGGGGGAAAGAATAGTTATTTAAACAAATGGTGCTGAGACAACTGAATAAACATTTACATGGAAAAGATGAATTTGGACCGCTTTCTCCTCCCATATACAAAAATTAATGATAGACTTCAATATGCATTATAGACCTAAATATGAGAGCTAACTATGAAACTCTTGGAAGAAAACATAGGTGTAAATCTTAGTGACCTTGGATTAGGCATTGGTTTCTTGTATTAGGCAGTAGATTTTTAGATATGACACCCAAAGCTCAAGCAATAGAAGAAAAATAATGTAAATTTGACTTTATCAAAATTAAAAACTTTTATGCATCAAAGGACAGCATCAGGAAAGTGAAAAGACAACCCACAGAATGGGAGAACATATTTACAAATCATATCAGTAAGAATCTATTCTTCCAAATTTATAAAGAACCATATAAAGAATGATTACAGCTTAATAGTAAAAAGAATACCTAAATTTAAAAATGGACAAAGGACTAGAATAGACATTTCTCCAAAGAAGATATACAAATGGCAAATAAGCACACGAAGAGATGCTCAGCATCATCAAGTGAATGCACATCAAAACCGCAATGAAATACGAGATCACACCTGCTAGACGAGTTCTAATAAAAGAATATTAGGCCAGGCGCGGTGCCTCACACCTGTAATTCCAGCACTTTGGGAGGCCAAGGCGGTGGATCACAAGGTCAGGAGATCGAGACCATCCTGGCCAACATGGTGAGACCCTTCTCTACTAAAAATACAAAAAAAAAAAAAAAAAAAAATTAACCAGGCCTGGTGGTTGGCACCTGTAATCTCAGCTACTCAGGAGACTGAGGCAGGAGAATAGCTTGAACCCAGGAGGCGGAGGCTGCAGTGAGCTGAGATGGCGCCATCTGAGACTTTGTCTCAAAAAAAAAAAAATTTAATAAACGTTGGTGAGAAATATGGGGAAATTGGAATCCTTATACATGAAGGTAGAAATGTCATTGTAAATTTAAGGGGGAATATAAAATGATGCCGCTAATTTGGAAAACAGTTTGGTAGTTTCTCAAAAAGTTAAATATAAAATTTCCTTATGACCCAACAATTCTATTCTTAGATGTGTATTAAGGAGCTGCAAAAACATATGTCCACACCAAACTCTGTACATTTATATCCATAGCAGCATTATTTATGATAGCCAAAAAGTTGAAAAATCTGATGTCTATTAATTGAAGAATGGACACACAAAATAAGGCATATTTATACAATGGGATAATATTCCACCATAAATAGGAAAAAGTACTGATACACGTGAAACGTGGATATCCTTGAAGACATTGTGTGAAGTGAAAGAAAGCCAGACACAAAATATCACATATTGTTTGATTGAATTTATATAAAATGTCCAGAATTCACCAATCTATGTAGAGAAAAACTAGTGGTTGTCAGGGTTTGGGAGAAGGGAGGAATGAAGAATGAACGCTAATGGGTACACGTTCTCTTTTTCTTTTCTTTTCTTTTTTTTTTGGAGACACGGAGACAGGGTCTCACTGTGTTGCCCAGGTTAAGTGCAGTGGTGCAACCATAGCTTACTGCAGCTCGAACTCCTAGACACACACGATCCTCTCCCTTTGGTCTCCACAGTAGCTGGGATTATAGGGGTATGCCACCATGCTTGGCTGATTATTATTATTATTATTATTTTGTAGAGAAAGGTCTTGCTGTATTGCCCAGACTGAGAGTTTTCGTTTTGAGATGATGCAAATTCTGGAATTAGATAATGGTGATGGTTGCATATACTGTTTGTGCATATACTATAAAACATCCACTGAATTATACACTTTAAAATGGTAAATATTGCTTATGAATTATGCCTATAATGTAAGGCAAACAAATCAAATAATTATTTGTGGTTTTATTTGTTTTTCCATTTGGAATGTAGAAATTACTCCTTGTCATAATATTAAATCATGTATTTTTTCACTAGAGTTGAACTTAAAGCCAATTCACATTGTAGAGTACAATTGTACTATGTTCATATAATCACAAAATGAATATTTCTTTACTTTGAAAATGACATTTAATTATGTTTATATCTAGCCACAATATAGCTGAAAAGACATTTCTTAATTGCCTTTCTTAGGTAAGGTAGTCTATTTACGATACCAAGATAAGTAAGACATGGTTTCTACCCTTAGGACATCTAATGGTATATAGCGGGAAAGTGCGGCCCGTAAACAAACTGAGGAATATGACATGGAGTAGAGGTATATTGGAAGTTATAGGTAGCAGTGATGAAGGAGTGTTTAAAGTAAAACAGAATTAGACAAAGGTCAAGAAGATTCACATTTCAACAGGAACTTGAAGAACATGTAAAACTTTCCTATAAAGATAAATTAGGAAATAGCATTCCAGGTTGAGGGGAAAGCATGAAGGTAGGAATGTCAGTGTAAATTTAAGGCTCAACAAATCATACAGTTGCCAGAGTGCATAGAGGAGGGATGAGGCATGAGAAGGTGGTAGGGAAGGAGACAACAGGACTGATTATACAGAAGCAAGAAGACTTAGGAACCATCTGAATGTGAGATTCAGGACAAAGGCAAAGACAAGGCTAACCGTGAACGTTATCACATGTCTTCTTGTGCGAAACATAATTCAGGAGTTAGCTGATGCTTGGTGTTGATGATGTAAAATATGAAGAGCTTACAGGACATCCAGATGCAAGTCTTCAATAGACATTTAGGAATAAGATCTGGACTTCTGAGCTGTTGGTATTCAAATTAGAAATTTTAGAGTGAAACAGGAGGTGACAGTTATAGCTGTGGAAGTAGATGAAATGCCCTAAGGTTGCATAAAGCATTTTAAGTATGGGATCTGCATCTCAGGAATACCACTGCTTAAGTGACAAATAATGAGACACATTTAATGGGAAAGAAAGAGAGGAATCGTATGAGGGTATTTACCTCTGAAGTCAAGAAAGTCAGCAAAATGAAAAAGAAAACACACTTGGAAAAGAAATATGTTACTCCTACTTTTAGCTTTTGGTTTGGATTTTTAGCCAAAGCATACACAAGCAAAGAGAGGCAGTTGTAAGATCAAATCTTGCATCTGTTTACTGCTTCCAGCCATGAGGTCTCTGGGTTATGACGTCAACAAGAGAAAGGAAGGGTAAGAAATGACTCAAGCAGATGATAAAGGCTGAACCGGGACATTCCTTGGTGGACTAGGATTGTAGCTCCTGGGTAGCTCTAAAAGTGTAGCAGTTGTGCAGCCTGGTCTCAGGAGCCACTGGAGCTCTGCTGGTGATGAGAAGAGACTGTGGAAACTGGTCAGATCAGCAGCTAAACAATGACCCCATGTCCACTTTGTGGTCTGCTCTGAAGGCTTTCTGTGGTGGGAGGTTAGCTTTGTTTTCTCTTCATCCTGATTTCTGATATTTAAGCCAGCAGAATTTTCCTTCCAGCTGCATTCTTTATTTTACTACACGAATCAATTATTGGCGTGGGTAACATTTTACAAATGAAGCTTGCTAAGCTAAACTGTAACTCTTGTGGGTTTAGTGGTTTGTGCAAAATATGTTTTCAGTAAAACAAAAAAAAGCAGCATTTCTTGTTAACAGGATGCCTCACTTCTCCAGCAAAACAAAGATATTTTACTGTTACTGTCCATACAACTAGCAGAAATAGTTTATCGATAAAAAGGAAACATATCTCTTTACTGAGAAACCATTTCTAGTTTTCACACTGCACAATCTGAATAGTGAAGAGTGGAGAAGGGGAAGGCAGGTGCCTCACTGGTTGATTTTTTTTTTCCTTAACTCCTTTTAAGTTGTGAAGGAAGAGTTTCCAAGTTTCCATTGTTTCCAGGCAGGAAAGGAGATCATAAAATGTTGTTGCATAGATCAGAGAGGTTAAAGAATAGAGAGGCCGCTAGAGGCCACTGTATTTGTTGAGTAAGAAGTGGATCTCACTTGATCTTTGCCAGAGTAGCTTCAGTCAAGTGGTCACCTCAGAAACCTGATAGTATTGAAGAGTCAGTGTGAAACAGAAATTAGATGTTGTATGTTTCCAAAGATATTTAGCAGACTTGGATGCTGAAAGGGAAGTGAGAGGGAAGCATAAAGAGAAGGTTCAGTTTAGTGTGCTTTGTTTTAAGTGGAGCAGTTTGAGCACAGAACACTCAGGATAGTGAGTTCATTGGTGAATTAGTTTCCTAGAGTAGGTAGACAGAAATGGGTCTTAGAATTTTAACACTTTTTAAAACTTTGTGCTTCATCTGAATAATTTATATTCTTTCTTACTTTATTGCAAAGCCCAAATTAGATAAAATTTGATGGAGGGGAGAAAAGAAGATGTCAGTTATGCTTTGCTTTATATAATAGATGGACTGCTAAAATCTCACTTTGTAATTATAACCACTAGGGAAGTTATGATTTAAAGAAGTTCTTTTGTAAGGGAAATGCCACCACTAGTTTTTATTTATTAGTAAATAGATACGCTCATATATATATATATATATATATATATATATATATATATATAGCTTGAGGGTAAGAATAAATGACTTACATAGGTTTCTTAGTTTATTCTTTCATTTCTCTCATGTGCAGCAAATCAATTTATAAGCATTAAAATGCCAGACAGTTTAAGTTTTAAATTCTTACTTTGAATAACAGTGTTGAAAACATAGAGACTTTGTTCTCAGACATGAACAATAGACTTTGTTGCCAAACTTCAGAAATAATCAAATGCTATGGTTTTGCATTTATATACCTACTAATTAGGAAATTAAATGATATTTCCATAGCAACGGAAACAGTCTCCTTGCACACTTGTTTTATGCCTGCAATAATACACAGCAGGGTGTCCAAGGACTTTAGCTTAAGGTCCAAAAGAGGCAAGGTGTGTAAGCATTGACACAAAAGATACACACAGAGGTGTTATTGGATTTACAAAGATGACATGAGTGGCTAAAATTATGTTAGTAAATTTTTTTTTTTTTTTTGAGACAGAGTCTCACTCTGTTGCCCAGGCTGGAGTGCAATGGCATGATCTCGGCTCACTGCAACCTCCGTCTCCGAGGTTCAAGTGATTCTCCTGCCTCTGGTTCCTGAGTTGCTGGGATTACAGGCGCGTGCCACAATGCCCACCTAATTTTTGTATTTTTAGCAGAGACGGGGTTTCACCATGTTGGTCAGGCTGGTCTCGAACTCCTGACCTCGTGATCTGCCCGCCTTGGCCTCCCAAAGTTCTGGGATTACAGGCATGAGCCACCGTACCCAGACATTAGTAAATATTTTTAAAAATAAATCCTCCATATGAATAATGTTAATTGAGAAGGCCTAAAGAGTTTTCCTGAACTCTGTTACAGACGCTGGTTTGGTAAATGACTTCTCCAGTCTCAAGAATTCTACCATTATATTATGGTATGCTTGAAGATGCTGAACTGACCAATTTCTGTTCCACTTTTTTTAAAAACAGTCAGGATTAATGGATAAAGTAATGTGGCTCTCTCAGCCCACTGGGTCTCAGAAAATAAAATTATAGGGATGGGCTCTGTCCCTAGAAAGTAATTCTGTACTAGTCATTAGGGGAGTGACTTCATGGGATGCTTAAATAAGCTTTGTGACGACTCTGACCCCTGTGAATTTAGGAGGTAAAAGAGAGTATTCACTTGTCTTATTTCCTTCTAGCCTATGTTCCAAATTTATATTATAATTGTGCTATTTTGCTATAGTACTACTGTGATTGAATTACAATTTAAAGATGAGTATAGGTGGATTCATTGAATGTGCTTTAATACTTTAAAAATTTTCTTCCTGAATGCATTCTTCTGATTAACTAATTGATTTTTCTTTCACCATCATTGGCTATTATTGACAAATGAACTTTCTAATCTCTTTGTTTTTCTCGCTGATGTATTTTTGAATGACATATTTTGGAACATCCAAAAACCGCCAAGCTGCTGCTTAATTCTGTACTGTCCTCTCATCACAGAATTTAATCTGCTCTCTCAGTCTCTGTCTCTGTCTTTCTGTCTGTGTTCCTGAGTTGTCATTTCTCCAATGCTAAAACCCCTAATCTGGATGCACCTGCACCTGATTAATTTTTGAAGTTCTAATCTTGCTGAAAAAGCATTCAGTGTGTTTCTCTGGCTACCTAATTAACTGTAAGTGCCTTAGCCTACCGTAACTCACGGGTCCTGTGTTCCAGACTCAAGCTCATAGCTCCCATTCCAAAAAGACATTATCATGCTCCTCTAAGGGAACCCTCTTCCCTGACAAGTCTGAAATATTCCTCTCCCATACCCCTGGCTCTTCTTCAGGGCACCTTGGACTCATTTTTTGTTGTCTACCTAGGAGACCTTCTACATGTCATTGAAGTTCATCTAATATGCAGTCTCGCTCCTTGATGAATTTGTATCTGATCCCTTAAAATGCTTCCATCTCATTCTCCTCCTAACTGCTATATCCCTTTATCTGTTCCCCATTTTTGTTACACCTTTTCTTAGAGTTATTGTTGTATTTGTTGTCCAGGCTCCATACCCGCTACATAACCTGTACTCTTGACTGAGAATGTCTTTAAAGCAGGGATAAGCTTTATTCATCTAAGTATACCTTACAATGTGTATCACAGAATTTAGCATATGGTCAGTAAATACAGGTATTCAGTAAACTTATTCAGTTTCAATATATTAACTGTTTTAAAACATGAAGTGAATGGTAGTTTATAGAAGTTTTGGTATGTTTGGAAATATCAATTTTACAGTATCTAAAAGTATATTAAGACATTCTTGAGACTTAGAAAAAAACACACTGAGTTCCCATGGGTTGTATTTTATCAACTAACTAGAGTATATTAAATAATATACAATTTTGTAATTGTGTTATAGATGATGAGAGACACAAGTGGCCCCTAAACTGATTGAGATCTTAATAATGGCACATGTTCCTAATGGATTCAGAGATCTAGAGGAGCACCTATTGTGGGATACTAGTCCTAAGGAATGCTTTATCGATCAGGTTCTGTTTATAGGTAAACTTGGGAAACGACTTGCTTTTTCTTCTAAAATAGTGTCTGAGAGTTTCTGCCATTAAACAGGCAAACAAATAGCCCAAAGAGGAAACAACAAAACACAATTAAACTACACTTAAATATCATATATCCATATATCCTACATTAATTTGGCACAAAATCTCTCTACCAATCTGCCCTCTCCTGCTCGGCCTTGCTGGAATAACAACTGGCATCCTGCAGAATCCACCAGAGGAAATACTGATCTGAGCCTTTATAAAGCTTTTTATTAACTATGTTTGCTGCACAAATAATATTATAACTAAGGACATTTTTCTTAAAAGAGAAGTGTTATCCTTCTTGTCAAAATTGTGATGTATGTTGTTTGCATTTCTGTGTTTCTTTTCAGGCTTGTTTATATTCATTTTCAACATGGTTGTAGTCATAGAATACATATGATTTTATGTCATTTTAAAAAGTCATAGTTCCCAATTGTTATCTATATTTAATAATTATTATTTTATGGCTACATTTTATTACATGTTTAAACATTTTTATTATTTTTGGCTTTTATTTGTAAACAGTTTAGAAATGAACACCGTTGGGCGCATTACTTTCTATTAAAAACTGAGCTTAAGGATCCTAAGAGTATAGATACCGAGTTGAAGGCTCTAGTGATTATGGCCATATTGTTTGTTATAACGCTAGGATAAGTTTATATAGCTTCCTGCAGTACTTAATTATATCCAGTTCCTTGTCTTTCAGGCTCATAATAGGTATTCTTTTTCAATTTAATTATCTTAAAATGAAAACTTGTGAACAGTTTTTTTTTCCCTGTAAGCCTCATAGAGTTGAGGTAAATGAACGTTAGTTTATTATAAAAAAGATTTATAGATAATTTTTGCTACTCTTAACCCATGATCACCTAGATACAGATATATTTATTCTAGTACTGATAGTATATTTTCTCCTGAGTTCCTCTTTTTCATTTTTGATATTGTGCTTGTTGTCCCCAGTTTCTGAAATACAACATTTTTCTTGACTTTGTGATAACTTCAGCTGTGTTTTATATAGCTTTCCACTTGTGTGATTATTGGCTTCCCTTTCAAATATGTCAAGTTCTGGATAAATATTTTTTCATTTCTGATTTTTGCTGTTAATATTTTTATAGCCAGTTAGTTGGTAAGAAGGGTGAAAAAAAAAAACTCCTGCAAAACAAATAGAAAAAAATACACATAACTATTTAATCTGATATTGAGTAGGGAAGGCCTTTCCAAGCATAAAAAGGAAGAAATTTAAAAGTAAACAACTGACAGATTAAGTATGACATAATTTTTAAGAAATTACTTTAAAAGGCGGTGAAATAAAGAGATAAACTATTCATGCAAAAAAATTTAACATATGATAGACAAAATCTTAATCTGTTTAATAGCTAATGAGCTCTTATCAGTCAATAAAAAACCCTAAATCTTTCAGAAAAATGAATAAACTATTTTTCAATGAACATATTTTGCTCTTTTTTTTTTGAGACTGTCGCCCTGGCTGGAGTTCAGTGGTGCAATCTTGGCTCACTGCAACCTCTGCCTCCTGGGTTCAAGTGATTCTCCTGCCTCAGCCTCCGGAGTAGCTGGGATTATAGGCCCCTGCCACCACGCCCAGCTAATTTTTTGTATTTTTAGTAGAGACAGGGTTTCACCATGTTGGCCAGGCTGGTCTCGAACTCCTGACCTCGTGATCCGCCTGCCTCAGCCTCCCAAAGTGCTAGGATTACAGGGGTGAGCCACTGCACCCGGCCCATATTTTGCTTTTATAACCAGGCAAAATAAATTTAGAAATTATTATAAGTAGAATGTAAAACTTGACATTTAAAAAAATTATGCCCTTCAAAATCATTTATTCTTATATTTGTCCTTACTATCCCATTGGATATGTAATTACATAATCATATATATAATTTAAATAAATAATAATGTATTTTTAGGTATGAATGCTATCAGAATTTTAGCTTCCAGGGACGGGTCAAATATGAAGGGGGAGGAAAATCAAGGTGCTTAGAAGGTATTCCCAGAAAGAATTAAAGATAACAGCAGGGAGATAGTTAAGATTTTTGTATCTTCAAGGCTCTTGTATAGCTGCACATTGTCAGCTCTGTTGAAGAGTTGAAAAAAATGCCAGCCCAATTACCATGATTAGATCTGCCTTGCCATAAAATATCACTAATGTTTGTGGAATGTTTGAATGGACACGTACGTGAACAGCTCTCAAGCTCTTTTCTGATTTTGACATTTATAAGTTAACTGGATGGTACCCAAATTCTTGAAGGGATGCAACGTAGACAGATAATTTTCAGAGGGGTCACAGCAGGGAAGAAGATTCGGTCAAGGTAATGAGGCACTGATTGGGGTCTGCTGACAGGGAAGAGAAGTTACCAAAAAGTCAGAGATATACAAAGAAAGCCATACCTAGATTCACATTGCCAGCCTCACTTTCCCAAGTGGCTAGGTTTTCTTAATTTGTCAAGAGCTGAGTTGTGTAATGAGGTGAAAGCATGATCGCTATTTGGTTGATTCTGATCATATATCTGTTTCTATTAAGGTGCAAGCTGTATGGTTTGTCACCATCCAGATTGGTAGGAAAAGTATAGGCACATTCAGGTTAATTCTCCAGTTGGCCATCCTAGCTAATAGTGTACAGCTTCATAATGAAATGGCAAGTAAGATCCAGAGATTCAGATACTCCAGATACCAGTAGTACAATCTTAAAATTGCGAAACTGTGGCTTAAATATTTTTTGACTAATAATATCATAACAAGGTTTTCTAAAGTTTCCTAAGTTAGCATATATACACCTAAATATCTCTAAAGAAGTGTGTGTGTGTGTGTGTGTGTGTGTGTTTGTGTTGAGGGTGGGGTACATGCATGCATTTGCTTTGAGCTCATCCCCTACTCTACTGTCGTCACTTTCACCATGGATTTTTTTTTTCTTTTCTTTTCTTTTCTTTTCTTTGGAGAAGGAGTTTTGCTCTGTCACCAAGGCTGGAGTGCAGTGGTGCGATCTTGGCTCACTCACTGCAACCTCTACCCCCCGGGTTCAAGGAGTTCTCCTGCCTCAGCCTCCCGAGTAGCTGGTGTTACAGGTGCATGCTGCCATGCCCAGCTAACTTTTTGTATTTTAGTAGAGACGGGGTTTCAGCGTGTTGCCCAGGCTGGGCTCGAACTCCTGAGCTCGGACAATCCGCCCACCTCCGCCTCCCCATGGATTTTACTGTACTTACATCTGTGTCTCTTGGTTTTCCTGTTTGCCTTTTGTTCTTCACTCAGGGTTCTCATGTTGTTTACCTCACTTGCCACTGTTTGCAAAATTGCCTGTTCTCTCCTCAGTGTCTCTGCCCTTTTTATTTGCACGTGGAGGGCTTAAACCACCCCCCATTGAAGGACGTTCTGTTGGTGAGTTGAAAAAATGACTGCTTAACTGACTGATTTGACCTGCCTGATCCACCAGTCTGCCTTGTTATGTAATGACCACCATTTCTAGAAATTAACAAGCCCTTGAATCAAATGCTCATCAGCCTGTAAGCAAATGTTTCCCCCTAGATTTCTGCTACTCTGGGATTTTAACATTTCTTGTCTCAGAATGCTCTGCTCATGCTCAGTTCCTGCACTCCTATCCTTTCATGCCCTTTCCCGTGCTCTTGCATCACATTTAGTTCTTTTATCCCTTTGTTCTTATGCTGCTAGGGTCTATGCTTGGGGTGTTCATTTTTCTGCATTTTCCAGTTATGGTGAGAGGTGTCATGTGTATGACCTTAGGAAAACCCAACTTTAGGAGAAGACTGGCTTCCTTGCAGAACGGTTAAGGTATTTTCCCCTTAGGAACCAAATCCGTCTTGGTAATCAGTTTTCATTCTTGCTCAAATTCAGGGGTTCACCCAGTAGCAAAGGCTGCTTGCTGCCCGCACTATGTAAAAGTAGAATGCAGAAACCATCAGAACCACTTTTACCTTTAGACCATAAATACTTACCATGTCAGTTATATTTGCATCCTAGAACATAATTTTGTTTAGCACATGTTTCTTGAATTACTATGCCTTTTTTTTTTTTTCAAGAGAAAGTTATGCATACAACTTTCCTGGATACCAGTAGCCCCTCAGGATCTGTGGTTTTGGACATTTGGGTTTTATAATTTTATACCCCAAGTTGAAAATCTAACATCATTTTACATATGCATGGCTTACTTCAGTTTCCTTCATTTAGCGAATATGAACATTATTGATTCTACTTTTGGAAGGAAAAATGGTGACCCTGTTCATTCCAAGAGAGGGAAGATCTATTTAAACTCCATTCACTCAATGTAGAGGAGTAAGACCAGGATCACAAAAACATGTTTTAAAACACTAAGATAGTTTGTAAAAAACAAAGATAAAACACAAACTCAAACTTGTTGTTTCAAACTCTATAACCTATTAATAAATACTGTGAACATATCAGCTTCTGGAAGGATTATGCTGCAGCATTAGTAATAAAGATGATTATTCGAAAAAAAAACCTTATCAGGGTATACTTTTAACCACAATATATCAGAAACAAGTGTCTTTGAAAAACCTTATACCGCCTGTAATTTTATAGACTAAAGCTGTTATGATTTTTTTCTCTAATCCTTTATTTATTTATTGTTGTTGTTGAGAACTTGAACATGCCAGCCTTGTTTATTGCAAACGTGGTATTTAGTTATCTTTGGAATTGTTGAGGAATTACTGGATTGTAATAGTGATACAAAATACTGTGGAAGCATGGAGGACAGAGAGACATGTTGGATGGGGTGAATGGGGAAAATCCAGAGATATGGCCTTGCTATCGAGCAGATTTTGAGAGTGGAAATAGCAGGTAGGGCTGGAAATAGTAACATTCTATGGGAATGGAGAGCATGACCCAAAGTAGGGGAGCTCAGAGAATATTGCTGAGAGGTGAGTAGGCATGTGTGGTTCATATTTAAATTACATGGGGTCAGAGTTTGGTCAGAAGAAGGCTGGGAACAGATTTTATATGGTCTTAAATGCTATTCTGAGAGATTTGAGCTTTATTTCTATTCCAGGGGCAAGCTGTCTAATTAGTGTGCTCTAATGTCTGAAGCATGACATGATGACTGTGCAAACAGAAGATCATAACTGGGAAAGGTGGTGGCAGATAAATCAATTAGGAGGCTCTTGCAGCAAGTCAGGTGAGGCCTTATGAAGACCTGAACGAGGGCAGCATACTTGAGAATGGAATAACCTAGAGAAGTGATCTGCTTACATCAAAATCAAGATCAATAAGGATAAATCCAAGCTTTTCTTTGGTATGAAAATATCCAAATAATTGCACAGATAATGGTTAAGAAAAGACTAGCTAGGCAGGCACAAGTACAGCAGACAGAGACCTGGGAGTCCAAGAAGACCATATGGTGAATGTGAGTCAGCGGTGTTGTGCTGTTATTAAAAAACAGAACCAACACTATGGGGAAATATATTAATAGGAGTGAGGCATGCAAATGGCAGGAAGTAGCCTTTCTGATCTATTCATAATTGTTGAAACTTTTGCTTTCCTCGTGTCTTCTGTTGGCCTTCACACATCAAGAGCGTGTTTAGAAAGTGTGAAAGGCCTCGAGAAGGCCATTGGAAATGCTGGAGGTGATAGAAGGTGATATCTGTGGTCCTGGGTCCTCTGGATATAAAGTCATGAAGGCTAAATCACTGTAAACCTTTTTGACTGTATGAGGCCCTTGGAAGCAGTAATGTGAATTCTAGCAGCTCAAAGAATTCAGATACAATGTTACTTTCAGATACAATGTTACTTGTAAATCACTCTGATTTTATCTTTATATTGTAATAAACTGTGGGTGGCTTTATTATTAGGATAGACAGGAACAGGGAGGTTTGGAAATGCTACTTTTACCCCCAGCTGGGAGTGTGTTTGCCCTCAGTTGTTGAATCCTGTGATCTCATTTTTCCCTTCTGGTCACCTCAAGCCTGTCAGTGTTTGAAAGACTCTTGTGGACCAGAACTATCTGTCCTTCCACTTCCACATCAATAAATGAGGCTGACCACAACTGCATGGAAATTAGGGGGGCTGTGCATTTCTAGCTCCTGCACTTCTTTACCTGGTTAATGACAGTATCTTTAGAGCTCCTCCTGCTTAGTGTCTCTTTTTGGAAGGTCTTTCTGTGACTGCCCCACCCAGGTCTTGTTTCTTGTCACGTGCATTAAGAAAACCTGGCTTTTAAATAGTATTTATTTTAATTAGCAGTTACACACTAATTTGTATATAATTCCTAAATTCCTTTCTGTCCCACCAGACTGCAACCTTCATGAGAACAGGAACTCTGTTGCTTTTGTTTGCTGATGTTTCCCCAGAACCTTATATATTTTTTTGTATGAAAGAATAATTAAACTTATATCACAAAAGGGAATGAGTAAGAGAAAAAGGATCCAAAGGGGGCAGTTTTCGGTCATTCAAAGCAGTACCACTTAGTGGTTAGGGGTGTGGGCTGTGTTTAGGTACAACACCTGGCTCTGCCACTTACTAGCTTGGGCAAGTGACTGACCCTCACCGTACCTTAGCTTTCTCATCTGTAAAATGCATATAACAATATTACTTACCTCATAGGGTTACAGTAAGAATCAATGATTGGATATTTGCAGAGCACCTTAAACAGTGTCTGGCACCGAGTAAGTGCAACATATGCCCTTGAAATAAATAGAAGAGAAGCAGAGTTTTGCCCCTCAGCTGACTCCATCTCCGTTTGGACTATCCTTCCTTTAAATCTCCCCACCCAAAATTATACTAATCCCCATTGTATTCCTGTAATCGTTTACATTACTGTTTCCTAAAGTGTGGCATGAATGCCACTTGCTTTATGTAGGATGACTCAATTGTTTTAGTTGATTCACAGGACAAACACATTTTTAAGTCATAGTTATGTATTTATAATGAGCACATGAAATATAAGTGAACCAAATGTGATTCAATTTTGTTAAATATTAATGAAGTCGCTTATACATTTAAAAAAGATCTTTGATTCCGTGACTTTGCTTTGTGTAGTTTTTGGACACCATTTAACTCTTCAGTGATTTGTTTATTTCTGAGTACTTTGAAGTGTTGATAACTTTTCCTACTTACTGTAAGTTTGATCAAATAATTTGCTTGAAACAACTTAACATGGTATGGAGAGTTGGAAATGGGTAGCTTTTATTTAATAGCTATCGGATTGGTGTGATTAAATGTCAAATTTTAATGTTGTGTTGATCAAATTGTTTTGATTGGTTTGCTTGTGATTTAGCATTTCATACCTTGTATAAAATGTCCATGAGACATGTCCTGAAAAAACATTTCTTTGTTAGGTTTTAAGTCTGCAATGTAACTGTGCTTATCCCTATGTGTCTTTTGTTAACATTTTTAACCTTGAAAGTATATTCATGTGTATAAGTATAAACATATATATTACACATATATATGAGTTTGTGTGTATATATATATATATGTACACACACACAAGAATAATTTTTCAAATTCTTATTTTACAAATGTTAGAATAGAATGGAGCTGCTTTAATTTTGGAGCTCTTATATGTACACACAGATATCCTATATATATATATATATACACACACACAATGTTTACACATATGTATAAATACATACATATACTTGTATACATATATACACATACACACACGCACACACACATATATATATATATATATATATATATATATACACTCATATACTTGGTAAAAATATGTACTAAAGGATATATTTAGCTACAGAGTGAAATATTTGCCATATAGCCCAAATTCTTATGGCTTAGGAGTTGATTAATAGGTTAAATAGTGGCTGGTGTCTCAGCTTATTAGAACATTTACGATTTGCATTTCCCCAATCTTCATAATTTTTTTTTTTTTTTGAGACAGAGTCTCTCTCTGTTGCCAGGCTGGAGTGCAGTGGCATGATCTTGGCTCACTGCAACCTCCACCTCCTGGGGTCAAGCAATTCTCCTGCCTCAGTTTCCTGAGTAGCTGGGACTACAGGTGTGCGCCACCACGCCCAACTAATTTTTGTATTTGTAGTAGAGACGGGGTTTCACCATGTTGTCCAGGATGGTGTCGATCTCTTGACCTCGTGATTCACCCACCTTAGCCTCCCAAAGTGTTGGGATTACAGGCGTGAGCCACCGTGCCTGGCCCCAGTCTTCATAATTTTTATGGAATGTGTGACATGGTGCTTGTGGTGATAATTTTTCATAATGCTAGAAAACTAATAATGCTTTCAACTGAGAGCTTTCTGGCCTTATAATTTCTTTTTTTTTCTCTTTAGCTTTTTAAAAACTAGGCTTTATACTTCTGCAACTGAAATGTGCCGAACCTTTTAGCCCGAAAGTAGTATATATTGTGTGAATGTTCTCAGCACTGCTAAACTTGCCAAGATAACCTGAAGGGTTTTGTCTGGCTGCTGCAATTTCCTACTGCCAGTATTAATCCCCATTTTTCATCCCCTAGTATGGGCTATTTCTTCAGCCCTTCAAAATCGAAAGAAAGAAATTTTGTATTACAAAATGCACTATGTTATCTGATGTTAAAAGTAAAAGATTTATCCTAAAATAACTATTCTATTTAGTATTCTTTATGAGTTTTGCAAACTTAAGCAGCAAAAGTTACTTTTCCTTTTTGAATGTAATTGACTTTTGTATTTTTGTGATTTCAAAGCATTGAAATTAGGTTGCAGACATTTAAACAGAATGTCTCAATTTTTTTGTCTGTGTTGAGCTTTGAAGCAAAATTCCCAGATTTGAATCTCAGCTTCATTGCTCACTAAAACTGGGCAGGTTTAATGAGCATTCTGAGCCCTAATTTACTTATCTGTAAAATGAGATGATAGTACTAACCTATAAAGGATTAAAGATAATGCACATAAAGTTTATAGCGTAGTACCTTAAACACTATTAGCAAATTCTTATTTTACAAATGTTAGCATAGAACAGAGCTGCTTTAATTTTGGAAATCTCACATGCACATACACACACATATTTATTTATTTTAGTAAGACCATTTCACTATCTCCTGTAAACTGGTTAAAAACTATCAAAAATGAATATTTTCTTTATATATTAATGTCCTGATTTTTTTCACTGTAGTGCATTTCTCTGCTTAATGTGTCACTAAGAATTTTTATCAACTTATGAGAATATGGAGGGGCTTAGTAAGTTTAATAAATTTAATAGTTTGTTTGCATTTTCTACCATTTTAAAAACAACTCATGTGTTTTTAAAATTTCAAATTCATTTTCAACCATTTATAAATGCTCTGTTTTTCTTCTTGGGAAGTATTTTCATAAACTTTAGCTTACAGTGTTAAGTGAATTGTCTGGAACCTGGCTGTTTTGTGATGTAAAATTGACTTTCAAGTACGACATTAGATCTTTGATATATACTTTTACTATTTCGGAACACGTTCATAATTTTCCATTAAAACATATTTGTGAAGTTTGGTAAAATATTTGTAAAGTTTCATTGAAACAAAACCGTGTAATATCCAAAAAAGACAAAGCAATCGTTATGAGCTGGATATCCTATAAAAGAGTGTTAGGATTTTATTTTACTTTGAAATGTGAAATCAAGTTATTATTTCAGTAACTAAGCATTGTTGTACCTTTCTTCTTAAGAAGATTAATATGTAAATTTAGTGTTACCTTAATTCAAATATTTCTTTAAAGATGTTTTTAAAGATAGACAGCTGTAGCTTGCTGGTTATAAAAGCAGCAGTTAGAAATACATTTTTGACTCACTTATTATTTTGACTGTTTTGATGGTTTTCAATCTGACAACTTTTTTTTAGTAGCTCCACTGCTTCCGTCACACCCAATTGGACCTTGTTTAATGTGTTGGTTTTATGCTTCACTAGCAATGAACAGATCATTTAATAGATGATTATATATGAAAATATGATTTATAATGAAAATGGTTTCATAGGCTATATAATAGTGCAGAACTACCTGGAAATAAAACATTGTGTCCATCTGTTTTACAAAGTCCATTTTATGCCTTTATCATGATACCAAAATTTCATTAACACCAATTTGAAAATATTAAAGAATAAAAAAAGACTTTGTGATTTAAATTTCTCGTTATAAAATATTAAAGTAGAAAAGGACAACAAGTATTCTTGGACAAGGGAAGAGTTGGACAAAATTAGTCAACAAGATCCAGGTTTGGGGACTTTTCTTGGAAATGGAGTCTCACTCTGTCTGCTGGAGTTCAGTGGTATGATCTCGGGTCGCTGCAAACCCTGCCTCCTGGGTTCAAGAGATTCTCTTGCCCAGCCTCCTGAGTAGCTGAGACTACAGGCGTGCGCCACCACACTGGGCTAATTTTTGTATTTTTGGTAGTTACAGGGTTTCACCATATTGGCCAGGCTGGTCTCAAACTCTGGACCTCAAGTGATCCACCTGCCTTGGCCTTCCAAAGTGCTGTGATTACAGGCATGAGCCACCGCGCCCAGCTGGTTTGGGAAATTTTTGAATGAATAGTGTGTAGTTGCAATAAATCAGTTGAGTTGTAGGTTAAGTCTAGAGAAGTCAGTCCATAATCTCTTGAGCTGAAAGACAAACCACAAAATGACTATTTTGGCTTGGGAAGCCATGAACATGGCTTTCTTTTCTTTTCTTTTGTAAGTGAAGCAATTGAAACAAACTTTTCTTGGTAAAGGGAATGGGAAGATTTCTGGGGTCTAGAAGGTAACTATACCAGTTCCTAGTCTAGGTGCCACTTCAGAGGCCTTCTGTAGCATAGAAGATAGGTAAGACAAATTTGTGTAACTGATAAAGGCAGTTTTTGAAAATAAGCTTTTTATGAAAGTGCAGGGACATAGCTATATTAGGTTTTAGTGACTTGGTGAGAATATGTCTAGCTTCAGAATTTTTTCTTGGTGACACAAAGAATATTGATTTTTTCATGAGACCCAAAATGAAGATGAATCACTTCTTAAATTCTAGGAGTTACCCAAGGAAAATGCTTAGCAGGTATTTAGAGCCCAAGTGGCCTAACAAAGAAATATTGCCTTGGCCTCCCTTGCTTGAGCTCTGGGTGAACTTCCCAGCTCAGGTAGACTGACTTTGGAAGAGGAAGCAAGCAACTGTCAATCTTAAAACTCCATTCAAAGGACATCTAACTTGCAGAGAGAGTCCCATTCTGTGCCCAATTGGAGCATATGATAATGGTTCTGTTTTGTTATAACCTGAGGGAGCAATAGGCCGGGGCTATCCAGAAAGATAAGAAAAAGGAAAAACACAATATTTTTCACAGTTCCAAATATCTACACAATATTTAAATTCAGCATCACATGATAGCACCGTTGCAGAGACAGTTGTCAGCCCCCTTACTCACTCTCACATACTTTTTTAGTAATACAACTCCTGAATTGGACATAGTGCAATACATGTCCCAGCCTCCCTTACAGCTACATGTGATTATTCAGAAAGTTATATCCAGTGAAGGAGGAGCTGAGTTTTGTGTGCAACTTCTAGGCCCTATGCTTAGAGAGAAGCGGCATGCCTTCACTTCTCCTTCCCCACTCCCTGTCCATAGGCTCAGTTGAGTTACAGTAAGAGGACCTAGGTTACAAAATGGAAGCTGTACATTGAGGATGCCACAGTAATACAATAGATGGAGCCCACATCCGTGATATGGAGCAGCCACATCAAATATGAACTATGTATATGCCAACTGTTACACGAGAGAAAAAGGAACTGGTTTAACTCCTTGATCTGTTGGCTTTTGTTATAGCAGGTGGCCTCATATCCTAATTACATCAAACACTTTAACTATAAACACACTAAAATGATAAAATGATGAAAACACATTTGTGTAGTTGGGGGATGTTGTTTTCTTTTTTTAAAAAAAATATTATTCAAAGTGAGTTTATTGATCTTCACAAATGAATCCATACACCCACTAGGTGTCAGTGATTTCCCAGGTTGATAACTCTCGATTTAGGCAAATCAGGAGTGAAAGTGAAGTGACTGAAAGTGAAGTAAAAGCTTACTTTTTTATGCTCATAATATAAGTACTCAAACAAGCTTAAATTAGATAGGAGCAATACTTATAATATGAATAAATATAACTAGTAATTATAAAGCACTTCATATGTGTCAGGCACTATTCTAAGCTCTTTATATATTTACTCATTTAATACAACAATCATATGAAGTAAGTACTACTATTATCTCAGTTTAGCAGAGAAGGATGTGTGTAAGTCAGGCACAGAGAAGCTAAGTACCATACCCAAGATTGCCCAGCTAGTTGGGGAAGAGGTGGGGTTTGAACCTGAGCAGTCAAACTCTAGTTGCTGTTCTTAACCATGTTTTCTTTAGGAAGATACAAGACTAACATTAGAGTTAGCCTTGTACAGTGAGTGGTTTGTTTTTTTCATGTGAGCAGAGTTGCTATAAATATTGCCAATACTGAGTGAGGCACATACTCTCACTCAGATGGCATCTTCCCCTGAGTCATCCAGTGTTTTTTCTAGGTCCTAAGTTAGAGAATTTAGCATCCTTAAATTCTCAGGAACTTTTAAAACCATGTCTTAGAGCAGAACTGTAACTCCAACCTAAAACAGGTTAGAATTCATGGGAAAGTTTTCCAGCCAGTTGTATCCAAGCATCCTTCAGAGTAGAATAGAGAAACCATCTTTTTAAAAGTATTTACAATTGTATTCAAATTATTATTACCGTAGCACTGAATAAGTTATAAAAATGTAATTTCCTTATAGTCCCTTTATCTGGCAAATTGCTTCTGTTTATAATCTGTAGCTGCTCTTTTAATTCTTTCCAATATGCAAATATATTAAAAATAGGTACTAAGAATAATATAAATGTGTTGTTCTTTGATTGCTTTACACTGCCCTGCTACAAACCAAAATGTGGTTTATAGCAGACACATACAACAGTTTAAAAACTACCAACTGTCCCCAGGGGTGGAGCAATCAAGTAAGCAATGGCATGTTAACTCACTGGAATACTGATTGATTGTACATTATTGCAACTTCTGTTGCAATAACTATATACATATTTTAGTCTTCTCAGCAACAGTTCTCCCTACAATAGCATTTTTATTTATTTTGAAGAAGTTAAGGAAGCTGGGTTGTATCTCAACAACTTGCCTATGTAATGATTCCTTTCCAGATTCAAGCCTTAAGGCCTGCTCAACAGTGCTTCCAGGCCAACTAATTTTTTAGAAATTTGTGGAATTTGTGAAAAGAACGCTTGATGTACTTGTTTACTAAAATGTAATGTGCATGCATGCGTGTGTGTGTGTTTGTGTGTGTGTGAGTGCTTGTGTTTCTTTAGGACTAGTTCTCTGGTACATAATAGGGATCATAATAGGGTTTAAAACATTTCTCCATAGGTAGTACAGGGCTTCTCACCAGAATGACTCTTTGATGCAAAATAAATGTATTACTCTTTGTGACTAATTTTCCATATTCAGTATATTAGTGAGTGTTTTCTCTAATATGCTTCATCTGGTACCTAATAAATTTAGATATATAAACAAAAGCTGTCCCACAATGATTACATTTTAAGAATTGCTCTCCCATATGAGAAATTGTTTGATACTTTATGAAGTTATTCTTTTGGATGAAGACTTCTACATTGACAACATTCATATGATTGCTCTCTTTCTATTTTTTGACACACAATAAGGTCAGAGCTCTGGCTGAAGAATTTTCCACAATCAAGTCATTCATATGGCTTCTCTCCAGCAGGGTTTTCTGATGTGAAGAAAATGTGACAGCTTCAACTGAAGTATTTTTTAGTCTTTGTATTATTTCATCCTATTGTGAATTATCTGATGCATAATAACATGAGACCTCTGTATATAAGACTTCCTAAATTCATTATCTTCGTAGGGCCTCCCTCTTATGAAAGTTCTGTAATGCATAATGAGGTGAGTGTTCTGTCTGAAAGATTTTCCAAGTTCAGGACTATCACTGAGTTTGTCTCTGGTATGATTTCTTTCAAGTCTAATGAAACTACCACATGGAAAATACCAAACACTTTTCCACACTGATTACATATATACAGTTTGTCTCCAGTATGAGTTCTCTAATATAGAAAAAAAGTGATAGAACCAGCTAAAGACTTTTTCACATGCTTATGCATTATTTACCTACTTATGATTTCTCACCAGTGTGAGTTACATGATGTTAATGTAGTGAGAACCGCATTTGAAGAATTTTGCATCTTCTTGATATTCATGGTGTTTGTCTTTTTATTTACACCCTTAGGTATACCAAGGGATGTACTATAAGTAAGAAACTTATTGCTATCATTGTAGGGTTTATCTCCTGTTTGAGTTCTCGCAAATTGAATCAGGTGAATGTTTTAACAAAAGGTTTTAGTACGTTTATTACTGTTACTGACATAGTTTGCCTGATGACCACTAAACTAAATTATGTTTTAAACTTTTAACATTTGAATCATACTTAACGGAAATACTCTTTAAGTACTAATGAGCATGAAAGATACAGTGTCCCCAGTATTTATCACTTTCACAGACTCTCCTAAGCACTTTGTTTTGTGTGAATGTTTCTTATCTTAAATGTTTCTTCTCATTTTCCTGATAATTGTCTAGTTTGTTTTCACATTTCCATTTTTAATGACAAATATGAGAAATCATTCCTTTCCATTTCTTCCATTTTAATGTCATAGAATTGTTTATCTTCAGAAATGCTATTGTTAGAAATTGATGATTTGATTTCCATGATAGTCACTGAATCTGGCCAGTTCTCCACCAGCTATGATTCTTTACCTTTCTCCATCTAGAGAATCACATCTGTTTGGGAAGCTGACACTCAAAGGAAACTGGGTTCTCATAGTACTAATGCATCACTTATTTGTATATGTTCTGCTGAGAAGTGAATTTGGTGAAATCTACAACCATATCCTAGAAGGCGATCCATGTCTGGGACTGGACCATTAATGACTCAGCTTCTATATTCCCTTCTCTGATTTCTTGAGTAAGTGGAGAGTTCTGTGAATGCAACACTCTCTGTTGGGCCAGGTTCAGCTGGCCTGGCCTGCCCCACAGTGCCTGCTCCTCTTTACCTGACTTGCATGTATGATGGGCCAGCTGCTGCAGCCTTCTCCATGTCACTCTGTTCATCATGTACCCAACTCCCAATCCCAGGCACTTGAGCTGACCCCTGTCTGATGCTGCCAACCCACATAGAAATGTCTTTCAAATAAAAGGCTGTTCATTTTGGTGAAGGTCCGTTGCCGCTTAATGGTTATGTGTCCACAGGGCATACGGTGCATAGTAATACTTCAGAAACTCAGGCTTATTTCTGATTGTCCATCCAAAAACAAATTTCTCAGAAGTCAGGTAAGGCTGAATTCTGTCTTTATTATTTCAAATTCTCTGTTCCTTCCTCCGTTATATCATTTAAAAAAGATATAGGGATTGGAAACTTGGTTTGGCCATAGACTGTTTTTTCAACAAATAGAATTTAAATGTCTTTTGGTGGAGCTTTATTATTAGTTCCCATGGTTCCTATAACTTTCATGCCTCTTAGCACATGGGTCGGGGCAGTATTCACACACGTGGAATGAGCTTAATGCAAAGCATTGCGCTTTCTCCTTGCTCATCTGGTCCAATTAACTTACAGTCATTTACATAGTATACAAATGTGATGTTTTGCAGAACATCCAGGATGGTTTAGATCCCTTCAGAGTTCAGTATGACAAAAGACTAGAGAATTGGTTTAACCCTAGTGCCAGATTATAAGTATATACTCTTTTCTTTGTCATGTAACTATGAACTGCTACAAAACTCTTTTCCAGTATTTTGGAAAATGATATGTTAATCAGCTCAATGGCTAAATACATGAAGCTATATTAATTTGTCATAATAAAAAAAATACCACATCTGACACTGAAGCTGCAGTTGGGATTACTACTTGGTTAAGTTTGTGGAAGTTTACTGTCATCTGTCAGGACTCATCTGTTTTTTGTAGTGCCAGATGGTGTATTAATTGGGGATATCATGGGAGGACCACTACCCCTGGTTTCTTTATCTGCTATTTCCCCTGTTATATGATACTGTTTTTGATATACTATTTTGAAAGAACTAGGAGGAGGGCAATATCTGAGACTTATGCTTGACTTTAAGATGAAAGAGCCAAACCGAGAGTTCTGCTATTTACAGGTATGTTTGTTTTAATTATATAAGGGCCAGTAAAATAATCACTGGCTAGATCCGTGGACCTAGTGGACCCACTATGAGCCAGAACTGGGCTGGAACTCCATTTATTGCCTGACTGTCTTGCATTCTCCAATCTAATTAGAGGTAGGAGGTGAGGGAGGGGGCACAATAATGTTTCAGTTCCCTGGATATCAATGTCAAGTGAAATTCTGTTTCTAACTATTCTCAAAATGTCTGAATTTCCCCTTTCTGCACTCTGGTTACCTTTATGATCTTCAGCTGATACCCTTGGGAGTTCTGGAGACGAAATGATTCTTCAGAGTTATTCTTTTTGAGGTAAAAGGGCTAGAACTTCGGACCTTTAAATTGAGCAGTCACTGGATGCTGTGTTTCCTTGAGAAGAGGCCATGACTCTGGGCAAGGCACATTTCTGCAGTCAAAGACAATTTCCTGAGGGAGACTCAGCAATGAGCCACCAGTGCACGTCACTCTTAGCATGTGAGGGAATCAGTATCTTGGTATTGAAAGGAGGATGTAGGCCTCACACCACATCATCCACTCCATAGCCATAGCCGAATTGCAATGGCAGAATGTTATGAAATAAAAGTAAAGAAATATTGTAGATGAGAAGGCCAAATATTAAAATGCCCAAATGTTACCCCTGTTGTATGACCATTACATCTGTATTAAGCGCAACACTCATTTACTTATTCTTTCCTTTATTCTTTCATTCAGTATCTTTTTATACCAAATACCATGCATTGCGAGCAGGGTTTGGATTCCTAGCATTGTCTGAATCTCAGCTATGTTCCAGTAGGACTGCATAGTTCCTTTAGACCTTACAACGTGAATAAACTAAGACATAGATGAGAAACCTAATATACCCACAGTCACCTAGCTGATGAATGGGAGAGTTGCAGTTGGGACTCAGTTCTGCCTCCAAGGACTGCTGTGCCCTTCCCACTATATCTAAAGACCTTTACAGGGAATATTAACCACAGGTTCATCACCGAAGAGTGGAGGAATAGAGGAATAATGGAATCTGTGATAATTTGATAAGTCAATAAAAAACATTTCAATAAATAAAAATTATTACTGTAGGAAGTGAGAAAAAATTTGCAGCTTGTTCTTATAGCTGTGTCTGTTTTAATATTTTCTACTATTCGTCACTATATAGCTGCTGCAAACCAAAGAAAAAAACTGAGGTGAGTCTCTACCAAATTTGGAAGCTTATTTTGCCAAGGTTGAAGATAGACCCAGGAAAAAGAAACAAAACCTCAGGAGCATCTGTGATTATCTGTGCTTTTTCCAAAGAGGTTTTGAGGACCTCAGTATTTAAAGGGGAAAGAGAAGGCAACAGGGGAAAGAGGAAATGGAAAAATGGGGGAGGGTAGATAAAAGAGGCAAGAGGTTACATTCTTTTTAAGGTTTTGATTAATATTTACTGAATCCACATTTTACTTGTGAAAGGAGGGTGCTCAGGGAATTACATTTTTACATAAGATAAAGTAAATGCAGAGTCAAGCAAGCAGTCAAATATACATTTGTCTCAGGTGAGAGCAGAAGGATAACCTCTACACCTGCGTTAGTCCCAAAACTGTGGAGACAAGCTGTCAATTTACATTGTCAGAGTGAAATTCAACAGAACTCTGTTTCAGGGTGTATTAAGCCATTCTCAAATTGCTATAAAGAATTACCTGTGACTGGGTAATTTATAAAGAATAGAGGTTTAATTGACTCACAGTTCCACAAGTTGTACATGAAGTATGGCTAGGGAGGCTTCAAAAAGCTTACAATCATGGTGGAAGGCAAAGGGGAAGCAGGCACATCTTACATGGACGGAGAAGGAGGAAGAAGGGAGTGGGAGGTGCTGCACACTTTTAAACAACCAGATCTTGTGAGAACTCACTATCATGAGAACAGCAAGGGGGAAGTCTGCCCCCATGATCCAGTCACCTCCCAACAGGCTCTTCCTCCAACATTGGTGATTATAATTTGACATGAAATTTGGGCAGGGACACAAATCCAAACCATATCATTTCACCTCTGGCCCCTCCCAAATCTTATATTCTTCTCACATTTCATTCCCAACATTCCCCCGAAGTCTTAACTCATCCCAGCATTAACTCAAAGTCCACAGTCCAAAGTCTCACTTGAGACAAGGCAAATCCCTTCTGCCTATGAGCCTGTAAAATCAAAACCAGTTAGTTACTTCCAAGATACAATGTGGGTACAGGCATTGGCTAAATACTCCCATTCCAAAAGGGAAAAATCAGCCCAAACAAAGGGACTACAGGCCCCATGCAAGTCTGAAATCCAGCAGGACAATCATTAAACCTAAAAGCTCCAAAGTAATCTCCTTTGACTCCGTGTCTCACATCCAGACCACAGTGATGCAAGGGTGGGCTCCCAAGGCACTGGGAGCCCCCTTGGCTGCTTCCACCGGTTGGCATTGAGTGTCTGCAGCTATTCCAGGCACATGGTGCAAGCTGTCAGTAAATCTACAATTCTGGAGTCTGGAGCATGGTGGCCCTCTTCTCACAGCTCCACTAGGCAGTTCCCCAGTGGGGACTCTGTGTAGGGGCTCCAGCCCCACATTTCCTCTCTGTACTGCCCTAGTAGAGGTTCTCCCTGAAGGCTCTGCCCCATAGTAGACTTCTGCCTGGACATCCGGGCATTTCCATTCATCCTCTGAAATCTAGATAGAGGCTCCCAAGCCTCAACTCTCACACTCTGCACACCCTGAGGCTTAACATCTCATGGAAGCCACCAAAGCTTTTGGCTTGCACCCTATGAAGCAACAGCCTGAGCTGCTCCTTGGTCCCTTTTAGCTGAGGCTGGAGCTGGAGCAACCACAATGCCAGGCATTATTTTTTGAGGCTGCGTAGAGCAGTGGGGCCCAGGGCCTGACCCACAAAACCATTTTTCCCTCCTAGGCCTCCAGGCCTGTAATGGGAGGGGCTGCCACAAAAGTCTTTGAAATTCCTTCAAGGACTTTTCCCCATTATCTTGGCTATCAACATTTGGCTCCTCTTTACAAATGCAAATTTCTGCAGCTGGCTTGAATTCCTTCTTAGAAAATGGGTTTTTCTTTTCTACCACATGGCCAGGTTGCAAATTTTCCAAACTTTTACAACTCTGCTTCCCTTTTAAATATGAGTTCCAGTTCCCAATCATTTTTTTGCCCTTGAATATAAGCTCTTGAATATTTTGCTGCTTAGAAATTTCTTCCCCCTCATACCCTAAATCATTACTTTCAAGTTCAAATTTCCAAATATGTTCCTTCTCTCCATTGAGACCTCATCAGCTTGGCCATCTCTGTCCATATCACTATCAGTATTTTTGTCAAAACCATTCAACAAGTCTCTAGGACGTTCCAAACTTGTTCACATCTTCCTGTCTTCTTCTGAGCCTGCCAAACTGTTCCAACCTCTTCCCGTTACCTAGTTCCAAAGTTGCTTCCACATTTGCAAGTATCTTTATAGCAGTGCCCCACTCCTGGTATGAATTTTCTGTGTTGGTCTGTTTTTGCATTGCTGTAAAGAACTACTGGAGACTGGGTAATTTATAAAGAAAAAAGGTTTAATTCATTCACAGTTGCACAGGCTTAACATGAAGCATGGCTGGAGGGGCCTCAAGAAACTTATAGTTATGGTGGAAGGCAAAGGGGAAGCAGGCACATCTTATATGGCTGGAGAAGGAGGAAGAGATAGTGAAGTGCTATACACTTTTAAACAACCAGATCTTGTGAGAACTCACTCACTATCATGAGAACAACAGGGGGATGTCTGCCCTCTTGATCCATTCACCTACTACCAGGCTTCTCCTCTTATCACTGAGGATTACAATTCAATATGAGGTTTGGGTGGGGACACAAATACAAACCATAAAATAGGGTAAATATCTTGGGGCTCACAAAGAATTTTCTTGTGAGCACATTGTAAGGGAGGCCACCTGGGGAGGTATGTGGACTTCTATCTTTGCAGCTATCTACTTAGGAACAAAATAGGAGGCAGTTTTGCAACTCAGTTCTCAAGCTTGACTTTTCCATTTGACATAGTGAGTTTGGGTCCCAAGGTTTTTGTTTTCCTTTCACACTACAAATAGATTTGGGCTGTTGAAGGGTTACATCTGATCTGCTGTATCATTCTTGCATGCAATGACCTGTGAATGTAAAGCTTTGTCTCCATTTAGCCAAGGTGGATGGAGAATTGCTTATCACTCATGTGCTGGCCCCTCTTGTAGCCATCAATACCTGATGGCACATGAAACCTTTTTTTTTTTAAAACACAAATCTGTATTTGAAAGACTCAGAATACATGTTGGAACTGATACGATAGCCTTCTACATATTGAGGTAAATTACTTTGCAACATTATTTGAAGAAAATCACTCAAGGTTAGTTTGTATTAATTGATCACAATATCTTCCTTAGGATTGTTTGGGAAAAGAACTGTAGATGGAGATCCTGAAAATTATGAGAGGACATATGCTATATAGTATTACCATATAATTTTATACACTGTACTATAGAGAGCACTTACATTAGCTTAGGGGTAATTCTGAAGCTTATCTTCCAGTGGGACTGACACATCTAATTATTAAGGTAGTTTTGTCATACCCATTGCCAGGCCATAGGATGTTTCAAAAAGCCCAATGATTCTGGATCCAATGTCTGTTAGATTTTCAAGGTTCCTACAGGAATACCTCTAGAAAAAGTGAAAAATAGATCATTAAGATAGAAGGCTCCAGACACCTCATACCCAACATCAAATTGTGCTAGACACTCTATTAAATTAATCCTGTTCTCAAAACAGTTCCACAGAAATGGAGGTTATTGTCATTATTTCATAAATGAGGAGAATGGTGATACTTCCATGGTCATAGTTTTCTTATGTTTGTTTTCTTTCTTTGTGAATTTACCCTGTCCTATCCAAGAGGCATGAAATAGAAAATCCAAACAGAGCAAAATGGGTATTAAGCCTATTGATAGTTGGTATCAGGATATTTTAAATGCCATTTAGCAGCCATTTAATTGCATTTGCTCATTTTCAAGATGCAAAACAAAAGAGCCCTTAGAGGCTAAAGCCCAGTGCCACCCACCTGGCTAAAAGTTTATTAGGAATTAGGAGCAGATTTCACAGTCAAGAGTCTAGCACTCTTTTTGCCTTAGGGCACATTCCTTTGTGGGTCCTATTTTTATGCAAATTGAGATGCAGGTGACATCCTTAGGATTCCTAGGTGACAAAAAACTGTTCTATCACTTTTCTCTTTCTTGGCAAATTTACTCTTGCCTTTTCAAAAGCAAAATGTGAAAATTATTGAATAAGGCCATACACTGGAATATAGTGTAGCTGAGAAAACACCCAGTAGTCCCCACCCTGAGCCTTTCCCTCAAAAGCATCCTCTTGAATGGGGAGGGAAAGGTGAGAGTGAAACTGGCATCACTTTAAGGAATAAGACAGTTTTACTTCAAAAGCTTTCATTCATGTTGTAAGTTTCAATAGTTAATATGAGTTTACATACTACGAATTTAGAAGAGGCAGTCATGGATCTCATTTAAGAAATTTCCTGTGTTTTAACATTTTAACTGCTCTATTTTATTTGAATTGTGTTAGAATATATTATTTTATTCTCAAATGCTATTAAAACATTTCATGCAAGAAGCAGATTTATAGTGAACTGAATTCTGTATCATGAACAGAATTCTGACTAGAGCATTGAATTTCTTATTCTTAGTTATGTGCCGTTTCCATATTTCACATTAGGATTTACCAAGGTCAATGATATAATAATTACTCAAAAGATACAAGAAATGTTCATATTGCAAACACATCTCAGTGTTACCCACTGACCTTGACTAAAGAAAAAGTTCATACAGCTCCTTATTCAAAGACTGAGCTGAGTAAGTAAACAAATGTGAAAAATGTAAATATTGTTGTTGACAGTTTTGAGGATTTAATTTCTCAGTGAAATGTAAGAAATTTACTTGCTCAGATACCTTTTTGGTTCTATAAATGGGTCCATTATAATTTTTGCAAAGGTACCTTTTTAAAATTATTGTCAAAACACATTAACTTCGAGTTTCAAAGAGAATTAGACTATAGTCCTTGTTTTTATTTTAATTTTCTGTTGCCTTATTTTTATGATTGAGTAATATATCCTCCTCCATATAAATTGAAGATTCTGCTGACTCATTAATGAAACAAGTTCTAGAAGTTATTTTTCTAGTAATAATGGCTTGTTAATATAATAATGATAGATTTATATTGAACCCTCTTTATTCTCTCATTCTGTCCTGTCACCATTGGCAGGGTTTCATGCATTTGTTCAGTAACTGGGAAGGGTTAGGAGTGAGCCCTTAGTTGAGGATCAGAGGATTTCCTCCATGTAAATTTATCTGGTTCATAGAAGATTTTATAGTGGTGACTTGGACCTCCCTAGCAGAATGCAGCATTATGTGTACTGACCCCAGCTAGCACTTTTATTCTTGGTTCACCATGTATATGAAAAGAGGAAGATGTAGCTGCCTTTTTCATCTAGTTCAACAAACATGAGATGATTCTGACGGTTTCTAGTTTTTTGAATTGAAGCCAGTCCCCTGATACATTCTTAGTTACATTGTTGTGCACAAAATATGTGTGTTCAGGTTTTAGTGCTTAAGCATGCCTCTCTGAAATGCAGCCCATACCACACTTAGGTACTTGTCAATATAAACACAAAATTGTTAACACCTTTTGTCTTCTTATATGTAAAATAGTGCCATTAAATGGAATTTAGAATTAGCGAAGCCTAGCTGTAAATACTGCCTCCCCTAATTATTTATGTAACCTCTTCGAGTCTCAGTTTTTAAATTTGGAGCTGGTAAAGCAGTGTTTGGAAATGTTCATTTTTATTGCAGACAGTCAATATAAGATTTATTTGAAGTACTGGTTTTAAAACATAGGAAATAAATCAGCAGTACCTTTTTGAGTCACTTAATTTACCCATCTTTTTCTATCTCCTGAGTTAAGTTACCCTACATGCTTGCATTTTTTCTGATTCTTAAAGATCTTCAGAGAAGGAAATTCTACAGCCTTTTTGGGCAGCCTATTCTAGATCCTTACAGCATTCACTGTCAGGGAACTTTTTCTCATATCTAACCAAAATCTCTGTTGCTGGAATTTAAGCTCATTTCTTCTTTTATTGTCCCCTGTGGGAAGTAGAATAGGTCAGTTTTTTGTTTATTATTCTCTCAATAGCCCTCAATACATAAAATTAAATTATGGCAGAGTTATCTTTATTTCATAACCTACAACTTTTGCCCGTTAGGAGAGTTCAGGGCCTAAGGTGGCCCTCTTAATTCTGATGTATGCATTTATTTTCTTGCTGTGTATTGTGTTAGTTGTACTTCATTTCAGAAATTGGAAACAGAATGTGATGAGTGAGCTCTGAATGCTGGAATTTAAGCTAGTATCCACAAGAGACATCTTGGAGGAGCTAGCAGAGATGCCCATTTGAAAATTAAATGTAATTCACTTTTTAGGTTTCCTTAGTTAAAAAAAAAATGACCTACACTTATAATTTGCCTACTTAGTTTTAAACTCAATGCTGTTCTAATGGTTTCATTTCCATTCTGTTACCTAAAATTTGAACTACTTATTCTCTGTGTGGAAGACTTTTAGGGGATGTACTAAACCCTTGGAAAATTATATTAACTTCTTTAGATTTGGCTGGCTTTCTTCTTTCAAAATGATGACTCTGCTTATGGTGGCATAATCCATATGAGCTGATGTGACTCTAAAATCCATAATGTAATTCATTTGTTTTCACCCTGGATTCATATATTGAGATGAATTGGCTTCTCTGCAGATGTGTCTACATAGGATTGGCTTCCTAAACTGGTATTGACATCTATTATTTTTGTCAGTGTACTACTGTGGTACTGAACCTAATTAAATGAAAACTTTCAGTTTAGTAGAATTATCTGTTTAGCTGTGCATAGGATTCTCCTGGTGACAGTTGGGCTTGATGTTGTTTTGTTTTTAAATATAATGCATATTTCACAGCATTGTACAGAATCTCCAGAGCGTTTACACACATAGAGATTTATACATACGTAAACGTTCACAAAGAGACACTTCCATGTTTTAGACCAGACTATGATTATCAGCATATTCTAGTTCTGCATAAATTTTTCTAAAGAAATTTAGATAACATTCTTAGTATGTTCAGGTAGTTTCCTGGGCTAATAAAAGCTTAGTTTAAAACTGAACATGCCCACAAGTGTTCTTAAGTCAACACTGAACATGATATCTTTTTACAGATTGATTCTGCCATTTAGTGATGCAAAAATGACTGCATATCTCATTATTAACTATAATTTAATCAGCTATTATTTTATATCAATAATGCCATCTTAGTAAACTTCTGGTCTGATAACACGCCTAATAGGTACCAAAATTCAGGTTTTACAAAAGTATTCATTATTTGTCACTCTATCTGTTTATATGCATTAGTTTAAAGCTTTTATGACATACAGTAGTGCTGTAAAGATTCAATGAAAGATCCATTATGAATCCTTCCCTAAAGGGACGTGCAGTGTAATAGGGAAGATAACAAATGTAAAATATTTATTGTATGTGGTAGAAGGGCCTCAGTTCCTTATAGAGTGCCTGATACTCAGAAAACCAATTTTCTGTTTGGTCAATCAGGATTGGCTTACTTGGGACATGAAAGATGACAAGGATTTGGACACAGTGAAATGAGATAGTATAGGGAAAGTCTTTCTACACCCTTTTAAAGTAAGTATGAGCCCAAACCTACATGCACAAAGACTCAGCGTTTTTGTGGAAACAATGGGAGCTTTTTATTTTCATTGGAGCTTGGGTAATGGTGGTGAATAAGAATGAAACCTGACAGTGGTGCCAAACTAAGAAGAAAATTAATTCTAAGTGTAGATCCTTTGGCTAGCAGGATAGAGGTATTGAATAAATGCTGGTACTCTCTGCTCCTTTCTCTCTCCTCTCTTTCTCTGTCTCCTCCCATCCCATCACTCTTTCTCTCTTCCCATCTTTAGGTTGTTAACCACTCAAATATTTTATTTTATCCTCGGTTTTCATACACTCAGCACCTATTATTGTAGGTGCTTAAAAAATTTTGATGAATGAATGCTGAATAATTAAGGTTGAACTTTATAGATAGTGGAGAGGTAGAGTGTGTTTTAGAGCAGTAATTTGAGAAGCTGAACTTTCTAAAGAATATAGCTGGCATTACCGGGTAAAAAGAAACAGTGGAAAGAGCTCATACTGGAATTAGACTATCAGAGGGTGCTTTCCTGGTATGTGCCATTGAATTTGAAATCTGGCAGTTTATGTGAATCACTTGGGAGCTTTTCAGTATGGTTGAGTTCTAGGCCTTATTCTTTGGAGTTTATGATTGGGTAGATGTGGGGCGGTTCCAAGGATTTGGATTTTGATTGTGATATTTTGCCATGTCTGAGAACCACTGATGAAAGTGAGAAATAACAGAGGCCCGGCTTCATTTCTGTGTGGAAATGGAGGGCAGGGAATGCACTTAAGAAATATTGCAGAGACATAGTTGAGTAAACTTGGGAATATATTTTTTCCCCATAGTAGGAAAGAATGAAAGCTGAAACCAGGCTTTCAAACCATAAAACTGTGAAGATGGTGATATCATCAGTGAAGTAGTGGTGTTTCTTGGCACCTGACAAAGATGATCAAATGCACTTTGGATGGACAGAGAGTACGTGGAAGTAGGTTGAACACTAGTAGTTCTATCTAGCAGAGAATTCTACAGGAGCTTGGAAAAGAGGGCAGAACTGGAGATAAAGACTTCAAAGTTAATTATTATAAAGGAGGTTATAATAATAGTGGTGAAGATGATAAAATAATACTAACTATAACGAAAAAACTACCATTTATGTGCCAGGCTAGTGATAATAAATTCATATGTAACATGTCATATCATTTTTATAGAAACTCTGAAAAACACCCGATTTACAGAAAAAAAAAGTTGGGGCTCTTAGAAGTTAGTTTGCCTGTGATCAAACAGCTATTATGTATGATATGTATATTTAACATCTCTAGCGCCTGACTCACTTCTCCAAGAAAGTCTTTGTGCATTAGAAACAGAACAGGGAAGAAACGTCAGCTACATTTTTTTTTTTTTGACAATCTTAGTTAAAAGAGAAAATGACAACTTGGAGCAAGTGGCTTTTTAAACAGTATTAAATGCTTCAGAGAAGTAAATTAGTATCAAAACTTGGGAAAATCTACTGGCTTTGGTCATTAGGAGGTCATTAACAACCTTGGAGGTTAGAATTAAGTGAAATGGAGATGGAAAAAGATGAATTACAAGGCATTAGAAGTTTGTTTTCAGAGACCAGGAGAGATTGGGTGTAGCAGCTCTATTAGGTTGGTGGTGGTCATGGAAAGAATAAACAGGTGGCTGTGTTTGAATGTTCAGGGTGAAAATGTCCATACACTTAGAATATGGAAATAGCCTTGGAAGAATCTGGTTGTTAGACCACTTTAAAGTGTTATTGAAGTTGGCTTTAATTCAGGTTGCTGGCTTCTAAGAATAGGAAAAACAATAGGAGTATGTGGCAGGTGCAGAGGTTGGATAGATAATGATGTGTCTCTCTATTGTATGCTATGGCCATTAGGAAGCAAAAGAGGATGGATATTAGAAAGGCAAAAGAATGTCTTTTCCTAGAAAAAGCAGATTTCTTAAGCCTCTAAATTTCAGAGAAAAGAGTATGAATATGTTAGGAAAAGCATATGAAATACCAAATGATCTAAAGAGCTACAGAAGCTGAGTTGTGAATATATCCTGGAAACGCCTTAGATCGAAGAAAATGTTCACCATCAGCTATTGACTCAACCTCAGAGATTGTCCATTTATGAAGAAGCATCCCAGATTTCACCTAGTATTAATAATTCCTGAGATTTTTGTTCTAAATTGTATCATTTTAATAATACTTTTACATTTTAATTGAAATATAATTAACATACCATAAAATTCACCCTTTTAAAGTGTACAATATAGTGGTTTCTAGAATATTTGCAAGGTTGTGGAACTATCACCACTATCTAATTCCAGAATATTTTCCTTACCCCCAAAAGAAACCCCATACATAATAGCAATCATTCTCCAATTTTCTCATCTCTAGGCTTACTGTCTGCACAGTGTTTCCACAGATTTGCTTATTGTCGACATGTTATGTAAACTGAATTATATAATATATGACCTTTGTGCCTGGCTTCTTTCCTTTAGCCTCCTATTTTTGAGGCTCATCAATGTTGTAGCATTTATAAATATTTCATTTCGTTTTATGGCTGAATAATATGCTATTTTATGCATATACCACATTTTGTTTATCCATTCATCCCTTGATGGGCATTTGGGTGTTTCTACTTTTTGTCAATCATGAATAATGCTACTATGAGCATTAGTACACAAGTTTTCTTTTATGAACATATGTTTTCATTTCTCTTGGTATGTATAGTCCACCAAGGAGTGGAATCGTTTAGTTGCATGGTAACGCTAAGTTCAATTTTTTGAGCAACTTGCCAAATTATTTTCTAATACTACTGCACCATTTTTCTTTCCCTCCAGCAGTATGAAGATTCCAGTTTCTCCACATCTTTGCTAATTCTTGTTGTTTTTTTATCTTTGTGATTATAGCCATGGTAGTGAGTGTGAAGTGGTATCTTCTTGTGGAGATACCACATGTCTAATGATTTTAGAGATGTGCATTTTTCTAGTATGACTCATGATGTTGAGCATCTTTTCATGTACTTGGTGGCCCTCATATAGCTTCTTTGGAGAAATATCTATTCAGATCTTTGCCCATCTTGGGCTATTTGCATTTGTCTTTTTATTATTGAGTTATAATAGTTTTTTATATATTCTGGATATTAGAGTCTTACTAGATATATGATTTGAAAAAATTTTCTTCCATTCTGTGAAATGTCTTTTCAGTTTTTTGATGGTGTGCTTTGAAGCACAAAAGTTTTTAATTTTGAGGAAGTCAAATGTATTTGTTTTTATTTTGGTTTCTTGCTCTTCTGGTGTCATATCTAAGAAATGATTGCCTAATCCAAAAGCACACATATTTATGCCTGTATTTTCTTCTGAGAGTTTTCTAGTTTTTACTTCTATATTTATAGATTTTTGATCAATTTTTAGTTAATTTTCATATATGGTAGGCATCCAACTACATTCTTTTGTATGTGGATAGCCAATTGTTTCAACACTATCTTCAAAGATCCATTGATAGAAATGTAAGGGTTATTTGGGGAATCTTAATTCTATTCTATTAATCAAAATGTCTGTGTGTCTATCCTTATATCATTATTAGACTGTTTTGATTACAGTAGCTTTGTGGTAAATTTTGAAATAACTCTTTTATTCTTAACTACTATAACATTTATGGTTGCCATTTTAAAGTTTGTGTTTTTAAAATAATGTAGTTAGGTAAATTTATTTGTTCATTTATGTTCTTAGTTAATCATCTTGACTGAAAATTTACTTGATAGGGTTTTTTAGCCTCTAATTTCTCTGAATGGAGACAGAGGAAAAGTGCCTAGCTGCCTACAATCTGTTTGAACAGAAATTGACGACTGAGATTATACAAATTCTAGAAAAAATAAAACATTACCCAGCATTTCGCATCTACAATTTGAATATTATTGCTGCTAATTATACTCTAAAAGTTATTTTAACTTTAACATTTATAGAAACACGTGTGTAGCATGAAAAGAAATGCTTTGGGTATATATTGTATTTCTAGCCACACTCATGCAATTATGCAAATGTGAAACTTGCTCTGTTGAACAGCATGATATCACTTTACTTTTTATTAATTTGAAAGAATACATCTAGATAAATTGGAGTTAGATGTTAAAAAAAGCTGAGTGTTGTTGCTAAACTTGGGTGTGTGTGTGTATGTCTGTGTGTGTCTGTGTGTGACAGAGATAAAGAGAGAAAAGAATACTAATGAAACTTATTTTCTAATATATTCCTCTTTTCTAAGATAGGAATGTGAATATAAAATATGCAAACAATATATGCACTGTCTAACCAAGAAGGTGTGTATTCATGGCATTATGATAGCTAAAGTATAAACGTAGCTGACATGATCCAATATGTGATTCATAATGTTTTACAGACAATATTTTGTTAGGCATTTGGAAAAAGGAAAACACCTAATAATAAAGATGTGTATATATATATATATATATATATATATTTTCCTTCATTCTCTCAGTACTATTTTCTATTTGATGTGCATATGATACATTTATAAATGCATATACTTACATAAAAAAGTATTTATATAATTTATGATGGGATTCAGGGTTTTTTGGTCCAGATAGACATCCACCAAGCTCTAGGTAATAACATAACCTTTGTCTCCTTAGGACAAAAAGTGACTTTTCAAAAACAAAAGTTGTGTTTTATACATGATAATCAGGACAATACACTATAGTTAGTTGTTTCTCTTTCAGGTTCACTGTATAGGGAAAGGCATATTAACACTACTTAGATTGCGTCCCTTTCTCTCAACATCATTGCTTGTCTCTAATGGGCTGCCATCTCCAGTCCACATGTAGGAGTTTGGGTGGGGCAGGTTCCATATTTGGTCAAAACAATCTTATTTTACTCATGTGGAACATAGACATATAAAATTTTATGCTAATTATGCAAATATTATTTTCATGTATAATTTATGAATGTTTTGAAAATCCTCTGTAAAGTGTGGAAAATGTTTTGAATTGCATACTGTTCTTTAAGCTAACTCATAATTATGTTATGTGGAACTTACCAAGTATACTAGTGCAGCATGTATTTAGTTTTCATTAATTTGGAAAAAACATACTTTGCTACATTGTACATTTGTCATTCAAAGTCATTATAACAAATGCCATTAAAGGCTAGATTGCCTGGTATGTTAATGGTCCCAGGTTACATTGTTTGTTGGCATAGGGCCTGGTCATTGCTCTTTTCCATCCTCATAATGGAGACCATCTCCAGGATGCATTACTGGAGCCTGGTCTGACCTGAGGGCACCAATGGAGATGGAGATGGCACAAGAAGCATTCCTTTTCCACCATCCCAGTTTGGCTGTGCCACACGTGGGTTTGCGTATCACCTACTTTCAGCATTACCAAAATAGGAATGCAGCTGCCTTCGTTACAGGGAGGTGATAAAAACCGCATGCTGAGCTGATATTGTAAAGAACATCCTATTAAATTTCATTGTATTGTTTTTGTTATATACTTTTAAAGATTTTTAAAATATATTATTTTAAAAATTAATATTTTAAATTTAAAATTTAAATTAATATTATTTTTTAAAGTATATTATATATTTTTGAAATAAATGTCAATGGGAAACTCAGGTCCTAACTCTGTGCTATTTAATATTCCATGATATAACTGCGTATTAGTGGAACGCTGTCTCTAAAAGGTGAACTAATAATAGTCACTGCTTATTGATATATTTTTACAGAGGTTCCTTAGGAGACAGAATATTTTAAGCTGGTAGTGGTGAAGATGATTGAATTTTCTTTTTAAATGGAGGGGGCTTACGCATTCTTAGCTTATTTTAGAAATCCTACTCTGGGGATCATGCACATTTGCATTGAATTCCATGGCATAAAAAGGAAGTTAATTCACACCTTTTCACACTAGTCTAGTTTATAACACCTTTGTAGCACACATTAAAATTTTTTAAATTGGTGAACTCACATTTTTTTCTCAAGTGTGCCTGAATTTGGTTTATTATGTGTGGCAAAGAGTAGAAAGAATATATGTCATACTTTGCTTTTTCTGAAGTTATGCCGTATCCTGAAGTTATATTTTTCTTCTTCTTCTTTCGCTCTGGGATTCCAGCTTCATGCTAGTGCTATTAAGAGCTATTAGCATATAGGTCCTTCAGTCCTTTCATATATTTATTTCAGTTATTTTAATTAAGCACTGTTTTATTTACTTGCGTTCTGTTTATTTTCTGCCTCTCTCAGTGAAATAGTAAACTCCATAAGGGTATGGACTTGCAGTAATCATAAAGGATATAACAGAACATATTAAAATGTAAATATTTTTGGGCAGTTGGGGAGAGCAAGGATTTAAGTGAGGGAATGACTTGATTGGATTTACATTTTAATTTTGGAAATGATCTTGATGGTCTGGTGGTGGTGGTGTTGTAGGACTTTCTCCTTAGCTAAAAGCCGGGTTGTCACACGATCATGAAATATTTGGCTTGCAGACCCTTTGAAGGGTGAGAAAAATTGAATTTATTGGGTGAAAAGGAAAAAAAAAAAGGAAACAGGGACTCTCAGCAAAGCGAGAGTCCTCCTAGCTGGTTTCCCACCTCAGGTTGAATCTCAGGTACTATCCAGGAAGAGGAGGGGCCAGACTCCTCCCCACTGCAAATGGACGAACTTCCTGAGGCCCCACCCCAGTGCACACTCCTCTCTCAGTGTGCGGTCCAGTCAGAAGTTCTCCAGGGACCCCTTTATACTTGGCTGTCTCAGTGAGAGCATGTCTGGGCAGGAAGAAGACTTAGAAAGTTGATGCAGTAAGAGATGATGGCCTGATTTAGGATATTGGTGGTAGGCTGGAAACTCGCAGAAGTATTTAAGCAATTATTCAGGAGGTAGATAGAACCTTTGAGGCTTGGTGCTTCACTCATGCTAGTGGTAAGTGAAAAGAAGAGTCAAGGTTATTCTCAGGCTTTGTGCAATTGTTGAAGTCATACAGGAGGAGAAATGGTTATTTTGTATAGTAAACAAGTAACTCAGTTACAAATTTGTTTCATGTGAGGTTCTTGAAAGCTTTCAAGAAGAAACATACAGGAGGTTGTTGGAGATAGGAATTTAGAGCTCAGTGGAGAGATCTCTGCGTGTTTAGGTTTATTGATGCATAAATGGTTATTGAGACCATAGTAAAAGAGATTTTCCAGGAAAAATATAGACAGAATAGGGGATTAAGACTAGAGCCCTGAGGATCTTTAACATACATAGAATAAGCAGATGAAACAGCCCGAAAAGACAAAATGAAGGAGTAGCCACAAAGATATGCAGTGAACCAGGTGAGTGGGGTGCCCTGAGAATGTATCCAGAAGTCTGTGGGCAATGGTGCCAGATAATACAGAAGAAGCAAGCAGGAGAAGAACTAAAAGATACCTATTAAATATTAATTGAAACAACATTTGTCTAGGGTCTATTATGTGAATGTGGTCTTCAAACAGTTCCATAATGCCAGCTACCAGCTTTCAAAGTATTTCATGAAAAAGTTACCACCATTAATTCCTGATAACCTAATCCAGATTGTGCCTTCTGACCTTTTCCAACTTTGAAAGTTTGAAGCCACAAAGAAAGACCTTTCCCATGTTGCAGGAGCAAAATAAATAAAGGAAGCTTTTCTTTATTTAGATCCAAATGCATGATTTATAAAAAACACTCTTTGTTATGAAAAATGATTTCATTAAGAGAAAAATGGAAATTTTTTTAATGTTGCCAAACAAAGTGGCTCTCCACTATTATTTTCAGGGAAGTCAAATCTATTGCATATTGAAATTGTATATTGATATGCAGATACCCAAAAGATGAAATGCTGACACACTCAGCTGGTTTCTTTCATTTTACTTTCTTGTTGTTGGCTCTGCACCTAGGGAGGCAGTCATATGAGATAATTATGATTATTTGAGTGAAAGAAAATACAATACTTTTTATAAAATGATGAAAAAATGTAACTGGAAAAACTCTAGGAAAAAATGAAAGTCCAATTATAATATTATTTTCTTATCTTTTTTTGGGTACTCAGTTTCAATTTATATGTGCCCGGTGTGATAATATGAAATACCTTTTGAGTTATACTCTCTTTTGAAATTGAATCCTACTTTAACTTCTTGTTGCTAGAATTCCTTCTATATTTACAACTCTCATTAACAGTATATGTTAAAACAGATATGGCATCTTTATGATTTAATCAATGAAACTCATGATAAAATATCAAATGTTCAACGTTGACAAGAACGTAAATGAAAACAAGATACTAGACCCAACAAATACACATTTGGGTAAACATATAGAGAAAGCATAACACATTCAATAAAGTAGATACTTTAACAACTGCCACTGAGGAAGTAAATGATTCTCTTGGTAGAAGAGAAAATTAAGTTGGAAGAAGGAAATGTATTTGACTTAAATACCTTAACAAGGAACTCAACGAGCTTTGTGATTGCATGAGGGCAATTTAATGAAGTCCTGTGGTTCCTTTGCTGTTGTTGTTGAAGTTGTTGTCATTTGTAATGTGATCTCTTTGCCTAATGGATTTTATCTCTTCTTTTCTTCAAAAGATGGAATTTTCCTTGATTTTTAAAATAAATCTTAAACTGGCACTTTTAGCTATTTGTAATGTATTTTATCTATTTCTACATTTACTAGATATGAGACTTAATATGACTAATGCTGAGTAGTCTCTTTGACTTCACCTGAGTAAGCCTTTGAGATTCACATTTTATGCCATTGCTCCAACAGGAAGACCCTTCTACCTAGACTACCCTTCCCTTATTTTTCTTTCATATTTCTGCCCAAATATGTAAGGGCCAACTCAACTGTTGTTGTTCTTGTATAGCCTTCACCTCTCATCCCAGTCAAAATGAGTTTCACCTTCCTCTTTATTCTGGTTTGATGACCCTTCCTCCCCATACAAGTAGAAGCAGCAATGTTAGATGAGTTCCCTGGAGTTGCAGCCTGAGATTGGGTGGGCATTGCTTGTGTTGAGACCACAGAAGGTAGAGCCAAGGGATGTATTCCACAATACAGCATAGTGGGAAAGAGCCAAACTCGGATAATGAATCATCAACTTGAATGGTTAAAATTTCAGGGACCATCCAAACTGGAGGCTCTAATCAGGAAAAAATGGTTTGAAATTGAGGGAGAAAGTTGGTACCTGAAGACAAATTACTGAGCCAGAGAAGACTGGACTATTTTTAGAGAATGCCTGCAGACTTGGCAGGGCAGAAGGTAGACATTGAAGACCTTGACCACAGGAGGACACCGAATCTTTGTTTAATTCATCATGTAACACTTATTACAGTATTTCACCATGGATTGTAGGTTGGTAAATTTTTTTCTCACCTGGTATATTGCCAATGTCTCCAAAGTCATGTTTTCAGTGTTCTCTCCTTTGTATCTATTCCCCAAGCAGTATAATGTCTGGCACATCGTAAGTGCTAAATAAATATTATTTCAGAGTTATTCTTATTATGTAAATTTATAGCTAACTCTCATTCTGAACTGTACTTTCCTGTACATGCCCCCAGTGAAGTTTAGTCATAATTTCCCATTTTTTCAATTTATAAAAGTACCTTCAGCCTGGGCATGGTGGCTCACACCTGTAATCCCAGCACTTTGGGAGGCCCAGGTGGGCAGATCACCAGAGGTCAGGAGTTCAAGACCAGCCTGGCCAACATGGTGAAACCCCGTCTCTACTAAAAATGCAAAAAATTAGCCAGTAGTGGTGGCACGTGCCTGTAGTCCCAGCTACTCAAGAGGCTGAGGTGGGAAATTGAACCTGGGAAGCAGAGGTTGCAGTGAGCCAAGATTGCGCCACTGCACTCCACCTGGGTGACAGAGTGAGACTCCCTCTCAAAAAAAGAAAAGTAACGAAAAGAAAAGGAAAGAAAAGAAAAGAACCTTCAGGTTTATAATTAAAGAATTCATGATGAAATAAAAAACAATATTTCATTATTGAGTAAATATTGAACCCATTTTGTATTTAAATATCACATAGGGCCAGGCACGGTGGCTCACACCTGTAATCCCAGCACTTTGGGAGGCTGAGGTGGGTGGATCACCTGAGCTCAGGAGTTCGAGACCAGCCTGGGCAACATGGCAACATTCTGTTTCTACAAAAAAAAAAAAAAAAAAAAAAAAAAAAAGCCAGGCATGATGGTATGTGCTCATAGTCCTAGCCACTGAGGAGGCTGATACGGGAGGATTGCTTCAGCCCAGGAAGTAAAGGTTGCAGTGAGGTGAGATCATACCCCTGCACTACAGCCTTGGTTACAGAGCAAGACCCCGTCTCAAAAAAATAAAAATGACATAATATTAACGTTTCTATTTTTATATGAAGAAGTCTATTTAATCATTCATTGATTTATTTTTTCAAATCACTTCTTACTGTGTCTTGAGAATTTTACAGAAAACACTATTATTGCTTCTTTCACCAGCCAGAAGAGAAAGCATGATTGTGTTAGGTAGCGTGACAGGTGAATGCACAGTGAATGACAGGAGTCCTTGTGGGAGTAGCTGTTCTCTCAGGGAGAGGTTAAGGAGTCCATTTTAGCTAAGTAGATGAATGAACAGGGTCGGCTGGGGGGTCTTGAGGTATGAATGCATACGGCTATAAGGGAAATGGTTCAGTAGCTGAATGTCCTGAGGACTGAGAAACGATGGAAGATAGTAAATGCAGAGAGGGGACAGGTCATGAAAACATGCCATACTAAACAGTTTGAGTTTTATTCTTTGCCTTGAGAAGCACTGAAGGATATATGAAGGGATTCAGGTACCTTTCTTGTATTCTTTGCTGCTTTACCTTCTACTTAATTTTTGATTTCCAACTCACAGGTGCTAGTAGGATCTGTCAGGTCTTACCACAGCAGCAATGTAGGACTTGATACCAGCGCCAAAAATGTAACTACCAAAGTCACTTAAGTGTGGTATTTGCACTGGAAACTCTATTTCCCCATTTAATAACTCCTTTGGCATATTTGAATTCAGTGTCAGATTTAAAACATATGTAGGCTCAGGCTTTACTTTTTTAAGTAAGTTAAATATAAAATATTACAAATACTTTTTATGCCAAATCTCTTTGGAAATTGAATGTACTGATATTTATTGTGGAGATACCTCAGCCATACATTCTAAAAGCTAAACTAACATAGCTAAACTAAAATGTGACTGTGGTCTATTATGACTAATTTATTTGCAATTGTGTCCTCCTGAATGCAGTAAATAGAAATCATTATGAACAGTCCTCATAGTACAACAGCATTACCTTATAATATTTAGAGAATTTATTCTATATCTTGACTCCTTAATGTCTTAAACCAGAACTTCAATGTGGTGAATAAATTTGTATCCACATGCATCAATTATATTGCAATTACGGTAGATGGATTTCTCAGTAACCCTAAAGAGATGGATTTCTAAGTTACCCACTGTAATATATTATTTCTTGAAAAGCTTTCAGGAATATAACTTCATCACTGTCTCCAGTGGACCAGGTCAGTGTTTTATTCCTCTTGCAGCCAGTTTTCTCTCTGATAATATAGCTAGTTTCTCTTATGTATCTTTTGGGAAAGCTCTTAAAATCACAGTCTCAGGTGTTTAGCAGGTGCCTAGAAATGATTTTTTTCTTTAAACATTTCTGGGATATATGATGAAATATTCTTGATGGACCCTTTGTAAATGTGGAAAAGAATTTCTTCCAAATGATTGTTGTTTACAAATTGTTGTCATCCAATTTAGATAAGGGAATTAAGAATCTGTACATGAAATTTGCCGATTGTAACCTATCAGCATAGGAGATTATGACAGTACTTGTATATCACACTAGGAATAATTGACACTAGGTTTAGAATTCAGAACACTTTTATAAAGAGGAAAAAAGATGAGAAACTCATTTTATTGGGGGTATTCAGAAAACTATACTTTAGAATAACATTTAGCTATAAATTTACAAAATGAGGATAGCCCACTATGTGTTTACTAAATTAAAAAAAGAAAACAGATTCAGAGATCATTGCAGAGGAAAATAGAGCATGAATTAGTCAGCTCTTTTCTATGGCATGAAATATGTAGATTAAATGTCATACAGAGTTACAAATACAATGAAATAATATACTCCTGCCCTCAGGAGACCACAGCAGAGAAAATGTAAATATGAAACATCCAAACTCCAAAGTATGTATATTGTTTACATTCATATGCCAAAGTGATGTGCCTGCTATTGAGTTCTGTGCCTGTGTGGCTTCTTGAAAAGACCAAATGTTTGCAATATTTTATATCTGCAGTGATAACAACCCAATTTGTTTTCTTCTGAACTATCTCTTTTATGAATAGCCTAGAAAAATGTGGTTCACTAAATCATTAGAAGCACTGATTCTGGAGGATTATGCATCATAGTATGCTACTTGGTTTTTTGGCTTAAATTATTTCAACATGGTAAAAGGAAATGGGCCTGTTTTCCATTTCTCATTTGGAATGGTCAGTAACAAGTGTCTTACCTTGGAAATTGTATCTATCATTCTTGTAGTCACCCACACTTTTGTACTTGGCTCCCCACCATCCCAACCATCTGTTACAATGAATTATAATTTCAGAACAGGAAAGGGACTATAGTTAATTGTCTTCTGAGATATGAATCCCCTTTAAATGATCCCTGATAGATACCCAGAGTGTGCTGTCAATACCTGGAATGACAGGGAGCATCCTAAGTCCTTTCAAATCTTGCTTCCTGCTATTTTCTTTGTTCCTTTCTTTTTGTCTTTTCAGCTTTTAAACTGATATTGATAATTATCATGCCTGGATGTCTGCATATAGCTTCCTAACTGATCTTTCTTCTCCATTTTTTTCCCCTGGAATATCTTGACACCACACTTTAACTAAAATTCCAAAAACACTTTGGTCATATTCCTACCTTAATCAGAAACCTTCAATAATTCCCCATAGCCTGCAGGATACAGTCAGAACTCATTAACTTGAGTTAATCTGGTCCCAACATGTTTAACTTCACCTTTCAGCTTCCTCAGCCATTTACTTGGCCTTAGTTGATCTACTCACTTTTATTGAAATTATATTGTTTTTTCTTGTTCAATGCTTTTGGAGATGCTATTTCCCTTACCTTTCCCTCTTTCACTATGACCACCTTCTTATTTTAGTACTGTCTATACTTGAAGACCCTAGTCAGTCCTTCTTTTTGGTAGCTGCCTGCAGAACACTGCCCATACTGTGATGTCTTTGTTTTCTGAACTCCCAGCGTGCCCATTTTCGGCCTCATTGATTTGGTGCTTAATTATGAGCTGAATTGTGACAGTTTTTGTATTGTTTTATTGAACTTTAGTTTATCTTTTGTATTGACGTTTAATTTTTCACACTTTTTAACTTGGCTGTCTTCCAGTAATTTTATGAGATGGCATGATAAAGCAGATGGTTTTCAAGTAGTATTCAACCAACCTTGAGCGATTTCTGTACGTCTTGCTGGGGAAGGGAAAGGGAGTGGACTGAGACTTGTGGTCTCCACCAGCTTCAAGCAGAACATCTCTGCTTTGATTTTCGTTTTATACTGAACTTCTGTATTTGATTATTTTTGAGAAAAATAAGTTAAGCTGAAAATGTTTGAAAACTATAGATGTGGAGGAGAAGAACCTGGACTTGGAATAAAGGTACTTGGGTTTTATTTCTGGCTCTGCTCCTTGCTGCCCTGGGCTTTAGTTTCCTCATTTAAAAAAAATTATAAGCCAGGTGCAGTGGCTCACTCCTGTAATCCCAACACTCTCTGGGAGGCCGAGGCGGGCAGATCACTTGAGGTCAGGAGTTTGAGACCAGCCTGGCAAACATGGCAAAATCCTGTCTCTACTAAAAATACAAAAATTAGCCATGCGTGGTGGCCCACGCCTGTAGTCCCAGCTATTCAGGAGCCTGAGGCACTAGAATCACTTGAACCTAAGAGGTGGAGGTTGCAGTGAACCAAGATCACGCTGCTGCATTCCAGCGTGGGTGACACACTAAGACTTTGTTTAAAAAAACAAAAAATTATAAGGCCAGTGTATATGATCTTACATTCCTTTTATTGTAAAAGTCTGTGATGATCAGAAAATTAGCTTTATTAAAATAGAGTGACATTTATTCTTAATTTTAAATTTCTTTTTTCTGAGAAGGGTATGTTTACATAGGAAGTTCTGTTACCAAGTGGTTTGCAGTTTTTAGTTGCTGCCACGGCCAGAATGTTTCACATATGGCACATTAATTATATGATAATTAAATATGAAAAATTCAAATTACATTTCACTTTTGTCTTGATCAAAACACTCTATACGGCATTTCCTTGCCTTTTGTTCCTCCATACCGCTTATGAACTCTTCATTAGCGTCAGACTGGAAATCTTTATCTATTTTTTAAAACAAGAAGAATTTTAAAACAAAATTACTGTTGGATGTTCAAGTAATAAAAACCGTGAAGGCTGAATCTGTGTAAAGCAAGAGAATGCTATTCCTTACAACGAACTTTTTTTGTCAATATCCTTTTCAAAGTAGGAAGTCTCCATAACGATAGGCAACAAGTGTCATCGCCAATGCTGACAACACATATCTTACTGGTAAGTTTTATTTGTTCCTAGCCTCATACCCAAATGCAATTAAAGATATCTCCTGTATTGTCACTGCAGGAGAATTTTATTTGAAAAGTGGACTAACTTAAAGCCTGAAATATACCTAGTCTGAAGTCTGTAAGTTACAATTTGACTCAAACAGAAGCCATAGTGAAACAGATGAACACCTGAAATTCAGCAGACATTAGCAGCATGCTGCTATTCAGCAGGTTTCAGCTGCAAACCAAATTCTACTGATGAGGGACTCACATTTCCAATAAATTAAACATAGAACCACGATTTTTAAAATTCCTGTTTTACACTTTTATTTTAGAAAACTAAACAGAAAACCTTTAACAACACAAGAAAATAATAATAAATATTTTGTGTATAACTATATAAGCTGCTTCAGATTATCTTAAATAATAGTATCTTCATTTCATGGAAATTAATGGGGGTGTTTTCATGTTGATAGCACTTGTGAATTGGTGGTATAAGGCCTACTCCTCTAGGTCCTGGCATTTATTACAGAAATAACCTACCAGAAATTTTTGGATGTCTTAAGAGCAGTGTGGATTCTTTCCAAATTCCAAGAAATAGTCTTTATTGATCAACACTTGCACATTCCTCTCAAGCAAGATTGTCTTGTTCAGGAAGGGAATTATGGAGACATTGCTGAAAACCCGGTCATTGAAAATTGTTTTAAAAATGTTCAGAGATTCTGTAAAGTGATTCAGTCAGTCAGTCTTCTGTAAGCATCTGGTCACATTCACTAGCAGAGACAAGGAAAAGTATTGATGTCTCACTGTGGAAGCAAAACATTCAATCCAATGTTTCCTTTCTGATCTTTGATCAGCTACATCAAACATTTTGAAAGGAACATTTTCTTTTTCTTTTCTTCTTTTAACATTTATTTTAGGTTCAGGGATACATGTGCAGGTTTGTCCTATAAGTAAATTACGTGTCATGGGGGTTTGGTGTACAGATTATTTCATCACCCGTAATAAGCATAGTACTCAAAAGGTAGTTTTTCAGTCCTCACCCCCCTTCCACCCTCCACCCTCAAGTAGGCTCCTGTATCTGTTGTTCTTTTCTTTGTGTCCATGTGTATTCAATGTTTAACTACCACTTTTAAGTGAGAACATGTGGTATTTGGTTTTCTGTTCCTGTGTTTGCTCGCTTAGGGTAATGACCTCCAGCTCAATCCATGCTGCTGCAGAGGACATGATCTCCTTCATTTTTATGGCTGTGTAGTATTACGTGGTACGTATGTACCACAATTTCTTTATCCAGTCTGTCATTGGTGGGCATTTAGTTTGATTCCATGTCTGTGCTTTCATGAGTAGGGCTGCAGTGAACATACATGTGAATGTATCTTTATGGTAGAATGATTTGTATCCCTTTAGGTGTATATCCAAAATGAGATTGCTGGGTGAAATGGTTATTCTGTTTTAAGTTATTTGAGAAGTTGCTACACTGCTTTCCAAAATGGCTAAGCTAATTTACATTCCCACCAGCTGTGTATAAGTGTTCCCTTTTCTTTCTAATCTCACCATCATTTATTTTCTGACTTTGTAATAATAGCCATTCTGACTAGTGTGAGATGGTATCTTGCTGTAGTTCTGATTTGCAGTTTTTGAATGATTAGTGATGTTGAGAATTTTTTCATATGCTTGTTGGTTTCGTGTATGTCTTCTTTTGAAAAGCGTTGGTTCGTGTCCTTTGCCCACTTTTTGGTGAAGTCATTTGTTTTTTGCTTGTTTATTTCTTTAAGTTTGAAAGAAACATGTTCAGTTTCAATGTTGTACATGAATGCTGTTGGTGGGCTTCTGGCAAGCAGAATCCTATGATGGAATGTAATCTGGTTCTCGAAGTTTATCCATTATCACTAAATATTTTTACATGTTCACCCAGTTGAAATATCCACACTGGTTATAGGGATTCCTCATGCCTGTGTCTGCCCATAACATTCTCATAGCAGAAAGATGTTATAAACAAAATAAAACAACCTTGAGGTTCCACCATTTCCTGGTTCCCTGTGCCTCCTTGGGTGACAGGATGTCAAATGCCATCGTGTTGTCTCCACTGAGTTGGTTTGAATGCCCTCCTCAAGGAATATGAAACTTCCTTTTTTCTCTACTGGCATCCTCATACTTTTGATCTCGTTGCTATAGAGAGTGGGGTGAAATTCGTCATGTGTGCACAGGTCAAAATCCTGCCAGTGGATTATCCACAGTGGCTTCAGGAAGGTGGAATTGCTGCTGTCTCTATGCCCATAGCAGGATCTTCACAGGCTGCTTGATGTAGGCCTGTCTTTTCCCAGGACAGACACTTGTCCATCACCTTGGACTTGCTGCTGCACATCGCAATACTCATCACAATGCAGCTAAGTGCATGCAAAGTGTAGACAGAAAAAGCAGGAAGCCCTGATAATTTATTTTTTATTCCAAACAATATTAACCAATGGAAAGAGCCTGCTTGGATTGAAGTACAAGAGTATCTGTTGTAGAGAAATTGATCTGGACTTAAATGCTGGCTCTACAAATGAAGAAGCCTGGCCAAGTTACTAAACCTTATTGAACCTCAATTTCCTTATCTGCAAAAGACAGATAATCTTAACTATCTCTCAGGACTGCTGTGAACACCAAATGAGAATATTAGTCTAAAGCGGTTAGCCCAGTGACTGGCTCTTAGGTATCTGGACTATTTCACCACCTTTTGTTCCCTGTAATTATTCATTTCCTTTTTTTGGACTTACTTATGAATGACTTTGGACTTTTTTCAAAAATCAGACACTTAAAAGATGAAGTTTGTCACCATTCAGGCTCCAAAAACATTTCTAAATGATATCCAAAATTTAGTGGTGGCAATTTCAATGGAATAGATTCCAAATAAATACATATTTAGATGTCTAGCTGTGTTTGCTCTGTTAGAAATCAATCGAATTTACCTGAGAGAAGGGAGAAGAATTTTACAAAAAGAGTTAAAGGAGAGTTTATGGGAATGAAAATTTCACCTTTTTTGATGTCTTGTTTTGAGTGGTAATTGTATCAGTGTATATAGCTTTCAAAACTCAATGAACTAAATATCTATTCTTTTTAATTTTATCTTACCTGTAGCTCGGTTTTTTAAAGTACCCATGTTGCTTAAAATATTATTCAAAAAAGTTATAGTCTCTATTTCACTTTGATTCTGTAAGGACTTCATAACAAGAGTCTCATCGATTTGTTAGTTGAGGCTCATATATTTAAGTGCTGCTTGTAAGACTAGGTATTAGTATGCCAAATTAAATTTATGGGGCGTGTGGGGTGTGTATGCTTCTTGTTAGACGATATCACTCATTTTTAGTGTTTGCTTTTCTCTCATGCTAGAACCTGTAACTTCACTCTACATTGGCCCCATTGTGAAATACTTAGAACAATTGTTTCTTGAGTTTAAATAAAAAGTCTTATGCATTTACAATGTATTTTAAAATAAATTATCGTTTTTCATCCATAAGTGAAGAAGGTCAGGGATTGTTCTCTGCCAAGGAATGACTTTACTATGGATCATTTGAGAAAGAAAGGCCTACTAAAAACTATTCGAGCATAACATCCAGTTTAACATAAACACGTTTTACTTAAGTTAGTGAAAATGTGAGGATAGAAGTTTGCAGCCATGTTCTTCATGGGGGTTTTATGTTTTAAGTTTTCTTTAAGCTTGTAACAGTTCATTATTTTCTCTTTGATCTATCTAGCAGTTGAATCAAAGTTAGTTAAAATTTTCATGTGAGAACCATAGTTCACTTGCTTAATTCATGTGTTTTAGATAGTATTAAGATACTGTGTTCATCTGAAAGTTCTTATAACTGGACTCTAAGAAATATATATTCCTGGTATGATTGTTGTTTACTACCCCCAAGTAGTTTCAAAATGTTTAATGCCTTCTTCATTCTGTGAATAAATGACGTATGTTAACTTTTATTCTATTTATTTTTCCAGATAAGCATTTTTAATATTATATTAGTTACATCAAAATATATTTAGAAATTAAACAATGTAAGTTTAGTCAAGTTTCATGAGATAATGATTTATATCGAAGACATGGTTTTCATTTTGAAATGTTATTTTGGGTCACTTTACAATGATATGACAAGTTACAAGCAAATAAGTGATGTCTACCTTTTGATGCTTGAAGGAGGCTATTACAAATTATTTCAGGCTTCAAAAATTGCACAAAAATAATAAAGTAAATGGTATAATATTTTTATTGTTGGGAGAATTACCCCTATCCATTCTAAATTTTTTTTTGTAGATAGTCTAAGTATTATCTTAAAATGTTAATTACTTTGGTGCTTTAAAATAACAGTGACTTTTTCCTCCCATGATTTTGAAACCTTATTAGGTCAGGTGTATAAAAGTAAGTGACATTTTAAGGTGTTGCCAACTCAATAGTGCTGTCTCTTTGCATGTGTTTGTGAAACCGTTTCCTTCTTGAAATCCCTTGCAAGTGAATACATTTACTGTTCTAAAAATGAGAAAATCTGAGTCTAATTCATTCCCTATGTTTAGGAAGAAGTTGATTATGTGTCCTTTTAATCCAATACCTTTACTGAAAATAATAACTTTTTATAAATTCATTTGATAACTGAAAAGTATTCAAACAGATTATTTAAACAAAGCTCATACGTGTGAATGTTGGTTGTCACTGCCTTCAATAAGGAATAATCACTGAGGTGCAAAAATTACCGATTCTTATGTGGAATAGTGGGCACAGACAGCCCAACATTTGAATGAAAATTGTAAATGAACGAAAGCTATTATAACACTTCATAGCAACATCTAACTGGCTCTGTAACTAGAAGTACATATTTGATTACTTATTTTGCTCTGTAAATGTCCTGTTTAGATATTTGGTGTGTTTTTTTTCCTATTAGTTAATAGGTCTTTTTTTAATATGTAGAATTTCATTATATTTTCAAGATAATATCCCTTTGTATGTTATATAAGGTTCGAATATTTCCTCCCAGAGAATAACCTGCCATTTATTCTTTAACGGTATATTCAGACACTAATACTTTCAAGATAGTGAATTAATAATTATTTTAACTTACCTTTTGTGGGTTTCTTTTTCAGGCAAAGGCTGTCTTGTTTAGGAATAGTTTATAATCTTAAAGAAAGGAAACTATTCTATATTCTCCTCAAAGTTTAAATTTTTCATTACATGTAAGTCTATGATTTATTTAGAATATATTTTTTTCTGTATGGGTGAAGTAGGGATCTGATTATTTTTTATTGTTTGGGTAACCAGTTGTCTCAGTAGCATTTGAAGACTATTTTCTCCCAGTTCATTTGCCCTGCACTCTCTGCCTTACATTGGCTTTCTATATAGCACAGGCCTGTTCCTGGACTCTCTATTCTGTTTCCGGGGCCTGTTTGACAGTCTCCAAGTCACTAAAGTTTGTCTTAACTAAAGTTTGCTATAGCTTTATATTTAACCTTAATATTCAGCTGGGTATGTTTTGAATATTATCTCCTTCCTTCCCTGTAGTCTTTTTGTGTCTTAAATGTGGGGCCTCTAAATAGTATATATCTGTTCATTTAAAAACCATCCTGGCATTCTCTGCCTTATAACTATTATTTTAGTCTACTTACATCATGTTGTTTGGTATTCCTGTCATATTTGACATTACTACTAATAACTTAGGTTGTTCATCCTTCATTCCTCCCTTCCTTCCTCCTTTCTTCCTTCCTTTTTTCTCTTTTCTTTCCTTTTCTTCCTCCTCTTTCTTTCCTTCCTCCCTTTATTCCTTTTTTCCTTTTTTCTTTCCTTGTCTTTCCTTCCTTCCTTTCCTTCTCTTTTTTCTTTTTCTTAATTTCCTTCCTTCCTTCCTTTCTTCCTTCCTTCCTCCTTCCCTCCCTCCCTCTATCCCTTCCCTTCCCTTCCTTCCCTCCCTCCCTCGCTTCCTTCCTTCCTTCCTTCCTTCCCCTGCTACTTATTTTCTTCCTAGAATTCTAATCATTTTTTTTATCTGCTACCTGGATCCCCCCTGTGGCCCTAGAATGAGGTTCACCACTTTTTCAAGGTTTTATGAAGGATTTAATTCTGTGTTTAAAGGGGCTTACAGGTAGAATTAGACACCTGAACTTCTCTATCGGTGGGACAGTTTAATATAATCTTTCCTCACCCTCCCTTTGTCATTCAAATTAAATATTTTAACATTAAGCTTTTAAAATATAAATGTATTTGCTTGGGGTGCAGGACAGTATGATCTAACCTCCAAATCTTTGGTTGCTCTTAAGCACAAGTAAAGGACATTTTTTATTTTATTTTTTCGAGATGGAGTTCACTCTTGTTGCCCAGGCTGGAGTGCCATGGCACGATCTTGGCTCACTGCAACCTCCTCCTCCTGGGTTCAAGCGATTCTCCTGCCTCAGCCTCCCGAATAGCTGGGATTACAGGCATGTACCACCACGCCTGGCTAATTTTGTATTTTTAGTAGAGACGGGGTTTCTCCATGTTGGTCAGGCTGGTCTTAAACTCCTGACCTCAGGGGATCCACCTGCCTCGGCCTTCCAAAGTGCCGGGATTACAGGTGTGAGCCACCGCACCTGGCCTCAAGTGAAGGACATTTCTTCTGAACAAAGTTGCCACAAGCTCGGAGACCATCTGACACTGAAAAAGGAAAATTTAATGGCAAATGCTCTTCTCTTGGATGTTACCACAGACCTCTTCACTGTTTCAGGAAATGCAAGTAGGGTCTGAGCTGGTCCTATGGTCAAGAGGTGTCCATTGTAGCAACCCCATCTCTTGATTAGATATTGGAATGCAGTGTTTTTTAGGATCTATTTCTTGATCTCAACGTTGGAGAAACTTTCTCCAGATGGGAGATTGTCCTGTATTATCTGGGTGGGCCCAATCTAATCATGAATCCTGACAAGCAGAGAACCTTTCCTTATTGTGGTCAGAGGGCGAGGTAATTACAGAAGAAGGATCACAAAGATCTGATGTGAAAAGTACTTCACCCACTGCTATTGGCTTTGAGTTGGAAAAGGGCTGTGCGCCAAAGAATGCAGTGGTGGAAGCCGGAATGACTCTTAGCTGACGGCCGGCAAGAAAATGCAAATAGTCCTACAACTTCAAGGAACTGAATTCAGCCAACAACTCCAATGAGCAAGGAAATGGATTTTTCCCTAGAGCCTCCAGAAAAAAATGAAAGTGGTAACTTTAGCCTGGTAAGACCCACGCTGGACTTCTTCTGACCTAGAGAACTGTAAAGTAACAAATTTGCATTGCTTAACTTGTTCCTTTTGTGGTAATTTGTTGTGGCCACAGTATAAAACCAATACCAAATATAATTATTTTTCTTTTTAAATAGTCATAGAGACAAAGGAGAAATATAAGGAAATGTATGAAGACAAGTGATCCTTAGTAAAACTTTTTCTTATGTGAAGAAGACCAAAGCTCTGGTTGACCTTTGTAATCTGAGCTCAGTAATCATTTTCCTAGAGTAGTATTTCCTGATGAATGGATAATGGTGACAAATTGCTACTGGTATATATGCATGAGAAAAAAAATCAGAAACCTCAATTCAAGTCAAAATTCATTTATAGCTTTGCATTTTAATGTGGAGTACTTGATTTTACCACCATGTTTCCTTTTCTGTCAAAAAAGAAGCTATATTTAACCTGTTTCTCCAAGGAATTTTAGTTGGTTACCTTCTTAATAGCTACTCTGAAAAGCAAAATGCTATTAGGATTCCCTTACGTTATTGCCAAGATGAATGTATCATGGCTGACCTTTCATTTGGAAATTAAGTCCCTTGGTAATCTTGTTAAACATTCCCCTTGGAGCATGTCACTCAGAGAAGGATCAAATATATGGTCCTGTGGTTATTCTTAACATTATGCTGGTGAAGATAAATTTATGAAAACTTATTTTAGTTTTGGCTGGGCGCAGTGGCTCTTGCCTTTAATCCCAGCACTTTGGGAGGCCAAGGCAGGTGGACTGCTTGAGGTCAGGAGTTAGAGACCAGCCTGGCCAACATGGTGAAACCCCATCTCTACTAACATACAGAAATTAGCTGGGCATGGTGGTGGATGCCTGTAATCGCAGCTACTAGGGAGGTTGAGGCAGGAGAATTGCTTGAACCCTGGAGGCAGAGGTTGCAGTGAACCAAGATGGTACCACTGTACTCCGGCCTGGAGGACAGAGGAAGACTCTATCTCAAAAGAAAAAAAAAAGGTAACATACTAGTTTCTGCTTATGACTTTGATTTTGCCTCTTCCCATTTTTTTCACCTAATAGTGATTAGCCATTTCTGTACAAAACATCTTAATATTCATAAGCCTGTTCACAACAGTATGCCTTTTCATTATCAGCAATAGAAAAAGAAGGCCTAGAGAAAAATAGATTGAAGGTATGCATACAAAACTGAAAAGGAACGAGTGGCGTAATCACATTTATTATTATGACTAAATCATTCTTCTGGCAAAAAGAAACCTAAAGTATTTCAAATAAATGTTTTAAATTCTAAATGTTATGCTAACTTTCACATTTTGTTTCTTTCTTAATCTAACTCATTCTGTTATGATTTGGGGAAGGCAGTCAATATGGTGCCTTTACTTTGGTGTGCAAATACAGAACTGAAAAATGTATAAGAATGAAGAAATACAGCTGTAGGTATTAACCTGATAACCAGCATGAGAGATAATATACACAGACTGTAAGAAAACCATGTAGTCTAGACTATAATTTAAAAGGGGGTTCTGGACTAGTTAAGAATGTGAGCCTTGTGCCAGCCTGCCTCATACTGGCTACTTGATTTGGGGGAATTTTTTAAACTTGGCAGAATGCCTCCGTGTGTAAAATGGGCATTATAATTGTACTTAACTTTCTATCATTGTCATAAGAATTAAATATGTTAACATGTAAAACCTTAGAATATTTCCAGGCACAAGGTAAATACTCAGTAAATGTTGACTATTATTTTAAGTTTTAATTTTAAATGTGTTCAAACGTACACAAGAGTAGAGAGTTGCTTATATCAGTATCTGGATCCTTTTTAGTAATTACCTACCATATACATATCATATAGATGCTAGAACTACACAAACTTTACCATGTTTTAGATGTCTCTCTTTTTTCTCTTACCTTTTTCTGAATATTTTAAAGCTCCCATTTTATCTCCGCATGCTCAAATATGGATCTCTTAAAAATATGGAATATGGGCTTAAGAAAACCTTGATGCCATTTTCCCACCTTACGAAATGAAAAGTAATTTCTCCTTGGTGTCTAATGCTCAAACCACAATTAGATTCTTTTCTAATTTGTTTTAAATATATATATATTTGTAGCTGTTGGTTGGAATCAGAATCCATCCAAGTTCCACATATTGCATGTGCCATATCTTCTAGGTTTTTCTGCCTTCTTCCCTCTTTTCAATGCCAGGTTTGTTCAGGTATAATTAACATTCAGTAAAATGTATTTCTTCTAGGTGCACAGTTCTGTGGATTGTAACAAATGTATGCAATCAATGTAACCACTATCATAATGAGGAAATTTTCTCATGCTTTTTTAAGTTCATCCTTTCCCCACTCACCTTAGTTTCTTGCAGCCACAAATCTGTTTTTCTGACCCTGTAGTTTTGTGTATCTCTTCCAGAATATGATAAAAATGGAGTCATGTAATGTGTTGTGTTTTGAGTCTAGCTTCTTTCACTGAGCATAATTATTTTTGAATTCACCATGTTATTGTATATTAGTAGCTTGTTCCCTTTTCATGGCTTAGCATTATTCTACCACATGGTTGTTGCCACAGTTTGTTTATCTAGTCATCAGTTGATGAACTTTTGGGCTGTTTTGTCATTTGGCTTGTTTTGTGTGATTATAAATAAATCTGATATACACACATATATATATATATAAAATATATATATCAACAAAGGAAGACTTTGCCTCATCTACTCAGACTACCTGTTTATCCTATGGTTCATATAAAAAAGTTTATACAGAAAAATTAGAATTGCTAATTTCTAGAGGATGGTTTCCTAGAAGTATCCAGTCATAATTAATGGGTAGTTGTGATTTTTTTTCTTGTTGTCTTTTTCTTTTAGTGTCATTATGAATTCCTGGGTTTTTCATATATTCAGTGTGTTTCAGTCAATTTTAGTGATTCTTGTTGATATATATATATGTTTTTGTGTGGATGTATATCTCATTTCTTTTGGGTAAATGCCTAGGAGTATTGACCTAGGTTTACTAGGCTGTGTGGTTAGTGTATGTTTAGCCTTATGCAAAACCACCGAACTGTTTTCCAGGGTGGCTATGTCATTTTGCATCTCCAAAGCCATATACGATCATTTCAATTGCTCTACATCTTTGCCAGTACTTGTTATTTTCGGTAATTAAAAATAATTATTTAACCATTTTAATAGGTATGAAGTGGTATCTCATAGTTTAATTTGCATTTCCTAATTACTAATGACTTGGAGACTCTTATAGTGTCCTTGCTTTTCGTAGACCTTTTGGTCAAGACTTCTCCAAAACATTTGTTTTTCCATTACATTGACTGAGGAAACTGAAATGGATGTCCTATTTTTTTCTTCATTGTTTTCTTTAACCTGATCTTTGAGCATTCATTATTCCCATAAACTGGAAATACGCTTGTAACACTTGGTTATATTTCAAGTTTGCTTGTTTTGAGGAAATGCTTTGTAGGCTATTTATTTCACATTACATCACTTAGGAGACATGAATGTCTGATTGACATTGTGTTCAGATGCTGCCTCCATCGTAAAGTTGCCCGTCAACTCTTTATCTAGTTACCGTTTCCTAAATTGATTATTTCATTGGGTGCTACAAAATAGTGATGCATTCTAATTTTACTCTTCCTCTGGATTTATCAGTAGGATTTCTTCTGTAAAGGAAGACTTTGCCTCATCTACTCAGACTACCTGTTTATCCTATGGTTCATAAAAAGAGGTTATACAGAAAAATTAGAATTGCTAATTTCTGGAGGATGGTTTCCTAGAAGTATCCAGCCATAATTAATGGGTAGTTGTGGTGATTTTTTTTCTTGTTGTCTTTTTCTTTTAGTGTCATTATGAATTCCTGGGTTTTTAATATATTCAGTGTGTTTCAGTCAATTTTAGTGATTCTTGTTGATATTCAAATTTAGGATATAATGAGATAAAAAATAAAAATGTAGAAGCAGGTAGATTTTCTTTTTTTTTTTTTTTCTTTTTTTGACGGAGTCTTGCTCTTGTCGCCCAGGCTGGAGTGCAATGGCACGATTTCAGCTCGCTGTAATCTCTGCCTCCTAGGTTCAAGAGATTCTCCTTCCTCAGCCTCCCAAAGGGAGTACAGGCACACACCACCACGTCCGGCTAATTTTTATATTTTTAGTAGAGATGGGGTTTCACCATGTTGTCCAGGCTGGTCTCGAACTCCTGACCTTAGGTGATCCATCTGCCTCAGCCTCCCAAAGTGTTGGGATTACAGGCGTGAGCCACCGCACCCGGCGCAAGCAGATTTTCATATGCACTTGAAACCAGTTTATTTTCTGGCTCTGTGTATGCACCAGTCTCACATAGACATCCGGAACAATTTTTTAAAAGCTGGTAGTTTTAAAAGCTGGTAGTATTTTATGGGGTTTATATGAATTAATGATTTGGGGAAAAGTGTTCCTACTTGAGAACACGCAGTTTTTCCTATCTTTTTGAGTCTTTGGATCTTCCACTGGTGTTCAAATATCTTCCTCTTGCACATTTCTGTATACATAGTTTATATTTTTTTGGTTCCTGCTATAAGTGAGGTCTTTTGGTTCATTAAATATACATTTGAAAATGCCTATCTTTTAGATGTATTTTCTTCTGTATATATAAAATTTTTCTTTTCTGTATGTTAATGTTTACATTTTCTATATTACTTTTATCTCTTAATGTTTGCAGTAGTTTTTCAATTGTTTTTCTTGGTTATTCAGACACTTATTTACAATTAGGGATAATTCTGCCTTTTCTTTTCTAATTGTCCTGTCTCTAATTGCTTTGCCTTGTTTAACTGTATTGGATAACACTTCCAAGACAATGTTAAATAAGTAGTACTGACAATAGTGGATGTATTTTTCCTATTTCTGAGTTTACTTTATAGTATTTCTGGAATAAAATTTAGCTATTATTGTTATATATTTGGCTTTTATTCTTATAATATTATTATTATAATATGTAAAAATGGAAACATAAGATTGGTTTAATATATGGTACTCTGTCTCAGAGCTGGCCAGGAACAACAAAAGGCTTTTTTACATTAGAAAGTTTATCAGTGATGAGATTTTTAGTTTTTAAATTCCTGGTAATGAATGCATTTGCACAGTGTGTGCCCTTGTCTACCCTGGCCTGCACTCCATGCTGGCTTCCTCTGCTCCAGCCCCTCCCTCCCTCCCCCGGACAACATGGCCAACATCCCTTAGGAGCAATTTTCTCCTCCTGCCTCTGGTCTACATTGCAGGTCCCTTCAGTATCCATTTGCTGCCCGCTTTCCAAGAGTGCTAGCTCATCCCTGGGTGCTGTTTCCGGGGTGTGAGCTCAGCATTGTGTTCTCTTAGCACTCATTCAGGCTGGTCACTCTGAGTCACAACCACGCTTGGAGAAAGAGTGGGAAGGGTAAGCATTCCTGGTAGATGAACCTAAAAAAGACTCAGAAAATTGTGAGTTTAAGGGCATTTGTGACCTAAAACTCTGTGAAGAACAAAAGTGTCGATGTTAGTCTGAAACCGACCCATGGAGGGAAATGGAACCCCTGAAGGGGTTGTTGGCCTCTGTGGCATCCTGTACTCCTCCTTTCTCTCTGCTGTCTGCACCGGGTGCTGAACACTCGTAGGCCTCAGCACATCACCGGCTTCTCCTCTTCTCTGTGGTGTAGTACATCTTCAAGTACTATCAAACTGTCAAGAGTGTTGCATTCTTCTGATTACTTTCTGTCAAGAGTGTCACCTCCTAAAACTCTGCCCTCCCTTCTTATTTATTACTGTGAGCTCTGTCAGCCTTGTGGTCAGATGTGTGATAATCTGGCATCTGGCTTGCTGCTGCTTATTTCTCCGCTCGGCCTCTGGCAAGTTCCCTATTCTTTAACTGCATGCCAGTGTTTTATGCCCTATTTTCCTTGCTCATAGTTTTTCTTTTCTACAAAGCCTTCTTCTTTTAGGTGTTTAGGTTTTCTTTTCTTTTCTTTTCTTTTTTTTTAGCACTTTTTCTTTTTTTGTTATGTTTCTGTTTTAAGTTTGAATTTTATTTTTAAACCATTCACATCATGCTATCCATTACATCTAGTCTCAGCTTCCTCTCTGTTGGAAAGATTTGAATTTTTTTTAACTTAATGTTTAAAATTTTATTTCAACAGTTTTTGGGAGACAGGTGGTTTTTGTTACATGAACAAGTTCTTTAGTGGTGATTTCTGAGATTTTGGTACACACATCACCTGAGCAGTGTACACTGTACCCAATATGTCGTCTTTTATCCCTCACCACCCCCACCCTTCCTTCTGAGTCCTCAGAGTTCATCTTCTCATTCTTATGCCTTTGCATCCTCATGGCTTAGCTTCCAATTATGAGTGAGAACATATGATATTTGGTTTTCCATTGCTGAGTTACTTCACTTAAAATAATGGCCTCCAACTCTATCTGAGTTGCTGCAAAGGCCATTGTTTCATTCCATTTTACGGCTGCGTAGTATTCCATGATGTATATATACCACATTTTCTTTATCCACTCATTGTTTAATAGGCATTTAGGTAGGTCCCATATTTTTGCAATTGTGAATTGTGCTGCTATAAACGTGTGTGCGCGTGTGTCTTTTTTATGTAATGACTTATTTTTCTTTGGGTAGATACCCAGTAATGGGATGGCTGGATGGAACGGTAGTTCTACTTTTAGTCCTTTAAGGAATCTTCACACTGTTTTTCAAAGTGATTGTACCATATTTGAATTAATTTAATAGGAAAGCCTGAAAGAAACCGTGGGCTGAGTTATTAAACCCCATTTTAATGAGATGAGGAAGCTGAGGCACCGAGAAGTTACGTAACATGCCCAAGGCAGAGAGGCAGATTCATGCCCAGCCCTCTGGCTTCAAAGTGTGTGCCCTTAACCACTGTGCTGAATGCTGCCCATGCACACTTCCTTTCTTTTCATTCCTTCCTTGCCTTCCTCATCCCTTTCCTGGCCTCTTTCTGTTTCTCACTTCTCTCGCTCTTTTCCTCTTTTCTCTTTCATTCCATGGCACTAATGTCCACTCTTCTAGTCACTGACACACAGGTGCATAAAACCATCATTTTCCATGCTCTGGTCCTCATTTTATGAGGTCCTTTACCAAGTGTTGCTTTCTACATCATGGCTCAAAAGCCACTCAGGGTGACGCTGCTAGGAATGGGAGTCCAGCCCAAGAATAGCAACTTTTTGTAAGGGCAGTTCCTCAGCATCGCCTGGGTTTCCTCTCTAAACCCAGCTCAAACTATTCATCTTTCTCCTCTTATACTCCCTGTCAATGCCATTGCAGGGCCCATTTCTCAAAGAATAAACTCAATAAACACAAAAATGATATGCTCACAATCTGGCCCAGCTCAGGTCTGTGGTCTTAATTTTTTTTTAGTCTTGATTTAAGATCGTTTATCTTGTGATTCCTAGATTCATGATTGATGGATGCCCTTCAAAGTAAATAAAGTGATGTCTTAAAAGCACATTATAGTAGGCTTAGAGACTTGCCAGAGAACTTTTTTCAGAAAGAAGGGCAGGAAGATTGTTTCAGGCCATTCTAAGATGAACATATTCACACATTTAGTGCCAAGATCCTGGGGATATGGAGGAAATGTGTTTACTGAGTTTTAAGGGTCTTGAGTATATCTGATATCTTCCCACATAGATTTAGTGAACAAAGACTCTGAAGTTCCTTCATTGTTTTATTAACTTTTGAGAGTCATTACTACCTCTGAACACCATTTACATTTGTAAGACAGTATTTCACTTGGACGGAGCTTCAGTATCTTGTTCATCATCTTTTATAATATTACTTCATACCACTAATTTACTGTAAGAACAGTTATTTGTTGTAATAATCTTTAGCTTTGGGTTGAGCTTTCTGGATAAAGATATACTTACATTTATTTTAGCATTGCTATCTGTACTAGTATCATGAAAATATCTCGAGTTCCTATCAGTCTCAAATTTCTTATAACTAAATGATATCTTTGAAGTTGATAATCCATTCCAGAAATTAATTAAACCATAGTGTCTTATAGAATGGAAAAAAATAAGTTTTCTGGTAAAGTATATGGATTTTTTTTGAAATAAATAATTGTATAGAAAATACACTGAGAAAAAAGCCAGAATAATCACTGAGGAGGAAAAAGGATGGGAAGCACCATCCATTCAAAAAAGTTTAGAGTTTCCTGTATTTATAGAGCACTTTTTCCAAGACTTGAAGCCTCTTGGTGTAGGCATAGGGTTAAGATTGACACACAAAATACTGGGAAACAAGTAATCTAGGATAAGCACCGTATAGAAAGTTCACAGAATAACAGATGTAGTCAAATGGAGGTAAGACCTTTTAGCCTTTGGCAATTTGGGTAAATTAATGAAGGGATCATAAATTGAGACTATTAACAGTACTCCTCTCATAAGGCATTTGGAGGACTAACCAGGCAAAGTGCCTAGCACTTACTGAGTGCTCAATACATGTTATCAGTGGGAATAACTGAAGGGCAATGGTGTGAAACAGTCCTAGTTCTGTGTTATTAGCTGTACACTTTCACCTGTTAGCTGGGAGGAATGACATTCTGTCCTGAAATGGAGCAATCTGAGCAGAATACATGCCTGAATAGAAGGCCATTACCCTTTTCTTCTAAAGTGATCTAAGGCCGTGCCACCAGCAGGCCAAGGCAGTCCACCAGAAGTGGTTTTTGGGGTCTGTGCCACTGCTTGGAGAGATGATTAGAAGGCCAGAGTTCTGTATAATAAAATAGATGTCTATAATTTTAGCCTGGAGAAATTACTTATCTTTTCTATCGTAAAAGAAATAATTGGTCAGTTTTCTTCATTACAATACCCACTGGCTTATAAATTTTCTAAATCTTACCTTTATATACTTAATAAAATGTTTTAAGTTGTCTCCACTATTGTCCTTTTTTTTCTTTAAAAATTCATTAGCCTCCATTGCCATTTAGAAGGTAAGACATACATTATTGAGAAGATCTGTTTAAGACTTTCCCCAGACTAGAGTTAGCTAAAAACATGAGAAGTTGGAAAGTATACTTAATATGATAAAGAAGAAAGTGAATTATATGTTAGACAGCACTGTTGTGGATTAAGGAGAGAACGATGTATGGCCTGAATCATAGGTGCTTTCCTGCAGCATTTTCCAGATCTTTTTTTTTCCCCCCCCCGAGACACGAATTTACTCCTAAGAGCATCAGGACGGCGTGGAAACTAACAAATGACTATTGAAGACTTAAATCAAATTGGTGAAGTTTACTATCGCACCAAGCTACAGGTGTCTTCTAACTTCTCTCTAGGAATTAGATAAATGATCTTGGCTAGCACAAAAATGTTCAGCCTAAAAATTTAGTTAAAAAGCAAAGCTTGGAGCTCCCTCTTCTAGGTATACACAATCAAAGTCAATGATTTTACTGTTGATGACACTTTGTTTTCCGTAATTGTTACTAGGATGTCTGAGAGATTAACGTTTCACATGGTTTTTCCAGGGGTTATTATCTGTTACCGGATCATGTGTCTCAGTTTTTCTTTTAAGTTTAACCTCAAGGGAATAAAAACATTTCTTTAAATCCCAATGAAAACCGTTTTCTTTTGTCATGCCTGCTGTGACTGCTCCTTTGAGGAGGCGGGTGAGCTTTTCCTCTAGCAACTTTGCTGAAACATGTATACTTAACCATGCTCTGCTGGTCCATATTTTGCAAACATATATATGGAAAGACTTTTTTCTTGTTCCTGTGTTTTTTGTAATACTTTTCAGGGAATGAAACAATTGTTATATTTTCAACAGTTCTTCAGATACTGTTCTTATTTTTTCAAATATGATGAAAATCTCTTGCAGTTTAGTCTATAGAATATCTTCAGATAGTCAGGAGCCATGTGATACTTTCTAAGTAATGGGGAGATGATTATGATAAAGTATTGATATGGAGAACTTTGCTTGCTGAAGGAATGACAGGGTTAAAAAATATCCTTCCTTTATTCTCATCTATCATTTTCTCAATTTGACACACTTCCATAAGTACATATAGTCATATTTTAAAACTTACGCTTTCGTCCTTTATTAAAAAAAAACATCAGATTTGCTGTGTTAGGATACAACCTTTTCTATGGCTGACAAAGTCCTGTTTATATGAAATATTGGCCCTTTTACGTTTTTTTCATGTTGCAGGTAACTAGAGCTGCAATAAACATTGTTGTCTTGCAATACCAGTAGTTTGCTTTTCCACAACTTATCTGATGAGAAAACAGCACTGTGTTTTATCTGAAAAGCAAATGGAAAATGAGATATTACCAAAACCTTTTAACATATAAAAATAACTACTTTAATTTTGTTTTCTTTTCAGATGAAAACAGCCCTTCCTGAATAATCAGTTTTACCATTTTGTTTTGTTCTAAGCACAAGGACTGAATGGCAGTGAGGTGTTGTTTTTCTCTCTCCCTTCTTCTGTCTTCTCTTATAATGTATTTTATATAATGCTTTAGGAGACATGGGAGATATCTTTATGTTGGTGTACAAATTCAAATGTCCAGGCTAAGAAGCTGAATGAAAGTTAAACAACAAGGTTTTGCTATTTATAAGAAGCAAATTACTATAAATCTCTACTATCAATAAATGTGGTAATTTGAATTTTCCCTGTGAAATTTTAATTTTAATGACTTCATATTGGATAATTTAACCATTCTCGTTTGGGTCAGAATATTATTTAGGAAAGGCTGTATCAAAAGATCATTTATATGAAAATGGGTTGTGAAGACTATATTTATAAATGTTATCCTGTGGCATTTTAAACCATGACCTTGAAGACCGTATTAAGACAAGTGATATGATAGAATGCTCCTGACATTGATGCATTATCACTCCTAATGACTTGGTTGACCATAACATAGACTCATTCATGAAGACTAACCCTGAGGGGGAAAAACAGCAGAATCTGTCATAAGATTCATGTTTAATTCTTTAACCTTCACATCTTTGCTTTGTTTATGGAAATATTCCAGTTATGTATTTCTTACATGGAGTCCCTTCACAACCAAATCATACATAGAAAGAGCTCTGCTGCTGGCTGGTGCTCAGGGCATCAGGTTTCCATCTTATTTTTAGTTTTTCTAATCTTTCTGAGCCCAGAAGACCAACAGTTCTGAGGGGATACTGGTCTCTTTTAAAGTCTTAGAGAAAGAGAAAGAGAGAGCGAGAAATGGGGGTGTTGCTTTCTGAAATCTAATCTGTGTCTTACGTATGAGGAGAATGTTAATACATATGTTCTCTTTTTAATTTTTTTTTGGTCCTGCTGCACCTGATTTGTTATTTTGGAAGCTGTTTTATTTTATCGGTTGTTTCTTTTGAAAAAAAAATTTTTTTTTTTTTTTTTTGAAATTGACTGCTTTGTCTTTTTTACATTCATTTAATTTTTTCTCCCAAAGGATGCTTATTTGAGATGGTTTCCATATTTCTCCTCTAGATTAAAAAATTCAATCATTTATCTTTCTGTTTTCCTCTTACTTAGTCTCACTCACACTTTTCTGACTGCTTTGAAAGAGTGTGAAAAGATGAATTACTTCTTTTTGCTTTTTTTTTTTTTTTGAGATGGAATTTTGCTCTTGTTGCCCAGGCTGGAGTGCATTGGCACAATCTCGGCTCACTGCAACCTCTGCCTCCCGGGTTCAGGCGATTCTCCTGTCTCAGCCTCCCGAGTAGCTGGGATTACAGGTGCCCAACACCACGCCCAGCTAATTTTTTTTTTAATTTTGTATTTTTAGTAGAGATGGGGTTTCACCATGTTGACCAGGCTGATCTCGAACTCCTGACCTCAGGTGATCCACCCGCCTTGGCCTCCCAAAGTGCTGGAACTACAGGCATGAGCCACCATGCCTGGCCGATTAATTACATCTTGTAGTGATGCCAGATGAACACCTGATCATGTGGGAAAATTTCTTCATTTTTTATAGTGAAATTTTTCTGAGATGTGGGGGGTGCTTTTTGTTTTTTTAACTTGTTTAATTTGTTCTTATCTTCTCCGCATTCAGCATAATAACACAACATCACACACATACCCCACACAAACTCTTGCCTTTGTGAGTAAAAAACCTGGCTTGTGGCATGTAATGCTATATTAATTTTTGTATGCATCCAGTGAAAAAAGTTTATAATCCATGTAGCAAAAACATATTTTCTACAGTGCCCAGTCCTCTGCTGGCCCTTAGGAGATAATCATTGATTGCCACATGATATGCATATGATCTGACTCTATCCAGCTAATTTTTCTGCCTTGGTCAAGTCCTTTGTGAAACTTCTTTCTGATTTGCAAGAAGAACTGACACCTCAGTGATTTTTTTCTAAGGAGCTTCTCAGAGGTAAATTCAGTGATGTGTGCAGCCTAGCAAGTATTTGTTTAATACACAACAATCCTCAGAACTATGTGGGGTATGGAGAAGCCAAGCTACGCATAGTTTTCCGTCTATAAAGGAGATTATCGTCCATCTGTGGGCAAAGGAAGTAAATGCAGGAATAGTTTGACAAAATGGAATTATATATATATTTTTACTTTTGTGTAAAATCCTACTAGAACATTCTAATTCCAGCTCCATCTCTGTGAGAACTCTCTCAAATTCATTTTCTTCCTCATCCTGCCTGGACATCATAGTTGAATGACTCTAATGAGTACTCATTGGCACTTCAATTCCATCATCAGCATGTTCAGCATAATTCACTGTGATGTTTCTCAACCATAGGATAATACAGCCTTTGCTTGACCATCTCCTGAGCCTGGGATACATTGCTACAGTTGAGGACAATTATGGTCACAGTTGAGATACTGTTGTAGAACACAATGGAACAGTCCTCAGTTAATATGTAACTCTTAACACTAGATTTTCTAAGCTTTACATTTCCGGTGTAGTATCTTGCTCTGACCACAGCCTTCTTTCTTTCCACTTGGTCTAGTTTATCTTCACTCCCATTGCTCCAGCTTTTTTCCCTCAAGAGAAACAGCCTGCCTTCCAGCCTACCTCTAGGCTGGTCAATTCCTCCCACCATGTCATCCTGTCCTTGGTTTCTCTGCCGTCCTTCTTCTCTATTTGACTCTCTCTCTTGCAGTGTGGCTGAAATGCTGACTCAGCATCTTTCTTGTGTCTGTCACTCCCCTGCTTCTGTGCCTCACCTTTACAGCAAAATTCCGATACTTGTTATTACTTCCTTTACCTTCTTCTTCCTATACCTATGGGATGAACACTTCCTAAAAAACGATCATACAGTGATACAGGTTGGTATCATTGCTAACACATGGTCTTCAGTTGCATCTGAGCCCCAGTGCTGCCTTTCTTTTAGTTTTTTTTTTTTTTTTTTTTTTTTTGAGATGGAGTCTTGCTCTTTCACCTAGGCTGGAGTGCAAGTGGTGCGATCTCAGCTCATTGCCACCTCGGCCTCCCAGGTTCAAGCAATTCCTACACCTCAGCCTCCCAACTAGCTGGGATTATAGGCGACCACCACCATGGCTGGCTAATTTTTGTATTTTTAGTAGAGATGAGGTTTCACCATGTTGGCCAGGCTGGTCTTGAACACCTGAACTCAAGTGATCCACCACCTCGGCCTCCCAAAGTGCTGGGATTACAGGTGTGAGCCACCGCACCTGGCCTCTTTTACTTCTTTTTTATTGTTATGTGCTCAGTCATTTCCTAGGATTTTTTTCTAAACCCCCCTACTGATTGCCATCCACTTCCACTGGATCCCTTCCTGCTTAGAGCAGCTGTGTAGCACAGAGGTTATGAGAAGACACTCACCATCCAGACTGTGTTCAAGCCTTTGCTCTGCAAGCTATTTTATGATCCTAGGTGATTTAACTTCTCTTTGTTATTATTTCTTCATCTGTGAAAGGAAAATAATAATGGCTCCTACCTTATAGAATCATTGTGAAGACTGTATGATTTAGTATTTCTTAAAAACAGTTAGAATAGCGCTTGGCACATAGTAGGAACTTTGTAAGTATCAGTCATTACTGCCTATTTTATTATTGAACATTGAGGCTGTTAGACCTCATATCTCTCCGTTTTGATCCTTCATATCTGCAGTTTTGTCAATAACCCATTCAATCTTAGTGTATTTCCTTCATTCTCAGAAATGATACATTAAGAGGGCATTTCTCTTCCTGTTTCTTTCTGCCTCTAGCCTACTTTCATGTTTATCTCTCTTTTTTATATATATCTTTAATCTATTCCTTGAAGTGAAATCTATACTCTGAGCCCACAAGCATACTAAAATTTCTTCCATTCTAAAAATTATATCATCATTATCATTATTATCATCTACATCATTATCAGAAACAACAAAAGAAGGAAAAAAGAATATTCCTCTGATATTTCCTCATATGCTTTCTCAGGTCCTTTCTTCTTTTTTTCTCTTATATAGATTTTTTTTTTGAAAGATTGTGTTTCCCCCAAGGTGCACTACCTTCTGGCTATAATTGCTGATATTGATCAAGGAACCTAATGATTAGATGACTGTGACATTCAAGGATTTGCTTTCTCTCTTTAGTCCACTCGGACTCTCTTCTGGATTTCACAGTTAGCCAGTTTCGACTGTCATAACATAAGCACTTGTGGTCAACCATTCCACTCTCACCCGGTTCTGCACTTGTCTCTGACTTAGCCTTGTCTTTTTTCATAGGTCTTCATTCTATTTCCTAAATATATGCTTTCCTCCAGGTCCCATTTTTCACCGTGATCCCTTGTTCTACGTATGTTCCCGTGGTAATTTAATCTATTCCCGTGATTTATCTTCTATATTTACTGTATGTGCCAGTGACTCACAAATCTCTATTTCTAGCCCAGAACTCTCTCCTGAGCCTTCAGACCACTTTCCAAATATTTCCTAGATGTGAACACCCATAGGCATCCCAAATTCAGTACATCTAAAATTAAATTCATTATGCTCCCAATTGTCGTATTGCTTCTGTATTTCTATCTTAGTGGATGCCTGCACTATCAACCCAAATAGCCCAGGGCGAAAACCAGGTAGTTATCTTAGAGTTCTTCCTCTCCATTCTATTCAGCATACAAGCCCCTGTTGATATCACTATGCTTAAAATTGTATCTCACATCTGTTTCTTCCTTAGTCTTAACTCTCGCTACGCTACCTTAATTTAGACCTTCGTTTTCCTTTATATGAGCTATTACAAGAATCTCTGAATGGGTTTTTTCCTTAATGTCACCTACTACTTAATCTATACTGTACACAGTTGACAATTATCATACTAGAACATTAAACTGATCATGTGCTGTTTTGCTTAAACTTTTTAGATGGTTTCCAACTGCCTTCATTTTATAATCCAACTCTTATGCAGTATTCTTTATCAACCAGCCTCAGTTCTTGTCAGAATCCCTCTGTGAGCGTATGACACAGATCCATTCCGCCATGTGATACTCTTCTCTTTAATGCCTACATGCTTCTATTCCCGTCCTCTGGAAAACTTTTATTTATTTTTCCAGACCTGGCCCAATTGCTCTATCTTGGGGAAGCTTTTCACAATCATTCATGAATTTCAAACATTTATTTACTCTAATTTTCAAAGTGTTTTTTAGATGGCAGTTATCACATCGGCCTGGAGCTATTTGAATTCCCAAATGGCTCTATGCATTCCTATATTCCCAACACTCAGGACGCTGCCTGGAACTTAGCAGGTGCTTAATGAATGTTTGAATGAAATTTGAACTAAGTATTTTAGAAAGTTACAGGAGATAGTTTGTCTCATTGGAGCTCAGAGTCAAGGTAGGGAAAATGGGGAAAAAAGGAGGGCATCAAAGGAAGAAGGAAGACTGTAGGGAGCCCAAATGTTATAATATATATAAGTTCCCCACGAAGAGAAAAGGAAGAAACCATGAAGAAATATACCTTGTGTATAAGAGAATATTGGGAAATTGCACTATAAAAGGAAAAAAGAATATAAATAAAGCTCTGGCAACCAGTGCACCCAAGGAATGACCAGACAGCAATGACAGTGGAAGGAAAAGGGCAACCCTGTGAGAAAGAAAAGCCTGAGCAGCGCAGATTGTCAGAGAGCATCTGCAAAAGAAAGGTGAGAGCTTTCTGCAAAAGAAAGGCGAGAGCTTTCTTTGCAACTGCTTTGCACATTTCTGCTAAGTAATGATGCTACAAAGCCACACATTTTTCCATTTCTCTCTAAAACTCCTTCAAAGAGCACTGAGACCAAGCTGTATTCTCTGTAATTTGCCCTTAGCTGTATGGAAAACATCTTTGACCTACAGCTAGTATCCTATGCAGAAACCTTCCAGTGCTCTGCTATTCTCCAGGGCTTTTCTTGCAGAAAATAAACAAAGTGATGTTCTGTAGAATGTTGACCATTATTCCTGTTCCTGAAAGGTACTGGGGAAGATAAGTCCAGGACAGTCATGAGAATCACTCTTCTCAGTTTTGTAAAGTGGGGTGGACACATCCACCTTGCATAGAGCTGCACAGAACTTCCACTGTTTGTGCCAATGTGGCCTCATATATATAGGTCAGTTTGAAACAGTATTAAATATTCACAAAATAAACTGTACGTATATGCATGCACATGCCTTTTGTGTGTGAACAACTGAAACATTCTCTGTTTGTTTTCGCCTTAGAAATATTAGCTGCCCCCGTCCGGGCGCGGTGGCTCACACCTGTAATCCCAGCACTTTGGGAGGCCCAGGCGGCATGATCACAAGGTCAGGAGATCGAGACCATCCTGGCTAACATGGTGAAACCCCGTCTCTACTAAAAATACAAAAAATTAGCCGGGCGTGGTGGCGGGCGCCCGTAGTCCCAGCTACTCCGGAGGCTGAGTCAGGAGAATGGTGTGAACCCAGGAGGCGGAGCTTGCAGTGAGTCGAGACGGCGCCACTGCACTCCAGCCTGGGCGACAGAGCGGGTCTCAAAAAAAAAAAAAAAAGAAATATTAGCTGCCCCCTTAGAGAGTCTCGCAGATGGAAAATATGCAACAGTGGGACTGTGGCCGTGATAGATCTGAAAGGAGGACCCAGGGGCCTTAGATCTCTTCCATTGCAAGGTCCTATAAAATATTTTTAAATTTACAAACTTTATTTTTTAGAGCAGTTTTAGGTGCACAGAGAAATTGAGCAGAAATTATAGAGAGTTACCAAATATCCCATCCCCACACGTGCACAGCCTCCCCAGTGAGACCCAGTACTATAGTGGTATATTTGTTACAATTGAAGAACCTACACTGATGCCCTATTATCATCCAAGATACATAGTTTACATTAGGGTTCACTCTTGATGGTGTGTATTCTATGTATTAGGAGAAATGTATAATAACATGTGTCTACCACTGATATCATACAGAATAGTTTCACTGCCTTAAAAATCCTTTAAAAATCCTTTGTGCTCCACCTGTTCATACCTCCCACCCCCTTAACCTCAAGCACTGACCACTAATCTTTTTACTGTTTGCCACATACTTAGAATCGTATGGAATGTCATACAGTTAAACTTCAGAACTTATAGTTAGAATCATACAGTATGTAGCCCTTTCATATTGGCTTCTTAGTAATAATGCATTTAAGTTTCTTCTATGTCTTTTCATGGCTTAATGGCACATTTCTTTTCAGTGCTGAATAATATTCCATTGTCTGGATATACCAATTTATCCACTCACATAATGAAGGACATCTTGGTTACATCCAAGCTTTGACAATTACAAATAAAGCTGCTATAAACATTCATATGCAGGTTTTTGTGTGGACACATGATTTCATTTCATTTGAGTAAACACCACAGAGCATGATTGCTGGATTGTATGGTAAGAGTATGTTTAGTGTTGTAAGAAACTACCAAACTGGCTTCCAAAGTGGCTGTATGATTTCGCATTTCCACCAGCAATGAATGAGAGTTCTTGTTGCTCCACATCCTCGCCAGCATTTGGTGCTGTCAGTGTTTTGTGTTTTGGCCATTCTAAGAAGTGTGTAGTGCCATCTTGTTGCTTTAATTTGCAATTCCCTGATGACATACGATGTGGAGCATCTTTTCATATGCTTATTTGTCATCTGTATATCTAATTTGGTGAGATATCTTTTAAGGTCTTTGGCCAATTTTTAAATTAGGTTATCCATTTTCTTGTTGAGTTTTAAGAATTCTTTGGATATTTTGGATAACAGTTCTTTATCAGATGTATCTTTTGCATATATTTTCTCCCAGTGTGTGTATTGTCTTCTCATTCTCTTGACATTATCTTTTTTGGAGCAGACATTTTAAATTTTAATAAGTCTAGTTTATCAATTATTTCTTTCATGGATCATGCCTTTGATGTATCTAAAATATCATTGTCATGCTCAAGGTCATCTAGGCTTTCTCTTATGTTATCTTTTAGAAGTTTTATAGTTTTGCATTTTATGTTTACATCTGTGATCCATTTTGATTTGATTTTTATGAAGGTGTAAGGTCTATATCTAGACCGCTTTTTTTAATGTGAATATCCAGTTTTTCCAACACCACTTTTTGAAAAGAGTATCTTTGCTCCATTCTGTTGCCTTCTCTCTTTTGTGAAAGGTCAGTTCACTGTATTTATGTGGGCCTATGTCTGGGATCTCCGTCCTGTTCTATTCATCTATTTGTCTCTCCTTTTACTAATACCACACTGTCTTCATTACTGTAGATTTATAGTAAGTCTTGAAGTTGGGTAGTGTCAATTCTCTGACTTTATTCTTCTCCTTCAATAATGAGTTGGCTCTTCTGGATCTAAAATGTTTTTTAACACTGTATTATGATAATGAGAAAAACAAACCTATAAGTATTAAGGATATAAACAGAAATATGAATAAATATTTAGTCTGCTTCTCTATGGATATTATACCATTGAACATAAAAATAAATCTCATGGATATTTTTATGAATACATAATGCACAGAACTAAATTTATTTTATTATAGATTACCCTAAGATTCTCTGTGGCCTATTAATTTTATGATACTTAATATGAGATTTTTCCTGCAATAAGACTGTTTGGACACTATTGCTAAATAGAATTATATCTTTGAACTGAATGTCCTTCTTCAGCATTCTTTAATAAAATTGGAGTAGTATCTTGTCAGAAAAATGGGAATGAAAACTGTACCTGGAAGTTTAGGACATTTGGAGTAATATCTTAGGACACAAAAACTCAGTCTAGAAAAATCTGAGAAATTTAAGTAAGATATTTCAAAAACGTTTAAAAAATTTCTTTAAAGTCACATTTTTTCTGATACCAAGGGAAAGTTTCTTTGCCATTCGTACTTTGACTTCTTGAAACAGCATCCTATTTAGAACCATACTGACCAGAACTAGTGAAGAGATATTGGTTGAATTCCTAACCATGTCTTGTGAAGAGCAACAGAAGAATTTAGGTCTAGAGAAGAAAAGTCTTGAGGGAGTAGAACAGAGAGATTGCAGAAACAGGTCTAAGTTTCTCCACATATCTGAAGAGTCATTTTGTTAAAGACAGATTAGGCTAATTTTCTGTTACTTTCAGAATGCAAATTAAGCGCTAATTACGCATAAAATTTCCTACGCATAGGAAGAGAATAATAGCAGTAAGATCTGGACCCTAAATTGAACTACACCGAGAGATAGTGAGCTCCTTGCCCCTTAGTTATTTTATTTTATTTTTGAGACTATGTCTTCCTCTGTCACCCAGGCTGGAGTGCTGGGGCATGATCTCAGCTCAGTGCAACCTCCACCTCCTGGGTTCAAGCCATTCTTGTGCCTCAGCCTTCCCAGTAGCTGGGATTACAGGTGTGTGCCACCATGCCTGGCTAATTTTTTTTTATTTTTAGTAGAGACAGGGTTTCGCCCTGTTGACTAGGCTGGTCTCAAACTCCTGGGCTCAAGCAATCCACCCGCCTTGGCCTCCCAAGTGTTGGGATTACAGGTGTGAGTCACCGCACCTGGCCACCCCTTGGTTGTTAAAAGCAGATGTGTGACCTGATGTATGGAATGGATTCATATATTTGGTGAAAGCTTCACTGTATGGAATTATAAATGTATAAATTATGTTCCACCTCACTATTGAACACGTAGAAAATATAAATAACAATGAAATATCCTTTTCACTTTTCAGTTAAGAAAAATTAAAATATATATGTATGTGTCTTAGTTTGGGCTCCTATGACAGAATACCATAGACTGGGAAGCTTAAACAGACATTTATTTCTCACGGTTATGGAGGCTGTTAAGGCCAAGATGAAGGCAGCAGCAAATCCTATATCTGGTGAGGGCACTCTTTCTGGTTTGTATACTGCCATATTCTCTTTGTGTTCCCACGCAACAGGGAGCAGAGAGATCATCTCTCTGCTGTTTCTTATAAGGGTGCTAATCCCATTCATGAGGGCTCTATCCTTATGATCTAATTGTTTCTCAAAGGCCACACCTCCTAATACCATCACATTGTGGGCTACAATTTCAACCTATAAATTTTAGGGGGACACAAACATTCAATTCGTAACAGTGTGTATGTATATATGCACACCTACACACATGTGCACATACTCCTCCAATGTTAGGGAGGATAAAGAGAAAGAATAGTTCACATTGCAGATAGAAATATGAATTTGTCAATTATTATGGGAAGAAATTTGTCAAAAGCCTTGAAATGTACATTTCCAGGAGGTACGTTCTTATGTATAAGACTACTCTTCGATGTTGGCTTATCAGAAACATAACCCAAGATAAGCACTTCACCTGCATGTCACTTACTAAGCAATTGTTCTTTGGATGACTGGTAAGGAAATGGGAAAAGTAGGATAGTTAAGATCATGTGACCTCAAGCCATGTCCTTTAGGAGAGCAGCTTGAGGAGCTACAGTATGTACATACCCTGCAAGGTTGTCCTGATTCGAGCCAGGGAGCTGGGCTCTCATACTCTGCAACTGGCATTGGTTAAGGAGTGAGGTCATGTGTGGGCTTGGAAGCTCCATAGCCTGAGAGAGAGAGTCCACCAAAGAAGGGTTGTGGGTATCAGCTGTTAGAAGCAAAAGCTTCATGAAGTCACAAAATTGGAAAAAGAATATCTGGTTGGAACAACAGCATTTACTAGTACAAATATTCACTGCATGATAAACATCACATTGCTTAAGAAAGCAAACGTGTTAAGCATAACACTGGTAAAATACAGACTTTCCAGCTATGAAGCGGTGTGACACAGAAGACTTCCATAGGAGTTAAGCTGTCAGATAATGACTACTATGCGTATCACAATTACAACTGAAAATACACTGTAAAGGTAGATAGATACACAGATGCTCCCTGACCTATGTCCCCACCATAAGTTGAAAATAACATGTTGAAGATGCATTTAATACATCTAACCTACTGAACATCACATCTTAGTCTAGCTTACCTTAAACATGCTCAGAACACTCGTGTTAGCCTACAATTGGGCAAAATCATCTAACACAAAGCCTGTTTTTAAAATACAGTGTTGAATATCACATGTAATTTATTGAATATTGTACTGAAATTGAAAAACAGTTCTGTGGGTATTTGTGTTATAGTGTCTGCTGAATGTGTACCACTTTTGCACCGTCTTAAAGTTGAAAGATCGTAAGTTGAACCATCCTAAGCCAGAGACCATCTAGAGTTATAGGTACAGAAAATGGAAAGATGTAATGACCAAGTAGGATTTATCTCAGGAATGTGAGTTTGGTTTGGTTTTAGAAATGGTTTTTAACATAATTCATCAGATTAAAATATGGTTTGAAATAACGTGATCATCTTGTTAACTGCCCATATAAAGTACTTGATAAAATTCAGTTTACCCATTCATGATTTAAAAAAAAAACTCTAAAACAGTAGGTATCACAAGGAATTGACTAAACATTTACAGCAAATAAATACAGTTATAAAGGCAAGGAATCTTTTCTTTAAAATCAGGAGAAAATGATACCCATTATCAACTTATTGTACTCATCACTGTACTTGATATTCTGCACATGATAGTGATACGTGGAAAAGAAAATTATAAGAATTAGAAGCAAAAAGTCAAAACTGTTACCATTATTAAATGATAGCAGTGTTCTTAAAATTGTTTAAAGTACAAACAAGATATTAGAGCTAATATAATGAAAGAGAAAGGTTTCTGGATATTAGGCCAACATATAAAACACAACAGCACCCCTCTGTACTTGAAACAAAGAATCAAAGACTGTAAACCTCTGAATAGAGCTAGCAAAAGTTTCATAAGACCTTCATGAAAAAATCGTGAAACCTTATTGAAAGACATAAAGTAACAGCTAAATAAATAAGGAATTTATAAAATGTTTGGGATGAGAGAAATCAATATAGTAAAGATGTCACTTCCCCAAAGATTAATCCATAAATTCAATGGTGTTTCAGTAAAAAGAGGAACAGATTTTTCATAGACTGTGGTAAGACGAATCTGAAGTTCACATATTAGTCAAAATTCCCAAAGATAGTCAAAATTTACTTTTCTCGTAAGGAGGCTTTATTTTAAAGCCACAGTAGTTAAAACAAAGGGATATTCATGCAGGGAAAGTCAAATAGACCAAATGAACAAAATAGCAGATAAATGAACCCACATATAAATGAGTGCATCACATGCATGGGAAAAAAAAGATAGAAAAGTTACTGAGTAAATGATGCTAGAACTTTTTACTGTCCTTAAGAAAAAAGATGAAATATGTGCCTCATACCACATATTAAAAATTAATTACAGATGAATTAGAGACCCAATTTAAAAAGTGTAACATTTTAGAGAAAACTTAGAAGATAAATCCTTAAGATCCTGAATTAGGGAAGGATTTCGTTCATAAAACATACAAACTTAGACTATAAAGGGGAAAATGGTGTATTCAGTTATTTTCAAAATTAAAGCTTTGGAATGACAAAACTTATAATCCAAAAACTAAGTGAAAAAAGTATCATGTATTAGAGAAGATTGTTGAAAAAACATATATTTCCTAATGGACTTTCACTCATCTTATGTGAAGAATTCCATAGTAATAATGGAAGCAATCTCATAATTTAAAAACGAGCCAAAGCTCTGAATACCCCGTCAGAACAGGCAACTGTCATAGGAAATAAAAACCCCAATACATATTAAACTAACTGATAATTAGAGCGTCATACGTATCATAAGACTGATAGTGTAAGTACATTTTAAGAGCAACTGCCTGAAATTGTTGGTGGCAATACAAATTGTATTGAAAGACATAAAGTAAGGGCTAAATAAAGTTAAAATCATGTGACCTCAGGCCATGTCCCTTAGGAGAGTAGCTTGAGGAGCTATAGTATGTACATACCCCACAAGTTTGTCCTGATTTGAGCCAGGGAGCTGGGCTTTCTTACTCTGCAACTGGCATTGGTTAAATGGTGAGGTCATGTGTGGGCATGAAAGCTCCATAGCCTGAGAGAGCGAGTCCACCAAAGAAGGGTTGGAGGACCCTGACTTGGGGGACAGCAGTGAAATAGGATGAAGATGTATGAATCCTATGATCCTAAGATTCTTTTCCTAGTCAAACACACTAGGGGCAGGAACCAGCTACATATATAGTGATATTGATTGCAGTGCAATTTGTAATAGTGTAAACAAAACATATTCTCAGTGTGTATGTCTGTGTGTCTGTGTGTCGTTATTCAGTGGGAATTACCACTTCTGAATGTGTATCACTTTTGCACCATCTTAAAGTTGAAAGATTGTAAGTTGAAAGTCAATTATGGAGTAAGGGAGGTGGGAAGATGGCATGAGGCCAGATTTAACCCTGTCTGAAAATATATGAAATCATGTTTTTTAAGGCAGTAGCCACTAGGCTTCAATGTACAGTGATCTTTGAGAGATGAGCCATAATACTGCCCCAGCCTACTAGACTGAGGGAGTTTTCGGGGAACACCAGGGGAAAGGCATTCCAGTCAGATCCTGGTGGATTCCTTGAGTTGAAGAACTGAGTTGCAATTGGGAGAATCTGAAGTGTCTAGACTTTCAGGACAGAATACTGAAGAGGAGAGGGCTGTACAGAGAGAGAATTCTGGAGATCTTCAGCAAGTCCTCCTTTTGTAATCAGCTGAGTACTGATCAGTGTGTACATGTGAGGAAGAGACCTGAGGCTGGTGAAAGAGCCACTCAAAAGGATTAGAAGGGAATGTGCTGAGTATTCACATACGTTTGGGTCTAACAAATGTTTACACCAGCAAGACTGGAAAATCTCATAAATTAGGAGGTACTGGAGATAGGATGAGACTCTTACCTTAGTACTGGGAAATGATTAGCCCCAGAATGATTACCAGTTTTGTCCTGCCTGACAAATTGTAGCAAGACTCAAAAGGATGAAGCTGTTTCAAGTAACTTAACTGTGTCACAGAACAAAGCTTATGAATATTTATAGAAATACCAAAATAACCAGAACCTAACACAGCAGAATACACAGTGTCTGGCATCCAATCACAAATTACCAGGTAAGCAAAGAAGCAGGAAATTATGACTCATAATAAGGACACAAAGCAATCAATCAAAACTAATTTTAGAATGGACACAAATGTTAAAATTAGCAAAGACATTAAGATAGCTTTATGACTGTATTCTAGATGTTTTAATAAGTCAAATAGAGCCATAGAAGAAATTTAAAAGACTCAAACTAATTCCTAGAGATGGAAACTACAATGTCTGCTGTGAAAAATATACTGGATGGGACTAGTGGTAGATTCGCCATGATAGGAGAAGTAGATTAGTGAACTTCAAGACACAGCAATAAAAACATCATGATGGAGCAGAAAAAAAATCCAAACCTTTGAAAAGAGCTTCATTGAGCTGTGGGACAATGTCAACTAGCATAAAAAAAATTTTGAAGAAATAATAGCTAGAAATATTCTGAATTTGATGAAGACTATAAAACCGGAGATCAAAGAAGTGAAACAAACTGAGCATAAGAAACATAAAGAAAATTCCACCGAAGAATATATTATAATCTTATAGTTCAAGATCAAGGATAACCATAATACTTTAGAAGCAGTCAGAGGGGAAAAATACATTGTGTACAGTGTAAAAAAGATATGGAAACAGTATATTTCTCATTTAAAGCAATATAAGGCTAGGCATGGTGGCTTATGTCTGTAATCACAGCACTTTGGGAGGCTGTGGTCGGAGGATGGCTTGAGGCCAGGAGTTTGTGAGCAGCTTGGGCAACATTGTAAGACACCATCTCTACAAATAATGATGATAATAATAATAATAATAAACTAGCTGTGTGTGGTGGTACATGCCTGTACTCTGAGCTGCTCAGAAGGCTGAGGGGCTGAGGCAGGAGGATAGTTGGATCCCATGAGTTCAAGGCTGCAAAGAGCTATGTTCACACCACTGCACTCTAGCCTGGGTGACAGGGTGAGACTCTGTCTCAATAAATAAATAAAAATAAAATAATACAAGAGAGAAATCAGTGGAATTACATTTTTAAAATGCTGAAAGAAAAATCAATGTAAACTTTTATACTCAGCAAAAAATAATTTAAAAAATAAAGGAAACATAAAGCATTTTCCCAGACATACAAAAGGTGAAAAAATCAATAATATCTTGCCCATTACAAAAACAGTATTCAAATATATATTTTATGATGAAGAAAAATGACATTAGATTGAAATATGCATCAACATATGTGAATGAAGGGCAAAGAAAATGGTAGCTATAAGAGTAAATAGGTAAGAATTTTATCAAGTCTCTTGAAAATATTGAGTGTTTTTTTGTTTGTTTATTTTTGAGACAGAGTCTCGCTCTGGCACCCAGGCTGGAGTGAAGTGGCGCAATCTCGGCTCACTGCAAGCTCTGCCTCCCGAGTTCATGCCATTCTCCTGCCTCAGCCTCCCGAGTAGCTGGGACTACAGACACCCGCCAGCACGCCTGGCTAATTTTTTTGTATTTTTGGTAGAGACAGGGTTTCAGCTTGTTAGCCAAGATGGTCTCCACCTCCTGACATCCTGATCCTCCCGCCTCAGCCTCCCAAAGTGCTGGGATTACAGGCGTGAGCCACCACGCCTGGCCAATATTGAGTGTTTAAACAAAAATAATAACATCATGGTATAGAGTTTATTAAATATATAAAAGTAAAATGTATGCCAGTTGAATAAGTCCATAAGAATAGAAATGTCAGTGCCCTATTTTAAGATTCCTATCTTACAAAGTGGTATAGTATCACTCGAAAGTGTAGTGTGATAAGGTTAAAAACATACTATAAATTTGAAAGTAGTTGTTAAAATGATGAACTAAACAATGTTAATAAGCCAACAAAGAAAATAAAATGCAATTTAAAAAGTATTTAATTCAAAAGAAGGCAGAAAAAGAGTTTTCAAGGGAACAAAGAATAGATGGGCCAAAGTAAAAACAAATAACAAGATGATAGACTTAAATTTAATCATGTCAACGATTACATTGAACATAACTGGTTTAAAACAATCCAATTAAAGAGCAGAGAGTATCAGATTGTATATAAAGGCAAAGCCGAAGTGTATACTTTGTATAAGAAACACAATTTAAAGATAGAAATAGGTAAAAGGATGGAAAAAAGATATACCATGATAACACCAAAGGAAAATTGGAATGACTACACGAATATTAGAAAAAGTAGATTTCAGAGCCAGTATTATTACTAGGGATAAAGAAGTTCATTTCATAGTGATATAGAGATCAGAAGAACATTTTACATATGCACCTCATAAAAAAGCATTAGAATATGTGGCACATAAACTGATGGAACTGCAAGGAGAAACAGAAAAATTTACATTATAATCAGAAATCTTAGTGCTTAATTGAATGGAGCAAGTAGACAGAAAATCAGCGGGGACATAGAAGACTTGAACAATGCCATCAGCTAACTGGACCTAATCGATGTTTATAGAACACTCCACTCAATAACTGCAGAATACATACATTTTTCCAAATACAAACAGGTAATTTTCCAAGATAGACCATATTGTAGTAAATAAAACAAATTTCAATAAAATAAAAATAATTTAAGGCATAAACTGGTAAGTTGATTACTGATAAGTATATTCTCAGACAACAATGGAAGTAAATTAGAAATCAATAACAAATCTGGAAAATCCCCCAAATATTTGGGTGGCAAATAATATATTTGTAAATATCCGTGTGCCAAAGAACAACTCTAAAAGGAAATTATAAAATGTTTTAAGTTGAATGAAAATTAAAACACAAGATATGCACATTTCTGGGATGCTTCTGAAATTGCACTTAGAAGGGCAACTCAGCACCCAACACATATAAGAAAAAAGAAATATCTCAAATTAATTGATTCAGTTTCACCTTAATAATCTAGAAAAAGAAGGGCAAATTAAACTAAATGTAAACAAAAGCAGGGCAAAAATAATCAAAGTGGAAATCAGTTAGGTAGAAAAGAAAAACAGCAGAGAAAATCAGTGAAAACAAAGGCAGGTTGTTTTTTTTTAATTAAATCTGATAAATTTAGTAAGTCTCTAGCCAGACTTAGAGGGGGGCGAAAAGTAGAAAGATTCAAATTAGCAGCAGGAGGCATGAGAGTGGTTTCATCATGAACAGGTCTTCAGGTATGACAAGGATAATAGAATATTTTGAAAAACTATATGCCTATAAGTTGGACAACTTAGGTGGAATGGGAAAATTCTTTCAAGGTCACAGACTACCAAAGCTCACTCAAGAAGAATAGATAACTGAATAGCTCTCTATCTCTTAAAAAAGGAATTTGTAGTTAGAAATCTTCCTACAAAGAAAACTTTATGTGATGTGGCTTTATCATTGACTTTGCCCAAACATGTAAAGAAGAAATGATGCCAGTTCTATACAATTATCTTACAGAATTGAAGATAAGGTAGTCATTTTTATCTCATTCTATATGGCCAGCATTACCTGATGCCAAATTTTAGGGTGAAAATACCAAAAGAAAATACAAAACATGGAAGTATTCTTCATGAACATAACATGCAAAATGCTAAACCAAGTGTACCAGATTGAATCCAACAATATAGAAAAATGTGACTATATCATGACTAAGTGAGATTTATTTCAGGAATGCAAAGGTAGTTTGCTATTTGGAAACCAATTAGTGTAATCATTATATTAAAAATGATTAAAGTGAAACTACATGATCACCTTAGTGGAACAGCAAAAAGCATTTGAAAACTTATATTCATTCATTATAAAATTCTCAGCCAATTAGAAACAGAGGGAACTTCTTCAACCAATAAAGAACATCTACATAAATCCTTCAGCAAATATAAACTTAATGTTAAAAGACAGATGAGTCTTATATTTTCCTTTGGATCAGGGACAAAATGTAGATGTCCACTCTCCTTGATTTTATTCAGTATTGTTCTGGAGGACTTAGCCAGTATAATTAGGGAGGAACAAAATATGTAGATTGGAAAGCATACTAATTTGGAGAAAATGGGGTTGTCTGTGAAAAAAATCTGGTGAGATCAAGGAAAAATCTACTAGAATAATAAGTGACTTTTGCGAAGTTGTGGTATACAGAAGAAATCAAAAATTGATATTTAAAAATTAATATTTATAATAGCATCAAAACATATGAGTTACTTAGAGGTAAATCTGACAAAAGAAGTGCATAATCTGTACACCAAAAATTATACAATATTGCTGAACAAAAGCAAAGATCTAAGTAAACAAATAAACTCTGTTTATAGATATAAAAACCCAATATTATTAAGCTGTTAATTCTCCTAGAATTAAGGCTGTCAGATAACATATACGACAGCCAGTTATTTTTAAATTTTCTGTAAAAAACTAATTTTTAGCATAAGTATATTCATCTTATGGTTTTATGTGCTGTATCTGTTCACCCTACTTCAAATTGATTATATGCAATCTCAATCAAAATTCCAGTAAGATTTTTGGCAAAAATTGACAAGCTCATTTGATAATTTACATGGAAATTCCAAGGATCCGGGAATGCAAAAATAACTTCGGAAAGGTATAAGTATGTTGGAGGACTAACAGTATGTGACTCAAGACTTACTATAAAGGTACAGTAATTTTGCCAATGTGGTGTTGACATCAAGCTAGACAAATAGACCATAAGAAAATAGAAAGTCCAGGAATAGACCAGCATGCATATGGATAACTGATCTTTGAGAAAGGTGCAAAGGCAGTTCTTTGCAGGATGCATACATAGTCTTTTCCACAAATGGTGCCGGAACAGTTGTATATCCATATGCCAAAAAAATGATCTTCAATCCATAACTTACATCATATAACAAAATTAAATACAAATGGAATGGATTCTGACGATACAATCGAAAACTCTAAAACTTCTAGAAGGAGACATAGGAGAAAATGTTTGTGACTTTAGATACACTGCAAAAGCATAATCCATGAAACAAATCAATAAATTGAGCTTCATCAAAAGTAAAATCTTTCGTTTTTTTGAAGGACATTGTTATAAGAAGGAAAAGATCAGCCATAGACTGGAAGAACATCTTTGCAAAGTATATATCTGATAAAGAACTTATGTCCAGAATGTATAAGGAACTCTTAAAATCAATAAGAAAACAAAACAGTGTAACATTTGGAGAAATAATTTAAATAGCATCTATCAAAGAAGATATAAATATGGCAAATAAGCACGTGAAAATAATTTCAGCATCATTGGTCACTAAGGATATGTAAATTAGAACCTTAATGTGATACACACTATTCACACAATTAAAATTAAACCGATTCAACTGCAAGTTTTTGTGAGAATGTGGAGAATTGTTTCTCTTCTACTCCCCTTTCCCACAGTGGTGGGAAAATATAGTGGTAAAAATACTTTGAAAAGCAGTTTTCCACTTTCATAAAAAGTTAAATATACATCTACCATATGTCTGTACAAAGACTTGCAGATGAATGTTTATAGCTGCTTTATTTATAATAGCCAATAAGTGGAAATAATTCTAATGTTCATCAACAAATGAATATATAATGCATGTCACAAATGCTACTCAGCAATGAAAAGAATGAATTACTGATACACATTAAGGACCTGGATGACTCTCAAGATGATTATGCAGAGTGAAAGAAGGCAGATGAAAAGAATGCACATGTATACTATAGGATTCCATTCATATAAAACTCTGGAAAATGTAAAGTAACTTTTGACAGAAAATGCATCAGTGATTTCCTGTGAAGAAGGGATGGGATGGAGAGAGGAGGGAGGGAGGAAATGATGAAGGAGCACAAGGAAACCTTTGAGGGTAGTGTGCATTATCTTGTTTGCGGTTTTTTCTGATTTCTCATGTTCCGCAAATTATCAAATTGTACACCTTAAATGTGTTCTTTTGTACTAGAATAAAGTTGTTAAAAATAAAGTAACATGCAAATTGGTGAGTACAATATGATCTTGAAGAACCAGTAACACTAGCACACAAAACAATGGAATGGATCTGTAGGTATCCAACACTGATAAATCTCAAAACCGTAATCATTACTGCAAATGGATATATGTAGTAAACCATCTGTACAAAAGTTTATATGAAAGTTTCAGATAAACAAAACAATAGTATGTATACCTAATGAATATATAAGCGTTGATTAAATGCTGGAAATCATTTACTCTAAAACACAGGGTTGATACCCACCAAGTGAACACAGCAGTTACTCTTTGGAAGGAGGAAGAAAAGATGGGATAAAACTTGAGTTATTTCTGAAATATTTTTCTTTAAAATGTTTAAAATGAATTTGGCACGCTTAATATCTTTTTAATCTTGAGGGCAGGAATGTAGCTGGGCTCCTATTATGTTAACTTCCATACTTTTCTGTTTCACACATTTCACTTTTAGTAGTCATCCAGCTCTACAAGGAAGCCAACCTACCTGTGCAAGGAAGGTTCTCTGTTCAGAGCTTTCGTACAATGAAAAAGAGAGACACAGTTCCCGCCTTCAAGGGGTCTCTCGACTAGGCACGAGGAAGGCATTAAATACAGAATTAAACAAATAACTCTTCAGTTAAATTCATGAAAAGTGCTTCTACAGTGAACGTATCCTGAAAACATATTGCTGCTTTTAAGTCTGAGGATCAGGAAGGGCTTCTGTGCAGAGGAATGTTTAAGGTGAGCCACTGCGGAGGAGTTTATTGGGCAGGGTAGTTCTGAGGCAGGGATGTTTGAAGAGGAAATTGCAATGCGTGTTCTGTTTGCCTAGCTTTCCTGCAGCTAGTCTCTTTTTTAGTCATCTGATTTACTGCAGTATGAGAAGCATAAACCTTGATATGATTAAAAAATGAATTTTACTTTTTTGCTTGAATTATACAAAGTCAGCGATATAAATAACCACGCTTTGACTTGCTTAATACAGATGTCATTATGAGTTAAATGAGTGGATCAACCACCAGTACGTTGACACAGAAGGGCTGTTTTAAATGTCACTTCTCTGTTACCTTTCTCCCATCTAGCAGATCTCCCATAGACACCAAAGTTTAACGAGGTTGCTAGAACCCTGCAGAATCTGCTAAGTTTTCACCTACTGTGCACTAAATGTTATTCTAGAATGCTTTATGCTCAGCACGTTTTCCACTATGCCAATGTTGTGAGCTTAGCAACTGTTTGATTATTTCAAAAACAAGTTTATGGGTTAGTAGCCAGTCCTGGTAGAACAAATGAATCCTGAGTGCAATATTCTGTATGTCAGAAGCTGGCCAAATGGTTGCTGTGCTCCAGTATTCTTTTAGAATAATCCATATCAGACAGATGTATAAGGTAGCAAATGTTTCATATTTGCTTTACTGTCAACTAAGGGGAAGCCGTTTGAATTTTAATAAATGCTGACCTCAAATATTTTTGAACAACAGTTTCTAAATCAAAATCCATGGCTTTGTTTTTGTTGGAGGTTTGAATGTTTCATTGTTAGGTAGACTGTTTTCATAACAAACCAACATATGAGCACCTGCTTTATAGAATCCTCCCTCATTATTATAGAGGCAATCTACATTTTCTAGCCCCAATGATTCACTATTAGAATACAATGCCGTACACTTTTAAAACGTTGTTTCTTTGGCCTGAGTGAGGATTTTACATTGAATTTTAATTTATATTTGTTTTGGGGAAAAAAATTCAGATGATTGTAGAATGAGCTCTGTTTCTAATGACTTAAGACTTAGTGGGGATGAAAGCATAGAAAGAAAGCATTTGTATGACTTGATTTTTACAACATAATTTATCCCTAATAACAATAGAAAAATTACCTAGTAATGTAAAGAATGAATCAAAGTTGGAAAATACTAAGAAAACCTGGCATTGCTTACCTGTTTTAACTGTTACCAAAGAAAATCATAGTTTAATTTTTTTAAAATTACATTTTCTGTGAAGTATTTAAAAGGAAGCCTGACATTAGATTTTTCAAAAGAAAAATTTAAACTTCTTGTTTAGAGAAGTTAATTGTGATATTCTTGTTAAGGATTTTGAAAATGACATATTTCTATTTATATGCTTTGTGCAGTATTATTTTCATAGTATTCTCCTCTCTTACGAGTTGACTTCAGTAGATTTCTTCACAAATACTTTCAGTAAGCAATTTTGGTAATGCTTGACTTGGCCACCCAATTTTGCGGAGATGAAAACATCACCATTAGTATGTTTACAGTGTTTAACGTTCAGAGCAAAAAAAAAAAACGATGTTTGTTTACATACATGCTGAGTCATCTCTCCTTGTGAAATTAAAATGTGTAGTGAAGCTTCAACCTCAGGAAGTCATATCAGACTCACAGATTTTCTGGGATACGTTTGTTACCATGCTGTTTCAGTTAGATAATTTCCGAGTTTTCTTAATGTGGATGTATTCTTTGGTTTTTTTTTTTTTCTTGAAATAGGAAGAGACAACTACAAGTTTTAAAGAGACTTCTACTACTTGTCATCAAGAACCTGTAATCCTAAAGTAAAATAATAATAATAATAAAATAGAAAACATTGAATCAGATCTACTGTGTTTAAAACAGACTTCCTGTGTTTGCTTCTCTTTCAGATAATGAATTCTGTGCTTGCCTTTTTTCTTCAACTACTTTAGATAATTGAAGACGAAATGATAGAGAAGGATAGACTATCAACAATAACAAAAATAATAACATAACTAACATTTATTAAGGATGTACTAAGTATCATATTCTTTTTTCAACAATTTGTAATTTTTAAAAATATTTTTAGAGACAGGGTCTTGTTGTGTTGCCCAGAAAGTCTCCAACTCCTGATCTCAAGTGATCCTCCTGCCTTGGCCTCCCAAAGTGCTGGATTACATGCATGAGCCACCGTATCCAGCTACATATTCTTTTTTAAGCAATATGCGTGCGTGGATTATCTAAATTAGTCTCCACACCAATCTCATGGTGCCAATACTGTTGTTTGACTGTTTTATAGTTGAGCAATGAAATACAGTCAGGTTAAATAACTTGCCGTAGGTCAGTGAGCCAGCATGTGCTAGGCCTGGATTCATTCAAGAACAGACAGTCTGACTCCACAGCCTGTGCTCCTTATAGTAGGCTCTGCTGCTGCTAATCAGCAATTTGGTGTGACGTAGCTCTAGAATTTATCAAATTGAGATATTCTTTTTTAAATATACTGAGCAATATTTAAATATAAATATGGTGGATATAGCACAATAAAAAATGAACTCAACATTAAAAGCAGTTTTCTCTACTCCTCTTTAATATGTTATATCAGTTATTTTTGGTTAGTCAAAATATAAGGATAACCTGATGTTAAAAAATAAGAAAATAACTAGGAATCTCAGAGGTATTTTTGTGTTTGTGAATTCTCCTGACTGGAAATCACTTTGGATTATGTTACACATAATCGTTTTTCTGACATATTATCAAAAGTCCTGATATAAAAATCTTGTTTCAATACCTGCAATAATTTTTCCTAGGAAATAGTTATAACCAGGGAAAGATCCAGGTTTTGTGGGACCTGGAAAAATACTCAATTTGGGGCCATCTTTAAGAAAAATGATAAGAATTATGAAAATGAAATAGGCAGAAATGTGACTATTTATTGAGAATGAGAACAAGTCACACCAAAATATAAATTTTAAAATGCTCTAAGTACTACAGTGTCAAAATGTCACATGATTCAGAAAATAAAATGATATTCTTATTAACTACCTAACAACACAGTTATGCTTTTTCCCAATATTTTTGGATAGTCTTTGATTATCTCTTCATATGCAAAATGTTTTTATATTTTCTGTAGAAAAAATAGAATGACAATTCAGTCTTTCCTGTAGCATGGTTGATTGAAATGTATGTGTGTGCATTTGATTATTACCAGTTTAGAAAAATATCTTTTAGCTTTACAACTGATAATTGATAATGTATATGAATTTATGAGATTGTTTTCAAATTTGGGCAAACCTCTATCATAAAGTTTCTCTCATGCATAGGCTGTTAGATTTCAGGGAATTTCAAGGTTTCCTGAGCAGTGACTAGCCCTAAATACTCTGAACTTATGAGACTCATTAACCAGTGTGTGGTTGACGAGAGAGCATATTTAATATTTTTCATTATATTTGTTGATACTAACATGTTGTGTAAAATCAGCAGAAATTTAAGGTTCTTTTCAGCATGTCTATATATAGCCCTCTTCTTTAATTGGATTACCAAATAACCAAAGTGCCTTTTAATTATTTTTATTTAAAGAATATTTTTCTCTTAATAAATTCAGCTTTTAGTGTGATCTGAAAACAAATTTGGTATAATTTATTTCTAAATGTTAGAATAATTTCTTTTGACTTGATTTCATTACTCATATTTATGACATTTAATATCTGTTAAATTTTTTCCTGAAATTTCAGTTTTCTGAAAAAATGCATTTAAATATGACTAAAAAAGTTAGCCTTTCTACACAAACAAATTAAGAGTTTATAATAGCTGTCTTGCTTTAACTGGAATATTCTAAAATTTCATTTACAGTGGAATATTTGAGCTTTATTATTTCATTTCTGTCAATAAGATAATAAAAATACAGTACCTTTTAAATTATACATGGTTGTGTGAAAGAGTATATTCCTGATAGGAGGGAACTGTTTTGACGAGAGGGTCAATGAAAACTACATCTTTGCAGTTTTGCTCGTTTGGTATTTGAAGGAATTTTCTTCAGGCTAGGTTCTGGCTCTCAAACTTTGTTTTTCCCACTATACACATGCTTCTGTAAGGCATATTCATATTACTATAAGACCTCTGGCCATGTGCCTTCCTGTCACAGCACTGATGAGTTCACCAAGTGGGTGTGAGGAGAATTCCTGGGAACCATTTCCGCAATATGAAGTGTGTGTTTGTATGTGCGTGTTGGGGAGTTGTATAACAGTAACTCAGTGATACATGCAGGTGACTTGTAAATCACGTAAAAATATTCTGTGGCGCCCAAACTAAGTGTTTCCTCAAGTCAGCTTCCCCATAGCTGCGTGCCTTGCCATGCCTGTGTTATGAGGAGCACTGTGACAGAGAGAAGAACAGAGCTGAATGGAAGGAGACATGTTTTCTGTGGCTTCTTTCATGCAACACCAGCATTAAGAAGTTGCAGGAGAGATCTTATCTCTCTCAAAGCCAAACATACTTACTATCTGGCCATTTGCAGAACAAGTTGGGTGGTATCTGCTCTATGCATGATTAAAAGCATGAGTTAAAAGTAATAGGATAGGTCTAAATTATTGGCTTGTAAGTGTATCTTTGGCATATTGCTAGATTTTTTTTAAAGTAGCAATTCAATATGCATAGTAAGAACATTTAGGGACACCTTCCAATCCTAAAATCATTATGCATATTGTAATCTATAGAGACCTAAGGAAGGTCTATAGAGACTAAAATCTATAGAGACTTTAGGAAGGATGTAAAACAGAATGCTAACAGTCACTATTTACGGTAGAGAAATTTAAAGAATGTTAGTCTTGTTTATTCACTTTTTAGTTTGAGCTTATCACAGCAAGCATATATTACTATTAAAATGTAAAACTAACTGTTAAATAAATAAAAACAAGAACAGGTACTGTAAAGAAGCTACAACTTACCATTGTAAAAACCACAGCCACCCTCGTCTTTCATCCATCCACCCATCACCTTCTAATTCACCTACTCATGCCTGCCTTCATCTCATTGCTTCTTGCATCTCAACCTTTCCTCTTGGTATACTTTTCTTCTTGTTTAGTAGATATTTCAGTGAAAAGACTTTATGTTTATATGTTTCTGAAAAGACTTTCCGTTTGCCCTTACTGTTGGGTGAGAATTTAACTTACTAATAGAATTTTAGGTTAGTGGTTATTTCCCCTATACAATTTGCAACCATTAATCCTTGTCTTTTGGCGTTTGTCATTTTCCCCTCTTCTTTCTCCCCAATAATATTTAATATTTTCTTTCTTTCTTTTTTTTTCGAGACACAGTCTTGCTCCGTCACCCAGGCTGGGGTAGAATGGTGCAATCTCGGCTCACTGCAACCTCCACCTCCCGGGTTCAAGCGATTCTCCTGCCTCAGCCACCAAAGTAACTGGGATTACAGGTGTGCGCCACCATACCCGGCTAATTTTTTTGTATTTTTAGTAGAGACGGGGTTTCACCATGTTGGCCAGGCTAGTCTCGAACTCCTGACCTCGTGATCCGCCCACCTTGGCCTCCCAAAGTGCTGGGATTACAGGTGTGAGCCATCGCGTTCAGCCCTAATATTTTCTTTTATCTATGATATTTTGCATTTTCCCCATCCTCTGCCTAGGAGTGAAAATATTTTCAGTTCTTAAATTTTCTGTTAATTCAGTAAATTTGTCAGCCATTTCCTCTTCAGGAAATACCTTATCAATATTTCTTTCTGCTTTCATTTTTGGAATTCTTGTTAGCTACTTAATTTACTGTCTTTTAAATTCTCTTATTTCCCATGGATTGATCTTTCTATGTTATTTCTTAGATCAGTTTCACCATATCTTCTTTTCAGTTCACTTTCTCTCTGGTTTGTTATTTATCCAGTCTACTTTGTTAGTGATTACATTTTCATTTTCAGATGTCTATGTGATTCTGTTTAATATACAGCTATGTCTGATTCATATTCACCATTTTGTTACATAATTCATTAGTTTTGCTTTATGAATTTTTTTCATATTTCTGAATATTTTAGAAGATTTCAAACATATACTTTATAAGCTCAGTTTTGTTTACAAATAAGAGAACCTGACCAATAGTGGTAAAATCATGAGGCTTTTCCTATTCGTTAATGAGAAGCCTGGAGGAAAGCAGACCAGATTTAAGATTCCCTGAGGCCATCAGGTGCCCAGCCTCCTCTTGTTCTTTCCCTCGCTACTTCAGGGTGTTGGTGATTTTTCCTCTTATGCATCACAAAATGTCTGTCTCAGTTCTTCCCCTGTCCTCATATGAGAGTCGGGTTCAAAGTAGTAAGGTTATTGTCAAAAAGGATTTTGTCTCTGCAACCAGAGACGAAAACCTCCAATTAGGCTCCAGTAAATCCTCCCTCATATCTCTTTGATCAGAGAGCTGAGTCATGGACACCCCCATCCCCACCACCAACACACACACTCCTGGACCAATGATTGGCAAGCAGGAATAGGTTAGGTAATCCAGCGTTAAGCCATGTGCCAAGGCTGGGCACCCAGTGCCCAGTGGAGCATGGAGGAAGGGGTGATGCCCTTTGGGCAGCAACCAACAAAGTCTGCCATGTCCTTATTTTTAAATGTTTTTCAGAAGATTGTCTTTCATTTGAATTTCCTTGGAGGTGAATTTTCCCAGTGTACTTTGAATTGTTTTGTTTGCAATTTTATGTTTCTCTTCTTTTCCTTTTTCATCCTGTTTCTTTCTCTTACAAGCACTTCTCTTTCTATGATAGTTATTGGATTGGCTCCTTCTGGCCCCATGTTCCGAAGCAGCTCTTAGGTTGCTAGTTTGAGGTTACTTTTGAGGTATTAGAATTTATTTTTTTTAATGGGAGGTTTAGTTCACTGATGAGAAAAAAATATAAAATGCCCAAGATAAGCCTCTGAAGCTCTGGAAACAGGGTCACCTCTTAAGAGATTTTGAATTTACATTCTGTAACTTAAGTCCCTCAGTGGATTCCCCAACTCCCATTCTTGTTTTTCTTCTCCAAGTCCCATTCTGTAACTTAAGTCCCTCAGTGGATTCCCCAACTCCCATTCTTGTTTTCTTCTCCAAGTGCCAGAACATCTATCTATATTCACTTCGTAATTCTGAAATCCAAAAACTCTAATCAGAAAATTAAGTTGTTGAGAGAAAATGGAGTAGGAGTACATGTAAGGCCCCATCTCCATATTAGACACTGTAGAAGTTTCCAGTTGCCTCAGTCATGGGCCAGGCTATTGGAGAGAAGGGATATGCACATAAATATATGGGTATGAGCACCCAATTAAAAGTGGTGCCCAGGTTGGGTGTGGTGGCTCACGCCTGTAATCCCAGCACTTTGGGAGGCCGAGGCAGGTGGATCATTTGAGGTCAGTAGTTCTAGACTACCATGGCCAATATGGTGAAACCCAGTCTCTCCAAAAAATACGAAAATTAGCTGGGCGTGGTGGCGGGCGCCTATAATCCCAGCTAGTTGGGAGGCTGAGGCAAGAGAATCACTTCAGCCTGGGAGGCGGAGGTTGCAGTGAGCCGAGATTGCACCACTGCACTCCAGCCTGGGTGACAGAGTGAGACTCCGTCTCAAACAAACAAAAGCAGTGGCCACCATACATTATCAGTTTTGAGAAGAATGAGCATATTCTATCCTTATGTGGTGGTGGGAAAAGACTAAGAAAGAAGAAGGGCACTGCAGTGGCCAGGTCCTCCACCAAGAGTGATAATTGAGTATTAGCTCCAGCTGTCCAAGCTGGCACCTGCAATAGCAACATTAGCATGACATCCAGTTACACTGCTTTAATAATTCCTGAAGAACCAATTGTTTAACCTTGGCTGCAGTGGGCCCTGCTGACATTATTTATTTTATATTTCTAATTTTATTACTTTGCTATTTTTGAAACGGTGATTTTTTACTTTATACCTTGAGTTGTTTTGACACAAGCTTTGAGTCTCAAGATTTTAAAACGCCTTTTTTGAAGCTCCGTAATATTGTGGGTGAATGGTTGTCATTAAGAAAGTGTTTGAATATAGCCTCATATTTCAATACGTGTGTCATGAAAAATACCTCTGCTGCCATCACCACTCCACTCATATTAAATGGCTCAGACAGATTTTGCATCTCATAATCTCACTGACTTAAAAGTAGATGCATCTCATATGAGAGCCGAAAATTTGCACAGCAATATTACACTTAAATCCAGACATTCACATTTTCCCCACTGCAGATATGCGGTCTTCTTACAAAGAAAAATAACTCAGATTTTCTTCCTTGTATTTTCTTTTTTTCTTGCTGACTCACTTGATTTTCAGATTTTCGTAGCTTTTTTTCTGTTTAAATTACAACAATCTACAATCAACAATGTGCATGAGATGCTAAACTATGTGACTTTTTCTTATTAAGCAAACAAAAAAAATGAGTGCGATAGATTCTAAGGTCTTTATCATGGTCTGAGGCTATAGCCACAGCAGAAAAATATTTGTGGCCAAGAGTTGCATAAAATCTATTTATGTCAGTGTGTGGCTTAACATTCTTTAGTTGCTGCCCATCACCCAAGAATAATTTCTAAACTTCTGATCACAGTTTAGGAAGCCCATTCAACTAGCCCCCACCAGCTCTCCAACTGCCCTTCCCTGTACATTCGCCTGTGGGTCCCACTTCTGAAGTCCTTCACATGCTCAAACACACTGGGCTCATTGCTGCTTCTATATTTTTTTAGTGTTCTTTGCTCTCTGGAACCTCCTTGTCCTGCTCACTTTTAGTCTGGGAAATTCCTACATTCCTTTCAGGATAGTGAAATGTCACCTTATATGTGAAATCCTTCACACTCCACCCTCTCCACTCATACACATATGTGTCTTTCACCTTCAGTGGCACATAACTTATTTAGGGCTAAGGACCTAGGCCTTGTTCACATTAGTGCCTGATGTCTCCCTAACAGGGTACCTGAGTAGACAGACATACCCACTAAATAGTAAATAGGACAGAAATAGACTGATTTCTAAGGACCCTGAGTCAGGACTCATGCTGTAGCAAAAGGCTGGCTAAGGGAGGTTCTGTTGACCCTCAAGAAAACTAGGGTAAACCAGTGCCCAAATCAGTTTGATGTGATCTGAAGGTTAGAGCCTACAGTTTTGGTGTGCATAGGCAGCCATAGATATGTATAATAGAGGCAGACACTCCTATGGGGGCAAGCTGAGGGCATCATGTGGGAGCCAGACTTGGACAGTATAAAAATCCCGGTTATAAAAAGCTGACTAGAGCGTTAAAAATTAACCTTTGTGCAAATGACATTGTGCAGCAGCAAGCAGGTCAGTTGATCAGCAGTGGATGACAAATCACTGGTCTGCAGGCTTTACAGGAGTATATCTGGAAAGCCCCCTCCCCATAACCTCCTTTTGTTAAACTGATGAACACAGTACCCATCACAGTGGTGACCCTCATTGACTGCATTAAGCTTTTACATGTGTGGGTAAAAGTGGCTACTGTGGTGTCTCCCTGTGGGATGATGAATGCATTTCAGGAAGAGTAGTTTCACCCCATTTTCGTAAAACTGTTATGCTTTAGACGTGTATATATGCAAGTTAGTCTACACACATGTTTTTCTGTGCTCCCTTAGCTGAGAGGACCTAGAAGCAATGAGCACCTCTAGCATCCAGAACGTGATTTCTAATACCATTCTCCAATAAAAGGAACCAGGCTCCTCGGAGAAATGGCTTATTCTCCGTTATTGTCCATGGGTTTGAGCTAGCAATACACATCATCAACCTAGAACATCTTGTACTGCCATAAAGTAAGGATATAATCAAACACAATGATGGGGACACATGTCAAAGGGACACAATTAAAAAGTGTCAATTGCGAAATCTCCCAGTGGCAAAGCTGGGACAATTTGAGCAATACGATACAGTAGTATTGGATTATAGCCCCAAGTATGAAATAAACATCGTAAGTCCATACTAATAAAAATATGTGATTGAATAAATAAATAAATGAGGGAAAGTAGACAAATTTCCCATGCAGAGTAATTTCAAATTATTTATGTAGCATAACTCTCCATTCCTTAAGCACATTGCGAGTACCTCTAAAAAGTACAGTATGGAATTGGGGAGTAAGCTTATAGTGGAGAAGCCTGCCTAACACTACCTCAGCCAGGTGATCAAATTCAACACCAGTAGTGATGAACCATGTGGACAGTTTATGTGATGATGAGAATGGCACTTTACATCCATGGTCTTCTTCTCAGAAACCCATAACCCCAGTATAACCATGAGAAAACTCTCACATGAGTAGCATTTTACAAAATACCTGATGAGTATTTCTCAAAACTGTCCAGGTCATCAAAAATAAAGTCTGAGAAACTGTAGCAGCCTTCGGAAGCCTGAGGAGACATGAAGACTAAATGTAATGTGTGTCTTGGACAAGATCCTGAACTAAAAAAGGACATTAGACAAAAACTGAGGAAATCTGAATAAAAGTACATACTTTAGTTAAAACAACAAACAAAAATGGCTCCTTAAGAATGGCAAAGTCTTTTTCAATCATTCCGATCTTCACCAAAGTTCAATTTGAATTTGAAGACTGGCTGTACCTCAGTCTTTAAGAAATGATGAGTGAACCAGTGTCCAGAATTCCTTCCATTTTCCTAAATTTCCTGATTTGTTTTGTTTATAAAATCCCCCTCTATATTTCTTCCTTTTACATGGTGCTGAAAATTTTCAATCCTTTTAAGCTGGATGCGTTAAACTCTGAAACAGTGAACAGATAAGGAACTTAACTTCTTGGAATAAAGTAGCAGTGCTTTAAAGAAAGAGGAAGAATTTATGTAATGATCCTTTAAATTGTGATGAAAATATGGTTGTTTGATAAATGATGTTTTTAACATTCCTCTTAGCAAAAAAACCATCCAAATGACAATGATAAGAAAACATTATTTTTCAATTGGTATATTAGGTTAGGGAAAATTAAATGCTTGATAACCCCACTTCACACCACTTCAGTTTATTTCAACACAGGCAGAGTTCAACACAGGCCTTTCTATTTGGATGTGGATAGTGGTTCATGAGGGTGACTCAGAGACCTAGACATTCTCTCTCTCATGGCTTAGCCATTCCCTCTGGCCTCGGACTTCTTCTTTCCCAGCCTTCTGGATGCAGGGAGCGGCAGGATGGAGTAAAGTTGAGAGGACTGTAATGGAGATTTTTAATGGCCGAGTCTGTAGGGGATATTTCACTCCTACTCCCATGTATATATAAAACTGAAATATAGTACTTTGAATAATAGAAGGAAACTAATTTTTAAGGAAGCATTATCCTTTCTTAGAATAGCATCTGTTTTTAACTGCTTACAAGTTCTATAACTCACCAACAGATGACTAAGAGCTAGGACTGACACTGGAGTTCAATAAACAACACAAAATTATCTTAATAGGTTTTTATTGTTTTGAAATAAATAAGCCTTTTAGGAGGTGATTGTAGGAGATAGATGTTCATGAATCATAGTCTATCAGCATTTTTTGTTGTTGTTACAGTGAAAAGCCTTTGGTTGTTTTAGAGATAATAATGGTATGTTAGCTGTCCTCTATAAAGAGGATGTTTTGAACCTTGTATATGTTATTTGCCATTTTCTGATGGTAGGAAGAAATTTGTGCTCATCCTTTTGGTGCAGTTGTGACTACTGCATTTTTCTGGGAGGTTTGCCAGAGTTATTCATAAAGACTTGAGCATATATACTTACAAAGGCAAGTAGCCCATGTACAATTTTAACCAGTCACTTTGGAGAGGAAACAGCCACACTAATCAGCTATTTGTGATCTAGACTCTTGTAAGAGTCTCTCCCACCTCACTCCATCTATTTCTTCCCTTCTAAGTAAATGGTAATGAGAATTCATTCTGAAATGACATGAGCCTGCAATTTGCATGAATTTGATGTAGAAAATCTTATCATCATCACATGGATCATAGTTCAATTTTATATATGTGCTTTCCGGATTCCAAATGGAGATTGGGAAAATTATTCAAATTGTTAGAATATAGACCTGTAATCTCAAGTAATTGATGTCCCCTATTTTAAGAAAGCATGCAACAAAATTCAGATGCATGTGTACAGTCTATAAATATTATTTTTAGGTGAGAAGTTGAATTTTTCATGATTGTAAATGGAAGAAAAAGAAAATCAGTTTAGGTCAAAATACATAAAATGGCTTGGATATTAATTTCACCATATTTTTACTTTGTTTCAAATATTATAGTAAAATTATCAGAGCTTTGCCACTGAACCAATCTGTCTCAGACTCATACTGAGTAGTAGCTCTGTAACTTGACTTAAATCATTTGCGAAAGAATTCTTGAGTCATATGGAAGACATCTCTCTCTCTCTCTCCCCCGTACAGTCTCTCTCTTTCCCCCATGCTCTCTTTCCCCTTGCCCACTTCTCTTTCCCTCCCTGTTTTCTATACTTTCCTTCTACTACTTTGCAGGGGAACTTCCCCATTTTCTTTTTCATAGCAAATATGAGAGAAACTCTGGGCAAATCCAGTTTAAAAAAAGAAAAGATTATCCCTGATTTCTGAGGGAGGATAGACAGTTTTAAAGAGAATCAAGAAAGAGATTGGGGATTCAGCTGGATATGAAAATAGCTATATTCATTAAGAAGAGCAATGCAAACAGCTGTAAATTTGGATAATAAGCAAGGAAAGATATTTGAATTTCATTAGGCTTTTTTTTTTGTCTACAGTTAGCAAATAGCTCACCTTCTAAATTTACTTCAGTTGTGATTCACCCACAATAAGCATGTAATTAAAATTGAAGAATGTTTACCAGGTGAGGGAAGTTGATGACAGAAGCCTGGAGAAAGGTTTGGAAAATATGAAAAGAAGGGCAATTCAGGAAGCACTCTGCAATTTGGAAGATATTTTAGGAAAGGTAATGCCGGGGAGGACTGCAATCAAATAGATGTTGCTGGTTCAAGACTGGCCTGTAGAAGCTCAGTCACCAGCATCTTTTTGGTGGTGGGAGTGAATTAATTAGTTAATTCAATCAATATTGATTGAAAATATATTGTGCTTTGACTTCTGCACCAGATTCTGTGAGAATAATTGAGGGGAATACCATTTCTGTAATCATAAAGCTTACACCCTAGAAAGGGAGATAGAAATAAAACATAATTAAGATCAGTTCTGGTGAGAAGTGTAGAGTACTGTGAGCAGAACTGTGTGGGTATGTGTGATGTAGGGGAAGGGATTTCTGCCCCAGTCTGGGCATGGGCTCAGCAATGTATCCCTTGTTCTTGTCTCCGGAGCCAGGTATGCAAATAATTATGGCAGAGCATACTTTTTGCTCTTAGTGGCAATTTGTGATACTGCGTTGAGAGCATAGTAGGAGTCTCCATTTTATTATAGATGTGTCATGGAAGGCACACAAAAGACATAGAAACCAAGTCCAGAAGGATTGGCATGAGTGTGCAAATTGATGTATTTGGGGAGATTTTTCCATAATTTTTTGAATAAAATCTCAAAAGATAGGAAAGAACTTTAAGTACTTCAGTGTTACTGGATCCTAATATTGGTGAAGGGATATTATAAAATGAGATACACAGGAAAAAAGAGGGACTGACCAAAAGGAACACATTTTATAATGTGATAGAGACTCAATTTTTGATGAATTAATGGTGATATGATAATTGCTATAATTGAGAACTGGAAGATTATGGCTCTTAATAGTTTAAAATGAAGTACTTACATGTCTCTACAAAAAGTATAAATGTTTGAGAGTGTAGAGTCATATTAGGGGGCTGGGAAATCAATATTCTGAAGTCCAGTGAACAATGGTAGAATATAATAGAAAAGGGCATCTGAAAAAATAGATACTATGAAACTTTTGTTTCAGTTTTATAGCTACATGTTTGTATGCCTCGCATGCAGATAAAACATGGAAATTGTATTTCTTACTGTGGGTTGGAGTTAAAGAAGCCTGAAAGTCGCTGTGGTGGAAGCATCCAGTTTCTCAGGTGTGTTTACATGCTGAGGAGAGGGGCCTGGAGAAGCAGCAAAAAGACCAGGAACTAGACAGACTCCAGGCTCTTGCTCCTGAGCCTAAAGAAAGAATCATCTGCATCAGGGCCCAGTGACAAAAAGAGTGAAAACACTGATACTTTGCCTTTGGTCCCAAGGTGACAACAATCATAAACCTGCCAGTTACCTCCTTGGTGTTGTGATATAGATAAATTGAGAATAATGTTTAGCTCAAGGTAGGTATTTGCCCTTTGTAAATAGTTGATGAGTTAAATGTCCAGCTACAGAAACTTCTCTTTGGCCCTCTGGCAGGGTTTGGAGATTTCTGGGCTTCTTGGAGCAGGTCTGTATTTTTTTCTGGTCCAGCCTGGGGGAATGAGGGAATGGGTGGTTGTAGGTGTGTGTTAGGAGGGACGTTTGACCATTTTCTACTTCATCTATTTTGATTAAATGGTGGGAAAACAAATCTCCTGTGGGAGCTACATCATCTTTTATGTCTGCTAACCAGAAGTTGAATCCTAGGAATCAGTTCCTCAAGCAGCATTTTAATAGAACACAGCAAGTGGCCTTCTGAGGTGGTCCTGATATCAACTGTGATACAATGTGCTCTGTTCTTAGATGCAGAAGGCACAACCAGGGAGCAGTGGTCCCAGAACAGAGGCTTCAGGCAAGGCTTTTCAGGATAAGGGATGTGTGATTTTGATGTTGAACCCTAATTACAGGTTAGCCAGGAAACAGGACCACTGGGTGGGGAAGTGAGAGGGGTATGTTTTTGAGAAAAATAACCAAGTTTGTACCATTAGCCTGAAATTTCACCGTTCCGTTCACCAAACTCTGATAGTAAAGCCTTTCCAAACTTCTTGAACTTGCTCTGTGCAAATTTAACCAATCCTGTGCATATGTAGTTCTTTTTCTCAAAAACACACTAGGAATGGCAAGATGGTTAGAGTGTGTGTGTGTGCATGTATGTGTATGTGCGTGTGTGTGTGTATGTGTGTGTGTGTGTGTGTGTGTGTGTGTGTGTGTGTCGAGTCCAGAAGACATGGGAAAGGTGTGGGAAATGAATATGAATCTGGAAAGCTAAACAGGGCTGGCTAAACAGCCTTGTGTGAGAGGAGGAATTGCTGAAGGGTTTTAGGTAGCGAGACAACATGCGTTATATTTTAGAATGGTTGCTGTGGAGCTGGTGTGGTGGGTTATCTTGGAGGGGTCTGAGATGAGGGCAGGGAGATTGGAACATAGAAACTAATAAAATAAACAATTTTCCCGTAATGCTTATGGAAATATTATAGCAATAAAATTTAAAATATTTAATAATTTTTGCTGAGGTCCTGAGCATCGATTGTGACTCTGATAAAGAAGTATAATTAGATTCAGGTTTCTAAGATTGCCTGTCCCTAGGTCTCATTTCCTAAATGACTGCTTCTCTTCAAGACAGCTTCTGAAGCCAAAAGCTTTATGGGCGACAGCTCTGGGAATGCGTTTTAGCGTTATCATCTTGTGAGATCACCACCCAAACATGAAGGCAAGTGCCACAGACTTGCCTCTAAAGATGTAGATGGTTTTGCCATCAAATAGAGAATGTGTTGTGTCAAAGAACCAGGTTTCTTCCAACTCTAAAAGCCTATGCTTCTTCAGTTATTTCTATTTTGCTATAAACCATAAAACAAGTTACAGTACGAATCCAGGGAGTGAAGAAGCTCCCAGAGCTGTTTGAAATGTGCCATGGAGGGGTTGGCATCCATGTTCTCAGAGCTACTTTAAGGGAAGTTTGTGGGTTGATTGTCATCCTGTAAATACCCAGCAGAGTGCTGCCTGCTGCCTCCCCCTCATAGCAGATTTCCTGTCCTGCGTGACAGATCCGGTAGAACGCATAAAGTGCAACTTCACTATTTCAGGCCCCATTATACCATAACTGAAAATACAACACAAATTCAATTCTGTCTTTATAAACATATGGTCTATCTCCCGTGTAATATCATGGTACATCTCTATTAAATCTTGCTTTCTGTTGTTGATATTAAAATGGAATTCTACTATAGTGTACTTTTACAGTTGATCTTTTGTGCTTCAAATGATTTAGAAATCTTTTGCATAAGTAAATCCTGGTTCCAAAATATTCAATTGATGATTTATTCTTGGAGCCTATTTTTAATTTATTTAGTGTATGACTACACTTTATGAAAGGGTTAACATTATTTGTTCAAGGTTTTTGATATTTGATGCCTTAAAAGTATACTTTTCAAAACAGACATTTTATTTAAGAAGGGAAATATACTGTTCTTTGAATAGCCTTGACACTGTGCCAGCTCATAAGTGTTGTAATGTGGAATGATGAATTCTTTGCATATATATTCTTTGAATATATATTTTTATAGTGTACACATAAGTATAGATAGTCCATTTATTTTAAAAAGCATGTTCATGATTTTAAGTCATTCTTGAGAAAGTGTTGTGGAAATTAGTTGGTATTTTGACCTAGGTTTTTCCTATTCCAGAAACGTGTTTTTTAAACACTCACATTAAAAAATTGGTGAGGTTGGCCAGGCATGGTGGCTCACGCCTGTAATCTCAGCACTTTGGGAGACCGAGGTGGGCAGATCACTTGAGGTCAGTAGTTTCAGACCATCCTGGCCAATATGATGAAACTCCATCTCTACTAAAAATACGAAAAATTAGCCAGGTGTGGTGGCGGGCACCTGTAATCCTAGCTGCTCAGGAGGCTTAGGCAGGAGAATCGCCTGAACCTGGGAGGTGGAGGTTGCAGTGAACCGAGGTAGAGCCACTGCACTCCAGCCTGGGCAACAGAATGAGACTGTCAAAAAAAAAAAAAAATTGTTGAATTTGCTTCAATATCCGGTTGTCAACTGTAGAACAACGAAATTTTTTCATTATAAAAATCTTACAGGATAGGTAAGTATTTGTGCTTTTAAAGAATTAATAACATTTAAATGTGCAGTCCTAACTGAATTATTTTTTGCTCCATAGAAGCAGTTCAGATGATTCCTGCTGATTTCTAATTTCAACCATAAATATCACTTAATTTGTTGTTAAAGTATTTTTCCTTAATGGAATTTTTCTCCTATAGCTTTAAGACAGCCTCTGACTTGCAATTTCTTTATTAATTTTATTTTCTTAAGGTCACATTATTCCTGGCATTTTAGACATTTTTCACGATCTGTGACTCTTGTCTCATGGGCAGAAGCTTTGTCCTCTTTCCTTTTTCTTCACCACTCTTTGCAGCCCTGACCCTTTAGTTAATTTTTCAGAAACCTTAGCAACTCTGCCTTTGGAGTGGCACTGTACACTGTGGAGGACAAAATATAAATTGATGTAAGCTGATTAATGATTTAGCTCTACTGCTGAAAATTCCACATTTGTTTCCTGTTGTACCAAGAATAAAATCTATGTCTTTCCTAGGACTTTTGAGACCTCCTGTCTCCTTCCCCACTCTCCACTTCCGTCCCTTCCCCTTATTGCTTCCCCTATGCCAGCCATATTGGCCCTCGTGTGGTTTCCCAAATATTGTGAGAATCATTTTTCTCGAAGTTTTTATCAGCAAGATAAATTGCTGGGAGTTGAATTTCTAAGTTAAAAGATATGAAAATAAATGTTTTAATGGTTAATATAAAATTGCCTTTGAAAGGTACTGACCTATCTTCAAAGCACCTGTTTATAAAGAATATAAAGAAGAATAAAGAGTATCTGTTTCCCAAACCTGTAATGAAGCTCTTTCAGGCTTTTTGATCTTGGCCACATATTGGCCATCTTTTTTTAACATAAGTAGGACCTAGCTTTGAGTGGATTAATTATTTTAAAAATTCTGAGCAGTTAAACCTTTGCCATCGTGGTCCCAAACACTGCTCTCTAGAGGTGGTGCTGGTTCTGGTGATTAGTAGGCCTAGGATGTGGTTATGGGAATGTGTGGCTGAGATGGAGCAAAGGAAAGGTCAGACAGGTTGGGGGGTCAGATGTTCAGACACAAGGATGCTGAGATCATCAGGAATAACACCAGAAGTAGGTGGGGTAAGGAAGAGTGGGAGCCAGGTGCCACAGGCATTATGATCTCAGTGTCTCGATAGATGGGAGAGGGAGGAAAGGATGCTGAAGGGAAGCTCAGTGAGCAGCTGTCTGTATGGGTATATTAATGACTTTTTTTAATTTTCTGAATTTTGTGATATCTTGGCATCTTTGTGCCTTGCTGAACCTGGAGAGGCTGTCCCTCCAGAGCTAGCAGATTCCCAAATGTATCAAACAACTTGCCTGGGAGCACACTTTTCACTTGCAAACCAACAAATCCAAAGCCCATATCCTAGTCAAAGCAGCCAGCTCCTTTCTTTAACTCTCTTACACCCTAAGCCAATATTTCCCCTGCCCTGTATCATCCTAGGGCTAGGTATCAGACAACCAAGGATCACCTCTACAGCTCAGAGCATGCTGAAAGTATTCAGATTGTCCAGTCTTAACCTTGCTCACACTTAACGTACCCTGCTTTATTCATTCCTTCCTGCCGTACCACAATATAGACCCTGGGACCTGCTCTCCCCTTGCCACCTCCTTCACTCACCCAGGTGCTTCCCCAAGTGGCACTGTAAGGCATGGCATAGCATGCCCCCTCCTGTTGGGGACTGTGAGTCACAGATTTCCTAACTATGAGTAACAGAACTTCTTTTAATGGCACTGACGTCTTTGTGTTGTTACTCAGTCACCTCTATGAATTAAATTCCAAGAACATTTAAAACAGTGGGAGACCATCAGAGAATTGGGCAGGAAAATTAAATATTAATAGTCTATGATGTAGCTATATTTATACACAGAAACACACATTGACATTGAAATCTGATTTACGTAAAAGAGACCAAAAAAATGGGTTATTTAAAACAGTATGTACACTGGTCCCAATTATAAAGAAAAACTTTCAGTATACATAATGTAAGACACAGAAACAAATAGTCCAGCATAAAATACCCAAAGTGCTAAAAGAAGAATTTGGGATAACTTTGTTTATTTGTATTTAAAAATTATCTTCCAAGTATTGTGAATTATTTTGTGTAATTCCAAGTCTTGCTGTAACGTGGTGTCATTTATGTATCTTTTGCTCCTTTGGACATTAGAACCTTGATTGCGATGGTGACGTAGGAGCCATCAATTCCAGACACACACATTAAACAATGCTATATGGGTGGGCCTACAAATTATTTCTACAACCAACACAGACGTTTTTTGGAAATGGCTGAGTTTGTGCTCTAAACTGAGAATAATGTACATTTTATTGTATGCATACATAGATAAGGTATGAAAAGTCTATAGTATATTTAGATAACAATTTCCACTTCTTCACTGAAAGCTGGTTGAAACCCTTCGTTGTGAAGTCTATCTTCCTGAGTTCTTTTCTCATTGATCACAGGATCCTGTTTTATGTGCCCCCTGGCAGATTTTTTTTTTTCTGTTGCATTTATTTTATCAGGTCCTAGAGTTTCTCAAGTATATTTGCTCAGCATTTCCTCTAAGCACAGTCATTGTAGAGGCTTTCCTTTCCTCTGTGTGCTGTGCTCATAATGTTGAACGCCTTATGTGGTAACTCTTGATTTTCCTTTTATCTGTCTGTTGAATCAAATAGTTGTCTACTTGGGTGTGTAGTCCTGTATGTAATCTCTCTGCCAGAGATTTGCTCTGTAGAATCAGTGCTCTCTGTATACCCAACTGAGGAATATTTTACACTCATTTCGTATGTGAGGATCATTCATACTTGGGGCCCACGCTGAAAGAACTTTGACACTGCCCAGTGTCAACAAACCACTACGCGTCTCCCAGATAGCAGTACCTTAGTATTTATTGTTTGCTGAATAGCCAGGGGGTTGTTACATACTCATTGTCATATGTATATGTAACATACACATTTTAGACGGAGGAGCTGGGGGCATGTCTTTCTTGAATGTTTAGGAGAATTTTAGGTGGTTTTGTTCTACACATGTACAAGAAATGCTAACTCTCAGTATACAAAAAAGGATTGAATAAACTGGAATAATATTTGCAACACGAAGTTTAGAGCACCCAGTGCCTTCCTCTTATCACCATGTGTACTTTCTAAAGCAGAAAAAAAGTACGTAGTTAAAATCTGAAAAGCTGAAGTGCCATTTGATTATTTTCTAAAGGACCAAACCACTTGCTCCTTCACCCCACTGCCTTACTGAAGCATGCCTCACCCTAGCTTTTGTGGTTATTAGTATTGTAAGCTCTGGATAAAAATAACAGTTCTAGGTGAATTATGACTTTTTGGACTTATGGTTTATTCCTCTGAGGATATATTTGTTTTATATTCCTTAAATTGTTCTATAAAGGCAATTCACATATTTTAAAATCCCTGTAATTTTCATATATTTTAGCAGACTGTGTGTTTAAGGGTATATATTTCTTGATTGTGAAACAGTCGCAGTGGTTTTAGATGTGTATCTTTTGTCTTTCTTTCAAATCCAAATTCCGTAGTGAGGCTAATTTAGTTCATTCCAATAAAATATTTTAAGGTCTTTTTATTAAAGCAGAAATTAAAATAATTATCATTATTTATAAATACTGCTTAACATAAAAAGAACTCCAAAGAAATTATAACCACTTTGTAAAATTGAAAGTAAAAAGCACTTAAAATTCATGAGTATAAAATAAAATATTCCTCGATAAAAATTGTGTGCATAGACAACTTGTATTTTAGAACAGAACTTGGAATATTCAGTTTGTCTAAATAAACTCCTAACCAGAAAATTTTAATGAAAAAAAATCCTCTAAAGTAACAATAAATATATTTCTTCTGTTTATCGACAAATAGCTAATGAGGATCAATAATGTTTTTATAGTGCGATGCTTCTAGATTGCCATTTACCTATGCTAATAAATCTACCAGACCTACAGTTTCCATGGTAGTAGGTATAATGTAAAAAACAATTCACGTGGCCCAAGGCCCAAGTTATGTTATGGGTTATTATATTGATGGTGAGTAGTATTTCTCAGTAGGATCACTGTTGGTATTTTGAGTGAGAATATCCGTTGTTATGTGGGACTTTAACATTGCACTCCATTAAACAATGCTGGCCTTTTAATTACTTCACAATGATTGGGGCATCCAAAATGGCCCCTGGAAAATATTATGTGAGTAATACAGCCCCTACCTGAAATCCACTGATACAGAATAGGAACCAGCACAATTTTTCTGTAGAGGTGGATAATAAATATTTCATATGTGTGGGCCATACAGTCTCTGTCTCAATTACTCAACTCGGCTATTGTGGTGAAAGAGCAACTAGAGTATAGATGGCATGAAAAAGAGTAGCTGTGTTCCAATACAGACTATATTTACAAAAGCAAGTGCTGGGCAGATTTTCACTGGGGGGCTGTAGTTTGCCAGCCCCTTCAAAAGTACCACAAGTCCATCAGTCTGAACACAAAGAATGCTATTTGAAAAACAATCAGTCGTATTATGTTAGTTAGGAGGGTTTGGGGCTGCAAATAATATGAAATCATATTTCCTGTTTCTAAAGATAGGGTTGTTTCAGTCTTGATTAATTTAATGTATGATTATCATAAGAGACATAAGCGCTTTCCATCCTTCTACTCTGTTATTCTCAGTTGTTATTATCTCCCCTCATAGTCACAGATAGATGCAACAGTGTCATGCCTAGTTACAACAGTGCACAGGGGAGAAGGACATGTCCATATAGTCCAGGAAAACCTTTCCCAGAAGTCCCCAGCTGAGTTGCTATCACATCTTGTTTGGCTGCATCTCCAAACTTGAGTTAAAAAATAGAAAAAGGAAAATATCCCACATATTTTACATAGGATAATTATGATTCTCCTCCTTAGCCTGGAGAGACAGATTCAGCCTTAACCCATACCTGTAGATGACCAATATTTGAATGAGCTGTGATTACACGGGTAAGAAAGAGCAGGGGCCTTTGAGAGGTGAGTGAAGAAAGATGTCTGTGAGATGCATTGTTTTCCATGTTAACTAAATTACACTCAAATGTAATTCTGTCTTAGACGGTATTTGAGTCCATTTGTTTCCCTCTGTTTCCCAGCTAGTCAAAGGAAGCGTTTCATTCCACCTATCTTTGGTCAGAGGAGAGGGAGGAGTGTAGACCAGCATTCTACCCACTGACGACAGGTCATCTGTCTCTATTATTGAAGAACCATTGCAGAGCCTATGCTCACCTTCTGCGAGGTCAGTAAAACCAGTATATGGAAGAGTGTTTGGACTTGCTTAACAAACATCACTCAGCAGTCCTTAAGGAACCTCTCAAATAAGCCCTAGCTAATCATAAATAGTTAGTATAGAATTTGATTTATAAGAGTTGAAAATAATTTGCTGAAAAGCATTTTCACTGAAATGATGTAATCATTTTAGTGCTAAAGGGAATACAGAAGACCAATGGATTCTTTTAAGCTCATAAAGTTGCTGCCCTACAATTTCAGATGAAGCAGGTGATTTATCAAGAGAATAATTTTGGTGGCTGAGAGGTACAGATATAACTAGAAGCTGGTTTTCCCACTTTGTTGTGCTGTGTTCCCTGAATTACATCATGGTATTCCTGCAGCAAAATGGCTGCAAGAGACCTTATGCTTATCAGTAGGGATGGCTCTGACTCAAGTTCTGATTTTTTTTCCTGGAGCTATTCCTGAATGTTGAGCTCTTTAAGCTGTCAGTACTGGGGTTGAACAAATACCTTTAGATGCAACTCTATTTATTGTAGTGACTTTTGGAGAATGATCCTGTACTATTTTGTGGATAGGTTTGTTCAGGAGACCTTGTTTTGCATCTCCCTCATGTAATTGGTTCAATTTCGAAGGGGCTGCTCCTTTAACGCCAATCATTTACTTATGTGTCTATTCAAACATATCGAATTCACTGTTCCATCCTCAAGGTTCTAAGTATTCTAGTGTGAAAGAGAATGAGCCGAACAATTAAAGTAGAGTGAGATTTATGGCACAGTCGAGGGAAGCATTATGTCCTCTTAAGATCGAGGGTGACACTGAACAGGTCAAGAAGTGATGCCTGAGTTGAGTCTCAAAACATAACCAAAGTAAGTCAAGTAAGGAAAACAGGGATGAAGCTGGCCTATGGAAGGAATGACACAAGAAAAGGCTTAGAAGGAATGACACAAGAAAAGTCTTAGAGGAATGGGAGAATATGGGATGTCTGGAGAACAGCTAGCAGTTCACTAGGTCTAGAGTTCACAAAGACTTAAGATGCACAATTGGCAAATACTGAGTAATGGGACTGTGCTGGGGGAGAGTTAATATATTTAGAACTTTATTCTTAGGCAGTGGGAGTCATCAGAGGCTATTCGATGGGACAGTGACATGATGTCATTCATATTTGCGAAAACCATTATGGCTGTGGGATAAAGAAGGGATCAGAGGGGGTAAGATTGAAGGCAACATGACCAGCCAAGAGGGTCTTTCAATAATCTAATAAAGAAATGCCAAGAGCCTTGATTAAGGCAGCGGTGGTGGAGAGAGAAAGAAGAGATGGTTGTCAATCAGGTGCTGATAGAATTTATTAGACTTGAACTTTTTATTGTAGGAGGTAAGAGAAAGGAAAGGAATTCGAGACCATCCCGGCTAACACGGTGAAACCCCGTCTCTACTAAAAAATACAAAAAATTAGCCGGGCGCGGTGGTGGGCGCCTGTAGTCCCAGCTACTCGGGAGGCTGAGGCAGGAGAATGGCGTGAACCCGGGAGGTGGAGCTTGCAGTGAGCCGAGATCGTGCCACTGCACTCCAGCCTGGGTGGCAGAGCTAGCAGAGCTGGACTCCGTCACAGAAAAAAGAAAAAAAAAAGTGACTACTGCATTTCTGACAGGGCTTGATACATGATAGTTCTTCTTCTTCTTTTTTTTTTGAGATGGAGTTTCACTCTTGTCGCCCAGACTGGAGTGTAGTGGTGTGATCTCGGCTCATTGCAACCTCTGCCTCCCAGGCTCAAGCAATTTTCCTGCCTCACCCTCCCAAGTAGCTGGGATTACAGGCGCCCGCCACCACTCCCGGGTAATTTTTGTATTTTTAGTAGAGACGGGGTTTCAACATGTTGGCCAAACTGGTCTCTAACTACTGACCTCAGGTGATCTGCCTGCCTCGGCCTCCCTAAGTGCTGGGATTACAGGCATGAGCCACCGTGCCCGGCCAATACATAATAGTTCTATTCATTGACATATGACCATAGGAGTTGGACCAATGTTGTGGAAAGATGAGTTCACTTTTAAGCCTGTTCATTTTGAAGTGCTTGGAAACCTAGTAACTCGTTGTATATAGGAGGCTGGAAACCAGGAAGGAGCGCTGAACTAAAGAAATAGATGTGGGGGGCCGGGTGCGGTGGCTCACGCCTGTCATCCCAGCACTTTGGGAGGCTGAGGCAGGCGGATCACGAGGTCAGGAGATCTAGACCATCCTGGCTAACACGGTGAAACCCCATCTCTACTAAAAATACAAAAAAAAAAAAAAATTAGCCGGGCGTGGTGGCGGGCACCTGTAGTCCCAGCTACTCAGGAGGCTGAGGCAGGAGAATGGCGTGGACCCGGGAGATGGAGCTTGCAGTGAGCCGAGATCGCGCCACTGCACTCCAGCCTGGGCAACAGAGTGAGACTCTGTCTCAAAAAAAAAAAAAAAAAAAAAAAAAAAAAAGGAAGAAAAAGAAAAGAAATAGATGTGGGAGTTTTCAGCATAAAGTAAGACACTGACATGAATGAGACCACACGGGCACTAGAGCAGACAGAGATGAGACACAGTGATGGAGTCCAAAGCAGAACCATGAAGGGCATGGGTCTAGAAGAAGAGGGTACAAAGACGACTAAGAATAAGATGTTGAGAGGGTACAAGAAGACCAGGAGAGTATAGTATTCTATTCTTGAAACAAAAGAAACAACAACATTGCCAAATATTTCTGTGTGATGAAATAAGATTTTTAAAGAGGACCCTGGGTATGTTGAAATGATTTACTTATTGATTTTTATTTAGATAAGGAATGTGTGATCATTATGTAACTAGAATATATATAAATGTATAAGGTGAAAAATATATATAATTTTGAATAATTTTGAATAATTTAAGAATCACCCTAAATCCCACCACCCAGCATAACTACTGTTAAAATTTTGATGCATATCTTTCCAGACTTTTTCTATATGCAAATATATTCTCTATATCCAGATATATGTCTATATATAACAAAATGAGTTCATACTATAAAAATATTGGATGCTGCATAAATTTGCTTGTCATTCTTCCCCGAGACCATGATAATCTTCTCCACATCTTTCTAATTTTAGTATATAAGCTGGGAAATCACATGATGTCCATTGAATTAAGTAACTAGAAGATCATTTGTAATTTTGCAAGGCTAATTTCAGTGGAATGGTGAGGGCAGAAGCCAGATTGTTGTGGGATGGGGAATGAGTAGGTAGTGAGGAAGTGGAACAGGCATTATAGACTACCTTTTCAAGAAGCTAGGCTGTGAAGGAGAAGGGAAGTATAGAATGTCAAGTGAGGAGTAGGATGGTGAAGGATATATATATTTTTTATTTTGTATTTTACTTTTTTAATTGGACAATACTTTCCACTGCCTGGAAAGAGCCAGAAAAGGGGTGAAATTGAGGATACAGAAGAGAGAGTACAGTTGATGGAGTGAGGCCTCAGTCAGGAGGCAGGAAGGGATGGGATGCAGGAAAGAAGAACCAAGCCCCATCTTCTAATAAGGCAATTGGGAAGGAGTTAAGGGTAGAAACAGATAGTTTCATACATTTGTAGATGTGTCACCTGAGGTGATTCTGGTCACCTTAGAATGATTATGGCTGATGCCCACATGTATTGAGCTATTTGATGGTTTTTTGAACTTTCAGGAAACAAAGACCTTCCATATTGGATTAGATCCATTATCTGTTCACTTTTATCTTCAGAGTGGTATCGAGAGATGCATGCTAGAAAGGTCTAGTCTTCTCTGACAAACTGAAAGGTCAAAAATGGCCCCTAAACACTCAGTTATCTTAAACAATACCTTAAGGATTTATTATCCACATATTTCTGTGAAGTTTCTTAAAGTTGTGTATTTTCTTAGCCTGTTCTGCCCCACCAGACTTACCACCCGTGAAATAACATATTGAACACATTTCAGGAAGTTGAATTTTATCTTGGAAAAAAACAGATTTGGAACAAACTTTGGTTGAATTCCATTAACCTTGGAAAAGCAAGCTTTAGTTCTCTTATGGGTAAAATTGGGATACCATCACTATTGACCTGACAGCAGTGTGAATGTAGCATAAGGTAACATAGGTCAAGTGCCTGAACAGTAACTGCTGAGACAGCGTGCTCAGCATGTGTTAGTGCCTTCCTCCATGACTGTCTGATACACATGTTGTTACTCTCAGTGATTGACCAAGGACTCCCATTCACTCCAGCATACCAGGACTTGATGATAGCAACATGAAACTATTGCTAATTATAATAAACTTCGGCCAATGACCTGTAGTGTTCAGTGGAATCATTGTTGTTTTGAAATGTAAATATCATGAAATTAATGGAAAGGATTATACTATCTTGAGATGTACAAAATTAACAGGCCTCATTTGCATTTCCTAAAGCCATGTAGATTCATTTTTTTATATTTACAGAAGCATATTACCTGAGGTATTTTTTGGCTCATAAATACAAAATTAAATCCCACAGATGACCAGAAGGAAAGCTAGGTCATTGTTTCTCTTTTTTACATATGATTTTCTGTATCAAAAGCTTAATAAGATGATTTACTAAGGAGTATATATGCTGAACACAACTCGTGCTGAAATGTCAGTCCTCACTGTGAAAGACTTCTAGGCAAATATAATTGCTGTAATGTGTTACGACCTTTCAAGACTCATAATTCAATTGAAAGGGGCAAGGCTAATTAAATGCAGGAGAATCATTTCCCACTTACTGTAGCTGCCACTGGATGCAAAGCAGTACCTGTTTACTTTAGATCCAGTGAATCAGCCAGTCTATGACACAGGAAACTGCATGAGGCAGGTCTATTAGGCTTAAATAATTTCCCTATGAGTTTCTGCTACTTAATTCCTTTTTAACTCACCAGCACATGTGTAGATTTAACTTCGACTTTTAAAATAAAATATAATAATTCACTAGAGCTTGCTTGCTTTAAAAATACAAGTCCTTAGGTACTAATTAAGTATTTTTATAACCACTTAACTGTTGAAAATAGCTCTTAAATATCTGCATTTCTTTCTTTATATCATGATTACTTTGTCTCCTTGACTCTCCATCCTAGAGTTACTTGGATGCCTTTTCATAGCCTCGGTTAATTTGTTTCCTGCATTTTTTCTGGCAGCAATTCAAAAGATCATTGATTATTTTCCCATTACTCTGTTGCACAAACTACTTAATATGGCTCCATCAAGGCATTCAAAATTCGGAGCTGCCATTGGTTACCTGGGTACTGCCTGATCTAAATGCCAAGTTGAAATGAAATGATTTAATGGTCCCAGAGATGCCCATCTCCAGCAGAGCTCACTCTGTGAGGGCTGCCCTCTTGGTGAATGGTTCCTGCTTTTACAATCTGATGAGTCAGAACAAAGCTCATCTCTCTAATCAATATTAAGCATGTCTAATTCACTTTAATGTTTACCACATCACCTAACTGGAGCTTGCACACAATGGGTAGTTAGTATATAGGCATTGAATGAATGATGGATGGATAACTGAATGAAGGAAGAGACAGAAAACTTTTATTTAACAATGCATTATGGGATTGCACTTTTTGGCTAGAATATCAAAGGCTTTCAAGGAAATAATTGAGAAGCATTAGATTCTTGCATTAACAGTAAAATTTATTTATATAAATTATTTGAAAACACTGTAATTAAATTTGAGTTTCTAATGCATTCTGGACATAAGTCCTCATTAAAAGTTTTTTTTTCGTTTAAAATTGGTTGTCTAACTTTTAAGTAAAGATATCTTAATATGAAAATTACTTTAAAAATTAACTTTTATGACTTGGTTATAATTTGAGGGTTTTCAATGCCTTGTTGAATGGGATTCAAATTATATTGTGGTAACTATTGTAGGAAATTTGGGTTGGGTTCAAAAGGATTAGTTTTAGTATAACTCAAATGACTCTAGTAACAAAATAAAAGCTACATTTTAAAGAGAGAATATCGAAGGCATTCTGAAGAACACTTATTTTTCCAGGTCTGTAGCAGCTAAAGTGGTGCATTCAGTAAAAAATCTCCTTCCTGCATCAGAACATTTGTATTTTATTTTAACTATAATTGTGTGTGTGTGTGTGTGTGTGTGTGTGTGAAGAGAGAGAGAGAGAAACTTGAACGTGGCAAAGAATCAAGCCCATGAGTACTCATAGCATTTTGAGTAACGCCCAACACTGCTAATCATTGTGAAAGTGAAGATCTCTGTTCCTGAATGCATTAGAAGGCACAAAACTTAGGTAAATCAAATAGATAACAACACAGGCAACTTGTATTCAAATCATGTATTTGAATTAGAATTGACTTAAAGTCGTTCTAAATACCAGTGGAATTCAGAGAAAAGAAAAGTCACTAGGGCTTGTGTAAACAGGGAGACTTCCTAAAGAGGTTGGGACCTGAGAGGGTCTTGAAGACAAAATGGAATTTGAGTCAGTGAGAAGGAAGACTTCCTAGGAGGCATTGTGGGCTAACCTGCACAGCTTGAACTATACTTTGCACAAAGTTACTCATGTGGAAATCAGAACTGAATCAAATATCACTAGTCTTAAAGTTACTTTTTCCTGAACAAAAATGGGGTACAATTTAACACATGTTAAATAAGCTAGTATCCTGTTCTAATATGTACTATACATTTTTCTGAAATACATAAATAAAAGTAAACCTGAAGTATAAATTACGTTCTCTAAATAATACCAAGATGTCATGTGTTTTCAGGGTCTGGGGAAGTACTGAACAAAGAATATGTCTAAGAATATGTCTAAAAATATTTCTGAAAGATATTTTAAAAGCTATTATTCTCTAGGAAATAGACCCACAATTGAAAAGATAAAGAATTGATACTTGAAAAGTACAAATAAATATTTGGATATTTCATATGTTCACATTTAATCAACAACATTTAGGAAGGGCCTAACTCTCTACTATATGCTGCAGATGACAGAAAATAAATGAAAAACTGAATTTATGTCTTAATGAGTTTATAACCTGGTGGGTTATGTCAAACTAATGTCAATTTCTTAATGAGCCAGTTAAGAAAAATGTTAAGATCTTCTGTTACTGACTGTAAATACAGTCTTGATTCAGGGATTATGAAGGTGCAGGTTAAGGATGTCAGTATTTGGATATTGGAGGATGAGAAGGAATGTGTCCCAGGTAGAAACTTTAGGAAGAGGCATGAACCATGTGTTGTAATGTTATACCCTGATCGGAGTAGAAGACTTTTGTTAAAGAAATAAGATCCAATAGAGCAGGGTCAGAAAGTGGAATATCTGCCTGGTTACAAAGAGAAGTTGGGGCTTGTTGGAAAAGAGAATTAAGCAGTTGTTTTGGTTTTCTAGAAAAGCAATGTTTAGGATAATTAGTTTGGGCTAAATTTTACAGTGAGACTAAAGGAAGGCAGTTTGGTGGCTAGTTTGCTATAATCTAAATATGAAATGTTGAGATTCTGGTGAAGAATTGAGATATATAGTTATTGCACAAGAAATTCTAATTTATAGGCAGAAGAACAAAGAATAAATTAATTGCCAAAGAAGCTATGTTCCTATTAAATAATTTAAAGTTACTTTTGGACTGTAAAGATAATTCCTCAAGATATGTTACCTGGCATACTAACAGTTCTGATTTTCAGTTGTTGGAATCTACTGTCCAAATCTGAATTGCGGTGTTGCTGAAGGATAATAAGCAAGTTGAACAATGTTAACCTTTGGTCAAGAAATTTCATTTAGACAATTTGGGTCCCTGGTGGGACACTGGACACCTCACATGGCATATAGAGTAAGCACTACTTACCTGAATATCACATAGGTTGATACTCAAGTGGAAAACAACCCATAATTTAGGAGTAGACTGAGTCTGTATATGTTTCCAAAATGAATTAAAATGATAAGACTGTGAATGCAGTGAAAAGCAAGGAAATGAATTTGACAGATACTAAATTTTATTTTCAATTTCAAATTACTGGCTTTCTATTAGCATACTCCAGGAGTGGTGAATTTCTATAAAATTGGCACGGAGTATTAAATTTTATGAGTGTGCTATTGTAAGTATAAAAACCCATTTCAGTGAGATATGGACATGGTTATTTCTTTTTACTCAGCAAACTCTAGGCCATGTATTATTAGTCTTAACTTATCACCTTGAAAGACTTGAGGCTTTGGAGCTTTCTTTGTATATATATTTGTGGTAACATTTTGTTTATTTGGGTAGAAGAAAAAGGAGATTCTGAAAAGGGTATACTAGTTTGATAAGTTTATTAAAGCATTCTTTAATATGCATTTATGCTTTGACATTGAGTATTATTACAGTAATATTTTCAAATTATTACAATGATATTTTTGTTCAGCAGCACTTCTTTGAGTGTTTTGTTAAAAGGTGTGGCTTTACCAAAAATAGAAGTCTTGCAAATATTGTAATATTTGAGGAAAGTACTTAACTACACTTTAGCAATAGCGGAGATACCCGCACCCCACCCTGCCTTCACTGCAAATAGCAAAAACTACTTAGACATTGCATATCACTGCAATTTTGAATAAAAGGGGTGACAGATCCTGTAATTACAGCAGCAGCTTACATCTTGGATCCCCTCTCAGTTCACTGAGCCAGGGCTTTGAATGGTTATTGTGTAAAGAATAGTGATGGGTGATACACTACCTCGTTATAGTCAAAGTTAGGGGAAATGGGCTTAGATTGAGCAGAGTTAATGGAGGAAGATAAGAAGCAGGGCTTTCCCATAGTTTGGGCACCAGACCAGGCAATTTTCATACACATGGTAGCACCAGGAAGAGTGACAAATGCCATCTTCCTCCCACCTCCATTTGGACATGGTGTTGTCATGGCAGAGTGTATTCTGGTGGGAGCCAGGATGCCTTTTACTCTCTAGGGCTATGTAGATAATAATACAAAAGATTTCTCCTGTTTTTTTTTTTTCCCTCAACTTCTGCTCCTATCTGTGATACATACACACAGATACTCTCTTCAGCGCCAGAAAATAGCCCCTCTTACAATAGGGTATCCACATCCTAGAGGTACTTTAAAAAAAAAATTAACAGGCCGGGCACGGTGGCTATGCCTGTAATCCCAGCACTTGGGGAGGCCAAGGCAGGCAGATCACAAGGTCAAGAGATTGAGACCATCCTGGCCAACACAGTGAAACCCTGCCTCTACTAAAAATACAAAAATTAGCTGGGCATGGTGGCACACGCCTGTAGTCCAAGCTACTCGGGAGGCTGAGGCAGGAGAATCGCTTGAACTGGGGAGGCGGGGGTTGCAGTGAGCCTAGATCGTGCCGCTTCACTCCAGCCTGGCAACAGAGCAAGGCTCCGTCTCAAAAAAAAAATTAACAGAAAATTAGAACCACTATCATAGTTCAGATAACATATTTGGAAGACTTAGTTTTATGGTCCCCAAATAAAGAGGTATTGTTCTTACTGGTCATCTGGTCTGAGCAGAGATATCCCATATAACTACTCCCCCACTGGCATGTGTGGTGATGGTTCCTGATTACAACAGTGGTTCTTAAAGTGTCGTTCCTGAACCAGCAGCAGCAGCAGCCTCTGGAAATTTGTCACAAATGAAAATTATCCAACCCACCCTAGACCTAATCAATCAGAAACTCTTGGGGTGGGTCCCGGAATTTGTGTGTTAGCATGGCCTCTAGGTGATTGTCATGGACACACAAATCTGAGAACTATTTGTATTTGTTTTCTATTGCTGCAGTAAAAAAGTTACCACAAACTTAGTATGTGGTAACTTACCATTGTATTACCACTTAGTTTTTGAAGGTCAGAAGTTCAGGCAGACATGGCTGGGTCTCCTTCTTTGGCTCTCTCAAGGCTGAAATCAAGGTATTGATAGGGCTGTGTCTTACTGGAGGCTCTGGGGAAGAATCCACTTCTCACCTCATTTAGGCTGGTGACTGAATTCAGTTCCAGGTGGTTGTGGAACTGAGACCTCCATTTCTTTGCTGACTTTCAGCTAGAACTCATTCAGCTCCCAGAGGCCACCCACATTCTTTTCCATGCTTTTTATGTGGCCCCTCTAGCAACTAGGTTAAGTTTTTCTCAATTCAAATCCCTCTGCCTTTTCCCTTAGCCCTACCCGTCTTACATCCTCTTCTGCTGTATCTCTATCATGTTCTCTTCCACCGATAGCCAGGAGAAAGATCTGATTTTTGTTTTGTTTTGTTTTGTTTTGAGATGGAGTCTCTCCCTGTCACCCAGGCTGGAGCGCAGTGGCATAATCTCGGCTCACTGCAACCTCTGCCTACCGGGTTCAAACAATTCTCCTGCCTCAGCCTCCCGAGTAGCTGGGATCACAGGTGGCCACCACCACACCTAGCTAATTTTTTTGTATCTTTAGTAGAGATGGGGTTTCAACATGTTGGCCAGGCTGGTCTCGAACTCCTGACCTTGTGATCCTCCCAGCTCGGTCTCCCAAAGTGCTGGGATTACAGGCGTAAGCCACCGTGCCTGGCCAAAAGATCTGCTTTTTAAGGGGTCATGTGATTACATTGGTTCTACCCAGATAATTCGGGATAATTTCCCTTTTTTAAAGGCCACCGATTGGTAACCTTAATCACATCTGTAAAATCCCCTTGATCATGTAATGTAAGATATTTACAAGCATAACACAAGGGGGCTGAGGTCACTGGGCCAAAATTTTGTCTACTTTGCATTACATCTCACAGGTTCCTTCTCTTGACTTTGCCAGGCCCCTGTGTTGCTCACTAGCTGGCCCAGCTTTACAGCCAGCATCCTACTCTCACCATATAAGACCAATGGCAACTTGGGGAAACTGACCTCAAGACCTGCTCTGTCTCACCAGGAAAGCAGCCACATTGCACATGAGCCCCACGCATGCATTAGAACACCTGCTGTTGGTGTCTCCCTCATCTAGTCTAACATTCCTTTATATCTCTCTCTTGCCTGTTCCTCTCTCATTCTCCAGAAATGGCTGGCTCCTCTTTTTTTCATTTGTGTCCTTACCTCTATTGCCTCCCATGATTCAGAAGCTCCAGGGTGTAACTAAGCCTTGGGATTCTTCTCTAAAAGCCGTACGCCAGAGTGGTTTTGAGCATAAACTTTGAAGTCAAGACAATTTAGGTTCAAGTTTTGTTTTTTGTTTTTTGTTTTTTTTTTGAGATGAGGTTTTACTCTAACATCCAGACTGGAGTGCAATGGCATGATCTCGGCTCACTGCAGCCTCTGCCTCCTGGGCTCAGGCCATCTTCCCACCTCAGCCTCCGGAGTAGGTAGGACTACAGGTGCGTGCCACCATGCCTGGCTAATTTTTGTATTTTTTGTTGTAGAGATGGGGTTTCATCATTTTTGCCCAGACTAGTCTCAAACTTCTGGACTCAAGCAATCTTCCCATCTCAGCCTCCCAAAGTACTGGGATTATAGACGAGAGCAATCGCACCCAGCTGAGGTTCAACTTTGATGACCATGAGCAACTTTCTCTACTGTTTTATACTGCAGTTCCCTCATTTATAAACGGGAGGTAATAGTAAAAGGTCATTAAGCCAGTATTATTTTATTCATGGAAAAAGCAATTTAATGTACAGGAGACTCAGTACTAATAATACCTGCCAACTACCCTAAATAGGGGAGAAATTTAAAGAAAATAAATGCAAAAAAGGCAGAGAAAAAAGCAATTCAGGGTTTTCAGACTTGATTCTTGAAATGCTGAAGAAATTTAGAAAATTCACCTTATCTCATCTCTCTCCCTTTCTCAATAGATCTGTTTTTGAGGCATCTTGTCTTGTGAGATTTCCAGTGGCATCCCTACCCCAATTGGTGTCTTGAAGTTTAGGATGATACTCATGTAGACAACATTGCAAAGAAGAAAAACCATCACTTTTGCATGTGCAATTATTCTACCGATTTTCAGAACAAATCTTTTAATAATATAATGTTATCACCATCCTTGTTTTACAAACAATGAAACCGAAGCTTAGGTAATATAACTGACTCAACATCATACGTGCAGAGGTAGGTGAATTATCTCCACAGCTCTATGATAATGACAGGCATTATCAGTCATTAGCTTCTTCTGAATTTGTATCAACTAAAGCTAGCCTATCATATAATAAAGCTTCGTGGAGTTTGATGGCAGTAGTGCCCAGTATTGGTGAAGAAAAAAATTCATGAGGAGAATCTGAAGCTGGAGTTCCATGGAGAGAAAACAGGTTTGGGTGGTCCCCTTGGCAACTGGAAAGCATCCTGGGCTATTGTGCTGCTATAGAACAGTAGAAAGAATGGAGATAATTTAGAAAGGTGAGGCAGAGAATTCCAAAGACATTTTCCAGGAAGGTTTGAAAAGGAGAATTTCTGCAGTGAACGATGCATTGTATTAACATATCTGGCATTTGAAGGCATTCCTTGGGGTATGGGAACTCGAGTCAGTTTCTCCTTATCAGGACGCTGTCCAAGGAAACAAGCCCCTTAACCCTTGGCTGCTTCACAGAGGAGCCCATTTTACTCTGACTTTTCTTTTCTGTCAGGTTTTGTATTTTCTATCATGAGTGACAAATAGCTGATAGCATCCTGGCCTGTGCCTCTTTCTTACCACCACAGAAAGAATATGAAATTATCTGAAGTATTACCAGGTGGGCTGTATTATTACCTTACATGGAAACACAATTTAAAACTTTTCTTTCTGTCTTTTTTTTTTTTTTTTTTTTTTGAGAAAGGATCTCATTCTGTTGCTCAGGCTGGAGTGCAGTGGCACAATCATGACTCACTGAAGCCTCGACATCCCTGGGCTCAAGTGATCCTCCCACCTCAGCCTCCTCAGTAGCTGGGACTACAATATTGTGCCACCATGCTCACCTAATTTTTGTATTTTTTGTAGATATTGGTCTCACTATGTTGTCCAGGCTGGTCTCAAACTTCTGGGCTCAAGCAGTCCACTCACTGTGGCCTCCCAAAGTGCTGAGATTACAGGCATGAGCCACTGTGCCCAGCTAAAACTTTTCACGAAGAAACTCTCCTCAGAAATTCAAATTCTAGGAGCTTTCTCATAGGCTTGTAACATTGTGCTGTATGGAAGAAGACAAACTTGTTGTCTTTTGTTATTTACAATCTTGTTTTTCACTCTTTGACTGTATCCAGTCTGTATTCTAAGTCTCTCTACCAAAGGTAAGTAAAATATAAATTTTTACTTTGAATTCAAATCAGTGAGAAGAAATTTATTTGCTTTATGTAAATTTTCTTTTGTGGGCAAACAGACGGTATTAATTGCACAGATGGGATTGAGACTATATATCATTTTATCCTCAGAAAGATGAAGGGCTCGTGAGACTGCACACTTGATCTGTTCTCTTGTTTTCTCGTTTGTGTCAATTTGGTTGTTCCACATAGAGGAGTGTAAATCTGGATCTCTATTTTAATGAGTGTTTACCTGTTACTTCAGAGATAAAGAATTGCCAAAAAAGGAAATTTAAATTTGGGAAAATAATGACAACATAACAATAATAACAAATATTTCCAGGAATGTTAGCATGCTTTCTATCCATTAAGTTATTTAATCCTCACAATAAGCCTATAAAATCCTTATTATCCTGATTTTTCATTTGAGGAAACTGGGACTCAGAAAGGGCAGGCAATTGAACAGTATCACAGAGCTAATAAATTGCAAGGCTTCAAGTTTTTTTTTTCAGTATACGTTCCTTATTTGTTTATTTTCAGTCTTTCCCTCCAGAGTGTGATCTCTGCCGAGACAGCAGATATTTTTGCTGGTTTTGTCCACTGATGTAGCCCTGCTACCTAGAACAATGCCTGGCCCAGAGTATATGATAAATACTTGAATGGCAGGGCTTCAATTTAAACAAAAGTCTATTTGATACCATTGTGTTAGCTATTGCTGATTAATAGTTAATGGCAAAATCTCAGTGGCATGCAACATACAACAGCAGGCATTTACTTCTTGATCATGTGTTGATGGTTTGGTTGGGAGTTGGCTGACTAGGCTTAACTTAGCTGTGCTTGGCTCCAGCTCCAGCTCGGATTCAGGTGTGCTCCATGTGTCCTTCTTTCGTTTTGGACCAGTAGGTTATATGTGACTCTTATGGCAGAAGGCAGTAGCACAGAGGAGAAGCCCAATTAAGTAAGCACATTCCAAATGTCTACTCACGTCATATTTCTTAACATTCCTCTAGCCAAAGCTCAATAGCAATGGAATAGGAAAATATTCTCTTCTCATGGAGGTGAGGATGGGAAGGAAATGACTATTTACTGAAAAATCCTCCAATCTACCTCAAATGCCTGTGCATTTTCTCTGTCCTTCCTAATTCATAAATATTGAATGTACAGGCGGGATGACATTCTCAGTTAGGAGTCACCTTATTGTGTGTGCTTGTCAGAGGGGCCACATACCAAATCATCAATTCATATTTTCTGACTACCATTGCCTCCCTTTTTGCTCTAGAGGATGTTTGACTCATTTTGCCTTCTCTGCCCTAATTTGTTCATACTAGAACTCTGGAGGCAAAGATCATTAATGAGTGATTCTAGAAGACTATGGTTATGATTACTATCCTGGAACAGAATCTTTTTTTTCTGTTTTCATGCAATTCCAATTGGCCAAGGGATTTTTTAAGGAAAATGTTCCTACTACAAGGTCTAATACAGACAGCAGAAAGCAATCCAATGTTTTACAAGTAGCAGGACATGCAGGATGGGAATACTTTTTCTAGAAACAGCAAACTGTAAAGATGATACCAGCTGAGGTATCACAGGCAGGGGAGCTTCTTACCTTCTTCTACCTTGTGCTCAATGGCTGATATGAAGCTAAAATGCCCCTTAGAGGCAACTCAAAGGGAATCTTACATATCAACATCATGGGTTTAGAGGTGGGGATTTTGCGGTCCCCACCACCACTCCTTTTGTTCATTGCTAATGTGGTTAGTAAACTAAATGGTGAAAAGATTATGGGGTAGAGACAGAATTCCTGGTTTTAGTCTCAACTGTATCAGAAACAGCATGGCTGGAAAACAGCATTTCACATTTCTATGACTTATTTTTCCACTTCAACAAATTAGTACCGTGTAACCTTTTCTTTGCTACTGAATTTTACCTTTGTCACAAGAAATGACTAAAAAGATTGATCCTCAAAGGAATAAATTAATTTGAGTGATTTGTCTGGGAACTATTGTTCTTTTATTTTTAGAGTTAGAAGGGCTCTGTGACCTTCAGGACTGAAGGCCCTAACTAACACTTGCTTCTTGGCTCATAGTTGGCTTGAGATCTTTGTTTAAGGAGTATCTTTCACTTCTGCTTGATGCATGCTAGATTCATGTCTCTGTTGTGACTTCCCCAGCATTTTTGTGTCATGTTTTAAAAGTTACATAATGGAACAGCTATAATTTTATGTGCCTTCCTTGATCTATCAGCGTATGTCTACAAGCATGCCCATGTTATAATGGAAATTCTCTATGCAGTCTTACCCAGTACCTGTCACTATCATGTTACAATGACCATGACTGAGTATCCAGCTTTCCTACAGAACTTCCGTGTTCATCATCATTATTATGCCACTTGTGATTCCATTAGAGTTTGAAAAAGGTTCTCAGGGAACTTCTCCAGAAACTTGCAACAGCTGTATCATAAGTACTGGACTAAGATCACTTAGGTAGGTCTGGCTTCAGTAGGGATGAAGGTATCCCAGTGTCTGCAGGAAGCATCTGGCATCTTTATCCTTCTATGGCATGAGAAGGTGTGTTGCCCAGCGGCAGAATTCTGTATATGACAGAGCTGCTCTATGGCAGTTGGTAGTGTGAATGGAAAATGTGTAAAGTGTTTTTAGGTTTTTGGAGGACAGGCAGCATGTCGGTGCCAACTATTGTTGTGATGAAGAAACCCAAATCTAAATCGGTCTGTATGGTTGGATTGCTATGCTTAGTTTATTTAAAACATGGCATTTGGAGAGAGTTAAAATACCAGCACACTGTGTCTTTGCCTCTACTTTTTTTCTGAAGCAAATTGGTTGGGTCTATTTGCAAAAGCTTTAGCTGTAAGAGAGCCAGTAAAGAGGCACATTTCTACTAGTGCCTATTGTGATAGGCCTTCTTTGTCGTGTTAATTCTAGTAGAAATAATCATCTACATTGATTTATAAGGTTGGAATTGAATGGGGACATTGATTCAAAATAAAAGAACAGCCATGGACATTTTGATTTATGTTGGTATTAAGGCAAATCATTCAGATTCGGTTTGTACAATCTAAGGTTGCTTGTCCAGTGGTTAGATGTCAGAATGTATTTAGCAATTTCTTGATGAAAGAAACAAACCCCTGATAGAATGTATACTTTTTCGGGGGGGGGGGGGGAGGGGCTAGAACTGTAATTTTTTGCTTGTTGTGTGGAGACTGCTACCTGCATGTCAGTGGTTCTTAGGTAAGAGAGGATTGCTTTAGAGTGAAATAAATAACCTTATCAGTCACTGATTTTATGGGACAAGAATGTAAATGTAGTGAGTAATCAGAGAGCATGTAAATAGTAGCAGATAATTTTTCAGAACATTGGCACTTAGTTTGAAGATGTCTTTCATATTTAAGAGACTGAAACTCTTGTCCCAAGGAGTATGATATTCTCAGGGGTCAGTTATGATGTGAAGAAAAAAGTAGCCTTTTGTTATAAAGGGGTTCCTACATCTAGTAATCATTGGTGGATTTACTTTGCTTCCTGCTATTCTTTGTTGTTCTCTCCAGACTGACATTGATGCCCCTTCCTCACCTCTCCCATAGTCCTCTCTGTGTTTCTTTTTTTTTTTTTAAATGTATTTATTTTTATTATACTTCAAGTTTTAGGGTACATGTGCACATTGTGCAGGTTAGTTACATACATATACATGTGCCACGCTGGTGTGCTGCACCCACTAACTCGTCATCTAGCATTAGGTGTATCTCCCAATGCTATCCCTCCCCCCTCCCCCCACCCCACAACAGTCCCCAGAGTGTGATGTTCCCCTTCCTGTGTCCATATGATCTCATTGTTCAATTCCCACCTATGAGTGAGAATATGCGGTGTGTGGTTTTTTGTTCTTGCAATAGTTTACTGAGAATGATGATTTCCAATTTCATCCATGTCCCTACACAGGACATGAACTCATCATTTTTTATGGCTGCATAGTATTCCATGTTAAAAAGTCAGGAAACAACAGGTGCTGGAGAGGATGTGGAGAAATAGGAACACTTTTACACTGTTGGTGGGACTGTAAACTAGTTCAACCATTGTGGAAGTCAGTGTGGCGATTCCTCAGGGATCTAGAACTCTCTGTGTTTCTTAATCACAACATGTGTCACACTGAGACCTAATTGTTCCCATATTTGGCTATCTCTAACTTTAAACATTAAGCTACTTGAAAGCAAGACTGAAACCTTTCGCAGCATATAGCAGATAGGTATGCATACTCATTGTTGAGTAAATGAAATATTTCAGTGGCTATTGGGTCCCAAAAGCAGGCCTAAGGTACACCAGTATGCTGAGGAGGCCTCAGTTTTTAATCTGATTCCAACATTGCCACCTCACAGTGTACTGGTCTGGTTTTTCCATCTCTAATTTGACCAGGTTGGACCAGAGAGGCTATCTTCCAGTATGTTCTAAGTTTCAGTGATTTACCCATTTTGAATCACCAAAGTTACAATTTATTTCAAAGATGATTATTTCTAACTGATTACATGTGTTCCCATAGGGAGCATGACTTCGGCAACTTCACCTATCATTCTGAAATGGGACCCCAAAAGTTTGGAAATCCGGACGCTAACAGTGGAAAGGCTGTTGGAGCCACTTGTTACACAGGTAAGGGATGCTTTGAAACCACTTTGTTATATATGTGTTTCTATTGTGATTATATCCTGACTCTTGGAAAAACTTAGACATCCTTAAAAGAGAATAAATCATGCCATGATTCCGATTACTGAATATATATTACTGCCTGAACTATGGGCAATCTCATTGCCCTATAACATTTGAAGTGGCTTTTAAAAACTATTTGTATGATTTTTGAAATTAAGTTGATGAGATAATTGAAGAGGGGTCCTTGGTGAAGGGGGCCCTCATTTACGGTAATGGGTTCAAAGTCTAAATAAACTATTCCTCCTGCACTTTCAGATGCTAATGCACCATTAGGAAAAACTGTGTTGACTATACAACAGCAATGTATATTTATTGAATTACTTTTCTTTCAGTTTACAAAGCAGAATTCATCCTGTTGGAGTGATGAGATGTTCCATTTTTGTGTTGTCACAGTTGTCACATTTCCACAAGATAACGGTCAACAGAAAAATATCATCAGGATTTTTAAGTGTTATAAGTTATTTTTTAGTGTCTTGTTAAGCATGCTCTTTGCTATTTTAACTCTGAGATTCCTGGGATGTGATTTTTTTTTTTTTTTTACCAAATTATAATAGAGGCATTTGTATTGTCCTGTGGCTGCTATAACAAATTCCTATCTACTTAGTGGCTTGAAGCAGCACAAATTTATTATTCTAGAGGTCAAATATCCTAGTCAAGGTATTGGTTGGCTTGCATTCCTTCTGGAAGCTCTAGAAGAAAATCCATTTTCTTGCTTTTCCCATCTTCTAGAAACCACATCACTTCTTTGACCCCTTTCTCTATATTCAAATCCAGCAATGTAGCATCTTCAAATTTCTCTTGCACTCTGACCTTTGCTTTTGTCCTTGCATCCCATCTCTGAAATTGTCTTTCCTACTTCCTTCCAATAAGGACCCTTGTGATTATGTTCGGTCCACCCAAATACTCCAGAAAAATCCTCCCATCTCAAGATCCTTAACCCAATCACATCCAAAAAGGCTTCTATTGCCATTTAAGGTAACATATTTACAGTTTCCAGGGATTTGGATGGAGTTGCTTTGAGGACCATTATTCAGTCTGCCATAGTTTGCCCTCTGGCTCCCCAAAGATTCAGATCCTTCCTTTATGCAAAACACATTACACCACATTCTCAGGTCTCCAAAAGTCTCAACCAATCATAGCATCAACTCAAGTTCAAAATATCATCTAAATTTCATCAGCTTAAAAGTCCCAAATCTCATTGTCCAAATTATTTAAATTAGATATGGCTGAGGATCTCTTTATAATCTGTCCTTGAGCAGAGTTCCTCTCCATCTGTGTAGCTGTGAAACTACAAAACAAATTATATGTTCCCAAAATGCAATGGAGGGACAGGCATAGGATAACAGTTACAGACATTCCTACATAAAAAGGGATAAAGTGGAAGGAAAAAGGAGTTGCCAGTCTCAAGAAATGTAGAAATCTACATGGGAAAATTCCATTAGATTTCAAGGCCTGTGAATAATCCTCTGTGGCTTGAGTCTGCTCTCTGGGCCTAGTTCAGAATTATTTCTTCATTTTCATGAAGGGTTGCACATATTTTCAACCAGGTATTCTTGTCATCCATCTCCTACCTGTAGAATTTTGAGTGTCCATTCAGCCTTCGTGCATTTCATCCCTTTTCTGCCTGTATCAGTCCAAGCTGATGGTGTTACCACCGTTGTAGGATTCTCAAGAACATTGTGATTTTACTATGCACATCTCCAGGATTCACTCCATTAGAAAAACAGGCTCCTCTACAGATCTTTCTTGGATAATTTCATCTCCATTTTTGGCCTCTGTTGAAGTGGCTGAGGGGATCCATGAATTACATGCCTAATCACTTCAAAGAGCCCTCCTTTCACTTGGACCTTTTAATCCTTATATGGCACTAGGAAAATGTTATCCAGACATAAAATTGGCTTTCTCTTCAAGTATGCTTTCTTGAAAGCACGTCTCCTAATTTTAGCCTTTTGAAGTCTTCATACGTTGAGAATTTTCCCAATCATCAAGTCCTGGTTTCTTTTGGCTTAATAGTTATTCCCTTTATTCATCTTTTTCCTCTCACATTTCACTATAAACAGCAAGAAGAAACCAGGCCACTCTTTCAACACTTTGCTTAGAAATCTCCTCAGCTAAATATGTAAGTTCATCACTTGTAATTCTGACTTCCACGTAATTGTAGGAATCCGTCCAGCTGAGCTTTCTGCCACTATGAAACAAAGATTCTCTTTTCTCCGGTTTCCAATAACATGTTTCTCATTTCCTTCTGAGGCCTCACCAGCATCTCCTTTAATGTCCACATTTCTACCAACGTCTATTTATGGCAACTTAGATACTCCCCAAGAAGTTAATGGTTTTCTCTACCATGCTCCTCACTTCCTTCTGAGTCTGCACCAGCAGAGCCTTTAACCAAATCTTTATTTTTAATAACAGTCTGTTCAAGGAGATCTATAATTTTTGTATTATGCTTCTCAAAATTCTTCCAGCCTTTTCTCATTACCAATTCCAAAGCCACTGTCTACATTTTTAGGTATTTGTTACTAGCAGCGCCCCACTTCCAAGTACCAAAATCTGTGTTAGTTTCCAATTGCTGCTATAACAAGTTTTCACAAATGTATTAGCTTAATATAAAACACATTTATTGTATAGTCCTGGGGGTGAAAAGTTCTAAGACCAGTGTGGCTCTAGGGAGGCATCTAGTTCCTTGCCTGTTTCAGTGTCTGCAGTCCACCTGCATCCCTTGTTTGTGTCACCTTCTTCCATTTTAGAGCCAGTAGCACAATGCTCCAGATCCCTCCGATTTCAGCTTAAACTGTTATATTTCCTTCGATGAATCTTAACTCTACTCCTTCTCTCTTATGAAGAAGATCCTTGTGATTACAATGGGCTCACTCATATATTCCAGGATAATCTCTCCATCTTGACATCCTTAACCTAAGCACATCTGCAAATTCCCTTCTGCCATTTAAGGTAGCACATTCGCAAATTCCAGGGATTAGAATGTGGACATCTTTGTATGTAATTGGAGAACATTTTATGAGATTCATGCATATTTTTCATTCAGTCATGACTCTTGTTAGTTCTATAAAAATTTCTGCAAGAAGCACCTAATACTGATATGCTTACCTAATACTGATAGGAAGTATGTTGGCCACCTACTCAGATTGTACCCTGTGGCCTAGGGTTGATTCATGAATTTTTTATGGTCTGCAGTAAGAACAAAATTGAGGATAAACACTTGAAATTTTTATAGGAATTTGACAGTAATTTTTTGTCTGCTGAACCTAAATATAAAATATGGACTTATAATTGTATATGTTTAATTTTTAAAATTATTCATGATGTTGTGTTTTATAAAATATTGGTCTGTGAGATATTGGAATAATAAAAATGTAGCCTTTCATCACAGATAGCTTGAGAAAGACTGGCTTAGGAGATATGTTGGAGTCAGAACAATCTGGTCTAAAAGGTACTTCTGCCAGATCAGTTAAAAAGTGAGTGACCTTTTCCTAGCCTTGGAGTTTACACTTAAGAGTACCTATAAGTATATTTAATCCTTATCATACAGATTAAATGAAAGAAAATATTAGAATACAGTACCTGGTATAAAACAAACATTGAGTAAATGTAGCTTCTGTTTTTCCTGTTTGATGGCTATATATTCAGGCTCATGCTAGTCATAAACCAATACTGTGTAATTTATGAGAAGGATGTAAGTGAATTAGGCATGGGCTAGCACAATATTACACTTATAGAGCCTTATGTGTTAAAATTTATGTACTTATATTTTACCCTTGAATTTAGCTTATCTAAATCATAGCACATCTAAGATTATAATTAAAAATTCTTTTTGGCTGGGCGTGGTGGCTCATGCCTGTAATCCCAGCACTTTGGGAGGCCAAGGCAAGAAGATCACTTGAAGTCAGGAGTTCGAGATTAGCCTGGCGAACATGGCAAAACCCCATCTCTACTAAAAATACAAAACTTAGACAGGCATGGTGGTACATGCCTGTAAACCCAGCTACTCAGGAGGCTGAGGCAGGAGAATCACTTGAACACAGGAGGCAGAGGTTACAGTGAGCCAAGATCATGCCACTGCACTCTAACCTGGGCGACAGAGCGAGACTCCATCTCAAAAAAAAAAAAAAAATGTCTTTTTCATATACCTTTTAGTCCAGTTATCTAAAGTCCTTCTGTTGCAGACAAAAGCAATGCATTAAAATATTTTCTCAAATTAAGGACAGTGAAGTGGCTAATTCATATTTGTTCACATAATACAGTAGAATGCTTAAAACTTTTCTTGAATTTCATACAGAGATTTGGCACTGTAAGTAGTCTTAACATCCTTCCAGTCCCCTATCTATATGCCTTATATTTCCTCCTAGTATTCCATACTGATTTAAAAAAATTAAATATGTGAATTTTAAGATGGGATTTTCCTTATGATATTACTTCCCTACAATACATGACTGTGTTATCAATACTAACTAATTCTTCCCTTGGAATTAAACCTTCATGATAGGACTGATGTGACTGTTGACCCTTAAAAGACTTATGAATAAGGAAGAAGAGATAAGGGAATATTAGCTATAAACTTCTTACTCAACATTTAAAGCAAACTGGAACTGTGAGAGGGAACCAAACCAAGGCCCCAGTTGTATCAAACACATACACACAACTTTATGAATTGAACAAAATTCATAGCAATATGCAATGATACAGTTTGCTCATAGCTATCCCACAGTTTCTAATAAGGATGGATAAGGGATGAAATGAAAAACAGAAGTTATGGGGTTCTGAGTAGAATTCTTTCACTGTCATGAGAAAAATGACATTAGGAATTTACTGTTGATTAATATTTAAAATATCCCACAAAACCTTACCTTATATCAATAATGATATATATGAGGCCTATACATTTATTGTATAATGTTGAAATGGCAAGATTCCTTTTGGAGAAATTGTACATTATTAAAATGATGAAACTGCTAATGAGAAGAGATATTCATCTTAGGAAGTTTAGTCCTTGAAAGTGTCTGAACTTTTTATAAATTCAAAAAAGGAAGGAGTTTCAATAGGTCACATTCTGTATTAAGAAGCCTTATTAGAAAACTAACACAATTTATTAGGCAACTTTATTACAAAACTAAAAAAAAATTATTAGGAAATTAAGAAACACTCTTAGATAACTCTTAGAACCAAAGGGAAATTACAACTATATATGAGTTAATGAAAAAGAAGATCCCTTCCTAACAAAATAGGCACATCCAGTAAAAGCTATCATCAGTATAGAATTTTAGCTTTAGATAGCTTTGAAGAAAGAAAAGATATAAAAAATAAACTATGAATCTTAAGGAATTAAAAAAAATCAAAAGAAACTAGGAAAACAGAATTTAATAACAAGGAAAACTGGAATCACTAGAATAGAATGCAAATGTAAAAATGGCTAAATAAACTCAAAATTTGGTGATTCTTTGAAATGGCCAACATAAACCCCTTGAGGCACAAATTATGGAAAATATATAAAGAAAGAATATATAAAATTGTAAATGAGAAAGCAGAAGTAAATCCCGAAACAAGAAAGGTTAAAAGAAGTATAGTAGAATATTAGGTGTGGCTCTGCAGTGATGAAGCATGAACATCTAAAGGAAGGGAATCAGTTCCTAGAAAAAAATAAATTACTAAAATATTTTCAAGAGAAAGTAGAAAACTGTAGTATTCCATTTAAATACTAGAGCTGTTTAAAGATCAGTTATCAAAAAAGCACCAGAACAGATGGATGTTTAGTTGAATATTACCAGACGCTTGTAGCGCTGATATTCCAGTGTTCTTTAAATGATTCCAACCATAGAAAAATATAGAGAACATTAATCATTTTTTAGAGAATCATAATTTTAACATTAAAAGTTTAAGTCACATTCTAAAACTTTTTAAAGAAAAAGACAGTGATGATTCTATGTCATTTGAAAATTTAAATGCAAAAAAGAAACCTACCTAAGCTATTAGTAAATAGCACCCAGCAGTATATGAAAAGATCAGCATAAGTGTGAAAAAAAATAGGATTTTTAAAGAATATAATGGTGGCCTATATTTAGAAAACAAATAAAAATACTTTAGTATATCAATAGATTATATCATTAGATACTAAAAAGATATTTAATAGAATTTTGCAGTTATTTCTAATAAAAATTCTAAGACTAGGATCAATCTTTTAAAATAATGTACCACGTAAATTTTGGAAAAGGACTAATAAAGCCCTCTTTGGGATATAATTTTTATATCATTACAAGTAATATGAAAATGAGGTTAGGTTGCTAGATATAAGATAAATATACAAAAAATAATTTTGTATCTATTCAAAGGGAAAGAATTCAAAACAAAGATATTTCTTTATAATTGAAAAATTATAAGGTCAATTATTTTTTTCTGTATGAAGTGCATATTGATGTTTTAATTTCATTTGCAGTTTTGTAATTTATTATATCATTGGAGCAGAGATTGTGGATGCATAGGCTTTAGAGTCAGAGAGGCTCAATTGTAAATCCTGTATTCATGGTGATAGCTTCAGTAGTTTACTTAACCGCTCCTTAAATGTAAAATATAGATAATAATAATTTCTACATCATAACAGTATTGAAAGGACAAGTGAGATGGTTTAAAGGGACTAGAAATGCCTAATGGTATGCTTACAGTAATACAGGCTTGCTTTCAGTACCATTTTCTTTACCATTTAATGGTAATGGCTTTCGCTTAATAAAACATAGGTGTCATATCTAATACAGGGATTCATTTGGATACTTTTTAGAAAAAATATTTTAATGGAGATTTATAAAAACATGGATTTGCTTATTGCATTAACAAAAGATAATTAAAACGGAAACCTGTGAAGTTATTGAGAGTTCAACCTTTACCTTTTCAGGAAGCTAATGAAGCACTGGCCATCAAAATGAGTTGGCCATCAGAATAGAATTTGCTGAAATTTTGTTCTTTTTTTTTAATAGAAGATGAACCTGAAACTTAATAAATAACACTAAACATCTGATAAAAGAATATCATTGATGTTTAATGAGCTGTTCTAAAGTAGCCAAATAGGGAAGGAACCTCCTAAGAAGAGGAGCTCTCTTTAATCATTTCCAGTATTATTTTGAGCAATGTTCGTGGGGCCCTGTGAAATTAGGCTCTGGTGAATTTTATAGTTGAACCATTTTAAATTTTACTCCAAAATTTAATAATTATCTCAAGCTAATTAGCACTTTATATATTTTAAAAACATTTTAAAAGTTAAAATTTCAATTTTATATTTTTAAAAAGTAATCAATTTTCTCCCTCTTTATATTTAATTTATTATAACAGGAGTAAATTTTCTGTGAGTCACAACAATAGTTCATTACTTTGGTGCAATTAAAATCAGGGAAACAGGAGGTTCAGATTTAAAATTAGAAGATTTAGAGCTGAAAGTGATTCCAGAAATAAATGAACACTTAGAAGCAAAGTAACTTCTGAGAGTTGATCCAGTGCCTCTTTTTTTTTTTTTTTTTGCTACACCATACACTTTCTTATAGAATTTACAAAATATAGCATTTTATGCAAGAATTTACTGAAATAATCAAAATATAAAGTGAGGCATCATTATAGTCATTTTTCCATCTATCCAGAGAATATCATTATTGAGAGTCACCTTAATTCATGGTTTATTCATGATATTGATAAATGAATACATTTGGGTGGTTTCTATGGTGGCACTACAGTGTTACCATAAGTTGTGCATGCATTTTTGTCAAAGAATTGAAATTGCATGAAAGGTAAAGGATGTGCTAAAAGTGAATGATGTGAACTCCATTAAGACTGTTTGATGTTTGATCTAATTCATGTATAGTGTGATTAACCCATTTCCAAGTATATTTTCCCATTTTTATTTATTTACCTTTGTTTTCATACTAGGTTCCATTTTCATTTTTGAATGATATTTTTCTTGCCTTGAAAAGTATTTCAGATTATGTGTCTTTAAAGAAAGTTTTGGGGCCAGGAGCAGTGGCTCATGCCTGTAATCCCAACATTTTGGGAGGCCAAGGCAAGAGCATCACTTGAGGCCAGGAGTTCGAGACCAACCTGGGAAAAACAGAGAGACCAGTCTCTACTAAAAGTTTTTAAATAAAAGTTATCCAGGTGTGGTGGCACATGCCAGCTGCTCTGGAGGCTGAGACAAGAGAATTGCTTCAGCCCAGGAGTTCCAGGTTATAGTAAGCTATGATGGTGCCAGTGCACTCCAGCCTGAGCAACAGCATGAGATCCCATCTCTAAAAAGAATAATAATAAAACTTGGGGGTGAATGAAGTACCTTAAGTATCATAAGTTTATTGAAAACTGCTAAATCTCTGCATCTTTCCTTGTCAAATAAATACATATGTATATATACATACATATTACATACAAATAGCATGTGCAATATACACACACAAGTAGTATGTATGTATGCAAATAGCATGTTTACAAATACAAATACTATGTATATATAGTATATATTTGTATATATGTATGTATACTATATATGTGTATATACATATGTATGTATATACACATATGTATGTGTATCCATATGTATATACATATGTATGTGTATATACATATGTATGTGTATGTATACTATACATATGTGTATGTATACTAAATACATACACATATATAGTATACACATACATATGTGAACAGAATTTGAATATAAGTAACTAAGTTGTGATTTATAAATTTACCTGTATTACATATATTAATATTTAATTGAAAGACTATAAAATATTTTTATTGTTTTATAAATATGGTTTTGTATTTTAATATAAACATTTCTTAAGTTGCTATGTTTTTACAGTAGGTATGTATACCCAAAGTAGTTAATATATTGGAAACACTTCTTTGAATTGAGGTCCTCTGGTAGTTTGTTCAGTAGTTAGTGTGTTTCCACTTCTGAAATAGGAGTTTAATTAACCAGTGTGTAGTCTGGAATTAGATTAATTTCTGTTTTGGGATTATGCTCAATATTTTAATGTCTGCCACCAGATGGGAGTGATACTCTTTCTGTTATATGGCCAGCTGTGTTGGCCATGTTTTGAAACTTGAGTAATGTACAGAACCCTTTTAAAATAAGGAAAAAAGGGAAAAAAGCCCCAAATTCCAAAGTGGGCTTAAACTAGTATAAACATGGAATTATGTAATGCATGTATGTTTATCCATAAAGAAATTTATAAAATAAGTACAAAAAATACAAAAACAAAGCAATTAAAATCAACATCAACTTGATGGATGATACTGTTTTGCTGAAATTAAATCACTGTGTATGATGTAAATGTTGGTGGTGACTGCTCTAGCTCCCTGTCTTTTGTGTTTGGTGAACACACACCACCCTGTGCCATGTGATAAGTCACTTCTTTCCTCACCTTCAGAACCACCTACTGCAAATCACAGCTATTTAGTGCACCATGGTATCATTGCACTCTGTTTAGCATAAATATTTTCACAGTTAACATGTGACATCTGCCCTTTTTCCCTTCTTATTAGCCTAGGGAGATGAAAGTTAAGTAGCAAAACTTGTGATAGTTTTAGAATACAAGCTAACTATATTAACATTGATAAAACTACCTATTCTTCCATCAAAATATTTACTTTAAATAATTTCTAGTATAAACACAGTGATTATTTTATGAATGCTAATAAGAGAAATGCCATTTAGTAGAAGATAAAAGAGGAGTCTATGAAATGACTGTGTTTAATGTACTACTCAATTGATTAAATCTTATTTTTAATTTAAAAAGACATTCTTGGGGTTTCCCCCACAAGATACTAAGGCCCAGTTCACCAATCCTGGTTTCTCTTATTCCTCTTACAAGTTATAGGTTGGGGCTCACCCATAGGGGTGATCTAAGATGCTGGACTAGATTTTCAAAACTACTTTGATTAGAATCTTTGCTTTGCACACTCATTACTGCTGTGGTCTTAGGAGGAGCTCCTCTCAATGAGTATGCAACTGACCACAGATAATCCTTGAAGAGAAAAAGGGGAAAGGTGCTAATGTTTCTTGAGTAGGTACTAAATGCCTGGTGCTGACCTAGGCATTTCCATTACTTCTTGTGTCAACTTGGTAAGGTCAGTATAGTTTTATTTTCTTACAGATTAAAAAAAAGATAGATCACATAATTAAAGGTCTAAGGTGAGTTAGACTGAGTAGATCTGAAGCTCCTAAGGAAAATGTGGACTGAAAATACTGAAATGGTAAGTTGGGAGTACATTAACCATGGAGAATGTGAAGGGTAAAAGGGAAGAGAGTAAGGAAATAAATAGGTGAGAAGGGAAGAGCTACCAACATTAAACAGACAAAGGAAAGGAAACAAGCAGAAGATGGAACAGATGTTTAGAGTAAGGATTTAGTACCTTTTCTTGTTTGTATCGCCTAATCTTTGTCCAAATCTGCTGTTTGCTGACATGCACACAATTCCTAAACAAATCCCTTGACATTCAAATGAATATATTAAACTAAAACCCATTTTTTCCTATTAAATGGTTAATGCATATGAATATGCACTCTTCCTTTTATTCTGTTTTGCGATAAAATCAAACCTTAAAAGTATTTTCCATTTCAGTGAATACTTAGCAAATACTGTCAATGGGAAAAAAATGGAATTTAAAACTACATTTAAAATGCAAGTAATGTCAGAGAAAAATAATGATATCTTTATGTGCTTGAAATGGGACAATTAGTGAAATCTTATGCATGCTAATTCAAAAATTTCAAGGGAAAGATTGGGGGCGGTTAGCTAACAAAATTGCTTTTAACTATTTTGGACAATGTAGAAATATTATCTGAACTGGAGACCAAAAAATCCATTACACCAAGCAGGAAAATGCCTACGAAGTGACAGAATTGAATTTACGCAGGAAGCTCTCAACTAGCAAACTAATTAAAGCTTGTCAGAGATCTGAGATAAAGGATTGGGGCATGTCAACACACTGGCTTATATGTTTCTTGTCATCCGATTGAAAGTAGGAAAGGTAAGCCCTATTTTCACATAACTAAAGAGGGAAGGCCAGCACAAGCAATAAAAAAACTAACCAGTGATTTTTCTTTCATTCTGAAAACAAAACTCTAAGTCTTTCTTGTAACATGGATATCTTGACTTTGGTGTCACCATCTCATGGGATTTATTTCCTCCCCCATTAGCTCTGCCTTCTCTTTGCTTTACTGTTTCCTGGCCTAGCCTTTAAATGTTCACGCTGTTCAGGCCTCCGACTTGGTTGGTACTCCTCCTTTCTTTCTTCTGCATTTTCTCCCCAGGTGATTCTACCCATCCCTATGGCTTTTATTATCATCGATATGCTGACAGCACTCAAATTTGTATCTTCAGCCCACAGTTTTTCACAGAGCCCTAGTCACACACCCAAGAGTTCTCCTTAGCTCTTCTTTGCTCAGATCTGCCACTTTCCAACTCTGCTGCTAAAGTCCTGGTTCCAAACACAAGTCCTCTCTCATCATGATCAGTACAGTCACCAAATTATCCACCAATCCCATTCTTACTCACTACCTATACATTCTCTATTCGGCAACCAGAGTGATCATTGAAAACAATGCATAATTTGATCATGTCATTCTCTTAAGAATCTGCAAATGATTTTCATTGCATTTGAGGATGAAATTAACACTCCTAACCATGTCCTGATTTGTACCTTGCTGTAATCACCTAATGCTGGTGGCCCTTCAATCACAATGCTCAAGGCTCAGAGCCCTTCTTTCAGTTTCTTGGACATACTGAGTTCTCTCTGGCCTCAGGATTTTTGTGCATGCTGCTCTCTCTGCATGGGCGGATGCTGCCCTTCTACTGCTGTGACTGGCTCCCTTACATCTTTCGGCTACCATGTATCATTCTCCCGACCTCACAGAGACCTTTTCTGACCACTCTTTTTTTTTAAAGTACATGCCTCCTGCCCCACCTTTTATATGTTCTCTGTGTTTCTTTCAGAACACTTGTTACTATTTGTAATTGTATTAATGTGTATTTGTGTGTGTGAATTTTCTCTGACTCCTCCAATAAGCAGGAAGTCTCATGTAGATAGAAATGATGCTAGTCTAATTCATACATTTATCTCCAGTACCTTTGACACAGGAAGTGTTTGATAAATATTTGTTGAACGATTAAATAAACCATTCTCTTTCAAAAAATGCAACTTGTGTATTCTCTTTTAGTCTGCCTCGTTTTCTTCTAAAGTTAGCTAGTAGTAAAATGTAATTGTATGTTGCAGTATTTGTTTTACGAAGATGTTGACAATCAACAATTGTTTATTGTGCATTTTAAAAGATAAATATATTTATTAGCTTTTAAAAAGTGTGTATGAATGTTTTAATACTCAGCGACCTCACTAAGCAATGAAATGTGTTTTTGTATGTTGAAATGTGTAATATTTTATCTTCATAATAAAAGGCATAGTATAAATACATTTCTTATATATTGCATATGCATGTGTCCACATAGACAAAATTAATGAGTCTTTTCACATTGTCTATAAATAATCTCTATATTTTCTTTAAAAATTAGTTTTGCTTGACCTCTTGTTGAATGAAACCTTCATTTTTAATTATTACTGTTCAAAGGAATTTATGAACCTTAAATATGATGTTAGACAAAATTATCATCATTAAAGTTTCTCAACCATTATGAACTTTCTGTTATTCCAACTGGCACTGGAATACAGGGACAATATATATTCATTATCACTTTTGTGCCACTTAGTTCATTAGTTAAATAAATCTTCCCTTGACTACCTCTTGACCATGGTTTCCAGATTTAACAAATACAAATTCAAGACCCGCAGGTAAATTTGAATGTCAGATAAATAATAAGCCAATGTGTTGTATAATTACATTCTATGCAATATTTGAAACATACTTATACTAAAATAAATTGTTATTGTAGTTTCATCTCTGAAACCATATATTGCTAATTTGTAAATTCTGGAGAATTCACATTCTTCTTTTTTTTTTTTTTTTTTTTTTTTTTGAGACGGAGTCTCGCTGTCTCCCCGGTTGGAGTGCAGTGGCGCGATCTCGGCTCACTGCAAACTCCGCCTCCCAGGTTCATGCCATTCTCCTGCCTCAGCCTCCCAAGTAGCTGGGACTACAGGCGCCCGCCAACACGCCCGGCTAATTTTTTGTATTTTTAGTAGAAACGGGGTTTCACCATGTTAGCCAAGATGGTCTCGATCTCCTGACCTCGTGATCCGCCCGTCTCGGCCTCCCAAAGTGCTAGGATTACAGGCGTGAGCCACCGTTCCCGGCCCACATTCTTCTTTAAGATTTTTCCTCATTTGTCTTTCTTTTTGTTTCCTTTCTTGTCACTCCTACCTTGATTTCCACTCTCAATCCAGAAAGAAGTTCTTTCAATCTCTAAAACCCTGGGTCTCTCATTTCACAAGTGTATGAAAATTTTCTCCTATTTCATTTCCTTTGTATTGGCCAGCACCCATGCATCCTTTTGTTCTTATGTTAGATGCTGCCTTCTGATTTTTTGACACCCACACAACTGGGCGTGGTCTCTGCTCTGCTCTCAGACCTTGTGCACCTTCCCTGTTATCTCACAGTGTTTTGATTCCTGATTTGAAATGTGCATGTATGTGCATGTTTTAGTATGCATGCATACTTGTATGTGTTACATTTATTACCCATAAGACCATAAATTTTCTGAATATTTCTGCCTCGGAATGGCATATAATAGTGATTTAGTAAATTTCTGTTGAATGACTAGAAGAATGATTTCTTTGCTGACACATGAAAGTGCCCTCCTCTGAGAAATGGGACTGTCTCTTGTTTCCCAGTCTCTCTGTCTTCACTAAGGCAAGACACCAAGTTAAGTAGAGCTAAGATACAGTTCTGGAGCAATAGAAAATTATACTATCTTTTAAAAATATTTTTAAACATTAATGGGCTTAGCAGAATGTCATTTTAACTGTTCAGTCTTTTTATTAGTAATTTTGTGCTTTATAATTTTAAGAGTATTGATTATCTTGAATAATGTTGCCATATTATTATCTGGGCTTAGAAAAAGGAAAGAGTAGGAAACACACTTTATTTTTTATTTTTAGAATCTCCTGGAACATGTTAGTTAAATTTAAAAATGTAAAGAAGTATCAACTACTTGAATATGATGTTATTACCAAATGTAGCTGTTATTGTAAATGTACTATGGAGCCCTGTGGTAATGGCTGAAATGGTAATTTCATTCTAAACTGTAGTTTTCAATGGCTTATTTAACACGAACTCCCAGTTTACACTGTTGACTGAAACTTCTCAAGCTTGTTTTTATCCCCGAGGGGAATTTTATAGAGATGACACAAAAATCTCTTTTGCAGACTTTTTCAAGCACAGTAAAAATGATTTTCCTTTAACTATTAAAAATTTCAGGATATTTTAGTGACTTTTGCATTTTTTAAAAATGGTTTCCAAACTTTTTTCTTCATATGGGCTTCTTTCCCAGAAAAAAACAGGCTCTGTAATTTAATAAAGTTTCAAAAATGTAAAATCATTAAACATTATAGAAAATCAATGTTTTAATTGTAGAAAATGATTTCTTAGTGTGGCTCCTATCAGACCACTTTGGTAGATTAATATTAAAGTTGCCAAATTTATTTTCTTTTGTGAACTTCTTTGCATTAATAGATAATCAGTTTATTAATAGCAGAATTTGTGATTGACTTTGATGTCATGGGACTCTTTTTAGTATTTTCATGTGCATTTTTGTCTTTGTTCTATTCATTATTAGATTTTTACTGTTCTTTTAGATATCCATATACCACGTTCATCTGTTCATTGTAGTTCGTGTGTGCTTTCTGGAATTGTCATCATTATTCAGAATCTCATAGATGTTTAACCACACAAATACGGATGGTGCTTGATAAGTGCTGACACAGGAGATTTTCAGACGTTACTTCAAATTCTTTTTGCATTGAGACTGAGCTAGGTTGCAAAGTGGCTAAGGAATGTATATGCTAAGATCTGGCTGGAAAGTTGATAACTTCAGGAGTAAGAAATACTTGATAATAGAATAAGAAACTTAGTGGCTTACATAAGAGGGGTTTGTTTTGCTCACTTTAGCTTAGGTCGGTTGAGCATCTGAGCAGAGTACATCTCCAGTTCACCTGTCTTCTCCTGGAGACAGAATGGCCACCTCTCAAGCATGGTGTCCTCTTACAGAAACCTCCAGAGATGGAAGAAAGGGCCAAGACCTTGGCTTCTAAGTCTCCTTTTTTTTAAGATCAGGAAGGAACCTCAAGAAGGAGTCTGAAAGAAGAAGCAAAAATACTTAAAGATCAACAAGGTCACTCTTCCACTTCTTTGCCATGCAAACCCTAAAGCTGGGTTCTTCAAAGTCATCGCTTGGATGACCAGAACTAACTTTGGTAAAATTTAATATCTGAAATTTCTTTTAAAGATAAACTAGCCATCTCTTCTATATCTGATTTACAATAGAGCAGCGCAAAATGTAGTAACTGGTGGCAGCCTTCATGTTTGAGAGTAGTCCCTCTTGGGCCGTCATGAAGGTTAACTTTTTGTGTGCTTGCAGGAGATCATTAAAGCAAGAGCAATCAGTGTTTTCTTTTGTTTTTGGTTGGTTGTTTGGTTTTCTGGTGTGTCTTTGTATTCATATTCAGAGAGATATATAGACTTGTATTTCAAAGGAATATCCAATAGGTTGCTTTTACCTGGAGGGTTCTTTTTTGCTCTTTAGCATGTATTTGGAGTTCTTTTGAATAAATGGTCCTCCAGTTTAAACTCATTGGGAGTTTATTGAATTGTTTTTAAGTAAATGAAAAATCTGTATTTTTATACCTAACACAATCTGGTAGGAATGGGTTAAGTCCAAAAACTTTATGATGGGAAGGCATACAAAAGGTAAATCCTCAAAATAGAATTATAGTTCACCATTGAAGTCATATTATTCTGTAACATGAAAATGAATTATATCTTTGTATGCTAATAGCAGGTTCTTTTATTACTAGCTATTCATGTAGAAGCATAATCAATCCTAGCATACTGAGTGGTTACTAGATATTGAGTTATTTCCAGAAGACATTTATTAATGTATTCAGGTTTGCACAGCAAATTAAGTACATCTATGAAAACTATAGAAAGGGGTGATTAAACTTTAATGCATGGTTTGTAGTATTTTAATTAATCATACATTATTCTGAAGTCCTATACCAACTGAAATTCATACTAGTAAAAACTTGAGGCCGGGCGCGGTGGCTCACGCCTGTAATCCCAGCACTTTGGGAGGCCGAGGCGGGTGGATCATGAGGTCAGGAGATCGAGACCATCCTGGCTAACAAGGTGAAACCCCGTCTCTACTAAAAATACAAAAAATTAGCCGGGCGCGGTGGCGGGCGCCTGTAGTCCCAGCTACTCGGGAGGCTGAGGCAGGAGAATGGCGTGAACCCAGGAAGTGGAGCTTGCAGTGAGCCGAGATTGCGCCACTGCAGTCCGCAGTCCGACCTGGGCGACAGAGCGAGACTCCGTCTCAAAAAAAAAAAAAAAAAAAAAAAAAAAACTTGAACAACTTTCTCTTCTCTGTCATTTTGGAAAATCATGGAATTTCTTTCCTCATTTATTTCTAGCCAGGTGGATTTTTTGTGATTTAAGATATTTAAATGAATGTATGAGCTAATTCATTTCCCTCACATCTTTTAAAACTCTGTTAGTTTTTTTTAACACTTACTACCTTTTGCATTTATACATCTACATCAGTGAATGATAGTATTAAGTTTCTCATTAATGTTCAGCATGGCTTTAAATCCAGGTTGTAAGGAATAAGAACCACCTCCTTGAATATTCCTTTCTTTTCTCAAGATAGTATTCTACTTACTTTTCTCATAAAGAAATGCACCTCTTGGACACAGTGAGTCACTATTTATATAACTCTTTCCACAATTTCACTTTCTAGTAAAAAAAACTTAAACTTTTGATGTTAAAAATAACACAGTGTCACCAAGTTAAGTGAGCAAAAAATACCTGCTGTTTCAGAATGCAGATGCAGCCACAATCTGTAAATTGTGGGTTTATTTTTAGAACATAAGACATAGCAGCTTGGTTGCTATGCTGTTCTCAATTTGTAAATACTCTATATTGTGTGATCATTTAAACCAAAAGTTTCCAATCAAACAGAGGAACACATTCCTTATTCTAATCATAAGGAATAAATAATCACATGCAGTTTGGGAGAAAGGTGGATGTAGTTTTTGCAAGTCTCACCTTCAACCACTGTGTGCTAATCCCAGCAGGCTGGGTGAGGTGTGTAGATGGTATCTCACGTGGAGATCTTGCAGGGTAAACCTTAAGATCTACTGACAAATACTGATTCCAGTTGGAAGCATTAGTACATTTTGAAATATTTAATAATTTTAACTTTTCTTAGATATGCCCCACTTGGGGACTATCTTTAAGGGCCATGAAACCGGTATGATAGTAATTCTTAAGATTTTTAAATGAAGAAAAGCAGGAGAAATGTTGGTAATAGGATCAGTCAAATATCTGCTAGTTGAAACCACCAGATGCAAATGTTTTAAGTTTCTTCCCACTGCTACTTTCCACTCTAATATAGCTTGTTGAAAGAAAATAAAATTTGATCATGCGGGCTAGTCAGGTCTCTTAAAGTTACGAGACCTCTGGGGTGTCGATTTTTCTGGCTGGAAACCTCTGTGGCCAAAACACCTTTGCCCGAGTTCTTGTCCTGCATACAGGAAGAATGAGGTGCGCAGACAATTGAAGGGTGAAGAAGAGGTTTATTTAGTGTTAGACGAGCTCAGAGGAGTGGGCAGCTCCGCTCTATAGGCAGATTGTCCAGTCGAGTGTTCAGCTCTTAGCAGAGAGAAGGCCCTGGAGAGGGTGGCTGCTGACTGCAGGCAAGTCATTTGGATGTCTCTGCAGGTCTCTGAAGTTCTCAGCAGAGAAGGTAGCTCCTCTCTGCTGGCAGGTCGTCTCTGCAGCTCTCAGTGAAGAGGGTGCTCCTCTCTGCAGCTGGTCAAGGATGGTCCTGTCATCTCTCTGTCCTCTTTGTCCTCTGGCCATGCTCTGCCCTGTTCTGGCTGAGCCCAGGGCTTTTATTGACCGCAGAGGGGAGGAAGTGCATGCCCATTGGTCCATGGGCGGCCAGCAAGAGGCACCAGAAGTCTCCACTCCTGTCAGTGGGACTGGCAGCCCAGCCCCCAGCCATTCCGTGGCCTGTGGGTGGGGCCTTACTGGGGACCCCAACCCCACTCCAAGATCAGAGCAGACGCTGGGAGGAGAGAGGCCAGGCTGTGGGAGCAGACAACTCTGAGCCTGCAGGAACAGGGTTGGGGGATACTTCCTGGGGCCCCCGAGGGTGCAGGCTGCAGAGATGCCCCAGTCCTGTGCCTGGGAGGGCAGCCACAGCTGCACCCGGGAGCTCACGCCCTGCCAACTTGGAAGAGGCAGGGCCCACACTTGTCCCGGCTCCTAGTTGCTTCCTGGAGTGGGAAGCCCAGGTCTGCAGCCGGGTGTCCAGCAGCTGCGGCTGCACATGGAAGGGCAGATCCTGCCCATTCCTCACTCCCTACAAGAGCACAGGGAGGCTCGATCCATAGCTACAGTTTAGGGAGCTGTAGCCCCGCCCTCCTGGGTAGGGCTCCTGACTGCTCCGTGGAACAAAAGACCTGGGTCTGCAGTTGCGATTTGGGTGGCTGCAGCGGCAGGGGGAGCTCCCGTCCGGACTCAGAAGACTGACTCCATGGAGTGTGCAGACCCAGGGCGCTTCCGTGCTGCAGCCAGCATGATGGCAGCAGCCACTGCCATTATTAACAGGCTGAAATAAATGAAGAAATAAATATAATAATAATTGTGGTTTACCAGTTTGGGTGCCTTATTTCTCCTACTTGTGAGTTCTTTAGTGGATTTTCTTCTATATCTCCATAATTTTAATTTTTTAAAAACCTAATACTTAGTTTTTGGCAAAAACCAATATATCATCACAGTGGTTCTGGATAATTTGAGTTTGGTTCATTGAAGCTGAGTTTTGTGATTAACGCTTTTGCTCTGGATCACGTGTTTAACTCTATCATGTTCTGTTTGCTTACATTTTGGAGGTTTATTTCGATTTCAAGATATTTCATTTTGGTTTACCGCCTTGCTTTGTAGTTCATGTTTCCTTTTCTTCACTCAAAATCAAGACTGTAAAGAAGTTTTCTCACAAGTCATGGACCGATATTTTAAAAATCATCGCAATAAATAAAAGGCTGAAAATTGGAATATGTGTAAGGTGAAATCTTTCTTCCTCACACCTCTAAGAAGCAAGAATGCGACTGTTAACTGCCTACAGCACAGACAGGAACAGTGAATGCACGGCGCTGTCATGAGCACGTGAATGAGATTGGCACTTCGAGAGAAGCAGGCCTGTGCACTGGATCCTTGGGGAAAGGATGTTGTTGCCTGGCTGATGACCTCTTCTTACACTATATCTAATGTGTTAAAATGTTACAAGGAGAAAGAAATGCTACAGTAAGCCAAGGCTGGATCACACTGTGGGGCATTTTGACTAGCTCCAGCTCCGCATAGCTCAGATAAGTGATCGCATTAGAGCATAGAATGGATGCTTTCATGCTAGTACCACCTTCAAGTTCCTGAGTACTTTTTCCCCAATACCCTCTGCCTCTCAAGCCTGCCTATGCACTTGTCTGTTTTGAAAAATGTGTAAAAAGATGGCAAGAAGCTCTTATCAATAAAGCACATAGTTTTGACCTAGATACTTTCATATGAGAAGGAAAAAAAAGATAAGGCAAAATTCAGAAGAAAGCAGGGAATCAAGACTAAGGCTTGAACATGTATCTTTTGAAAAGGAATGGATTTCTCAATGGATTCCTTTTTAAGTGCCAGAAGAAACAATGAGAAACAAATGACATAATGCCTGGGAACCTCTTACTGCTCGGCAAATAGTAAATGCTTAATGCATTTTTGCTGCTGTTAGGTGAAGAAGGGACACATGATTTGTAGTATAAATTTAGGATAAATGATATCTGAAGGCAATATGAGAGTCACCAAGTTTTTGAGATCTTGTTCTGGATTACTGTTTAGCCGCTAAGAGATGGAACTTCACATTGCATGTGGATTACCTGTGTCATAGGTGATTCTATCAGCTAAAGGTAAAAGGTTTTCTTTTCTGTAGGCAGATTAACAATATCTACATGTATAGCGGAACATAAATAAGCATAAGGCTGGAAAGTTAATTTACAGCTCAAATGAGCAAATTCAATTTTCTTTACATACACACTTTATAACCTGAACAAATACCTATTTTCTTATTTTATTTTATTTTTATTTTTAGGCTGTGCTTCATCTTGGTCAAAAATGCCTATTTTCTATAAAAAAAAGTTCTTTTAAAAATATGTTTTTCAACTTGATAGGCATCAAAAGCCTTGAAGTCAAGATGACATTACTTGATGGTTAACAAAATCCCTGGCCCCTGCGTTGGGTTCTTGAAGTTCGTAGTTATTTTCAGCCGTTATTTAATACATCTGTTAGCCCTGGCATCATGAAAAGGTAACCAAAAATATATTTCTCTAGAAACAAACCAAACTAGAATTTTATAAATTACTCACTCTGATCGTTAACAATAATCACGAACATTAAAGCAAATTTAATCAAGTTAAATAGAATAGAACATGAATAGAAATGTCCAATTATTCCCTTTTTTTGTAATCGGTTCTAAGAAAATTGCCACTTTCATGAAATGCCATGAAAAAAGAAAAGAAAAATTTCGTAATGGAAAGTGAACTTTAAAAAAAGTCAACAAGTCAACATTGCAATTATCCTGTGGCCTTTTAATATTTTAATCATATATTTTTAATCACCTAAGTTAATGTATGTTTTTTAAAAGTTGAAAATCAAAAAAACTTAGAAAATAAAAAATAGGATAACTACCTGAAACATAGATTTTTTCCTAATATTTTCCGATGCAACATTTTCTTTTTTCTTTTTTTTTTTTTTTTTGAGACGGAGTTTTGCTCTTACTGCCCAGGCTGGAATGCAGTGGCACAATCCTCAGCTCACTGCAACCTCTGCCTCCCAGGTTCAAGTGATTTGCCTGCCTCAGCCTCCTGAGTAGCTGAGATTACAGGCGCCTGCCACCATGCCCAGCTAATTTTTGTATTTTTAGTAGAGACAAGGTTTCCATGTAGGCCAGGCTGATCTCGAACTTCTGACCTCAGGTGATCTGCCTGCCTCGGCCTCCCAAAGTGCTGGGATTACAGGTGTGAGCCACAGGGCACGGCCTCTGTGCAACATTTTCAACATGATTGAGGTTAAAAAAAATAGTTTATATTGTCAATATTTACCAATGACATTAAATATTCTTCTGTGTGAATGTTCAGTTTGAATGTTATTATATTGTGTTAGTTTCTAAGATTTTTTAAACTGGGTTTTTATTGATTGAATATTTAGTTTTGCTCTATTACAAAATTTTGTACAATTAACATATTTTTGTGTGTGCCGTGATTGGTTGACTTTATAGAGCAAAGTTATACCTCATTATTCTTTCAGTGGATTCCTTAAAAACTTTTAGGTTTTTCTGGGGGGCGGGGGTGAAAACACTGATATATTATAAATACATTTTAAAGTGAACGGTTACCTTTATCTTTTTAAAAATATAAACTTGAATTTCCATATATTGGGATTAAAGTACAATAATAAATTATAGCTTTGTAGGAGATCAGGTTAAATTTACTATGCTAAATGTAAAAGGCAGCAGGCAAGAACATCTAATCATTTCGTTCCTTAAAAAATTGACCTTGGCTAGAAAGAACTGTTTTGTCTTCCTCTGTGAATACAAAATAAGGAAACATTTTCTTCAATTACCTCTTTCAGCATTTTTTGGCAGTTTTATGATTTTGTAAATAAATGAATGACCATTTGCCTTTTTCAAAAAACACTCTTGTTTTATCTTAATATTTTTTTCCTATTAGAGAAAGAGAGTGTGTGTGTATGTGTGGTTCTAGCATTTCTTTTGAGTGTTTGATTACTTCTATGATCCTTTTTGTGTGTAATTGCAATGACTTTCCTTCTTTAATGTCTGCTTTCCTTAGTCTCCCTCTGTCTCTGCTCCGTGTTTTATTTCCTAATAAGCCACAGTCAATCTTTGTGCTCATGTTTTCTCCTTCTGAATATATTCTTTCCTGTGACCCCAGACACTAATTATTGAACTTCAAACTATTTATTGAACTTCAAACATGCATAGATCTGTGTTGGAAGTTGTGAGGCACTGGTTCTTAAACTTTAATATGTAGAAGAATCACTGGGAGCTCATTTAAATGCAGGTTCCAGGTCACTGTTTACTGAATTTCTGATTCAGTAGGTCTGGGGTGAAACTTGGCAATCTGTGTTTTAAAAAATTGCTCTGCACGATCTGAGACATGTGGTCCCTGAATCACACTGTCAAATGGTATGTTCAAATAAATATGAGCCCTAGACTTCCATGAGGTTGTGAATGTCAGTGGCCCTATTTTAGAGAAAGCTTCTTAAAGCAAGAAGATATTGAGCTGGGCCTTGAGGGTAGAATTTTATTCTTTTGAGAGAAGGTCACAGTTAATTTTAAGGATAAACAGACTGTGTTACAGACCCCTGTCATCTTCCATCTTTGCTGATTGGAGCCACCTCTGTAACTTCAGTTTGTTTGTATTCCATTAACTGACTTTGTTTTCTATTGTCTAATCCAGGAATGTAACACTTTTCAAATAATTCACAGGATAGAAAAAATATATAAGAAATTTCTAAATGGCATGACCCCATCACTAAATCATCATAAAAATGAGAATACCCTATTAGATAATAGGGAACTTAGTTAAATAGGGAACTTAAAAAAGTTATCTAGTGATAAGATCTCTAGTAAATAGAAATATCTAGTTCTCTAGTATGTAGACCGCCTATGTAAGCGAACAGATGAAAGATATAAAAGGGAAATGGCTAAGGAGAGACAACTTAAAGGTAGTTAATGCCACCAAAAAATACCTGTTATGTACACTAAGCTATTTTCACTTGATACTTTTTGTTATTGGCAACCAAAACCGAAATTCAAGAAACAATCCCATTTTCCAAAAGTGCTTTGTTCTGAGAGTTATTTTCCAAGGTTTCTATATTTTATTGTCAGTTGAGTTTATTCTCATCTAAAATGAGCACAGGATATATTTATCAATTGCATTTTGCTTATGCTCTTTTCAATAATTTCTAGTTGTTAACAGGACATGTTGACATTGGCTTTCTCATTTTTAAATATCTTGTATGGAACAGTAGTTGTTATGTTTAAAAAATCAGAGGCTGAGATATTATCAGTGAATGCTTTTTAGTTATATATCTTTTTGATCAGCTGAAATAATGATCACCTATTCCATGATATAAAATGTGGGAATACCATAAATGTCATTAATTATCCAAACTGAATTGATTTCTTTACAATTTACTTTCAACTGAAGAACAATGGGAGAATTAGTTGCCTAATGCTTGAATAGAAGCCATTGTAATAATGGAGAGAATTGGAGGTATATAATTGGTATTGATTCAAATTGTACAAAACCCATATTACCTAATTTTATGGCGGTGGACAATGCCTATTTCTTCTTAAAATATTAATAGACTTAGGATTCTGGTAAAGAGGGTAGAGAAGGCATTTAGGTAAATTGAAATAAGGCACTTAGTCTTCTAAGAAAGATGTATGCTGGACATGACTCAGAAACACTTTCGGGGGCTTGGGAATTATATGGCTGCTCTGTAACTTACAGAAAACCAAACATACCTCTTTACCTGATTGCTGAAACATTTGCACAGAACGCAGTTTTAACTACATAAAATTTTATTTTCTAATTATTTTTAAGCATTTGGTATTTCTTTATCAAAATACTCAGTTGCATTATGTAAAACGAGGTGCTTTTGGGGATCCATGGATAAAAACACCGAATGGAAGTCAGGAGACTTGGATGTCTGTCTGTTTCATTGTGTGATCTTTAGGGCCTAGAACAGTGCTCGGCATGTAGTAGTTACTGAATAAGAATTTCCAGAATTAATGCACGAATATGTTTCTGACCCTGTTACCTTTACAAGGATATAAAAAATGTAAGTTCTTCTTTCTTAAATTTAACTTCTATTTTAAGCCCTTATTCCTTTGGGCAAGATAAAACATGTTCCTAATCAATGTCAGGTACATCCTATGTCCCACTGGAGTTACAGCCAAGTACTCAGGAGTTTGTGGAGTGTCAAGGTATTGGATCAGCTGTCTCACCCTCAGGGTCATCCGTAGGTGAGGGCATCCTGAGAGATGCCTGTTGACCCAGCTGGTCCCAGCTCTTGGTGCATGCAGGTCTGTGCTGAGTTGGTCCTTGGGCTTTCATATTACAATGGCTGACTGAGCACATGCTATAGCCTCCCTCTCCTGGAAGGCTGGGAATGATAGAGAAGATATTTTAAATAAATAAATATCTATATAGCTGAGTTCAAATATTGGAAACTTTTAGTGGATCAAGAACTGTAAGTAATCCTCAAAGGATAGGACTGGATTGAAGAAGGCCTTCTGTGAGTGCCAACAGCATTAGACCTAAGCCAGGGCAATGAGGGGCTGACTTCTGGGAGCAGCAGCCAGGTCACATACCAGCTGTCACACCCCTCCCTGGACTCGGACACTTACTGTGGTTTTCTGTATCCAGTTGAGAGCAGCAAGTGTAGGAGCTTGGTTTCAGGGGTCTAGGGTGGTACCCACGGTGAGATTCATGGAGCACATGTATATCCATAGCCTGGAGGAATACAGTCTGCCCATTCCCATGCCTAGGTGATCGGCTCTGGAAGTGACCGTCAACAGCAACACCCTACCACTGTCCTTGAATACTCTGTCCAGATGCCCCCTATGGCCTCTGCCTGACTAGTGGATGGCACAAGCAGAAACAGCAGACAGTCCAAAAGGGGATTTCAACTATAAATAGGAGCACACCATCAAGACTCCACAAACATTTGAGGAAAGTGTACACTGTAAAGGAAAATAAACTCACAGCCACCCTGAAATGGAAAGGATTCATTCTGAGATGTGAGAAATTGTGAAAAGCTTTATAAATACATCAGCTATCTAGATAAATTTCTTCTCAGGAGTCTTTCTTTTTCCCTAGAGCTTTGCTTAGAAAAGAGATACAGGTTCCCTCCACCTTTTGTGGGAAGTGCTATTCCCCTGTCATCCTCAAAGGCTTAGGGTGACTCTCCATCAGACCTGCCCAGGTCTGAGTTTGCACTTGGCTAACTGCAACCTCCACCTTCTAGGCTCAAGTGATCCTCCCACCTCAGCCTCCTGAGTACCTGGAACTACATCACCACACCCAACTAACTTTTGGATTTTTTTGCACTTGTTTTCAAATAAGTTACAGTTATTCATACTGTCTCTTTTGACAATAAATGATATGATTATTATACTCAAAGATTATCTGAGAGACAGGGACAAGTTCCTGGGACCCTTTTCTCAGAGTCTTGTGACTGCGACACACTGTTTCCCCTTTAAAGTCCCTGCCTTCCTTCAGGCTACGGAGTCCTGTGAGGAGGAGGGTTGGGGATGGAGAGACTAGTTTTTCCTCCTCAAGGAATCTGCCAAGCCTATTGCCTGTCCACTGAGTCCCTTCTTTGGACTCTTTCTTCCCTCTATTTTCTGCTAAAGCCGTCCTAATCTTAAATGACAAATCTAGAATGGCATAGGCGGATCAAATGGGGGAGAAACAATAGGTAAAATGTGGAGTCGTAATAGGAAACACACACACACGTTAATATTTTAAACATGGTTACATGACAGCCCACTTAGTATCCATATGGCCTTTGGGAAAATCACTTATTTTAAGCATCTGTGCTGTAATCTGAAAAGTACCAGAATTGTAAGATTTCACTGAACTCTCATAATAAAATCATCAAGCTTAGAGTTTAAAGGAACTTTGGAGATGAATTAGCTCAACCTTCCACCCCCTATAGGCCTTCTTTCCAAATATCTTTGCCATGTGATTATCCAGCCACTGAAAGGAAATGTTAAAGAATAAAGTAAGAAGAGGAGTTAAGAATAACAATAATTTGTAAAAAATAAATTTAAAAGGTGTGTTGGATGGAAAAGAATTCAGGAGACACTGTGTGGACATGTGTAACATGGGCATCCTGTCCTCCGGAAAGACATTTAAGATGTTTTGCAACTCACTGAGGAATAGATGAAATTAAACAAAACAAAGCAAAAATTTGACCTAGTACTTGGTTCATAGTAAGTTCACAGTAAATAACAATTTGTTTTTATTTGTTGCTATGGTCATGACGGTGGTGGTGATTCTTTAAGGTCTGGAAAGGACACTGTCTACAGAAAGCAAATTATATACAGAAGGCAGATAGTTACTTCCAGATTCGACTACTTCGTGCTTTCCCGTAAATTGCCTGATTATGAGGCAACAGTTCCCAGCTGATCGACTCCTAATTTTAATGCTCCAGTTTCAAGTATCATCACATTTTAAGGTAAAAGGTCTCTATCCCCATGCTGGGCGCGGTAGCTCACTCCTGTAATCCTAGCACTTTGGGAGCCCAAGGTAGGCAGATCACTTGAGCTCAGGAGTTCGAGTACAGCCTAGGCAACATGGTGAAACCCTGTCTCTACAAAAAAATCCAAAAGTTAGTTGGGTGTGGTGATGTAGTTCCAGATACTCGGGAGGCTGAGGTGGGAGGATCACTTGAGCCTAGAAGGTGGAGGTTGCAGTTAGCCAAGATCACACCACTGCACTCCAGCCTGGGTGACAGAGCCACACCCTGTCTCAAACAAACAAAAAAAAAAAAAAAGAAAAAGTCTCTATCCCCATAGTTTCTTCCTTTGACCCCAGTGGTAGGCTGTGTCCCTGTCTGAGTTCCAGGAAGCTAGTCTCCCATTTTCATTTTGCCCCAGCTGCAGATCCCTCCCTGTCTGACTGGGCCTATATTAAGGGGTCATTGACCTCTACCTCCTGGGTCTTTTGCATCTTTCAAGACAGAATTGTGGCCTCAGTGATCTTGGAGTCTCGTTGAATAGCATTCTCCAAATTAGGCTCAGAGAAAAGTTTATATTTCTCTTAGGCCTTTGGGCATTCTTGAAAATACTCACTTGCTTCTCTTCTCCACTGTAAATGCAATTTACAGCTCCTTAAAATCTACAGCATCTTCTGCAACACTTTCTGCATCTATAATGGAATGTTTCTGCCACCACTGCTTTCACTGGCTCTCCCTCCACTGTTCAGATTTGTGGGGTTTTTTTAGCTCAGTTGTATTTATCTCTATATAACAATGTATACCCGTATGATCTACTTTACAGAAAATTAAGATAAGGAAATGCATACATATAAAATAAATAATTTAGGGAGAATTACTAACATTATAAAACTGTGTTTCGCCTCCTAGAGCATTCACTGTAATTTAGTTTTAACAGTGGGTTTTCCTGGTGTATCTAAAATATAGTTTAACTTTCTTTAAATTATTTGTTTTACACCTAGAAAATAATGTATCGGATGAATATAAGGAATTTGTTTTTCAGATGTGCACATATTCCCTAGGCCACAACCAACTGGGAGATATAACTAGAGGTGTGTTAATTATAAAAGCCTCATTGGTGGGCGGGTTGGCATCCCACCTTGTTCCCCACTCCACTGCCTCTTAGCCTCACCATGTCCCCGAGCCCTTTTTTATCCCCTGGCAGATCCCAGGTGGCTCACACCTTTCACCATGGCGGTCATGAAAGACTTCCTGCTCTGGAGTCTCTGCCCTGTTCCCATTGCAGCCATCCTGCCCCGCAGCATGCAGCTGTAAACCGCCCCATGCTGGAGCCCCTTTCCCATCTCTGTGGTCCTGGCCTTCTGTTTCTGTTCCATGGCAGCTGACACCGCCCAGGGGAGTTAGGGTGAACGTTTGTCGCATTACTGTCTTCTGATGTTCCTAGTATTTTAACTCTTTCAATGTCCTGCAGCCTCTGCTTCCTACGTCACTGTAGGCTTGCAAAACCTCTGTTTGGAGGAAGACAGGAGGGACCAGTGAGTGTTTAACTCTCTTCTTATTCTGGGTAAGGTCTCTGTGATACAGTGTGAAGAGAAGTCCTCCTGCGTCTTCTCCCCGATCCCCTATTGGAACACAGAGACAGTCTCCATGGCATCTCATCCCTAGGCCCACTAGGCAGTTTTTGCACCAGATTAGGCTGTTTCTACACTAAATGTTACAACTTGGGGATTCCTCCAGGTATCACCTCAGGAACTGGAAATGTTTTGCAACAAATCGGGAAAGGGGGATGAGCAGCAAGAGAGGAAGAGAAAGCAATGGTAAAATATTCCTGATTTGGAAATTTTTATTTTATTCTTATTTTTGGACTGACCCTTATTGCCTCTCGGTGGCCACTTTTACCATGAATGTTTTTGGTTTTGGTGTTGTTTTAAATGAGGCAGCAAATAAACAAAACAGAAAATCTCGGGATTTAGAGATTTATCTTCCCTTAGGATATCCCTCCTTCATGAATATTTATAATATAGATCCAGCTAATTCTTTCAAACTGAAAAGGTAGGTTACTTGAATGTTATTTTTAGTTTGAGTCCAGTCAACAAAGGACATTTTCTACTGTAGATGCTCCTGTTCTGCTAGGGGCCTCTCAGGAGGGGAGGGGACAGTCCCACTGATGTACCTGCATTTCTTATCTCTTTTCTCACATTGAAAAGAGTTCACAGAGGTGTCAAAAAAATGTGTGATAGACAAGAAAACATTGAGTGTATATGTAAAATGAAGGCTTTTCCTTGAATGTACCACACTGAGATAGACCCTAAGCTGCTGGGAGTCAGGACCTTCTCACTGGAGCCTCTTGAATTTTTGTAGTACCAGAAACACTACTAGGCCTCATGGAGGCCATTGTTTCAGAATTTCATCAGTGAGGTACTATTGATTCAAAAGAGTTCCAGGGAATCTTACTCTTAGGGCATTCTTGATCTAAATGCTTTCTCTAAAACTGCTTTCAGTAATGTGAAAAGTCAACCTAAATGTGAAGTATTACTGCTGCTCCTGCTAGTGCCAGGGAATCATTGTAAAACTCTGAAAAGAGGTAAACTGGCTTTTTCATCAGAGCAAAGCTTTGCTTGTGTATCACAAACGTCCTCTGTCCTGAATGACTGCTGCAGTGTGGAACTGGGACCTTAGCCACCGTGGAACTTCAGGACAGCAACAGGAGACTGAAGGAACCATAGAAGTTTTTGTTTTGTTTTGTTTAAAAAAAGAAAAAGCAAAATTACTTGGGTGGCTGGTGCACACCTGTGGTCCTAGCTACTCAGGAGGCTGAGGTGGAAGGCTTAGTTGAGCCTCGGAGATTGAGGCTGTAGTGAGTTAAGATCAAGCCACTGCACTCCAGCCTGGGTGACAGAGTGAGATCCTGTCTCACATACACACACAAAAAGCAAGTTTCACTTTCCTATCATCCATCACCTTTAACACTTTTCTACTAATTTTTTTAGAGGGCACTATTTTTCTCCTGTCCCCTGATCCAATAGACACTCTTTGGAGGCATTTCTTTTGAAAGATTTTCCTACTTTTGAATAACCTTCTTTTCTGTTACTAGACCGCCTTCCAGTGAGACCACATCAGAACAGCTGTTGAGTAGACAGCTTTTGGCCTCACACTGACCTGTTTTCCATCTACCTCCATGCCCTAGACTTTTGCACCAGTGATGTAATCTTTCTCTTTTCTCTTTCCTGTAATATGGGAATGGTGGTAGTAATAGTATACACACTATTGGGTTTTACAAGAGGTGAATGAGACAAGCACAAAGAACATGGCTATTTGATCAATGTCCACAAGTGTTATTAGTGCATTCTTAGCAGAATGAAATATGGAACAAGTCAGCTTCACACATGCATCAAAATCCTTTGCCCAAATTTCTTGTTATTTCAAATGAAACCATCTCTTAAGACATAATTGCATGGTTCTGTACCTTCATTTTCTACTTAACTTCATTAATATAGATATGGTTTGCATGCAAATGAGCAGACTTATTATGTACAAGTAACATGGAATATATTTGGGAAAAACTTACCGCTTCAGAGGGGAAAAGGCACGGGCTTTAGCAATACTGTGAGAAAATTCTTTAAATCTCCCTCAGTGGATTAAACAAAGTATCTTTGAGGTTTATTAGAAAATCTTTGTTAGTGAGAAATTACACTTTAAATTTTATTCTTCTTCCTACGAAGTGGAGTTACCATTCAGATTAATAAATTCAAATGAGCAGAAATGTTTGAGGGAGGACTGGATTTCTCTGGATTAATATCTACTTTCTGTTTCTTGTATGAAACAATCTTTAAAACTTTTTAGGCTGAATATTTATACCTAAGAATTTGCTTGAAAAATCTGAATCTGGCCAGGCGCGGTGGCTCACGCCTGTAATCCCAGCACTTTGGGAGGCCGAGGCAGGCGGATCACGAGGTCAGGAGATCGAGACCATCCTGGCTAACAAGGTGAAACCCCGTCTCTACTAAAAATACAAAAAAAACTTAGCCAGGTGTGGTGGCGGGCGCCTGTAATCCCAGCTACTCGGGAGGCTGAGGCAGGAGAATGGCGGGAACCAGGGAGGCCGAGCTTGCAGTGAGCCGAGATCGCGCCACTGCACTCCAGCCTGGGTGACAGAGCGAAACTCCATCTCAAAAAAAAAAAAAAAAAAAAAAGAAGAAAGAAAAATCTGAATCTATATTGGTTTGAAGTAATGTGGTTCCATTCTTTTGGCAAGACTTAAGATATATAGCCTGAACAAAAGGCTCTGTAGCTTTCACAGTTTCAAATATGCTCATAAAACCCCATAGCATAAATAAAACATTTTAGAATGTTCTAACAATCTAGAATTATAAATGAGTCATGAAATATAAGGGGGAAAATTTATATACAAATTCAGCCTTGAACCTTCCTGAACTTACTCAGAGTTGAGTTAAAAAATTTTAAATGGAGCTTATCACGTTTGTGCTTTGGTATTTTTTATTTTTAGTGTAAGTAAAATAGATACATATATGTGCTTTGTGATTTTTGATTTTTCATTTACCTCTCTGTAAATTGTCATAAATGCCTGTGGATTTGTGCCTAAGCCTTATATTAAATAAAAAACCAAGTTGTGGGTTCACTAGCAAGAGGAATATTACTTTTCCTACTTGCAAAAATACAAACAAAAATACAAAATATTTTATTTTCAGAAGAAGTTGTAGGAATAGTATAAATGGCATTTATTAAAACACGAGTATTAGACTAAAGTCTATACATGCAGGTTGGTGGTTTTTGAAATGACTTGATTGGTTCTTTACAATTTGGTGATTGTGTTAGTACTTCCTTATTTTGGTGGGAAATCTGTGTTCCTGAAACTAAGAACCCTCTGTGGGAGTTAGACTTTCAGAGTCTACCTCTCTGCCTGCTTAATACTGGGCCCATCCCCTACCCCTACATGCCAGGTAACTGGTACAAGAGGTTAATGGGCCCTGCTTTGAGAAACAGCTTCAGAGATTAGATCCACTCATCTCCTTAGGGCCTTTCTAGAATGCTCCATGGTTTTCCATCTCCTAGAATGTGTTTATTTTCATTACAGTTTTAGGACTTAAACATACAGAAATAATAACAATACACAGTACTTTTTTTCTGCCTCAATTTCCCTGAAGAAGTCCGTCTTTGGAAGTCAAAGATAAAATAATTTGAGATACCAGCTTGATGTAAGCACCAAAACACCTACTGGCCTCTTTTGTTTAGAAGTGTTGTTTCTGTTGAGTATGACTGTTCTCCAGCCATCATTCAGGGAAGAGTATGTGATGTGTTTTCTATATTTATAATGCTTAGAAGATCATTAGCACATATTAGCCACAAAGAAGCACTCTTTTACATTGTTAAGTGTCTGCACTCACCAGAGGCTCTACTTTGCCAGGTTAGTTCCCTTTGTTCACCTCTGTCATTGTCAATTTTTTGAAGTGGAACTTCACACAATTGTGAGAGAGTTCCCACAAGTTGCAGGAGCTGCAGGTGCTGGGGGAAAGGCATTGACAACACAGATGCATACAGGCAAAGGCAACCAAGTCTATGGAGTGGTGGGAGAACCAGGCTCAAGATTTTAAAAGCACTTGGAGTCTTTGTGTTCCCTGTCACACAACTTGAAGACCTACTTTTATAGGTGGAAAACAGCAGGTGGCCACAGAGACATAGGATCTGCTGTCACTGAAGGAGAGACTTGTTCGTAGCACTGTGCCCTATTGCTAATCTTTCCTACTCCATACCACTGAAGGAGAGGGGGCAGTCTGAACCCAGGGTGTAGCCATCCAGATGAGGCTCAAAGCTGGACAGGATGTAGTGAAAAAATGGAGCCAGGATAATGAACAATTAAGAGCACACTTATTGCACCTGTGGCTGTGCGCAACTGAGTAGGGGTACCTTAGAATGATGCATTTCCAAAATTTTTGGACCAGTCTACACTTCAATATATGTAACCAAAATAAAAGTTCATGAAATATCATTTATACATATTCCATGCAATACTTTATGATATTTTCTATTCTATCTTCTGCCCTGTTCTTTTCTTGTATAATTTATTCTACATAGCTATTAAAATAACATCTGACCTCAAATCATTAAATTCCTTATGCAACCCACTAATAGATCATGACCTATAGTGTGAAAAACTGTAGTTTATTCTTAACATATTTAGCTAAATATGAATAACGTGAATCAAAACTGATGATAGGCATCTACTGGATTGTGTTTAAACTATTTTCAGACATAATGTATGTAAAGTGCTTAGCAAATACTCTGGCACACCCTATGAAGTCATTTGTTATTGGCTGTTATGTTCAATATATAAATCAAGACAGTTATTTTCATGAAGGATTCCAATACTTTACTGTGTTATTTGAAAACCAAACCCAAAAAAATGGTAATAGCAACACCTGTAACATGTAGAATAATTGTTTTGGAGACGGCATAGGGGAGTTTGGACCATTGTTCATTGATTAGTATGTGCTTCTTTATTTGCCATGAAATGACTATACACATTTCCTTTTCTTTATTTATGTCTGTAGGAGAGATTGAAGATTTGTCCAAATTTCCTTTAAATGTTTAACTTTCTTTCTCACTACCGAGCTGACCTCTTTCCTATCCCTTCTGGCCTCTGTGAGCTCCGCCCTCTTTCCCAGTTCATCATGAGCTGGGAAATTCTTACATCAATGCTGACAGAGGAAACAATGCACCTACTTCATAAGAGAGGATTAATTTCTTTCTTTTGCTCCAAGTTTTCAACCTTAGAGTGTTTATATTTTTCATATACTTTGACCTATGGAATATTATTAATAGATTTCCTGATATTAAATATTCCTTTACTCTGTAATTAAAATTGCTAATTTATTTATTTATTTAAAATATGACTTAATTTCTTATGCCAGCATATCATTTGGAATTTTTGAAATTATATTCATAAACTAGATTAGCATATAATTTCTGATTCCTGGATTCATTCATTCACTTACTAATTTATGTATCATTGAACAAATATGAATCGTGCCTGGCTTTATGGAATTTATAGTCCAGTAATAGATACATATAAGTATCCTTGAAGAAGTGACATCCAAACTGACCTCTGTGTTAATTAGAATGGGGCACTGTAACACAGAGATCTGATTATCTTAACTGACTCAAATGAGAGATAGAAGTTTCTTTTACTCCTACACGGCAGTCTGAAGTGAAGCATATAGGCCTAGTGGGGTAGTCACACCAACCTCAACATGCGACCCCCAAGGTTAGCTCCATTCCTCTGCCTTTCCAGGCCAGCCATCAAGAATATGTACACGGAGTCTAGGACAAGTGTCCTTACGGAGATAGCCTGAAAGTTGTACACAAGTCTTCTGCTCACATCCTATATCCACACTTAGTTGCAAGGGAGGCTGGCAAATATACTCTGTATTGGGCAGCCGGGTAATTGGTGAAACTGAGGGTACCACAAAGAAGAAAGGAAGACTGGATAAAGGAGAGCAATTAGCATTCGCTGCCCAATATCTAAAAGAGTAAATAGGAACTAATCAGGGGAAGGGTATAGGGAGTAAGAAAGACTGTTCTATCCACCTTGCAGTTCCAAAGAGGATACTGAGAAGCAAATGGGCAGTTTTGTAATGCAGTGTTGGAAATACAATGAAAAGGTATGTGCAGCGTACTGACCACTGAGGGGCACATGTGAGGGGCACCTAACCCAAGCTTGGAAGGCAAGATGAGAGGAGCTTTCCTATCTAGGCTGAAGTCTGAAGAGTGAAGTCAATCACCCAATAATTGTTGGAGGACAAAGAAGCATGAAATTTGAAGGCCCTGACATAAGGCTGAGCATAGAGTGATTAAGAAACGTAAAAAAATTAGTTTGGCTGGTAGACCCATTGCAGGGAAAGTCATGACAAGAAATGAGGCTCTGAGAGGTTAGCTAGAGGAAGATCATGCTTTACTGAAAGCTAAGGAGATTGGACTTTATTCTAAAGGCAAGAAGGATTTGTTCAAGGGTTCAACTCAGGAGAAGGATGGATGCTATTTATTATACAAACCCAGTCTGAGTTATAGCTGCCACACTAATTCCTGTGGCCGAAGGAGGAAGGCACAAAATATGAAAACTTCCTGCTCAACCCTCTAGAATAAAGCTAATATAAATGCTTACAATACACCTTAATGTGGTTTTCATACAAACTACTTAGCTGCAAAATACTTCATTTAGTTAATGATAATTGAATTTCTACTCTATTTCGTACTCATTGATTGAACTACATAATGTGCATACCCTGAGAAACAAACAAAAAATCATTCTACAGTGACATAAAATAGAGCCTTATAAATATATTTATCAACAGAATGAGAGGAAGAAGTAATAAATAAGGAAGAAAGTACAGTAGCCATTAAACAAACAAATGATGGAAGACATTAATCTGGAAGTGTATATTATGGTAACATCTAAATATTGGATACAGGAAGATACCCTGTATTATTTTTAAGGCATTTCACACACCCTGCTACTGTACAGTGTGTTCCTGATGATGTGGGTGTCCCAATTTGAAAAAAATACTAATATGCTCAATGTCTAGAGTGAGAGAGGCCTGAGAGATAATTAGAACTTATGAATGAACTAGGGAAACACCCCAAATGCCACTCCATTAATTTAAAGTGAGGAATAGAATGGTTGCACCCAGTGGAAATGCTTCTGTTAGCATAATCAGCTTATGTCTTATGTCGCTCTTTAGTCAAGCTTTATGGGAAGCCAAATCATAGTCAGACATCACTTCATCAATTTCCTGGGAGAAATCACTGTAATTCAGACTAGAAATAATTGTGACAGCATGATGGACACATTCTGTGCTCATAGACAGGCTTATGTGGGAATGGGGAGGTTGCTTGGTGAGCAGGGAATCAAGAGTGTTGGTTGAATAAAATGTAAAGACCCCTTGGTGAGAGAATATGGTGACCCTGGCTCACTTTAGATTTTGGTGGCAGTTTTCTTTATTAAATTTTAGCTTAATTCTGAAAAAGTGATACTCAAAATAGTATTGTCTTTTCCAAGTTCTAAGGAGCACAGTAGCCTCCAATGCTTATAAATATACAAAAGAAAATTTGAGTTAAGAACAAAAATATTTTAGATACTATTATAGTACTGAGGAGCAGCAAAAATCCATAAAAGGTCATTTGGATCTGCTTTTTTTTTTTTGTACCTTCAGATAATTTTGATTAGCTTTCATTTTTATTTGCATTACCCAGAGGGCACACACTGGAATCCACCAGAACTGAATACACATTGTTTTGTTTGCCTTGCAGTGCATTTTTTTTTCCACCGGATATTTCAAATGAAAATCACATAAATCTGTATTGCTGACTGTCATCTTGAAAAAGGATACCTGTTGAATTGGGTAACTCTTTTCATGAAAATAACTTAAAAAACTGGATGAAATATAAAAGCATCTTTTGAATGTATTGTGACTTTTGGAAAAAATAAGATATCCCAAAATGCTGAAAATTAACTGAAGATGTTCGGCTTGAAATACAGGCGCCAAAAATGGATTTCACACTTAGGGTTTCTGGCAAGCCCTGATTCAGTTTTTATTTGAAGGATGAATGTCCCGGAATAGATAAGATATGAAGTCTAGATTGTGCTTCAGATGGGAAGTTGAACAGGAGAATCTCCGTATAGAGTGGGAATACAAAAGGACAACAAACTATAAAGTGAGAGCATCTTGTCTGTGTCAACTTCGATTTGAGAGGAGGGAAAAAAAGTTTCCTCTGAAAATTTGAGTTGGCCCTAAACAAAATTTCAGCCAAAATTCATGCTACCTGTGTGAACAAACTCCAAATAGAGAATTTAATTTAAGGTGGTCCCAGGATGGTAGTGAAATAAACAGTTGGCAGAAACAAATTTTCTAGAAATATGAAGTTTCTTATAAGGTCTTAAATAATTTCCACAGGTGTATTTCAAGAAATGTGGGCTTAAGCCAAAAAATATCAGTAAAGCTCATAAACGAGTGCCAGTAGAACAAACAGCAAAACACAGGAGAATTACATCTATAAAAGCTACATATATTGGAATTATGAGACATAAATATAAAAAATAATTTTGTGTACTCTGTTTTGAGAATTAAGGCTTTAAAATGGCAACAAATAAAGAGATATTAAAAACAACATAATTAAAAACAAATCAAATAGAACTTTTGGAAATTAAAAATATATATATCTATATGTGTATATGTAAATCACTATATGTATATATGTATGTAGTGATTTAAATTAAAAATTCAATGAGAATGAGATATATCTGCTCCAAAAAAAGAGAATTAATTTGTTCCAGATGAATTATCTCAACCAAGAATAACCAAATCTTAAAATATAATAAACATTTTTATAGCACTAGAAAAGTACTAAGTGAACAAGATTCTCTTCTGGAAAGAGAATAAATTCAGAAATGTGAACATTTTCCAATTAAAGCAATGACTGAGCAATGAGAAGCTGAGAAGAGCTTCGGGCAGTTTCACTGATCTGGAGGGACAGAAATTGAAGAACAAGGTCCAGAAGGCACCTATTCCCATCACGCTTGCTGCATACAAATTATCCCAAATGTAGTGTTCTGAAACTATTTTCTATGGTTTATAAATTTAAGGAAGTCACAGCACATAGCATGGTGGCTTGTCTCTGTGCCGTGGTGTTTGAGGCCTCAACTAGAAAGATTCAATGGCTGGGGGTAAGAAGACTGGAATCATCTGGAGGGGTATTCATTCAAATGTGTGAGACTTGATGCTGGCTGTCAGCTGGGATCCGTCTTCCCAAACACAACTGAAGACATCATCCCAAATACAAGATATGGCCTGTTCATCTAGTATCTCCAAATTGTCTTATTTGGGATTCCTCACAGCATGGGCTTTAAGGCTGAGAATATCACTTTAAAAAAGCAGAAGTACAAGGCATTTTTGTGATCTAACCTCAAAAATCACATGTCTGGATTTCTGTCATTCTCCATCGACAGAGTTGTCACAGATCCTGAGCATACACTCAGGATCAAGGGAAATAGACATGGTTAAAGGCAGATTATCGTTGGAAAATAGAATCTGTCACAAGACTCTGGGCTTTTATTTTGGATTCTGAAATGGCTGAAACATGGAAATCAGACATCACAAGGACTGAAGCCCAGTTTCAAATCAGCTGAGTCTCATAATGCATTAAGATGCCATGTTCCTTCTACAATATTCTTCTCACAGCAAAGAAAATTTCTCTCTGGAAGAAAATATTATCATCCATAACTTTCTGTATGCTCTGCAGTTAATACACAGTGTATGACATTAAATAAAAAATGAGATATGCAAAAATATATAATGGCCAAAACAAAGAAAAAGGTAGCAAAAAAGCAAACCACAAAAGATGTAGATATTAGAATTATATCTACAGGGGTATTTAAATATAATAGATCGATGTAATTATGCATTAATGTAATACTATAGAAATTAAATGACAAGATGGAGAATTATAGCAGAAGAAGAGAGCTGTAGCAAAGAATAAAATGGAAATCCTAGAATTGAAAGTTATAATAATTCAATGATTTGAATCATAGTTTTAACAGTAGATTAGACAAAGCTAAAGAAAGAATGTGTTAACTGGAAGATGAATTAACATTAATTTGTAGAATAAAACAGACAAAATGATGAAAATCCAGAAAAAATATAAGACATAAAGCATAGTTAAAAATATCTTGCATATACATACCTAAAATACCCATAGAAGAAAAGAGAAATAAAGGGACAAAGTCAATAGATAACTGGTAAGGATTTTCTAAATCTGATGAAAGCCATTAAGCCACAGATTTAAGAAATTCTAGGCACTGCAAGAAAACTGCATGTATTAGTACTTATTTCATATTAAAATATCTAAAACCACAGGTAAAGAGACAAAGTTAAGTGCAATTAGAGATTTAAAAAAAGATGTTAGCATTCTGGGATTAAAGTGATAGAGATGTCTGACTTTTCATTAGAAACATGAAAACCAAATTCAGTGGAAGAATTATTGGAACACTGAAAATAACTGATATTCTATTATTTTTATACTAGCAAAATGTTACTCAAAAATAAAGTTGAAATAAAGACACTTTCATATAAAGAAAACCTTAGAATGTGTCACCAGTATTTCCATACGAAAGGAAATACTTCCAGCTTCATCCATGTCCCTGCAAAGGACATGAACTCATTCTTTTTTATGGCCACATAGTATTCCGTAGTATATATGTGCCACATTTTCTTTATCCAGTCTATCGTTGATGGGCTTTTGGGTTGGTTCCAAGTCTTTGCTATTGGAAGTAGTGCTGCAATAAGCATACGTGTGCATGTGTCTTTATAGTAGATCAGCTAGGTATGTATTATTCGCCCCATTTTGCAGATGAGAAAGGAAAGCCCAGAGAGAGTAAAGGATTTGCCCAAGTTCACACAGAGAACAGGTGGTGGAGCGAGGATTTACACCCAGGCTGCAGAGGAAGTGGGGGCAGAAGAGATGAACCTGCATTTTATATCATCATCACACTTGTTTCTTGAATTTATACAGTAGGTTGTGTGTTCATATACTGAAAACATTCACGTATTTATACATGGGGTTAACAGGTTGCATTAGGTGGTGAGAATATGGTTATTTTGTTTTTATTTGCATTTATGTGCATCCAATTTATGTACCCATTATGAACATGATATCATATGTAATAAGAAAAAATACAATAAATGCAATTTTGAAGCACACACAACAAAAGAAAGGTAACACTTAAGAGTGTTCTTCATGCAGAAGAGATACAGAATGCAGAACAAACAGGAAATATGAGGGTAGCTCCAAATGACTGTTGACTCTGTAAAACTATAATAACTACTTTAAGGTGAAATATAGAAAGAACTGAAATATATGACAGAGCATAAAAAAGTGTGGTCATACAGTAAGTAGAAGTAAACTAGCCTAAATCTGCATTATCTAGAATGTGATAAAAGTAGTAATTTGTTCTATATTCCTTTTTCTTATTATTTTCCAAATCATTTAATTATTTTTAGTCAGTGACCTCCTACATTTCCTTGGGAGTTATACATTATTTCAGTACTCATTTAGTGGATACCATAGAGATTATCATCTGCAGTTTCTGCAAAGAATGAATAGTAAGATATATATTAGTAATGGCATAACAATAGTGACTCAAAGAGGCAAAATACTCCAATTAAAAGACAGACTTTCAGACTATATTGAAAAACAATTAGAAAAAAAAAACTACTTTAAAATTCATACGGAACCAAAAAAGAGTCTGTATAGCCAGGACAATCCTAAGCAAAAAGCACAAAGCTGAAAGCATCATGCTACCTGACTTCAAACTATACTACAAGGCTACAGTAACCAAAACAGCATGGTACTGGTACCCAAACAGATATATAGACCAATGGAACAGAACAGAGGCCTCAGAAATAAGCCACACATCCACAACTATCTGATTTTGACAAACCTGAAAAAAACAAGCAATGAGAAATGGATTCCCTATTTAATAAATGGTGTTGGGAAAACTGGCTAGCCATATGCAGAAAACTGAAACTGGACCCCTTCCTTACACCTTATACAAAAATTAACTCAAGATGGATTAAAGACTTAAATGTAAGACCTAAAACCATAAAAACCCTAGAAGAAAACTTAGGCAATACCATTTAGGACATAGGCATGGGCAAAGACTTCATGACTAAAGCACCAAAAGCAATGGCAACAAAAGGCAAAATTGACAAATGGGATCTAATTAAACTAAGGAGCTTCTTCACAGCAAAAGAAACTATCACCAGAGTGAACAGGCAACCTACAGAATGGGAGAAAATTTTTGCGATCTATCCATCTGACAAAGGGCTAATATCCAGAATCTACAAAGAACTTAAACAAACGTACAAGAGAAAAAGAACCACATCAAAAAGTGGGTGAAGGATATGAACAGATCCTTCTCAAAGGAAGACATTTATGCAGCCAACAAACATATGAAACAAAACTCATCATCACTGGTCATTAGAGAAATGCAAATCAAAACCACAGTGAGATACCATCTCATGCCAGTTAGAATGGTGATCATTAAAAAGTCAGGAAACAACAGATGCTGGAGAGGATGTGGAGAAATAGGAATGCTTTTACACGGTTGGTAGAAGTATAAATTAGTTTAACTATTGTGGAAGACAGTGTGGCATATCCTCAAGGATCTAGAACCAGACATACCATTTGACCCAGCAATCCCATTACTGGGATTGGTAAATTACAAAGGATTATAAATCATGCTACCATAAAGACACATGCACACATATGTTTATTGCAGCACTGTTCATAATAGCAAAGACTTGGAACCAACCCAAATGCCCATCATTGATAGACTGGATAAAGAAAATGTGACACATATATACCATGGAATACTATACAGCCATAAAAAGGGTGAGTTCATGTCCTTTGCACGGACATGGATGAAGCTGGAAACCATCATTCTCAGCAAACTATCACAGGAACAGAAAACCAAACACCACATGTTCTCACTCATAAGTAGGAGTTTAACAATGAGAACACATGGACACAGGGAGGGGAACATCACCTACTGGGTCTGTCGGGGGGTGGGGGGGCTAGGGGAGGGATAGCATTAGCAGAAATACCTAATGTAGATGATGGGTTGATGGGTGCAGCAAACCACCATGACACGTGTATACCTATGTAACAAATCTGCAAGTTCTGCACATGTATCTCAGAACTTTAAGTATAAATAAAAAATAAAAATTAAAAAAATAAAGCTATATACTATATGCTACTTATTAGACATGCCATAATTATAAAGATGCAGAAAATTTAGACATAAAGAGTTGGAAAGACATTCCATGCCATCCCTGATATAAATTTTTACACTGAAGAAGAACAATTAAAGTTAAAATGTGTGGGAAGAAGTACAATTAAAGTCAATGCTTTGTGGCAATAATAGGAAACTAGAAATGGATGGTGTTAGAAGTGGATGAGGCATTCTTTTAAGTTGGCAAAAATTTCATTAAGATTTTTTATAACATTTTATTATGAAAATTTTTCAAAACTATGGAAAACTTGAAAGCATTTGAGAATTGATGTTTATGTCCCTAATACCTAGAGTCTACACATTTTGCTGCATTTGCTTCATGACATACCTATTCATTTTTCTGTTCATTCTTTCATCTATTTTTTCAAATTTCAAAGTGAGTTACAAGCATCAGTGAATACAGTATGTTTTTGTACTAATGGGAATAATTCAGAAGAGAGAAAATCTTTTGATGATTCTAAGAAAGAGTGGGAAAATCACTGGAACAATGTCCTTGAAAACTTAGGGTGGGTAGGAATCGTGTGAGAAGGTAAAAGCTGTCAGGAGGACCTCAGGCACTTGATCAAGATGGAAGTTCCATGGGGGAAAGTCAGAGTATAAAGGTCAGGGGCAAGTGGTGGGCAGAGGTGATAATAGGGTATGTGGATGTTCTCACCCATTCTACCTTCTCCAGAAATATTAAACATGATGTAGGAAATCAGCAGCAGGGAATAAAGTTGGCAAAGACAGAATTGGATTCAGGATTGAGGAAAAGCTGTGAAGTAATCATGGGGATAAATAAAATTAGGATTTTAGAGCATCCCTAAAGCCTACTTGAGGTACACGGTTATGAATATTTTCTTATGGTACCAATGTAGATGACTTAGGAAGAATTGAGAGCAATGGTGTTTTTACAAATATTGTATTATTCATATAGTGTTTGCACATACTTATATGAATAGACTAATAATGTTTCAGTAACATTATTCAAAGACATGGACAGGAGCATCTTCTTCTCACTTAGACAACCTCACAGCAACCACAAACTTAATGTTTTTTTATAGTGCTGTCAAATTGCGTCGCCTAATTTAGAAATGTTACACATAAAACTTTAATGTTAAGGGAGACATTTAATGGCTGTGAGTTAGGAAAACTATTCATAACATCTTTTTATGCTGAGTAAAGTTCAGAAAGAAAAAAGTGTTTAGACTATCCAGTAAATAAAAAATGTATTATGAAAGAAAACACTCAACCATTTGATTTTCTGACATTGTTTGGGCATCATCGTGATTGCAATAATATCTCCAGCTCTTTTATTCTCCAGAAATAATAAACAAGATGCAAGAGGTTTTAGAATTTATTTTTGATTCAGAGCAAGGAATGCTATGCACTTCTTTGTCAACTATTTGAGCTTAACTCTGTATATTTTATAAAACTTAGTATTTAAGTTTCATTTCTGTGTTTTTTTTTTAACATTGGAAAATAATTTCACATTTGAATAGAGGATGTCAGGGAAATAACAGATTATAAGCCTCAAATCATATCTAGTGATTCTGTTGACATCGTAATAGGCTGCTTGAGTGTTAGATGTTAGTGAGGACTTTTTGGAAAGACTCTCTGTTTTTCTGCTGTGTCAGTTAGTTACTGTTCTAAATTCTTTCATGTCCCCACATAAAGAACTAAAAGTAATTTTAATAGAAAGTAGAGAACAAGTGGCTTCCTTAAATCTTCTTTTGTCTTTAAGAACTTCTGAGTTAACAATGTCTGGGAGTCTAGAAAAGAACAGATCCTCCTTTGCTCAGTTGTGAATTCTTCGGTGATTCATGGCAAACTCAAGAAAAAAACACAGGCATCTGTTGTTACAGGAAAATTACCTGCTTTATATCAGCCTAAAGCGGCATCATTTAGTGAGGTCTCAAGGCCGTATGAAACCAAGCCTTACATTTTTTTTTTTTTGGGGTATTATGTGAAAAGAAATCTTCTCTTTCACATTACTTTTTTTTTTTTAATGTTACATTTGAAGAAGTACTAAGAAGATTTAGAATTTTAAAAAACTGCTAAGCTCCATTCCATTATGTTTGGAAGGTCATGGATTTATTTGCATTCACTTACAAGCACTTGGGGTTAGGGCAGAGTTGTCATCTTGGACACACTTTAGTGTATGCAACTACTGATTAAAATAATCCTAGAACCAAATTTAAATCATTAGAATCACATTTTTTAGTTTCATTTAAAGTAGAAGAGGAGATTTTATTTCTTATGAAGGGTTACAGCCTGCAGGCTGGCTATCCTGACAGGCTGGTAAGCCAGACACAAATACTTCTAGGGATGGGCAAAAGGAACAGGAATTTATGTTGAGCAGGGTGGCTGAATATACATATTCAATAAACTATAGGAGCAGTCATGAGTATTTATGAAAGGAGAAAATGCACATGAGCAATTCAGCTTTAAGCCTCTCCATGGGTCCCATGTACAAAAAATGGCAGCCTTAAGATGAACTGAGAGTGGAGTTTTCAGCCCTCTGTCTTCAAAACATGAAGCAGAGGACATGAACATTCTTACTGTGTGTTCTCCATAGACTGGCCAGGTCCACTCCATGGTCTCTTATCAGGCAAAAAAGGAGGGGCAGCATGCTGGTTTCGTTTTAGCCCTTAGAGAAGAAAGGTTAATGGAGGTTAGAGAGGGTCAGTGTGTATAACGAGGGATGTCTGACCTGCTATCTTGTCTTGGCTGAGAACTCAGTTTTCAAGATTACTATGGGGTCCCCTACCAAGAGGAGGTCTGCTCAGTTGGTTTGGGGGCTTAGGATTTTATTTTGATTTCTCATTTTCTCTCTTTTGGCCAATATTTGCCAGAGGCAGCATTGATGGCTAAACTTTTATTTTTTCCCATATCATTGCCAGGATGGTGTGGCTACCTGCCCCAGGTCTATCCTGTCCCTTGGTGGAAGCCCTATAGACAAGGGACTTAGAGCCAAAAGACTTACAGCCAATTAAACACTCTAGGTCAGATGGGAATGGAAGTGGGTAGGCATTCATCAACAAACAATATAAAAGCCAAAAACCGAAGCCAAAAAGCAAGGTTACAAAGTCGCTTTGTAAATTCTGTGCATTGAGCTACTGCAATCTTGGAATTAGTTAAAGGCTTGTAGCCATTTGCTGTATAAAACATAAGCATTCTGTTAAAACCTTTTAAGGCAAGGAATTCAGAGACCTTTGTTGTGCCACAATGCTTTTTGCAGTCTCCACTGATTTGTCCTAAGGTAGCTTAAAAATTTATATCTCTATTTGTATAAAACCCATAACTGGGAACTGCAACAGCCAGAAGACTCTGTCAACAGGTTTCTTGATATCCTCTTGGTAATTGTCTTTTAAGTCTATGAGAAGCAGGAAAATGTTTACGGTTGGCATGGATGAAAAGGGGCCACATAATGGCCCAAGAGGCAGTTTCTCAATCTTTCAGTTGTTTAGGCATGTGTGTGCCCATCCTTGATTTGGAGGGTCTGAACTAATTTTAATCCCTCAAAGCCAGCACTTACAATCTCACATGCCCATCTCCTTCTTCCGCAGTACTCCCTGGGCCTAGAGGGAGGATGCTTCTTTGGTTTTAGCGATAGGGAATTGGCAATGAAAATGAGATCAGACCCAGTGGGATTCCAAATGTGGGAGATTTGCAGCCTTATTTGAATCATCTCTAATCTTTAGAGTACCTTGAGAATCACTTGTTGTTGGAAGACTTGTCTTCTATAGCTTAATTTTGGCAAATCAGTATGGGTCTTTGAACTAAGAAAAGCAGGTTTCAACAGAGTTCAGATTCCTTTGTCATAAGACAGACATTCAAGAGACTTTAATTGCTATCTCTTCTAATCCATTTGGTAAATAAGATCACAGATCTAAAAATTATAAAGTTGGAGGGTCAGAAATGGTCAAGTCAATACCCTCATTTTACAGATTTCTAATCTGGGACCAAAGATAACTGGTTTTCTCAGGGTCACATGGCCAGTTAGTAAACTCATAGTCATATTTAGAACAGAGGGCATATCAATATGAGTCTTAACAATTTAAATAGAATTTACCAAATTTCATCTGAATCCTAATTTTAAAAATCCAAAATCACCAAAATGTTAAGTTTAATTAGAGTGTGAAAATAGTTCCTCCATAGTTATGCAATGTCACTCCTGACAAACTTTGTAGAGCTGCCGTCTGAAGTCAGTCACTGCTACTTTAAACTTCCGTGCATTAAAAACAGAATCAGAGATGCATCTCCATTTCTTGTGTATTATACACCCACATGTTCTTCTGGAAACTCTGCCTGCAGTTCTGACAGTCTGTCAACACAAGCCATCAAGTTTAGCTCCTTATAGTTTCCTGGATATCAAGCACATGTAAGTAGAAATTACATATTTGAGTTGCCTTTTCAAATGTGTTGCAAAGAATAGTCAGTCTTCAGGTTTGTGATTTAAGTGTTTGATTGCATTGCAGACCTCCTTGCCTGGCTTTCTGGATGGTAACTTTTGTGGCATTAAGCCAAACTGTGAGGCCAGGTATAGCCTCATTCTCAAACACATCTCTTTCTCCTCCAAAGCATTTGAAACTTTGTCAATGTAGAATCATTCCTTTGGTTCCTAAAATAAGCCCTTTCGTTCTTCCAGAGTCTGTTGTTAAAAAAAATTAGTATTTTGCATTGTTATACAGATTTACAAATTATACATCACTTTCACATATTTTTTTCAGTTGAAACTCACCAAATAGATTTTCTTCATAATAAGTGGCATACCACTTATTATACAAGAGGATGTGGTTGAAACAGTCTGCCCCAGGAACAACCAATAAGAAGGTATACTCTAGAAAATTTAAAAACAATGACTTTAAAAACAATGACAAAACCATTCAACATTAACTTGCTTTTTATTTTTGTTATGTTATAGCAATTCTAAACAGTATTCGTGATAAAATATTCCTGTCCAAGAAACCTTTATTTATTTATTTATTTTTGGTGGCTGCGCTTGCTGTTGTGCTGTGATAACATATATGTAAGCTTCGGATGAGTATATTTTATATTTTAAGCACTACTTTTTTTACATGGGAGTTAGTTTGGATAATTCTGAGTTATACTGTTGATTTGTAAACTATGTGTTTATTTCAAGAGTACGTTTAAGTTCTTAATATTTTGGAATTGTTCAAGTTCTGTTTGGATGCAGTTCATGTCTCCACAACTAATGGTACTATATATTCCTATATTTAGACAGTAAATTGGAAGTGGAAAAATGATAGTACAGGGATTTTAAAGGAGAAAAAACAGAACTTGAATCGTTTCAATACTTTCACTGTATGTGACCACTTGAATTTTGTGTTTCAAATTTGAAATAGTGACACAGTGTGTGAGTTGCAACAAATAATATTTCATTTGGTAAGAGAACATTTAAAAATGATTATACGTGCAATATAATTGTTTAGTCCAGAGGGGTGCCTATTACAATGGTTAAACTAAGTTTGCCCCTCTTCAGGAGAATAATATTTGGGGGTAATTCTTTCCCAAAATATTAGTGAAAATTGTTTGCTAGTTCACTCAGCACATAGTTCTTTAGGAATGAGGTAACACACAAGAAGCAGAGAGCAAGATACCAAAAGGGAATGTGTGTATGTGTGTACATGTTGCATATGGGTGCATGGTGTTTATGTGATCTTGAGATAAATGTAGCCTATTCCACACTTTGGCCCTGATAAACATAATCCCCATTTTGGAAACAGAAAATTAAGATCAGATTGGCTAACAAGACTTTTCTGAGAATATTTATCTCAGCAATACAGCAGTAAAGGGCAGTCTTCTACTAGCCTGTCACGTTTGCTGAAGTTTATCAAAAGTGAGTAGAAAGCACCTAATTCTATTTGATCCTCCTATGTGATGAAATTGAGTGGTGACCAGGATTTTTGGTGAACTGATACATTTTTGGCATTTATTTGTTAGATTGTGATTTGGCTCAGTAACTTGAATAAATTTTGTACTATAAAATGTAGTACTAACTAAAAAACTAAAAAGCCACCTTTCCCATATGCCTGTAGGACATACTGACAAGCTAGTTTTCATAAACTTTCCAAATTAAAATCATAATGAATAAAATTATAAATCAAAGTAGGGAAATATAGACTGATGAGCGTAAATGAGCAACAGCAAGGCTCTGCCATTTACTTGCCCTGTGACCTTGGAGAATTTACTTCAATTTTCCATTCCTGATTCATTAATAAGATGAGGATCATAAAAACATGTACCTCATTGTTTTTTGTTTTAAGGAATAAATTTTACACATAGATGATAGATAAGTGGATATGTTGGTTCTTAGTACAGTGTAAGGGCTTAATATTAGCTACTTATTATAAACAATATTATGGTGAAATTTATCTTAAATTCAAGGCCAAAAGTCTCTATATAAAAATTATGCAAAGATCCATATTTATAGAATAATGGAATAAGGAAGTGGGGTATTCCCATATGGATCCAACTTTGCAAAGTTCTTTTTTTTAATCAAAATATTTTATGTTAAGAGACCTTTCAAAAAGACCCTCCATGTTAGACATCCCAACAGTACCTTGGACCTTTTTGGGGGGATCTTTTTTGTATTTTTTTTCTTCTTAAATCAACTAAAAAATTTTGATGCTAAAAGCCGGGAAATATTTTCCAATGAAAATTTAGTCCAAAAAGAAAAAAATACACACACACACACACACACACACACACACACACACACACACACGTGTGTGTATATATATATGTATTTATATACATATGTGTGTATATATGTATATATAATACATATATTTATATACCTATGTGTGTATATATGTATATATAATATATTTACATATCACATATTTTTTATATATAATATAATGCATATATATTTTATCCTCGTGACAGGTGAGGAAGGGCAAGATGCTGCCAGGAATTCAGGAGGTATTTGGTTTTCTTGTTACATAGTAAGGAGAATGGTTTTGCTGAAGACAGGGACACATTACATTATTCAAATGTAATCAACACCCAACTTGTATCCATTTGCAATGATAGCAATTAACTAATCTTGCTAGTGAGAATTTCAGTGTAGCTGGTTATGAATATAACATATCTATGCAATAATCATCAAAGTATTATAGGTAGTATTATGCTCATCATAAAATTTATTTTGAAATTTTAACACTATGACTTGCATTTTTCATTCCTATGGCCTAAGGGAATAGTAAGGTTTGCTATCATAGCATTTCTGATGCTGATGCTCTTCTGTTTAGCCATAACTACAGCTCAAGAGAGAGAGACAGATGGGACACGTAGAAATAATGGAGGTGCCAAGAGAGTCAGGCTTCAGTAGTTAGTTACCATACAGAAATGGCCATCTCCAGTCCCTTCTTCCCCAATATCAGCCATGGGGACTTGACCCCCGCTGGGATCAAGGGGCCTAAAGACAGCCTTGTTTCCTGCCTGCCCTCCTTAGAATGGCAACAACAACAACAAAAAAAGAGTAGCGATTGGGATGCCATAAAATGAGCAAATGGCAGCAAGGCTATATTAAGGACATATTCAATGCAAAGCACCCCATGTTTGTCACGGCTCTTGTTTATTAACACCACCCAGGGAATTGAGGGAATAGAGGTGGGAAAAGGAAATTTAGGATGTGATATAGGGAAGGCAGCATTCCTTCTTATCTCTCTTTGCTTAGGCTGTTCTACTGAATCATCAGCTCTGTACCCTCAGTCAGCCACTTCGAGTATTTCAGTGCCATATGAGAAATCTAACAGCATACACTACATATTCATATCTAGAGAATCGTAAATGTGTTTATGTAGCTGCAGACTAGCATGGAGGAGAAATCTGTTCTCTATTTTTTGTTCCATTTTTCCTAATTGGATTGGTTCTGCTTGGACAAGTTGTTTGTGGAGTTAGTCAATAAATGTATTGATGAAAAACAAAATATAGGTTCCCACTTTTAGTTTTTAGAATCCATGAGAATAGAGTCCTTTTTGGCTGACATCAGTACTAATAATAGCTATGATTTGTTGATAGCTTATTGTGTGTCAACCACTATGTTCCACTAGTATGAACACATTTAGTTCTTATGAAACAGTGCCACTTGTATCCCACAGATGTGGAAATTGGGGTATAGAACACTTATACTACCTGCCCAGAATCACATAACTAGTGAGTAGTGGGTCCAGGGATCAGACAATTTGATGTCAGGGTCTTATGCCATACTGCTGCATCTGAACAGCTGTGATCATGCAGCTAAACGGGACCTTGCAGAAAGCACCCCAGCACCCCAAAGGCTAGTCTAACTTTCTTACCAATGTACCTGGGTCCCCTTGTCACTGTAATGTTCTTCAGATCCCACCTTTAGTCATGCATTCAACAATATTTACTGAGCACCAACTTACTGTCTAGACACAGGAGATCTACTGGACAGCAATTCTGATTCAACCCATACTGGGTCTAGGACTAGACACAATCTCACTGGTCCTATGATACTAAAAACCTAGTTATCTGGCATATTGAAGGGGCCTCAAGCCCAGTCATGAGGGAGACCGGAAGGCATCTCAGGGAAGTTAATGACTCCTGAAAGATGAACTGAAATTAGTTTGTTAAAGAGGATGTAGGCCGGACATGATGGCTCATGCCTGTAATCCCAGCACTTTGGAAGGCTGAGGCAGGTGGATCACTTGAGGTCAAGAGTTCAAGACCAGCCTGGTCAACATGGTGAAACCCTGTCTCTACTAAAAATACAAAAATTGGCCAGGCATGATGGTGCATACCTGTAATCCCAGCTACTTATGAGGCTAAGGCACGAGCATTTCTTGAATCCGGGAGATGGGGGTTACAGTGAGCCAAGATTATACCATTGTACTCCAGCCTGGGAGAGCGAGACTCTGTCTCAAAAAAAAAAAAAAAAAAAAAAAAAGACTGATGTGGAAAGAGTATTGCAAGAGAGGTAACAAGAACAGGCCCCTGATACCCAAAATAAGCATGGCATGAATGGGGTACTCAAAGTCTTTCATTCTGTGGAATCGGAGATGATGACTGAGTGAGTCGGGGGTTGCAGTGCAAACTGTGATCTGTGGCCCAAGTCCTGACTGCTGTCTGCTTTTGTATGGCCTGCCTTTTTACATTTTTACATGATTTTTTAAAAATAAGAAATTGAACTGTATACCATGATGTGTGAAAAATATGAGATTCAAATTTCAGTGTTCATAAAGTTTTATTAGAACATAGCCATACCCACTTTATTTTCATGTTGTATATGGCTACTCTCATGCTACAATAGCAGAGCTAAGTAGTTGCAACAGAGACCATAGGGTCTACAAAACCTGAAAGATTTGCTGTCTGGCCTTTTACAGAAAAAAAAGTGTGCTGACTCCTGCTGTAGAGGATGAGAGGTTGCTATAGAGTTAGATCATGAAGGACCCTATAGTTCACATTGAGAGATTTTTATTTTGATTCTGAAAGGCAATGGGGAGTAACTAAAGGGTTTTAAGTGCCTTCATATTTCTTAGGTTGGCTGTTAGTTAATTTGCCTCCTTTCATATTTTCTTGTACTAGGTTCCTGGGAACCGCTTTTACCTACAATGATTTTGTTGACTCTGAGACTGTTTCTGGAGTTTTCTAAGTCAGCAGTCATAGCATTTATAGGTTGCCCCTTTTATAATGTAGAACTTACCTAAATTGACTAGTTTCCTGTTGAAAGTGGGACTAGGATTCACTATTATCCATTTTAGACTGTCACCTTATGTTACTGCTACGAAAGTCTAAACTGTGGGCTTGATTGTGATGTTAACTTCTGGGTCCTAAAGATGTGTGTGTCCTCGCCCTCTCTGCAGCCCTTCAAACACAGGAGAGGCCAGTGGGTATTACTGGTCAAGAATATTTGTTGTTACCCTTAGAGAAAACACTCCATGCAGAGGAAGCACTGATGAAATAAACACAGGGAAATAGAGAACAGTTGTGTCCAGACATCTAAAATCTGAAACACAGAAGAGAAATCTGGAGAGCTTGTCATAGCTCCCTAGGGGACAATTAGTCTTTCTCCAACTTAGCAGAGAGGCTTTTTTCTGCTACATTTGACAAGTGGGTGAGTTCTAATCTGCATGTTTATTTTGAAATGTTGCTTACCCAAGGATTAAACATCTGGTTGAAAAGCAGATAGGTTCAAAAATCTATTACTTGACATTAGTAGCTTAAAAGATTGTAACTTGGTTCTTAGTTGTTTTTTTTCCCCAAACTTGGAATAAGGTGATTGTAATAAGTTGAACTGATGGATCATTCAATTTCTCTTAAGTGTTAGCATTTCTGAACATTTTCTTATCGCTTACCTATATGGTAAGTGAAATCCTTTCTCCTAGTACTTATTTGCTCTGGGTCTCCATAGATAGAGAGAAAGTTAATGTGGGTGCCAATGTTCATATTTCCCCTGCATTTTTACAGTTAGAATGTTAAATTAAACTTTCCATTCTGAATTTTTATCTACTGCCTTCCAGTTAGGTACATCTGTCAATCCTGCTGTGTTAATTTTAATTTTTGTTCTTCTCAGTTATTAAAAATGGAGTAATTTTGAACTGAATTATTTGTATTTATTTGAATGTTGGCTAAGCTTTTAATTTAGAGCAAATTTTTAAATATTAGCAAAAAATTTTAAGGACTTCTACATTAAAATCTCTTATTCTGGTAACAGAAGTCAATGATTAAAACTTTTAACATGCAGTCCAGAAATATTACAGTATTTTGTATCATAGTGAATGAAAGAATATATATGTTTGCCTAGTAATAATTTCCTTTTATATTTTCATATAAATTTATATTTGAATAAACTGCAAATATAAATCACTTTAAATTTATGTGATAAGTTTATATCTCTTTTATCTAAATTAAAGTTATTATTACTAGAAAGTTGGCATATATATTTAGTAGTAAAATAAATTACATTAAATATATGACATGTTTATGCACATACAGGTACATACATGGAGATATATACATTCACACATATAAATATATATTCATCATTGTATTTTTAGCCTCAAACAACTGACATATAATTTCATAAACATAAATTTTGCAAAATAAATTTGGGGATGTGAAACCTTCACTTAGGTCAGCCTTTTAAGAGGTTTATTGCCTAGTGAATCTTGTGTATAAATTAATAACATTTTTTAAATGCCAGAGACATGTGACTTCTTTTCTTCCTTTATTGTTACTATAGCAGAGGATTCCCTTCTGTGGGTGAAAGAAAATATATTTTGACTTTACAGTCTTTTATTGTGTGATCGATGTTAAACTTTTTTGTGCATATTTTCAACGTGATCTTTTCAAATCTCAATGTTTAACGGTAAATATCCTAGAGAAACTGCAAAGCACCGTCTGGCATATGTTCTGAGCATATTCACTTGTGCTTCTTTTTTTTTTTTTTTTTTTTGAGACGGAGTCTCGCTCTGTTCCCCAGGCTGGAGTGCAGTGGCACAATCTCGGCTCACTGCAAGCTCCGCCTCCCGGGTTCACGCCATTCTCCTGCCTCAGCCTCCCAAGTAGCTGGGACTACAGGCACCCGCCACCACGCCTGGCTAATTTTTTTGTATTTTTAGTAGAGACGGGGTTTCACCGTGTTAGCCAGGATGGTCTCCATCTCCTGACCTCGTCATCCACCCGCCTCGGCCTCCCAAAGTGTTCACTTGTGCTTCTTTAAAATCGAAGAATCATAAAAAGCAGAGAGTTTTCAGCAGTGCCCTCTCTACCCCTTTCAAGCAGAGCCCTGCACTTTGTCTACATTTCTACAATGAGTGCTATTTCATATTTCTTTAGGAAAAAGTATTCTGATGCTCGAAAGTATGGGAAACTTCTGATCTACACCAGTGCTTCTCAACCTGGGGCAATTTTAAGAATCTCCTCGCCACCACTGGGGACATTTGTCAATGTCTAGTAATATTTTTGACGCTACATCTGGGTGGGTGCTACAGGCATCTAGTGGGTCGAATCCAAGGATGCTACTAAACATCCTATCATGCGCTGGACGGTTCCACTCCCTGCTCCCCACAAACAGAGTTATCTGACCCACAATGTCAGTAGTGCTGAGGCTGAGAAATCCTGTTGTAGACCAAGTACAGTAGTTACCCCCTTATCCCTGGTTTCACTTGTAGTGGCTTTGGTTACTTGGAGTTAACTGTGGTCCAAGAATATTACAGTATTTTGAGAAAGAGAGAGCGAGAAAGAGAGACACCACATTTACATAATTTTTATTACAGTTTATTGTTATAATTGATCTATTTTGTTATTAGTTATTGTTAATCTGTGACTGTGCATAATTTAGAAATTAAACTTTATCATAGGTATGTATGTATAGGAAAAAAAACAGTATACATAGGGTTCAGTATTATCCATGGTTTCAGGTGTCCACTGGGGTTCTGGAACATATGTATGTATAAACTCAGGAGTTTTTCCAAAACGACTGTACTGATTTCGCTGATAGGGAAACTAGACAATGAGGTGGAGAGATGTGTTCAAATACACAGTTTATTTTATGCTGGAGTCCAAGTCTTGATTTTCCTTACTTTATGCTGTTTGTCCTTTACTTGAGGACCTATGTGAAATGGCAATTTGGATAGAAAAATAAAATCACCAAAATGTAAATATTAAAAAATAATACTTGGTACTGCATTGCATGGGCTTCATTGCAATAAATATTTCTCTACTATCTAGCACACTGCCTGTAACAGAGATTAAAAAGAGTATGCTTCTTTGCAAAGAGCTATCCAGCTGGGGAGATTAAGAGATAAATAATTATGAATCAATAAGTAGTTAGAGAACAAGCTACAGAGAAGAGGTCATATGTAAGAAGGGACCTGAACAGTAAACTGAAGTTAGTCAGGTGGGAAAGAAGAGGGAGTGGGCATTCTTGGTAAAGATAACTGTATGCCAGAGGCATGGAAGAGCCGAAGGCCTTCGTGTGGTCTTACTAAAAATTAGCATGTGTGGGCCAGGTGCGGTGGCTTATACCTGTAATCCCAGCACTCTGGGAGGCCGAGGCAGGCGGATCACGAGGTCAGGAGATCGAGACCATCCTGGCTAACACGGTGAAACCCCGTCTCTACTAAAAATACAAAAAATATGCGGGCGTGGTGGCGGGCGCCTGTAGTCCCAGCTTCTCGGGAGGCTGAGGCGGGACAATGGCGTGAACCCGGGAGGCGGAGCTTGCAGTGAGCCGAGATCACGCCACTGCACTCCGCCCTGGGCGACAGAGCGAGACTCCGTCTCAAAAAAAAAAAAAAAAAAAAAAAAAATTAGCATGTGTGGATTCCCGATTTGCCTACAACAGGTTACTTGAGGGTAAATGTGGGTTTGGGGGAAAAAACCTTTCACCAACAAAGATTCCCACTTATGTACCATAGTGCTTGACGTTTCACTCTCGGAAATTCTTCCCATTTGGTTTAAAAATTTCCCTTTCCTTGCCATCATCTTTAAGGAGAAAAGGTATGTCCAGATACTTTATGTCTCTGAAAGACCTTCAGGGAACAAAATATATTTATGAAAATGAAAGTGACTCACATGGTAGTAAGAGTCCCAGATGGCTGAGGAGGTAAAAATGAGTACAAGCAGGGACTTGAAAGTATAAGAAAATCTTGGGTGGTGGGCAGGCACCCAGGTCATAGATGCCTAATTCCTACTTTTACAGACATTGAGTGGGCATTCTTGTGATATTTTATATTTTTGGAGCTGTGTACTTTCTTTCTTACTTTATTTCTTTGAAGTTCATTGCCCAGAGAGGAATAAGCATCTTTATCCAATATGGTAAGGTATGCTGCTTACCTGATCTGGTCCCTCTGCCACAGAATCCTGACTACACAGAGCTTGTCAGTCAAAGGAAATTTGGTGCAAATATATATTTAACATATGACCATGAAGGAATTCCTACTTTGTATGTTATAAAACACAGGATCAGAACTGCCATTTGCACATTTGGGGCATTTTTATGAATCATGGAAAGGACCCCTCTGGATGACCATTGAGAAAGGCACTGCTTTCACCTGGCTCAGCAACATCTGTGCGAGGACACATGTGCTGGCTCCAGTTACTGGCTTGGTGAAAAGAAGATGGTAGGATTTCAGACCCACTGGTACCCCCTCCTACTAAATGCCTTTGTGCACACCATAAACTAACATGGTACAAAGGGACCCTGACAAGGATGAATTGAGAGGCCATAATCCATATTGTATATGGGTAATATACACAGTGTAATTACATGTAGAGAGAGACCAGGTGTGTGTTTTTCTGAGGGCATGTCTGTGTGAGTCCCTGTGTGTACAGAACTATGTCAACTATTAACCTCTCACCCACCTCGCTAGGAAAGTGGGCAACAACCCAACAGATGTAGCTTTGGTAACTTCTTCAGTCCTAGTCTGTGTATTTCCTGCATTGGCATACTTTTTACTTTAACTAAGCCCTTTATTACTACACAGAGGAGTTCCTGTGACTTTTTCTGCAGTGGCATCCTTTGTACAGTGTCTTTATCAATACCATTTCTAAGTTTAGCCATAGTACTTATATCTGTTTTACTCCTTCAGCACTCTCGTTAAGAAGCCCATGCTTTGTCTACACATTACTTGTCTGCACAGTTCCAGTGCACTGTCTTCCTCCCCACCACACCCATCCTGATAACATCATCCAGTGAGGTCGTGGAAATAGATATCTTGCAGCCAACTCTTCCTTTTGACAATTCGAGAGACTTTCCAGCTTGAGTGGGCTCTGGGGATAGCTCCTTACATTGTTTCAATGACACTGAACTCTAGATACCCTGATCCTGTGTATCTTCTCTAAACACATGTCTTTCCTCAAGCCATTTGGAGGTTTACCATGTCAATTAATATTCAACAAGGATTTGAGAGCTTACTGTGTGCCAAGTCATTAACCAGTAAATTATTAAATTATAGACCTTTCACTTCTATAATTTTGCAGTAATAAAACATTCTAAAAATGCCCAAGTATTGTGGTAATGCCCACTGATTTTTAGTTAGATCAAGTGATTGTAGAGGAAGTTACATTATGCCATTTGATTTCTCACGGCGTGCTTATACAGTGTACTATGCTTATTTCAGTGTTTCACTCTTGCCCCAGTAGTTCAAGTTGCCCTTCTGAAAGCTGTAATAAATATTCCTATGTTGGCTTTTATCTCTTTGATTACAGCATGTTAGTTAACACCCCCAGTAAGTAGGCGGGAACTTGTATGTGATTGTTTTCCTTTTCACCCTATTTATATTCCTTCTTCTCTTTCTGTGATGGTGAGTAGAGCTTTATTTTTGTTTTTACTTTACTTGATCTCTCAGTGTTTCATGAGATCTGTGTTCTGGTTTCTCAGTTTTCACACCCTGTTCAGCCACTTTAAATGTCTTAAATCTTTTGTCTATGCTTTCATAAATAAACATTCAAAATGGTTCAAAAATTTAAAAAACTACGAAATGCTTTAATCAGTAAACTTTCATAAAATTGTACATACCTTTACATACTATATTAAATTAAAATTATATTATTTAACTTGCAATTCATATACTGTAATTTTTATAAGGATAATTTAGGAGAACTCAATAAGAAAATAAATCTTCAGAAAATTGTATCATTTTTGTAAAGAGTTACCATATACCTGTCTTTTTAATGACAATTTTTGCAAATTAATATTGATATAGTTCATCTTGATCAAAATATATTGACATACAAGGACTATGGCTTTAGATCTGTTCTCCTTTTCTATGAGAGGTGGCAGAACAGGTTTGGAAATCATGGCAGCCTTCCTGGCCAGAGATAATAACGTACTACTTAACCTTGTACAAAATCGTCTTTTCCTTTCTCGAATTGAACAACAATTTGAGGAGAGTCCTTGATACTCTTGACCTATTATGGTTTTACCTGTTTAATCTGAGGATTTCTATTTCAGTTAGGAGTCCAGAGTGGAATAAAATTGAAAAGTAAGATAAATGTATATCCTATACTGGTCCTTACACATTACAGCTGGGGCCTTTAATTACCATATCAGCTAATGAAGTGCCATCTATGTCTTGAATCGAGAAGGTTTTGACCCTAGGGAAGGTGACAGCTCTTACATTTAAACCTAGCACCAGCAGAGTTCTAACAGTTACTCAAAGATCATTTTCTCTGAGGATGAAGAATTTAACAAAGAAACAAGTCCTAATATCATCTGCTTTAAAATTACTATGAAAAGAGACAGAGAGGGGAAGAAGAAAAAACAATTACTTATTTAATAAAAATATAAGGAACACTGAGTACATGAAAGATATACCAGGGACTCAGGTCAATGGGAAAGTCATTGCACTCTTCTGAGCCTCAATATTTCTGTCAGTAATATGGGGATGAGAGGCATGTCGGACAGGGTTACTGTAGGGATGAGGGGTGATATGATAAAGTACTTGGCAATCCAAAACAAAGCCAATTTTGGCTGTTATTACTCAATAATAATAAATATAGACTAAGGAGATTGCATTTTTCTTGTCAGCAGTGGGGGTCTATTGAAGGTTTTTGAGCAGGAGTGACTACTGCAGTATGCCAGACCTCAGAAACTGTGGGCATGTTTTACAGAGGGCAGAAACAATTTAGAAGACAATTGCAATATTCTCAGCAGGAAGTGGTAATGGAGAAATAGGATGGGGTAGGGTGGGGTACAGAGCGAGACCAAAACAAGGAAGAGTAAGAGAAATATCAAAGTCACAAAATCAAAGGTATTGCAGCCCCTTTTGTGAGGCCAGATGGGGAATTGGGACAATAACAGAGACATTAACAAGAACAGAAAACACTGGTCAGGAGTGGGCATTCAGGGGAGAGGAGAAAGTGGAATGAGCTCTGATTTGGACATAGTAAGGTCAAGAATGGCACTGATTGGCTGCTAACACTGGACTGGTCATTTTTCCCCAGAGTAGAGCTTGGTGAGGAAAAATCCCGATACTTGTCCCTCTTGAATTCTGAAACCCGAAATGATGTTTTCTGAATCATCCTGCAGAATTGGTGGGAAGACGTTAGGCACTGTATCTTTGAGCCTGTCAGCTTCTGCCTGATTAATTCTGAGTAGTTACATTTCTTCTAAACCATTATTAAAAAAAAAAATGGATGAGACTTCACAGTTGCCTTATCATATGAAGATGAAAAGTACATCCTTCCGTAATGTTGCTATTGCTTTTATCCACGTTACAACTAATGATTCAATCTCACATATTTCATATTTAAAAATACTATATTTCTAATATGCTTACACTGAATTAGTGGCTCAAACCTTTATAAGAAAGTGCTTACACCTATTTTGAACTGTCTAGGAATATGCATGAAGGACAGATCTTTCTGTTTGTAGGAAGAAATGTTATATTTGTTAGTCATGACAGAGGGATTGTGAATAGAAGTGTTTCCATTTCCACCCAGTGGAGAGTGTTTCGAGTGGTGGGAGACACGTTATACCTGGTGAGAACATTGAGGTTAAACATTTTATTTTTATTACCTCAATTCTTTTTAATAAGGATGCCACAGAGGTGTTTGCAGGGCCTGTAAATTAGTTTTGGCCACAAGCCAATCAGCTTTCAAACCTGGTGTAAGAGGAGAAAGTAGATGTGTGTATGTTTGTGTGTGTGATGTGTGTCTGTGTGTTGTGTGTGCATATGAGCTGTCTGTGAATGTACATATTCCTGCTTAGTGATATAAACATCCTCTACTTTCAGAGAAAAGTCTAGGTAGACTTAATACCCCACATGAATATTTCCATTATTTTTTGTTTTCCTTTTCAATTTGAGCTATTGTTTATCCACAGGCTTTATGAGCTGAATGTATTTTTAGCAAAGGAATGCCTTTTTGCATGAAACACAACCATATACAGTGCTGCTAGCTGAACAAGAGGAAAAGAAATGTTGGATTATTCATAAAATGCGCTCATTTTCTCCTTTTTGTTTTAAAGGCTAGATATTGTTTCTAAAGTAGTGGTATACAAAAGTAGGCACTCCATGTACTTACTTTGGCTTTGTGTAGCTGTAAAGTGGAATGATATCTCCAGCTTAGTTTTAACTTTGTTTGAAATGAGAAAACCTATGGCAGTCTCTCAACTGATATTATTTGATTTATTCCTTATTTTTGTCTGGTGGGAATGAGAATGGGATGAAGATAAAGTGGTTTCAAGACTATTGTTGACACTGCATTTTGCTCAATGGTGTTGCCTCATCTCTTCTGCTATTACTTTGCTTGGATTCCAGATATGCTGGAGGAGGAAAAAGTACTTGGTTTCTATGCTCTCATCTGATTAATAGCTTTTGAACTTGAACTGGCCTGATTTCTCTCTTTCTCCTCTGCCCAATCCCAGAAGGCAGAAGGGAGGAACTGAGATAAAATAGCTAAATACAAAAGACAACCGAGTATATCGCAGGTCTTCATAACTTTCCCTAATAATGGCAATTGTTTAGTCTTTCCTATGTCATATTTTTTTCTCATTTTGTTGCAAATAAGAATTGGAATGGGTATATACAAATAAGGTAGAAAGCAGAAAAGACCCTGACTTTTGCATAGCTCATCAGAACACTGTAGATTATTAATTAAGAACAGGGATTGGAGAACTTTTTTTTCTGTAAAGGGTCAGATAGTGAATATTTTATGCTTTGTTGGCTGTATAGTTTCTGTTGTGGCTGCTCAACTCGGCTGTTGTGGGGAGCAGCTACAGACAATATGTAAACGAATAGGTGTGACTGTGTTCCCATATAACTTATTTATGGACAATTAAATTTGAATTTCATACTAGTTTCTGGTGTCATGGATCATTATTCTTTGAATTTTTTAGCCATTTAAAAAGATAGATAGCATTCTTTACTCATAAGCCAAGTTAGAAACAAGGGGTGGGCTACTTTTCACTCAGAGCTATAGTTTGCCAACTACAGGATAAAAAGAAAGAACATTATACTGTTCATGAGGCATTGATAAAACTGACAATAACTGCATTTATTGAGCACTTACTATATCTGAGGCATTGTGCTGACTACTTTATATGTCATCTTAATCAACCTGTAAAGCAATTCTGTATTAGACATTATTAGCTCGATCTTTAGTGAACTAATTGAAGCTCAGAGAAGTTGAAAAACTTTCCAAATATCACACTGTTTGGAGAGTCAAAAGATTTATGTTCAGCTCCTACCAAGCAATGCAACTCTAGAAAAAACCCTTTGCTTCCTTGGATTTTCGTCTCTTCATCTGTAAAATGGATGTACCATTCTTACTTTCATTGCCATGCAGTTGGGCTGAGGCTTATGTAATTCTCAAAGCTCTAAACAGCTGTGCAGCTTTAGAAAATTATTATTAAGACTATCAGAGTAATGTATGTATTAAGTTGTTTTTTCCTCTAGCTGTAACATCCTACATCAATTAATATTATTATCTAATTGCGAAGGAAAAATCATTCCCCAAATCCTTGGGATGAGGCAGTAGGATGAGGCAATATGTCAACAAATGAAAGAGTGTAAATTCATTATGCAATTGGTAAGGAGAGACACTAAGGGAGAGTGAAGAATGGCAGAAATCAGAAAAAAAATTATAGTCAGGTAAAGCAGCTTTTAAAGAATAAGATGAGCTGGCCATGGCATAGGTATATTAATAATGTATATTAAAGAATCAAAAATATTTCTGATTGCAAATTTCTACTATTGGCATGTATAATTGAGTCATACCATACTTGTTTTTGAAATTTGAAAGAATTTGTGGATGCAGTCTTAAGGATAATATTTAAGATCTAATGGATAAATTAAGTATAGACCCAAAGCTCTAGATTTGCCATAATTTTCACAAAATAAGAATACGTTAATTCTAGAAACTGGGATTGGTATGCCTAATTAAGATGCCTAGCAATATTCATCAACAGATTTTTAAACAGCATGTATGTGAGTCCTCAGGGGAAAAACTCACTGGTATCCAACCTGGGCTTTCTTTACAATGAAAAGAAAAGGAAATAAATAAATTTAGTTAAAATTGATTTCTCTTTATAAAGTGGACTTTTAAAACATTGAATCATGCTATGCTTATTGAATATCATGGCAAAAATCATTGAATAAAATGTTGGGTCAGATTCTTGGTTCATTTCTCTTTAACAATCTGAGATAGCAATTCTAATACAGTTCCACAATTTATCACATTCCCTTGAATCATTTGGTCGTTCTAAAAATATTTAGCAGCCGGGAACTGTGGCTTATGCCTGTAATCCCATCTACTCGGGAGGCTGAGGTGGGAAGGTCGCTTGAGGCCAGGAGTTTGAGGTTGCAGTGAGCTGTGATCATGCCACTGCACTCCAGCCTGGGTGACAGCAAGAGTAAAAAATAAATAAAATTTTAAAAGAGCATTAAGAACCTGTTCTGTGCTGGGAATTGCTAAAATTGCATGCAGTATGTTGGTAAACAAAACTCACCCAAATCCCTGCCCTCATGGGAATTACATCACTCCAGTACTGGTTCTGCTGCTTCCCAGCTCTACCAGGGGTTCCCACAGCCTTTGTTGCTAGTCACTTCCTGTGACACAGTGGTCTTGATAGGACACTGCACTTGGGCACCAATAGAAAGGTAAGCAGGGAGGTAGATAAATTTCCACTGAATTCCCTGTTCATTTAAATTTTTACCATTACTGTAGAGAGGCTTGTAAGGCTTGACAGAAGGGCTGGCTCAGTTGAAGAAAATTAGTGTGTGGGATAGGATAAAAACTTTAGAAAAGTACATTAATTATTACTTACGCCCAAGGTGAAATGAAAAGCACCCAAGAATTTAAATTCTACCTAGGAGCCCCTCATTGATTTCTTTGCTTATCTGCCCTGCTCCCTTGCCTGAATTTACTCATATGTCTTTATGTACGAACACAAAAAGCTCTCCCTTCCTCTGGGTGATCCTTGACATGGGCTTTACGAAGTAGAGCAAGAACTGAATTCCACCCTGCTTGTCCCTCCACCTGGTGCCTTTGTGTATGGCACAACCTGCTCTACTCTAGCATACAGCCTTGCCTTTCCTCCAACAGGGCTCATTTCCAAACATGAGTTATACACACTGGACTAGAGCTCCAGAGTTCCTTCAAGACAGTCCATGCAACTGTCCGGGCAGTTCTAGAGATCTGCTCCACAATGACGGGCACATAATTAATACTACAGTACTGAACACTTAACAATTATTGAGATGATATATTTAACATTATGTGTTGTTTAACCACAACTTTAAAAAAAAAAAGCTGTATAGGGCAAGTGTGGAGTCAAGGAGGTTGCTTCCCACTGGAGAATTGCAGTCATGCTATTTATTTTCTCAGTTTGTCTTCCTGATCTCAATTCTATTAGACATGTACTGACTTCTCAGTGATAAAATATGGCTATCATAGATTATGCTGGCTCAACCTAAGAAGAAAGAGCAATAACTTTCTAACTACCGCTTTCCTATCAATGTACAGGCAAATGTGCATTCCATGTGTGTCTCAATGCCCAATCTTTCACCCAGCTGAACTTCAAACCATCACTGTTAGGGGCCTAATTACATTCTTAGATTTTGACTATCAATCATCTTCAAGGATATCTGTGTAGGGCACTGGGGGTAAGGTGGAGAGAAAGCTTTCATTTATCCAGTCATGACAGGATGACATCTGAATTGTGATAGATAAGAAACTCCTTGAATTCTTTATTAATCTGTCCACTTTTGAAACATTAATTACAGCTCTGTTTTTTGTATAAATTATAAAGGATGTTAATCAACTAGCATGGCATGCATTCTTAGAAGGGCAAGTGTTTAGGGAAAGATCCTAAAAACCACAGAGAAGGACGAGCGCGGTAGCTCACGCCTATAATCCCAGCACTTTGGGAGGCCAAGGCGGGCAGGTCACCTGAGGTCAGGAGTTTGAAACCAGCCTGGCCAACATGGTGAAACCCCGTCTCTACTAAAAATACCAAAAAAAAAAAAAAAAAAAATTAACCAGGCGTGGTGGTGGATGCCTGTAATCCCAGGTACTTGGGAGGCTGAGGCAGGAGAATCGCTTGAACACGGGAGGCAGAGGTTGCAGTGAGCGAAGATCATGCCATTGCACTCCAGCCTGGGCAACAAGAGCAAAATTCCGTCAAAAAAAAAAAAAAAAAAAAAAAACCCACAGAGGAAGAGTTAAGGATCTAGGGGTATTTAGCTTGAAGAAAGAGGATGAAGGAACGCCTTGCTAACATCTGCAGATATTTGAAGGACTGTCATGGAAAAGCACTGTAGAATTGTTCTGCCTTTCTTTATATGGTAGATCTAGGACCAACGAACAGAAATACAGACAGGTAGATTTGGGGGCAGTACAGTAAAGAATCTTCCAATGAATAAAGCTATTCAAAAAATGAAACAGTACTTTCAGATTTAAGATGACAAAAGCAACAAAAAGGAAACCAAACTCCAACTATGATGAAATCAGGGGACATCTATAGTCTCAAACCACAGTATACATATAAGGGTAAGCAATGGATGCAGAAACAGCAAATGACTTCACAGTGTGGGAACACTGATGAGAAGCTACATCTCTCCCACAAAACCTGAGAAAGGCTTAGGAATTAAATTCATCAATTAGAGGAAATGCTTGGAGGGAGGGGACTAAATATGAAACTTGGTAAAAAGAAATATATGTATAAATATGGAGCCATTGGACCGTCAGGACCCATTGCTAACCCACTGAATGCCCAGAAAAGTGAGTGACCCACATCAATATATACTAGGATAGATACGTCTAATATCAAGCATAAGTAGAAGATCCTGAGATAGAGACCAGGTTACCTAAAAAAGCTCTAGAGTAAGAATTACATCCAACGTATCAATGCTGACAAAGTGCAATCACGATTTCAAAATTTGGACCAAAAATAAATTTCATCATTGAATTTTATATACAGCCAGTTAATCGACTATAAGGATTGAAAAAAAAAAGGCATTTTCAGACAATATCTTCCCCCTGTTAGGAAGCCACAGGGATATGCTCCACCTAGATGACGTAGTGAACTAATTAAGAACAAAATTGGGTGTACAGGGCCAGGGTGGAGTTGTGGGAGAGGGCAGGATGGGAACACTCAGATGACAGCAAAAGGAAGACTTTTAAAAATTTTTTTGCCAATACACCAACAATTTATTTTAATTTTATTTTATGTCATTGATTTATTATTTATTTATTTTCCTTCAACTTTTAAGTTCAGGGGTACACATCCAGATGTGCCGGTTTGTTACATAGGTAAACATGTGCCACGGTGGTTTGCTGCACAGATCATTCCAGCACCTCAGTGTTGCATCCATGCCTGGCATCCATTAGCTATGTAAGCTATGTAAGCCCAGCATCCATTAGCTATTCTTCCTGATGGTCTCCCTTCCCCCACACTCCCCTCCAACAAGCCCCATTGTTTGTTGTCCATGTGTTCTCATCGTTCAGCTCCCACTGATAAGTGACAACATGTGATGTTTGGTTTTCTGTTCCTGCATTAGTTTGCTGAGGTTAATGGTAGTCTTAAGGCTGAAGGGATATGGCAGCCCTAGGGAACGGCAGTTCACAGTGAACTCTGGTGGTCAGGGAGCTCCAGGAGGGGTGTCCTGGGAATACACAAACATAGGATATTCTGGTATTTTATGAGAATTTTACACAGCCGTTGAAGAGTGTAGGAAGACTTAGCCAATAGTTGCAAGAAAATCAAATTTTAACAGGAGGTACCAATTGACTGCAGGGAAAAAAATAAGATGTACAAGAAAAAATGTAGTCATGTTACTTGTATCAGAAACAAACAAAAAACATTGACAAAGGCATGAAGACACTGAAAGTGGTTGGAAAAATAATTGTGCTTTAATGTTGGAAGGAAAAAAGGTGCTGAAATTTTCATCATTGTAATAAGAAGTCATAGGGGACATCTAAGATTGAATAATTAAGGGATATAGTATATACATAGGACATAGCAAATATAAATATGAATACCAGAAGAAACAATTTTAATAAATGAAAGCCATTTCTATTTGTGTATGAGCCCTGGAGAAGGAAAGAGAATTATACAAGAGACTGCTGTTTTTGGTGTAAGACTTTTGGCACTATTTAAATTTTTAAATTTTTAACTATGTAAGTATCTTATTTTGATAAAAGTAAACATTCATTGGATGGAAAGAAACTCCACAGGCTACCTTGGAAATAAGTCAGCTTCCTGATTTAGAAAGATTCATGCAGAAGTTTCCTTCCATCACTTTTTCTCAGTTTTGTTAGGTGTCCTTCGACTTTTAATCACTGTGAAGAAATAGCGAAAGGCATGACTTTTGGTACTGTCTTCTCCAGTCAACCTGAGGCACTGTGGGATTGCTAAAGGAAGTGTGGTTCAGGCTGCATGAAAGCAGTCTGGGTATGCTAGGCCAGGGAGGAGGCAGCCACAGCAGCGGCCAAGAGAAGCCACTGGAGGGATTCCTAGGTGGCTGGAGCTTGACCCGATCATTCCTAAGATTCCATTGTCCTGAGCCATCTAAACAGCAGTGTCTGCTATTCTATAATGACTCTGATTCCAGAACTGAACTGACCACCACTGGTCACATGGTAGGAAAAAATTAGGTGTAAATGTGGTCAAAATATAACAGAAAGTGAGGGGCAGAAAAACAGTTGAAGTGTCAGAATTAGTGATAAGGTGGGTATCTAGGGATAGCAGGCCAGGGGGTAGGGCCAACGTCAGAGACTGTATGGGACATAGTTGTGTCAAAGCATGGAGAGAGTGAATGCTGCTTCATGGACTTAAAAGTGGAACCTACCTTTCACTCTGTAATATGTGCCACTGGGGGACCTAAGTCAGCAGAGTCGTTATCATTTTTGTAGAGCCTTGAAGTCCCAGATAGTTAGGTGTATCCCTGTTAGGTGGATAGCTCTCCCAGGACTGAGATTTCCTGCAACCTCTTGAAGACCATATGGCTTTAGAACTTCTGGATAAACTCTTGGGTCAGGTTTGATCTTTGGGGAATGCTTTTGTTTACATAAAAGGGAAAAGAAAAAAGTCAGCAGATGTGATAACTTCCTATAGTAATAGTGTTTCCCTTGCAGGCAACTACATACTCTGATTTCCTCTTTGATACGACTTTTATTACTTCTCAAATGAAGTTAACAAGTACGTTTATGAGATATCTGGCCTAGCTTCATAAAAGAATTTTCTCTTTTCTTAAAAATAAAAACTAACAGAGATTGGAATGATCATATTCAGTATATTGTGAGCATATGAGAGACTTATAATATGCTTAGCATAAAATTTGACACTATTAATAAATTAATTATTGATGAAATTGGTTCATTAGTTCTAAAAATTTTATTTCCTCTGACTCAGGTAATAAACAGAAATAAAAATGATCTGCTCCCCACTTTATTCCACTTTAGAATTCTTGCCACATTTATTCATTAGTTTGAGAGGTCATGTAATTCCGGCTGTGCCTTAAAGATGAAGCCTCCAGAAATGAATTTTATCTAAAAATTAGACCTCACTTGAACAGAAGACATATCTCTTTCCCTTTGGATTACCCTTGTTGTCTTCTTTGTTGGTTTATAAAAAATAGATTAAGACCGTATATACACATCGAAAGAGTAGCCATCATATTTATTTTATTGCAAGTAAATATGCTGATGTATAGCAAAGATTTTTATCTACAATGCCTGATGCTTTCAATAGGAGAGTTGGTAAATGTACAGCAAATATTTAAGGCACCTTTTTCCCACTTGTTTTTTTTTTTTTGTGGTGGTGGTGGTGATTGTTGTTTGACCTGTTTTAATAAGGACAGTTAAATACCTGTGATTAAATAGTTGTTTGATTTTTTTCATTCAATTTTTATTTCTGATACAGGGGGTACATGTACAGGTTTGTTACATGGGTATATTGCTTCCAGGTAGTGAGCATGGTATGCAATAAGTAGTTTTTCAACTCATCCTTCCTCCCGCCCTTCCTCCTCGCTCTAGTCGTTTACAGCATCTATTGCTGCCATGTTTATGTTTATATGTGCTTAGTGTTTAGCTCCCCCTTATAAGTGAGAACATGCAGTATTTGGTTAATTCACTTAAGATTATGTTAATTCACTGTCCCTGTGTTAATTCCCTTAGGATTATGGCCTCCAGCTCTATACATGTTGCTTGAAGGACAGGATTTCATTGTTTTTATGACTATATAATATTCATGGTGTGTATGTACCACATTTTCTTTATCCAATCCACCATTAATGGACACCTAGGTTGATTCCATGATGTTGCTGTTGTGAACAGTGCAGTGATGAACATATGCATGTGCGTGTCTTTTTGGTACAATGATTTATTTTCCTTTCAGTATATAACCAGTAATGGGGTTGCTCTATTTTACATTATTTGGGAAATCTCCAAACTGCTTTCTACAGTGGCTGAACTAATTGATATTCCCACCAACAGTGCATAAGCATTCTCTTTTATCCGCAGCCTCACCAGTTTCTGTTGTTTTTTGACTTTTTAATAATAGCCATTCTGACTGGTATGAGATGTTATCTCATTATGGTGTTGATTTGCATTTCTACGATGATTAATGATGATGACAATTTTTTAATATGTTTGTTGGCTGCTTGTATGTCTTCTTTTGAGAAGTATCTGTTCATGTCCTTTGCCCGTTTTAATGCGGTTATTTGTGCTTTGCTTGTTGGTTTAACTTCCTTATGTATTCTGGATACTAGACCTTTGTCAGATGCATAGTTTGCAGATATTTTCTCCCATTCTATTAGCTGCCTGTTTACTCTATCTACTGTTTCTTTTGCTGTGCAGAAGCTCTTTAGTTTAATTAGGCCCCACTTGTCAATTTTTGTTTTTGTTGCAATCACTTTTGGGGACTTAGCCAAAAATTCTTTGCCAAGGCCAATGTTGAGAAGGGTATTTCCTAGATTTTCTTCTAGAATTTTTATAGTTTGTGATCTTACATTTCAATCTTTAGTCCATCTTAAGTTAATTTTTGTATGTGGTGAAAGGTGAGAGTCCAATTTCATTCTTTTGCATATGGCTAGCCAGTTATCCCAGCACCATTTATTGAATAAGGGGTCCTTTCCCCATTGCTTGCTTTTGTTGACCTTGAGGAAGATCAGATGATTGTAAGTGTGCCATTTTATTTTGGAGTTTTCTATTCTGTTCCATTGGTCAATGTGTCTGTTTTTGTACCAGTACCGTGCTGGTTTGGTTACTATAGCCTTATAGTATAGTTTGAAGTCAGGTAGTGTAATGCCTCTGGCTTTGTTCTTTTTGCTTAGGATTGCTTAGGCAATTCAGACTCTTTTTTGGTTCCATATTACTTAAAAATTTTTTTTTCTAATTCTGTGAAGTATGATATTAGTACTTTGCTAGAAATATCATTGAACCTCTAATTGCTTTAGGCACTATGGTCATTTTAACAAAATTAATTCTTCCAATCTATAAACATGGAACGCTTTTCATTTATTCGTGTTTTCTCTGAATTCTGTCAGCAGTTTTGTAGTTCTTTTTGTAGGGAACCTTCACCTTCTTGGTTAGTTGTATTTTCAGGTATTTCATTTTCTTTGTGACTTTGTAAATAGCAGTGTGTTCTTGATTTGACTTTCAGCATGGACACCATTGGTATATAGAAATGCTACTTTTTTTGTACATATCCAGGAACCTTGCTAAACCTGTTTATCAGTTCTAATAGCTTTTTCACAGAGTCTTTAGGGTTTTCTAGATATAGAATCATATCTTCAGGGAAGATAGTTTTATTTCTTTTCCTATTTGGATGCTTTTCTTTCTCTTCCCTATTGCTCTGTCTAGGACTTATTTCCCACTTTGTTTTAACACCATACAAAAGCTTAGGGAAGGAAAGGCCAAATGGAATAGTGTACTTATATGTGTTTTATAAAAAGAACATCATGTATAAATTAATATGGGGTTTAAGAGCCAAAATTTATACTTTAAATTATCATTGGCCCAGAAAAGTATGATTTTTTTTTTTTTTAAATCACATCATGCTTCTTGTTCAGGCGGAAATCTCAACCATTAAGCTCAGTTCATGTAGTTTGCAGTTTGGTATTTTTTGTATTTTGTGTCTAGAGACTTCTGCTCTGCATATGTCTTAGTCTGTTTTTTGTTGCTATAACAGAGTATCACAGACTGGGTAATTTATAAAGAAAGTAAATGTATTTCTTACACTTCTTCTGGGAAGTCCAAGATAGAAGATCTGGCATCTGGTGAGGGCCTTCTTGCTGTGTCATAAAATGGCAGAAGGCATCACATGTTGAGAGAGCAAAAGTATGCTTCTCAGATCAAGTCTCTCTTTCTCTTCTTACAAGGCCACCAGTCCTAAAATGGGGGCTCCATCCAGATTACCTTATCTAATCCTAATTACCTCCCATTTCCAATCAACATATGAATTTGGAGATTATGTTTCCAACACATGAAATGTGGGGGACATATTCAAATCCTAGCAGCCTGTACGCTTCATATCATTGCCAGACCTACTTTGCCTTACTGTTTATAAATTGCTTGCAGATAGAAATGGTATTATCTATGCACAAACACACACATACTTATCCCTGAATATCATCTAATAAAATCACTTTCTTTGTAATTGGTACTAAATAATTTGGACTGCTATCAAAACCTTTTAATATAGCAGCTCTTCTACTGAATATGTTCGAATTTGGTTCTCAAATCAGAGGAAGTCCTCATTATTAGAAAAGTGTACTGCCACCATTGTGCATTATGGTTTTCAATTTAATAAATTTGAATGAAAATCTGAAACAATAGCAATGTTTTTGAAAATGTATTATGTAATACAGTGGAAAATGTTTTCTGTTTTTACAATAATAGAATAAATACCGTGCAGATGGGCTTGAATTTAAATAAGAACAAAGAAATAAGAAAAAAAATGAAGCGTGTTTATAATATTTCTCAATATTTTACTTTTCAAATGAACTTTCTGCAGCAGAATTACACTTGAATTTGATTCAATTTTCTAAAAACTGAATTACATAAATATTTGGAAGGAGCATGTGTCACCACTGATTCATTCATTCAGCTTACATTTTTTGAACACCCACTGTGGTTCACGCTCTTTGTAAGGCTGGGGACATATAATGATGAGCAACATAGGCATGGGCTCATCATCAATAAGCAGGCAGAACATATTTAACGTATTTCATATTTGTTTTATTAAGCCAAATATGAAAATGGGCCAGCCAAAAGTGTGAGGGGGTGAAATGGGCTTAATTGTATTGTCTGATGTGGCAGCCTTGGTTGGATTTGTTTTGTTGGAGGAAAAGAATCTAAGGAAGGGATGAACTTGCTCACAGAAATGTACGTTCAGTTAACATGAACAGGTGATTAGAGGAAGTGTTAACCTGGGGTCTAGAGTGGTTAGCAATTACTTTAGTAATATATAATGCTTCTGACAGATCTCACAGGATCTCTGATATCGGAGATTATCTAACCCAACTCCTGAAGTCTTTCCTGACCACCTGTTTAAAAGAGCCCTCCTCTCTTCTATTCTGTCTCACAGTACACTTTTTCCTTTATCTCACTGGTTCAGATTTGTGTAACTTATTTATTACAGTTTACTTCTTTAATGTTTTTGCCCCCACCACTAGACGGAATTGCTACAAGGACATGAACTATGTCTGTTTTGTTCACCTGAGTAGAGTCATTGCCTGTGTCCTAATTGGTCCACAGGCAAAGTAGGTGATCAATAAATATTTATTAATGACTGCAAAATCAGTTTCTAAATGTAAACATCCAGGTTGTGACAGATCATGATTATGTAGTTGAGAGTTGTGTTATTTTGGATTGCTATGCTGTGTTTTACTTTAGGATCTTTAGCATTTCTACAAAAGTGAACCACCTTTTTATTTTTATTTTGAAGGAGATTATATTTCATATAAAGCAAAATGAAGGTAAGTAAATATGGTGAAATAAGAAAGCGAAAGAGTAAGAGAAAATATTGCAAGATTTATAAAAATACTTTATTTTTTTAAGTTTTGCTTTAGTATTTCCATAAGAAAAGTTTTCTGCCTAAGAAACAAGCAGTTAGGTGAGTGTCTTTCCTACCCCCTATAGACCTGCGTAGTTCATCTCACTACTCCTGCACAAGTCCTATTGGTCCTGGAGAAAATGGATGGCTTTAGAGAAAAATTAAAAGGTTTAGACCAGGGATCTCTAAAAAATCTACTATTTTCTTTGGCAATACTTTCTCATTTGTGAAGAGGAACTTTTCAGTTGCATTGTTTATGAAGAGGCATTTCCAAATGTAAATTGCTTTTCCCTACTGGTATCAGTGTAGCTATTGGGAGTTAAAACATGCTTGATACATGTTAGGATGTTAATATCTTACTCTTTCTTTGAACTCAGAAGACAGCTATGCCACTCATCAACCGACTACCTCTTCATGAGCTACATCTGCATATACTCTGGTTCTATGCAGAAGTCTAGGCCTGTTTATAACAGGAAGATCTTGGATGGATTAAAGGCAGAATCCCCATGTAGCTTTCAGATCAGTCATAATAGAATCTTAAGCATAATCGAATCAGTAAGCATTCTGAAACATGAGCTCTACCTTATAGATTAGGGAACTGAGTCTTGCTGATCATACATATGGTACTTTCTGTCCAGGAAATGAATATATGTGAGTTCTAGCATTTCTCCCCACCCCCCGCTCTAATGGTTCGATTTTTAGAACTGATCTTTTGATTCATTTTCCCTGCATCTTTTCTATTAGTGCTGAAGTTTGTCTCTATACTAATTCCTAAGGGAATGAGGCCTGAAGGCCAGTTGCATTCCTGCCTGTGTCTTTTCCTGCCTGGATGAGAAAACTTGAATCCTGCCTCTAGATCCCTCAGCTACTGCCTTGGTCTTGCGTCTGATGCACATATTGCTCTGACTCATCATGACTTCAGCACCAACTGTTTTGTCTACAGTATCAGCAGTCTGGAATTCCTCAACCACCATCTCAGTTCTGGACTGCCTCGTTGGATGTTACTGATGTTGACACTTGAGAAGCTGGTTTCACCAGCCAAATGTGGAGCATCATAGTGCCTAATAGCTTCTGGTGGCCTTAACTTCCTTCTCCAGTTGGTTTCCTTCAGGTTTTTTTCCATTTTCTTCTTTTGGCTCTGGGTTTGGTCTAGTATGCTTGTTCATATTGTGACAAGTGACACCTTTGGGAAAAAAACAATACAAAACAAAACAAAGAAACTGCAAGAAGTTCCCTACAAGAAGACCCCAAAATGCGTGTTAGGGTTTGATGCTCTGTGCATTCCAGGAGATGTGTTCATTTAATTTTTGCTTTAGTTGGTGGTTTCTCTAGGAACCTTCATGAACAACAGGAGGATGGTCTGCTGTTCTCAGATAATAAAGGGATTGAGTGGACTCAGTATTAGCCACTCAAGATGTTCATGTTCAATGCTAGCGCCACTTTAAAGAAATAATGGGCTGGCGCGGTGGCTCACGCCTGTAACCCCAGTACTTTGGGAGGCTGAGGCGGTCGCATCAGGAGGTCAGGAGATCAAGACCATCCTGGCTAACACGGTGAAACCCTGTCTCTACTAAAAATACAAAAAATTAGCTGGGTGTGGTCGTGGGCGCCTGTAGTCCCAGCTACTTTGGAGGCTGAGGCAGGAGAATGGCGTGAACCTGGGAGGCGGAGCTTGCAGTGAGCCAAGATCATGCCACTGCATTCCAGCCGGGGCGACAGACCAAGACTCCACCTCAAAAAAAAAAAAAAAAAAAAAAGGAAAAGAAAAAAGAAATAATGAGTGAGTTATGACTTAGAGGCTTGTCTGCAGCACATCAGCACGTCTACTCTGCGGTACTCCCTGGTCTTTACCCTGCTCTTGACTTTCTGCCTTTCTCCTGCAAGTAGCATACTACTTGTAGCATGTCACAGCAAGTAGGAGCTGTAGAAAAGCCTTGGTCCAGCACTCTCATTGCATATGTTTTATATTTTGTAGAATTTAGGTCCATAGAGGGAGCTACATAAGCTTTCATTGTAATTAAGTTTGTGATTTCAATTCCATGATGATATATGTCTTTCAGATTAAGCTTACCAAAATACTCATTCTACCTGAGTTTATATCATGAAACAGAACATCTCTGTCTAAATTGTTAAAATCTATTTGATATTTAAACATAAAATAAAAGATGATCAGGCCCAGATGGTATGGTAGAGAAACTCATATCTGGCTACAAACCCTGGCTGCGCTACTGACTTCTATGTGACTTTAAGCAAGAATTCATTGAATGTTACTTCCCCTCTTTGACATAGGTTAATACCATTGTTCAAGACAGTTGTGCAAATTGAGAGAAAGCATAGTAAGTGCCTATCAAAAAATCCATCACAAAGCACATGCTCCAAGAGTGTTCTTTGCTTACTGGAGAAGGGACACTGTTGAATATTCACTTACATCTTTCTAACATTCAAATCTTAATGATAAAGGGATAACATAAAGCTTGGCTTTGGGTAAGTTCTGAGAGTTTTTTTGGATCTCATAACTATACTCATTCAAGGATCAATAAAATCTAATCATGTCCTTACTATAAAAGACTGTCTCTTGTCATTTCCTGTCCTCTTTTTCCATCCTTCTTCACATTTTTATTTCTTTCTAAATTGTCAGTGCATGCACCTTAAAACCTTGAAGATGCTCCCCAGTTCCTTTCTACAAAAACTTTACCACCCATAGATTTTTTCCATAGATCATTTATAATCCCTCTTTCTCCTGCTGCCTGCCTCCAGCATCTGTTCTATGAGTCCAGGAGGAAGTAATTGAAACACAGTGAGTGAATGATGAGAGTCCACTGATCTTACTAAGGAAATGCATGTGAATCCGGCTGTCTGGGCATTTGTCCCTCTGCCAGGTGACCTTAGGTCTGCAGATGTCCAAATACAGGGTGTGAGATTGAGCTAATTTGGATTTAGGCACATCGGCCATATAAAATTTAGCCAGCAGTTTGCAATTCACCAGGCATAGCCTTTTTCTAAATCTGTTTTCATTTCTAGAAGACAAATTTTAACCTTTGACACTAGATTGGTGTAATCCTAGTTATTAGAAAACACTGAAATGGACTTCTGTTGAATTTCATGTTCACATCTACACAGCTTTCTTTTGGTCCATCAGTCAATAGATAGATAGAGATATGAATGTATGTGTATATATAATATATATGTTATATTTCATTTGTACTATTATAGTTTGTGTTTTAAGTAGTTTGTGGTTTAATGCAGAAGTCCCCAACCCCGGGGTCATGGACCAGTACCTGTCCGTGGCCTGTTAGGAGCCCACAGCAGGAGGTGAGTGGTGGGCAAGTGAGCGTTACCACCTGAGCTCCGCCTCCTGTCAGAGCAGTGGGGGCATTAGATTCTCATACCAGCACGAACCCTATTGTGATTTGCACATGTGAAGGATCTAGGTTGCATGCTCCTTATAATAACAAATGCCTGATGATCTGAGGTGGAGCAGTTTCATCCTGAAACCATCCCTCCTCCCTCCGACACATTCCCCCGGTGGAAAAATTGTTGCCCATGAAACTGGTCCCTGGTGCCAGAAAGGTTAGGGACCGCTGGTGTAATGGGAGAATAATAATGTACACTTTACAGATCAAAATAATAATATTTCAGTATATGATGTAACTATTTCTTTGGAAAACAAGGCAATATTTTAAAATGGGGTAGAGAGATTCTATCTGCCTATTGGCATAGTTAGGTTGATTGATTTACTTATAAAATGATGGTTAGAACATGAGGAAATATATCAGACTTCAGACTACATATTAGGTTTTGGATTTGTTATTGTTGGTTAAAAAAATTCCTTGGCTATAAAAAGTGAGTCGGTTTTAAATAGTCTAATTAGGCAATCACTGTGTTGCTTATCTGCATTCACAAACAGCAAATGAAAACCGGAAGTGACTACATGTTGCTTAATTAGTCCAATTAAACACCTGCCTTAGACTTCCTTGCTTAGCAAACCCAAGACTTCTCAAAATCACTAGCACATTGCTAAAAATATGACTTTAATTTGAAAAATTGTTTTGCACATTCTGTATGAAAAATGTAAAGAAAATACATGGGAATTATGCATTGCTTAAAACAAAAGATTAGACTTTGTAATTAAGCTAATTTAGTGGTACTATACAAATATATTCAGATTGAAAGCTTGTTAAAAACACATGAAAACCAAAGAAAGTGTACATATGAAGAAAAGCATGGCATGTGTTGAGGAATTCCATCAAATACTTGGATGAAAGACAGCAGTGGTCCTCAGATCAGCAGGACTCCCTGTAAACCCCAGAATGGCTTCAGCTTAGCCACCTAAATGACTTGGAAAGATACCAGAAAAGGAGATCTCTGATATTCTTTTGTGAATCCCTCTTAATTTTGACGTAAAAATTCATTGAAAATCAATACTATCCCATTTATTTTAGTCTATCTCAGTGGATACAGAGAACAGATTTCAGATATTTCTTTTTTTATTTTATTTTATTTTATTATTATTATACTTTAAGTTTTAGGGTACCTGTGCACAATGTGCAGGTTAGTTACATATGTATACATGTGCCATGCTGGTGTCCTGCACCCATTAACTCGTCATTTAGCATTAGGTATATCTCCTAAAGCTATCCCTCCCCCCTCCCCCCACCCCACAACGGTCCCCAGAGTGTGATGTTCCCCTTCCTGTGTCCATGTGTTCTCATTGTTCAATTCCCACATATGAGTGAGAATATGCAGTGTTTGGTTTTTTGTTCTTGCGATAGTTTACTGTGAATGATGATTTCCAGTTTCATCCATGTCCCTACAAAGGACATGAACTCATCATTTTTTATGGCTGCATAGTATTCCATGGTGTTTATGTGCCACATTTTCTTAATCCAGTCTATCATTGTTGGACATTTGGGTTGGTTCCAAGTCTTTGCTATTGTGAATAGTGCCACAGTAAACATACTTGTGCATGTGTCTTTATAGCAGCATGATTTGTAATCCTTTGGGTATATACCCAGTAATGGGATTGCTGGGTCAAATGGTATTTCTAGTTCTAGATCCCTGAGGAATCACCACACTGACTTCCACAATGGTTGAACTAGTTTACAGTCCCACCAACAGTGTAAAAGTGTTCCTATTTCTCCACATCCTCTCCAGCACCTGTTGTTTCCTGACTTTTTAATGATCGCCATTCTAACTGGTGTGAGATGGTATCTCATTGTGGTTTTGATTTGCATTTCTCTGATGGCCAGTGATGATGAGCATTTTTTCACTGTATCTTTTGGCTGCATAAATGTCTTGTTTTGAGAAGTGTCTGTTGATATCCTTCACCCACTTTTTGATGAGGTTGTTTGTTTTTTTCTTGTAAATTTGAGTTCATTGTAGATTCTGGATAATAGCCCTTTGTCAGATGAGTAGATTGCGAAAATTGTCTCCCATTTTGTAGGTTGCCTGTTCACTCTGGTGGTAGTTTCTTTTGCTGTGCAGAAGCTCTTTAGTTTAATTAGATCCCATTTGTCAATTTTGGCTTTTGTTGCCATTGCTTTTGGTGTTTCAGACATGAAGTCCTTGTCCATGCCTATGTCCTGAATGGTAATGCCTAGGTTTTCTTATAGGGTTTTTGTGGTTTTAGGTCTAATGCTTAAGTCTTTAATCCATCTTGAATTAATTTTTGTATAAGGTGTAAGGAAGGGATCCAGTTTCAGCTTTCTCCATATGGCTAGCCAGTTTTCCCAGCACCATATATTAAATAGGGAATCCTTTCCCCATTGCTTGTTTCTCTCAGGTTTGTCAAAGATCAGATAGTTGTAGATATGCGGCGTTATTTTCTGAGGGCTCTGTTCTGTTCCATTGATCTATATCTCTGTTTTGGTACCAGTACCATGCTGTTTTGGTTACTGTAGCCTTGTAGTATAGTTTGAAGTCAGGTAGCGTGATGCTATATAAAACTTACCATCATGAACCAGGAGTCAAGAATTTTATTTTATTAGCACATAGAATGTAGAAATTTGAAGTAACTTAAGGATAATTTTTAATTTATAGCTGACAAAAATGAAGCCCAAAGAGATTAATTGAACTCAATTTTATACAGCGAATAAGTGGCTGGTCTGGGGCTCAAGTTCAATTATTCTGACCTCATGTCCGGCACCCTTTCCCCTTGTGGTTGTATGTTCAATATTATTTGTTGAAGCATTCCTTTGGCTACAGAGCTAAGTTCCTTAAATAAACTGTCTTACTTAAGCCTCACAGCATCCCTTTAAGGTGTATATTATTGTCTTCACTTTTCAGAATGGGAAGCTGAGTCTCAGATTCAATCATTTGGCACCTAAGTAAGAAATGGGAAGTTCCAAATTCTGTATTGTTTCTGTCCCCTGACCCGTGCTGCTTCCTCTCACTGACATTTCACTCTGCAGTATTGAATGCTTCCATACTAATTATCCAGGGCCCATTCTGCAATTTCAGAAATGCTAATACCAGTTTTAAAAAGAAATAATATCCTGAATTAGAAAATGAGCTGCTTTCTTTTTTTGTGTGAATTGTCCAAATAAAGGTTCACAAGAAGAACCTTGACAAGCATAATTGCAACCTGTTCATTTCCCCTTTAAGTCATCAAACATTCCCGAGAAGCTTGAGGCCTCTAAGAAGTGATGCTTAAGGAATGCAGCTTGACAATATGGCAGTGCATTCAAGTGGAAGGCTGGCTATTCTATCCATGAAGATGACCCTACAGTAAAATACCAGTGTGGCCTTTTTTCATGTCACTGGCATTTTACCAGCAGTTTGTAATTTAATGGAAGAATAATAATGTACACTTACACATCAAAATCAGAAAATGTCAGTGTATGATGTAATTGTTTCTTTGAAAAACAAGGGAATGTTTTTAAAATGGAGTATGTCCTGCATACTGTAATAAAATTATGCAGCCACATCAGTTGTCTTGCCATAAAACCAATTGATTTTAGTTTTAAAAATTTGTATTATATGTAAAATGAGACAAATATGTGCTGATCATTATCTTAGGGTAATAAACCACAAGTGTCGGACAAATTAAAACCTGAATTATTATTCTTTGATAGGCTTTATGACTTCTGGCAGGCAAATTGCTCAAAGCTTTGATTTTCTTATCTGAGTAATAGGGATAATACTTTTATTTCCTTGTTCTCACAAACATGTGCTATATGTGTAATGAGCTGAGCATACCTGGAGAACACTTAGTATTTAACATTCTATTAAGCAAAGAGCAAGGTGGCATTATTAATCATGGTTTATTTTAATTCTAGAGTAGAAACTAATGAACAATAGAAGGATGAGATTTTGTTGAGATTTTTCTGCTTCTAATTTTTGGAAAAAACTGTTTTTATATATGCTAATGGAGAGATTTTTTTTTCTTAGAACTTAGTAGGCTTGTGTTAAACTTATCTCCCTGTGGCTTTCAAGTATAATTTTCTTCATAGGAGACTAGTATTGTTGGTTTTATTCCAAGAAATGCTAATGGATTATTTATATTTTTCATTTTAGTATTAATTCCAGCTATTAATTTTTGAGCTTATTAAGAATCTAAAGCTCCTTTTCATTATTTCTAAAAGTAGCTTGAAATTCACATTTTCAGCATATCATAGTTACCATGATTTGATAAAGTATTTTTAAAAATATGTGTCATATGACAAAACCATGAAACTCAAGGTAGAGTGTACTCACATACGTACATACACAGGACACAAATATAGGCTAGAATTCCTTTCATGCTACAGAGAGAGAGACAAAGGGAGACCAAAAAATAAATAAATAAAAAACAAATTTAGTGGTTACTACAAAAAAAATGAGAAAAATGAATAAATCATTTTTATTTGATGCAATGAGGTTTATATCCATACTTTCCTGCTTGGATGTTTCTTTCAAGAAATTTAAAAGAAATTAATATCAAGGAAACTAATATCAAAGAAGAATAAAGAAATTAATATCAAACACTGTTACTTTTTAAGGTCAGTGTCACTTAAGCTATAATTTCCCATATCAAAATATGGGTTTGTTTGTTTGTTTACATTACTAGAAATTTTCTTTGTTTCAAAATGTGTTACTTTTGATTGTTGCCTTTACCCGCTATACTTAGTAGGAACAAATACTAGCTTCAGCCAATGAAGTAAGAATAGACAGGGCATAGTGATAAAGTACTTGAATCTCCTGTGTTTCAACGATGATTTTGATGATTTTTCATTGATGATTTAGACTTGTTTATTGAAGTGTGGTCTCAGGGAGCCCTGTACTCTCGAGTCATCTACAGTTTTACCAAATGTGGTTGATATCTGTTTTCTGAAAAACTTTTTCTGACTTCTGAAACTGACTAATGTGTTTTTCTGTATCCTGAATTAAAACTGATTGATAATCCCTCTGCAAAACCCATACAGGTATAAAAGACAAGGAGATGTGATAGCTTGTGGCTACCCACCAGAACTATTTGTGCTAGAGAGATGTGAGTTCGCTTACATGTTGGGTTTTGCTTATCATTTTCATCCAAAAGAAAAGGATACATTGAGATGCGTGTGAGTGGATAGAAATAGAAAATTCATTGCTAGTGGAGGCTTGGTAAGGATTTTAGTGAGTGGAAAATCTGGCTGGTTGTCCGTGAGGTTCATTTGGGCTGGAAGTATTGAGGGAGATGATCAGACATTTGAGATATCTTTAAAGCATTTGGCAATAGCCCTTAATGTGCTCTCAAGTTGAGAAAGTGGCAGGAAAATATTTATTCTACAACTTTATTTTTGTTTTTTTTTTTTACCATCAAATGCAGTTTGTCTCTTTAAGAGCAAAAATAAATATTCAGACAGAGTTTCTCAGTTAGCAGAAATCACTCATTTTCTCCTAAAATGACATTAAAAAGAGTAAAAGCTTGTAAAGTCCTCAAGTAACATTAAAAAAAATTTATAAATACATTGGACTATATACATACCGACTATATCTACCTGTTTTTGTAAGCTTATTTAAAATGTCTATACTAGTGTCATAATTTACTAAAGCCATTAACTGACTGTTTGAAATTTCATTCTCAATAATTCTTTTTAGAGTCAGTAGTTGGGTTTTTACCATAAGAAAAAGTTTGAAATCTGACGTGAAAAACTTCAGATTTGTGATGTTTGTCTCCATGTTGTTTGTTTTCTGCTCTGAGAGATGCCAACAAGTGGCAATTGAGTTATTCCCAGGTCATTGAAAAGTGAAGAGAATGGATTTCTAGAACTGTATAAGAACAAGGACTTGACGATTTAAAATTTTTTCATATAAAAAATGGGAATTTGTTCCTAGCAATTCATAGAAAAAAGTGTGTGAAAGCCACCTAAAAAGCACGAGACTGGCATGCAAAGCTTTATCTGCCAAATGTTATAATAGAAATATTTTCATAATAACATAAAACAGTAAAACAACAAAAAGTTTGTATATGTCTCTGTATGCATACAAATAGAGAATGTATGTGTTATTTATTTTTCTAAATGAGCATACATTCCTGAACTAATAATGTATTACATACATTATACAATATACATAAAAGTAGACATTTAAAAGAATGGCATACACTTTTAAAAACAACATTCTATTTGTTAACTGTATACGATGATACAGTTAATATTAGCTGCTGTAATAGAGTATCTTTAAAATCTCAGAGACTTAACAGAAGTTTTCTTCTTACTACATAATATCTAAATGGGTCTTTCTGATCCATAGGTCACTCTCCTCCAAGGGAAACTTCAGGAAGTTAGGCTCCTTTCTACCTGTGGCTTCTTCGTCTTTAACACCTGGCTTCCATGTTTGCCAGTTGGGAGAAAACAAAAAACAAAAAACAAAAAACAAAATGGAGGTTGATTTTAATGAGCCAGATTGAGAAGAACACACAGCACTCACTGATGCTCACATTTCATTGGCTAGAATTTGTCAATTGACCGCATCAACTTCAAACGAGAGTGAAAAATATAGTCTCACATTGTGTCCACAGGAAAAAGAAGCGGGTTCGCTGGTGGCACCCAGCAGTCTTCTCCACTAACAATTACAAATATAATAAGTTTGCTTTTTGCTAAGAATGAAAATCAACAAATATATCTCAAATAGCTACATTTGCTGGTGTTTTTTCTTTTTAAAGATTTGCAAGTCATAATTGCTTATACCATCATGAGCTAATATCTTAAGGACACTGGGATGAGATTCACTGTCAGCAATAATAGATGTAAATACATATTTTAACTTCTCAGCTCTGATGAGACTATATGTTTTTTCAGCCTCATAACTAGTTGACAAAGAGCTTGTATTATGAATAAAGGCAGTGTCAGCTATGTGTTTTCTTATAGTTTACTTATGCTTGTATTTTTAGTACTATCTTCAATCTCCAGTTTATAGTCTTTTAAAGCCTGTTCCATTCTGTGCATAGGTGTGTGTGTGTGTGCAAGTGTGTGTGAAAACTAGAAAATTTAAGACTTAAACCCACTTACCAGGCACGCATTAAAGTATAAGTTCATCCCTGCAATTCCTGAATTTGTGGGAACTTACCCTTCCCTCAAGATACCCCATTTATCACATGTGACATGTGACCATCTAACATAGGGATGGGTGGTGGTACAAGTGTAAGTCCTTACATGAAACAGTAGTCAGGATACATTGTTTTATATTTTTAGACAAAAATCAATATAGAGTCCTCATATTTTTCCTGCATCTCACCATCGACTACTCCCTATAGAGTATGTGCACCCTGTGCTGGAGTCCACTAACCTTAAAGAAAGAAAATGTCAAACCTCGTGTTCATGTCAATCAAAGAGTGCAATAAAAAGATGATGAATGTTGGGATAATGGGAATTTGGGTAAACAGAATCCTTTGCCTAACATACTATTGATTGGAAAATATTTTGTGTCTATTGTGCTTTCAGATTTGTTTCTACTCTTTCTTGGAACAGTCTAGCTTTACTTTGTTTCATTTTGTTTTAACCTTAGTAAATGCAAAATAGTGATTCATCAATGGAATTGAATTTTTAATTTCTAGGGACATTCCAAACAGCTTTCCTGAGATGGGCACTGATCCTTAAAATATTTTGGAATTTGAAAAAGAGGAATGCCTTCTTACCCATTTAAAATCCCTGGTTCTAAGCAATTGTTTCTTCAGTGAATATCTGGCATTATTTTAGTGTCTTAATTTTTAGTGTCACTTTTCAATGGCTGTAAGTGTAGACATTGAAAGTTGTATAGATTTTAGGATAACCTAGGTTGGCAATAGATCCTTTAAACCAGTTTGTTTCTTTTCATTGCTTGGTTTATTGTGTTTTATCAAATCAAAGATGCCATCAACTGTAAGATATATATTTTAGATACTCTAAGAGAAAAATTAAGTTCTATCAAATATATCTTTAAAATGACATAAATTGTAAGACTCATTCTTATTTTGTATATGTTAAACTGTGGTAAAAATGTATACCTTAGAATTAATGAAATACAAAGTATTCTACTGTCTTCCAGCAAAGGTTTCAGGAAACTTTAAGGATATATAAAGTGCAGAAAGATTAAAACATCTTAAGGGAAAATGCTTTTAAGAAAGCAAGATGAATGTAGCACAAATAAGAGCCAGGATTGAGACTAATTTGGTAATAATCATCATTACGTCATATGCCTTCCTGAAGGGAGCATAAATTTGGGTGAAACTGTTTTGAAGTCAGTACAAAAAGGAAAAGGAAATCTTAATTTATTATGCAGCTTAAAATCATAAAGTAAAATCAAACCAGTTTCTAAGAGGAAGTATCAATTTCCTTGGTAATGAACAAAAATTTATGTAATGTGAGCAACAATAATATCTCATCAATAACCTTAGAGAATACACAATGAGCATCCTATGACTTTGTGCAGTAGTGTCCTCCCATTGAGGTAAGTGGTATCACAATAAGTCAGTAGAAACACTTTTACCAGTGTCCATTATAATACTTCTTCTCTCCTGGCTTATCTGCTTTAATGTAGAGTGGTTGGTGGTTTGTACTAGGTGGTGAGAGAGAGATGGACTGAACATCCTTAAGCAAACTAAATGTTTCTCTCATGTAAGCTTTTGGATGGCAGTAATCTACACCATACTCTCTGGAGGTTACCAAAAATGGAGCTTATCTGTGCTGCTATTTAAATATGAAACATCGTGCCCTAATAGAGACTGGAAAAAATATTAGTTGATATTCTCTAGGGAAAATTGAGTTTCTTCTGAAGAACAGGTGCATGAAGAAAAGGCTGCTGTACTTTGTCTTGGCTCGTAGACACTACTGAAACACTTCCTAGGAAATGAGTTCAAATCACATCTCACCGACAACATGAAAGGATGATCCAGTTCCCAAATGCTCTACTCCATAACTTGAAGCCACAGAAACTTTAGCCTAGAAAAATTTTAATATACGTATGACTGGCCATTCATATTGGCCATAAAAATATCTCACCCAATCATAGATATTTATTTGGGGAGTTATTTCTGAATTCTACTTGCTATTATATTCTTCAGGAAATGTAGACCACAGCAACTGAGTTACAAGGCTTGCCTCATGGCCTTACTTAAAAGTTGAGGGTACGTCTACAATAATTAATAAGTATAATACGTTAATTATAGGCTTTCTTTGTAGCAGTAATTAATTAGTGCCAGTTCAGTCCTATCTTAGATAATTAAATCATAAAACCATATCTTCAAGGTTTCAGAAAGCTGGTCTTCCAGGTCTCAGTATCAGTGGGCATGCATCTGAATTCTATGCAGTTACTGTCAGATAACGGGGAGGAAATTTCAAAGACAAAGAGACAGACTAATTCTCTGGGGTTTTTTCCTCTATAAATTTTTAATGCATCATTAAAAGATCATTGTTTCTGACTTTTGAAACTGTGGAAGCATCAGTAACTTTGGTTCTTATTATTTACTTCTTTTTTAATCTAAAATAAGGTGTGAAGTTGTGCTTGAGAGAAATGATCCTTTCAACAAGAGATCCTATTGTAGTAGTTTCTATTGTAGTAGTTTCTGTGAAAGTTTTATCTTAGTTTTTAATGAAGCTGAAATAAGTCTGTATTGTCACCTCCCTTTGCGTCAGAATTTGTATAACTTTGTTGGTCTGCCTTTCTCTCTGATGTGTACAACATACAACATACATATATCTTTAAATCTCACAAGTATTCTGCTTTAGGAAATAACTTCTAATAGAGTATACCAGAAGGTAAGCGTATATCTTTTTATATATTTTATGAGGAAAAGGCACAAGCCATATTTGCACTTACTCTATCATTGCTAAAGGAATAAATCAGGTGGTTCAAGGAAGAATAATTTAAGAAAAACAACATTTTGATGTATTACTTGGCAGTTAATTTTTAACTGGTCATTAAAACCTGACTGAAGATTTCTCCTTAGAAGCTTGGTATTATCAAATATATTACTAGTTGAAGACTTAGCTTCTTCATATTTCAAGTTAGTTACACTAGTTTTCCTCTTTCAGGAAATTTTCATTTATCTTCAGTTGCTGCTGGAATAAATAGAGTGTTTTTTGTAATTTTGTCTTCAAACATTCACCCCAAAAATGTCTTGCTTTGGAATTTCTATTTTAATTTTTACTTGTTTTAAATTTTAATTCTTTTAGGTTGTGGCAGCAATTGAAGCCTTCTCTTGTGTTAGCTGAGTAATCGTGAAGATTGAACTACCTTAGAGCAACACAGTAGAATTCCCAAAAGCTTAGTACTCGTATCTGCAAAGTGCACAAGTCTTTAGGCATCTAGCAAAACAATGCCCAAATTATCTTGGTTCTCCTTTACTGGTGTTTTTCTGGAGAGCTCAACAATTTCACCATGTTTATATATGTATACTCTCACTTTCCCAAGTTCCTCGTGCCTCCATAATAGAGGAGATGCTTTCCCACCAAAAGACGGTGAATTGATTCACCAAGCTGTTTGTAAGGAATCATGATGTATCATGGCACCTAAAATGAGAGGAAGGGTTTACCTGTTAAAAGTCACTGCTGCCGGGTGCGGTGGCTCATGCCAGTAATCCCAGCTCTTTGGGAGGCAGAGGCAGGCGGATCACCTGAGGTCAGGAGTTTGAGACCAGCCTGGCCAACATGGCGAAACCCCGTCTCTACTAAAAATACAAAAAATTAGCTGGGCTTGGTGGCGGGTGCCTGTAATCCCAGCTACTCGGGAGGCTGAGGCAGGAGAATAGCTTGAACTCAGGAGATAGAGGTTGCGGTGCGCCAAGATTGTGCCACCACTCTCCAGCCTGGGCAACGGAGTGAGACTCCGTCTCAAAAAAAAAAAAAAAAGGTCACTGCTTTGTCTTTCACTTTTTTTCGCTTCAGCTAGACTCCTAGATAAATGTTTCTGCAAGTGAAGTTTATTATCCATACAAATCTTAATTGTATGCAACGAATGCAAAATGCCTAAGCCCAGACTTACCTGATCAGAAGCTCTGTGGGTAGGGTCCAGAAATTTGCCTTCTTACAGGAATCTAGGGGAATGTTAGGGATGATATAGTTGGAAAATAATTGTGCCAAATTTTAGCGTTTCTTATATTTTAATGTGCATATGAATCAACTATTAGTAGGTCTGGGATGGGTCCTGAAATTCTACATTTCTAACAAGCCTATATAACACTGATGCTCTCCATAGCTCACTTGGAGTATCAGTGTGCTAAAGTTTTTCAGCTGGCTGCCCCATAGGTAAGGCTTAGACAAACTATAGTGTTGCTGGTTTCAGGAAGCAACAGAGTTGCTCTGTCACAAGTCTCAGGTCCTTCTCACATTTCAAAATCAGTGTAATGGAGTTTCCAAGACAAAGTGCCTTGATGCCCTATTGCCTATTATTTTGGAGAAAGAAGTATTTCATGCCTGTTGAGCTTTTGCAGCCTAAAAGTGGAGTACTGATCAAGTAGAAGAGACACAGTCAAGTTGACAAATTGTCTTAAAATACAACATATCGCAAGAAAGAGAAATGAATGAAATGGTCTTGGCCACTGCACTACCGCCATTGTGCAGGAGTGGTAGGTCAACTTTTAGGACTTTAGGTCATGAGCAGTCTATACAAGCCTGGGTCTCAGTTTTATACTCACATCACACCATTAACATATCTGAAAACAGTGGTGCCTATTATCTGGCTATTTCTGAGTTTTCCACTGGCCAGTGTTCCTGGGACCATTATTAGATTAAGGTCGAAGGACCCTAGAACACTTACACTCTTACCTGTGACCTGCGGAATTTCTTCTCTTTAAGGAGAGGCAGAGAGATTGAGGAAATATTTGGGGTGGGGCTAGAGCAAAGTTGAGTATTCTTGTAGGTTGTGGTTAGGAAGTCTGCAGAGAGGAGGACGTTGAAGATTTAGCAGGAAGCTGGCACAGCTAATACAACAGTTCTGGAGGATGTGATTAGGAAATTAGTTAAAGGGGTGATGGTAGTAGCAGGCTTTTCCTGTTGGAGGAGGGATAGAGATAAAGATGGGTACAGAAATAAGTGAGTTTGGTGGACGGTAATGTATGTTCCTTTTAAAGCTGTATGAGTTTAGAGAAGGAAATGATTATTGCTAAGAAAATTAACCAGGAGATATTTCCAGGAGGAAGTGGAATTGAGTCAACGGCACTAAATGTGGTAGAATGGTATTATAAGATAAAAATGATTTGATTTTAGCAACCTGTTAACTAACAAGAGGACTCTGCTACAGGAGGTGAGAGGATTAAAGCAAATTTCACTGGGCTGAGAAATGAATGGAAAGAGAAACGGACATTTTGAACCTATGCTTTTCTTTTTTAAAAAATTGGCAGTGACTAATGAAATCTGAATTTCTTAACTTGGCTTTCAAAGCCTTGCAAAGTTTTGTTCCATTACATCTATCTAACCTTACTTTCCAAATAATTTATAGGTTAGCTTTATTCTCAATTAAGACTGATTTCCTTACTGCCTTGGAAAACATCAGCTCCATCTTTACATATGTCAATATTCATGCTATTACTACCAGTTTTTGTTGCAGGGACTTTGCTGTTTTTTTTTTTTTTCTTTTTTTTCCATTTTTTCCCCTACTGCTTTACAAATGGATAGGAAAGAAGAATGTGTGGATCTTGAGTGATCCTTGCCTTGAGTGGAAGTTGAGAGTGGGAATTAGAGAGAATCCCTGGTTGGGGCAGAGGGAGGCCTAACATTCAACCAAGGATTTCCATAGAATGAAACATTTGTTTTGAGACAGAAACATGTTTTAATAACATATTCTCAGTGTTTGCTTACAAAGGGGTTTCTCTGTCAAACTCTTCCATTCACTGAAAGAAAACAGCTTATGATGTATCTTAAAGAAAGTATGCTTACATTTGCCTTTTATTTCTGGATTTCTCTACTTGTCCTCATAGGGCCCATGTTCTAGTAACATATTCTCAATGTCTGTTTACAAAAGTTTTTCTCTGTCAAGCTCTTTCATTCACTGAAAGAAAACAGCTTATGATGAATGTTTAAGAAAGCATGCTGATATTTGCCTTTTTTAAAATACAGATTTAGGGGGTACAAGTGCAGTTTTGTTACATGGATATATTGTGTAGTGGTGAAGTCCAGAATAAGCCATTTCTTACAAGACTGCCAACAAGCTGCATCAGACACTTAAAAAGTCTATAAGTACCATCTACCAAGACCTAGTGTCAGTCTGGATATCAAACTTACGCACAGATACCTGCAATTCCAGCAATTGGGCCACCTTGTGGCTCCCACCTTTAGATCAAAATGTGTTCCTGCTGCTCTGACTTCTCTAAGGCATCCAGTTATGCAAAAGGTGACTGCACTATTCATTAGAATTCATAATTCTGATACTCACTAACTGACTTGAGAGGTAGTAGGTGGATCCATGGGACAAGGTAGTCATTTTCTTCACTAAAAATCTTTGATTACTGATCTTTAGTATATCTTGGTTCTTCATGACTGAGCAATAAATTTCTTTTTTTAATTTAACTTTTATTTTAAGTTCAGAGGTACATGTGCAGGTTTGTTATATAGGTAAACTTGCGTGAAGGGGGTTTGTGGTACAGATTATTTTGTCACCCAGGTATTTAACCTAATGCTTATTAATTATTTTTCCTGATTCTCTCCCTCCTCCCAACCTCTACCCTCTGATAGGCCCCAGTGTGTGTTGTTCCCATCTTTGTGTCCATGTGTCTGAATCATTTAGCTCCCACTTGTAAGTGAGAACATGCAGTATTCGATTTTGTTTGCTAAGGATAATGTCCTCTAGCTCCATCCATGATCCTGCAAAGGACATGATCTTGTTCTTTTTTAAGCAACAAATTTTCTTATTATTCTTTACCCATAGAAGAGCATTGTTACATAGGAACCCTAAGATCTCCTATTTGGTTAGTTATAAGATTTTTGAAATACTTTTGTCCTTCTTTTGCTTTCAGCTGACACAAAAAGCCCTAATATGCATTTTCTAGACTGAGACTCTTGAATACATCAGATATTACAGGGCATTGCAGGAAGATAGGATAAAATAGTTGGTTAACATTTCACTAACATTTATAAACATATATTCATATATATAAATAATGCCTTTGAATGAAAAGACAACCAATAGGACACAAAAAATGTAGTGAGACAAATGTAGAGAATAAATACATTTTAAGATTATTTTGTCGTTTAGCAGCCTCTCATTGTTAGAAAGAAAAGCAAGAGGAGACTGGTGAGTTCTCAGGTTCCAAAGATACAGCATAGAGCACAACAACAATTCAGCCTTTTGTCTCTCTCGAGTCATGTGAATTTGAAGAAGTTTTTTTTTTTAACGTATGGTAACTTCTCTAAGCTGGGTTTCCCTACCCGTGAAATAACAAGATAGAACTGAAGTAGATGAATATGAACTTTCAGAATTTTAGGTGTAAATATAGGCATAGCTCAAGAAGAATAAAAGCCTGTAACATGATGGGAAAAAATGACACTTCAGGTGGGAGAAAAGGAAAATGTGCAGTAGTGTGGAGTGGCATGCATTGTCATAGGGTGGCAAGAGAACGGGCACGGCAACTCAGGGGAAGGAGTGGGAATAAATCAGTGAATTTGCATAGCAAGGGCTAGGCTGAGAATTCCCAAGAGTGGTTAGTTTAAAAAGATAGACCCAACTTTTTCACCTACTAATGGAGCTAAACTACTTTTGCTGCTTCCATTTAAACATTTGATATATTGGCCAGAAGTGGGCAGCAAGAGTCCTGCATATGCTAATCTTAAATAATCTGTCTCTAATTTACTGAAAAGTTTATTAAGTTTATGGTAAAAAGAGAACCGAACTGAATGAGAGGATATTTTAAGTTTACAGTAAAAAGAGAACTGATCCGAGTGAGAGACTTTCTTGCTTATTTACTGTGTAAATATCTCGAATGCTAATTGTAGAATAAACTGGGCAGAAATGACATCTTTTCAATCTTGAGTCTTCCCATCCAAGAATGCGGGATGTCTCTCTATTATGTAGGTCTTCTTTTATGTTCTTCACTAAAATGTTATCATTTTCCCCCATGAAACATTCTACATGGTATGTTATGGTTATTTCTGATCATATAAATGTATGCTGATTGTGAATGGCATATTTAAAACCACATTTCTCCTTTGTTACTGCTCTTCCTTTAGGTTTTTATTGTTTATGTTGTATTTAGCCACCTTGCTCTTCACTCTTGTAGTAGTTGGACTTGTTTGTCTTTCAATTCTTTTTTATTTTCTTAAGAATCATATTCTCTATAAGATGTAATTTAATGTTTACTTTTCTAATACTTATATATCTTCTTTATTTTTCTTATCTAATTTAATAGTTTGTCCTCCAATAAAACACTGAATAGCAGTGAAAAGCATTGACAATTGTTTATTCCGAGCTGATTATGACATGAGCCTTTATGGAAGCCCATCCCTTTCTTTCCATTTGTCTCTTTTCCCTTTCTTCCCTTTGTGCTCTTCCACCCATGAGTACATGAGAGCTTTTACTAAATGAGGATTGATTTGCTTCTTCTGAAAGTAATCACATTTTTCTTAGGAACTTCCTGGTAATGTTCCATGTTTTTCTTCCCCCCCACAAAACTGACATTTTCTACTGGCTTGCTATTATTTGCATCACCAAAACTGTGCCTAATGCAGTAATGCACCATGACATACAGAAGGCTAGAAATGTGTCGGCCCCTCCAGAAAATGAACCCACATTATAGTCGTGTAGCAATTTTGGTAGTCACTACCAGCTTCTACTCCTTTGAAATGTCAATTTATCTAAAATTAATAGCTCCTCTCCACCCTATTTTTTTTTAATTTGTGAAGTCTAAAAAAAAATAGATTATGAAACATCTTAGAATTATGCATAAAGTGAAAATAAATCACATCTCAGTGAGAATAGGGAGTATTTTCCTCTGATAAAAGGAGCCTGGCCTAAATGCAGATGGTAGAGATGGTTGCTGTGTTTGCTTAGGGGACTTATGTGCTTGTTTCCAGGTATTGGCTGTTCTGGGGAGTTGAGGTTCTTGGAAGAGTAACATGTTCATGTGTTAGAGTAAATCCTCATTAAGGAGAATGCTTCTGCACCTCAGAAAAGCAATCTTTGTGACAAGCTGTCTTTCTTTTTTTAATGGTTGCCTCACATGGGTGGCACTGAAAAGATTACAACGTGTTCCTCATCGCATACACATTTTACAGCTAAACCACTATTATCTGATATTCTTATAGTTAATGATTTTGCCATTTTTTTGGCTAGTGTTTGTACTTAAATGGCCTTATAGAATCTTTCTTAAATTCACTCTACCTAATTATTTAGCAATCAAAAGAGAGCCGAATAAAACAGCTCCCAACCCTGCACTAATCACCTCTTAAGTATTGGTTCTATCTATACACATCATCTTAGTTTACATTTATTCAATCCTTTTTTTCTTTCAGTGTTATCTCTTTCTCTATAAACTGACCGGATATTAATTGTGACTTTGAGTCATCGCTTTGATTGCTCTGGGATTTGGAGTAAACCTCAGAAGCTAACTGCATTTGGAACTTTTTTGTAGACTGGCTTTCTTAATAACCTCCAATAACATCTTTAGTCTGCTAACCAGGATAAATATCAACGAAAATAAACCACAGAACCTACATTCTTGTGAAGCCGATAAAAAAAAAATACAGCAGTAAACATGACTGGCAACTTTTGTTGAACAGAATATGGAACAGTTGCATTCATTTCCCCTCCAAACTTCTCACTGGTAGAAAATAAAGGTTCAGAAGTTTATAGGAGATAACATGTTGCTCAAAAGATATTAATAGCCTTTTTAGCAAATTAAATACCTCTAGATATAGTGTTAAAAGAAGTTTGGCAGTTGAGATAGGTGTCCAAATTATGATACTTAGAAAAAGAGTAATAATAGATTCAAATCTTATTATGATTCTAGAAACTTTAGCTGGTTAACTAAACATTGAGTCTGAATCATTTATTTCCCTCACATAAAATTTTCCATTTTATTTATTTTATTTATTTTTTTTTTTTTTGAGACGAAGTCTTGCTCTTGTCACCCAGGCTAGAGTACAATGGCACGATCTAGATTAACTGCAACCTCTGCCTCCCGAGTTCAAGCGATTCTCCTGCCTCAGCCTCCCAAGTAGCTGCGATTGTAGGCACCTGCCACCAGGCCCAGCTAATTTTTGTATTTTTAGTATAGATGAGGTTTCACCATGTTGGCCAGGCTGGTCTCGAACTCCTGACCTCAGGCGATCTGCCTGCCTCAGCCTCCCAAAGTGTTGGGATTACAGGTGTGAGCCACCACGCCTGGCAGAAATTTACCATTTTATTTGTATAAGATAAAATTCTAAATAGCAAAGGTCTTCGAAAGTCCTTGGAAAATAACACATAAGTACCGGGTGTTGGCTACTCATTATTTATTAATTGCTCATTCATCTCTGCCCTGACTTACAGGGCTCAGCACTGGATGTTGGTTCTCCTAGCTCAATACTCAGAGGTACTTCCATATTTGCTTTGCTTCCTTGCCACCCTGAGGCTGGGTACTCCAAGGAGCACTGTACCTGTCAGTCTGTAAAAGTGAGTGAACTTGAAGCTTTGACCCACTGGCAAGTATGCTATTTCTGGTTATTCATGTGCTTTTGTTTTTCCACAGGAAATAAATGATAACCATTTATTTGTATGATAATCCACATAATTTCACACTTTCCTTGATAAGGTTATGTGAGGAGGCTAAGTGATGTGCATTCATGATTTAGTATTGAAATCCCATGATTTAATAAACACGGAGATTTAGAAATTATGAGATAACATGACATTTCTAGACAGTTTTGCAAAGAAGTTTTACAGTTTCTCTTTTATATTTAAGGTGACTACACTTGTCAACACAAGCAACAAAGGCCCATCTGGTAAAAAGAAAGGGAGGTCAAAGAAAGCCCATGTACTAGCTGCCTCTGTAGAGCAAGCCACTCAGAATTTCCTGGAAAAGGGTGAACAGATCGCTAAGGAGAGTCAAGATCTCAAAGAAGAGTTGGTGGCTGCTGTAGAGGATGTGCGCAAACAAGGTAGGCAGAATGATATTATTGTTCAAGGCGGATCTATACTGATGTGCAAACAATGGCTTTTTCTTTAGAATCAATGGATATTTACTCAAAGAAGAAGTCTTACGTTTTTTTCCTTTCTATCTACACTTGTCATTTTTAATGTTTGCTGGATGTGGTACATAGAGATATTTTCATTGTTGCAGTATGGTACAGCTACAAACACTCCATGTCTGCTGTTACGTCAAATCTTCAAGATGTTTCTTCTTGGTCAATGTAAACAGACTTTGTGTCAAACTCAGGCTTTAGGGAGAATGGGATGGGAAGACCTAACGTTTATAGAGTCAATGTAAAATCAGGTTTCTATGGATGAAGGGGGAGAAGAATGTAAAGTATTATAAGAGAATTATTCTTATTTTTCTGCAAGTCTCAAATTCATGTTTTCAGTTCATAGATTTCCTCACAAATGTAGCAAGCTAGCCACTCATTAATAAATCAGCTACCTCTCTAGCTAGCTAGCTATAATACTGTTGATTTAGCATTTTAAAATTTTGATCTGTATAAAATATACAACATAAAGTTCTAACTACGGCCGGGTGCGGTGGCTCACACCTGTATTCCTAGCACTTTGAGAGGCCAAGGCGGGTGGATTGCCTGAGCTCAGGAGTTCAAGACCAGCCTGGGCAACACGGTGAAACCCTGTCTCTACTAAAATACAAAAAATTAGCCGGGCATGGCAGCGTGCGCCTGTAGTCCCAGCCACTCAGGGGGCTGAGACAGGAGAATTGCTAGAACCCGGGAGGCGGAGGTTGCAGTGAGCCAAGATCGCGCCGCTGCACTCCAGCCTGGGTGACAGAGTGAGACTCCATCTCTTAAAAAAAAAAAATAAAATAAAAAGAAAAAAGTCTTAACTACTTGTAAGTGTACAGTTCAATACTGTTAACGATATTCATATCGTTGAGCAAGCAATCTCCATAACTGTTTCATCTTGCAAACTGAAACTCTATACCCATTAAACTATTTCCCATATCCTCCTCCCTGAAGCCTCTGGCAATCACCATTCTACTTTCTTTTTCTATGAATTTGACTGCTCTAAATACCTCATATAAGTGGAATCATACATATTAGTCTTTTTTTGACTGGCTTATTTCACTTAGCATAATGTCTTCAAGGTTCATACATGTTGTGGCATGTTTCAGAATTCCATCGTATGTATATACCACATTTTGTTTATACATTCATCCATTCACGGATGTTTGGGTTGCTTCCACTTTTTGGCTCCTGGGAATAATGCTGCTATGAACATAGAGGTAAAGATATCTCTTTAATGCCCTGCTTTCAGTTCTTTTGGATATAGACTCAGAGGTGGTATTACTGGATCATATGATAATTATATTTTTAATTTTTCAGAGCCTGCATGCTGTTTTCCATAGTGGCTGCACCATTTCCATAGTAGTGCACTCCTACTAATGGTGCACAGCGGTTCCAGTTTCTCCAAATCCTCACCAACACTTGTTTTATTTTGTGAATTGTATCATCATAATTGTTGTGAGGTGATATCTCATTGTAGATTTGATTTATATTTTCCTAATGATTACTTATGTCGAAGAACTTTTTATATGCTTCCTAGGCATTTGACTATTTTTTTCGGAGAAATATTTCCAGTCTTTTGCCCATTTCTGAATCAAGTTGTTTGGTTTTGTTGCTGTTGTTAAGTTATAGGAGTTCTTTATATAGTCTGGATATTAGCATCTTATCAGACAGTGATTGGCAAATATTTTCTCCCATTCTGTAGGTTGCCTTTTCACTCTATTGTGACCTTTGACACAGAGAATTTTTAAATTTTGGTGTAGTCCTATGCAGCATTGTAGTTGAAAGTTCTAAGGACCATGAAATCAGAACAGACACCTACTCCCAAGCTTGGTCTCTCTCCTGCATTTTCTGCCTTGAAGAATGCAATGCATGTCTATTGAGTTGCACGTTGCATAAATCTTAGTGCCATTCTTGTTACTTCCCTTTCCTTCCAAATATAGTCTATTGTAAAGTTTCCTAGATCTTACCTCCTATATATCTGTTTAATGGACCACTTCCTGTCTTAGTTATTTAAAAGCACTATGTTTTCATGCCCCAGGGCCTTTATATATGCTGCCTCTTTCACACATTTCTACACTTCCCAGCTCAAGGAATACCTTCTCAGGGAAACTTTATCTGAAACTCCTGTCATACTTTTTAATGGGTTCTTTCCTTGTTACTTTTCACAGGATAATTAAGTATTTGTGAGGTGACTGTCTTTCATGCCATACTATAAATTAATAAAGGCAGAGACCAGACCATGTCTCTTTTGCTAATCATTGATTTTCAATGCTTAGTACTCATTAAATATTTGTTGAATTATTGAATTAAGAGGTGAATGAATGGTCTCTTCCAATTCTTCTTGCAAACCTACCACTGTATCAATTCACAGCTGGATATTTAGTACCTGGAAACACCAACCCTCCTTCCACACTAACAAATACTGTTCCCCTTCTGCCCTGTTCTTCCTCATCCTCTCCTTCCTCCTAAAAATTAATTTCATCTCTATTATACTAACTTAAATTATTACTTTAATTTGCAACGTTAAATGTGCCACATTTTATCTATTGTGAAGAGTATATTTGTGTATGTGTTTTGGCAGTGCCAAATCTAAGTTTTCAGGTGCATTCGAAAACTGATATTCCTTCTGAATTGCAGATGGACGCTTGTTTGTTTTCATGCATCTATAGCCTGGATAGTTGTTTTATTTTTTTCTTTTGTTGTGGGTTTTTTAGGTTGACTGCCATATAATAAACTGTATGCACTTAAAATTTACAATATGATAAATTTTGACAAATGTATACATCCATGAAACCATCTTTGCACTGAAGATAGCAAAGGTATTCATAGTAGAGAGTGGTTTGATTGGCCCCGGGCCTCCTTTTAAAACATTTGTCTTCTATGATAATAAATTTTTCCCTTTAGTTTCTCCAAAACCTCTTAAGAATTCTTTTGTCATTACAAGTTAGTTTTCACACATTCTGTAGAAACTAACGTTTTCATTTTCTTGAAGCTTACATGAAATTGTGTTCTCGTGGATATAATACAATAAACAACACAGTTCTTGGCCAGACTATCCTAGGAGTATTGGAGTAACAAATTTCTACAGATGCTAATTTAACACAGCTAACAATGGTTGAACTTCTAGGGGATATTTCAAGTTTTCTTTTTATATTATCGATTTCTTCTTACAAAACAATTCTATATCAGAAATGTTGTCTACGTGTAACCTGTATAAAACTCAAATGCCACGTGCTCCTTCTCTTGAACAGTGTCAAATTCAAAGAAGCATTACTATAGTATGCAAAATAACCCAAAAAATGGGTAAAAGCATTTAAAATTTGCTTTGTTATTTTTCATTCTGCAATCTTTTCCATACACTGCACATGCCTCTCAGGTGTGAGTGGTGCACCTCCTCACTGACAGCAAGGTCCTCAGTCTCTTGTTTGAATTTGATGCCCAGAAGCTCTTATCTCCATTCTTTCCATTCTCTAGCACAGCTCGTCATTATGTAATCCCCTTAGCTTATCTGGCTTTAGCTGATTTTCCTGTTTGCCCATTACCCAAATTTTATTTACCAATGAGAGCCTGCATTGATTTTCAGAGAGAGAGGTAGAGAGAAAAGAGCTTGTGGGGAAGGAATATGGAATGGGGCAAGATATTTAGTTAATGGAAACTTTAAAACACAGTATCTTTCCTTCTATCATAGAAATCTGTTTTCCAATATGCAAGATGATATTCAGAAATTATGGACACACTGACATTTAGAAAACAATAACCTCTTTTAAACTACCTCCAGCATCCATACATGACTTATTTATTAAATGATATGTTGTGGGAATGAAATCTGTTAGTTTTACTATTGCATTGTTTTTGTTTTTATTAAAAAGTATTGTCACTTTTTGTTTTCAGCATAAGTAAATGCCAGTTTTCATATTGTACATGTCCATTTTCAGATTTTTAATATAGAACTGTTTTGTTTTTCTTTTGAAGTTTCACAACATTCATTATAATTACCCCATCTGTCAAGATTATAGAATTATCTATTTAACTATGTTATTGTATTTCATATGGCTAAACAGTGTTATTTGAATTTCTTTATCATTAAATATATATATATATATCTTTTAAACCTGGCTGCATGCCAGATCTCTAAAAGTTTTCAGTATGAGTGGTGACTATATTTTTACTCTAGAATATTCCAGTAGAAGATTTCCCTATATCTGTAAAAAAATACTGGAGTAGGTGTTGTGCTGAACCCCTATGGACTCTGATGGGGATGACGCCAGGATCACGGGGCCAAAGAAGAGACCCAGAGCCAGCAAATGAGACATGGAGTTTTACTGGGGGGCTTACCTACGGGGGAGAAGTCTAGTGGCAGCAGGCTGGCAGAAGAACCATAACCATTTGTGAAAGGCATGCAGTTCATATAGTACTTTCACGTATCACCATTTACCTAACAACTTTCACCTGGCAACCTTCATTCAACCCAAAACGGTGCCTCCATCCCCTCTACACCCCATGTTCCATGGGCTGGGCTGGGGGCTCAGATGTTACTCATAGACAAGGAATGAATCTCTAGGTGGGCCACTCCCAGATTCCCTAGCTCAGCAGACACATTCAGATGCATCTGCCGTATGGGGTCATTCTCGGAGTATGCGTAAGTTTTTGCTCTCAGGTGTGTTTATATACAGTAGGCTTATGATAGCATTTATATTTAAAAGAAGTAACAAAAATAAATTGCCTAAAAGAGATATTGTATTCAAAACTTAGAACTCTGATGTTTTAGACTTTGGGAAAGATAGGATATCTAGTTTGGTGTGTGTGTTTCTCCCTTCCTATCTGTTCACTTATGACTAAAGTCATGTGATATATGCATATTATCTTCCTAATGTAAGTTTAAACCGTATCAGAATAGGAACAATGAGATTTATGTATTTCTTTCTTCTCCTGAGGCACTCGGCATGGTCCTCTAAGCACATGGTAGGTGATATTCAGGAAGGAGTCTTGTGAAATCAGGAAAGCATTGGCAGTTTGGCTAAGATATCCAACTTCTAATCTAACTTTTACAAATAACTAGCTGAAAAGCTAAGTCACTTAACCACTTTTAGCTTCAGTTTCTCCATTTTACAAATACAATTATTGTGTCTACCTAAATGAATTGTTTTACTAAATGAAGTCACAGGGGATTAAAAAAACGCTAAATGTTCTATAGATGTCAGAGTAGATTTATTAATTATAATTTATTAAATCAATGTGTACTACCTATAGCAATGTGTACTACCTTTTGATTAGTGAGCAAGTCCCGGCCTTTCCAAGCAGGATGCTAGAGAGCTGAATCAGCATCTAATAGTCTTCATGAAGAAGATTGAGTAGCTCGGTATGGCTTACAGTTGGTGGTAGTTGCACGTGGTGTCCGCAAACTATGAGTGGATAGATGTGCAGCTGGTGAACCATTCACAGAAAAGCTTCTTGAAAACAAGGAATGCAAAGGAGTTATTCCAATCATTTCTTCATATTGAAGCTCTGGACCAAGGAAAGCTTAAATCGGGGAATTCCAGAACGTTTTCAGTGTTTACCACGAAGATTTTTCTAGACTGAAAACTTTTTTTTGACTATGCACTAATTGAGGGGTTCTCAAACTTTAGTGAATACTAGAATCACCTGGGAAGATCTTGAAATCTTTATGTCCAGGCCTCACCCCTCTTCAATTAAATCAGAATCTCTGCAGTTGGACCCAGGCTTCAAGATGTTTATAGCTCCTCAGGTGATTTCATTTTACAGCCAATTTGAGAAGAAGTGGACTAATCCCTTTCTTGCTTATCAGCCCTGCTTAGATTACTTATCAATCCATGGTAGTTATTTAGTGTTTCACATTTGGCAGCTGATAACAGGCAGTCATTATACAAGGTTTATGAGCTTATTGTTTACTTAGAAGTAGGTAGGTAAGGGCCGGGCGTGGCGACTTGCGCCTATAATCCCAGCACTTTGGGAGGCCAAGGCGGGCAGATCACGAGGTTAGGAGATTAAGACCATCCTGGCTAACACAGTGAAAGAGAAGTCTGGTGGCAGCAGGCTGGGCAGAAGAACCACAACCAGGGGTTGTGGCAGGCACCTGTAGTCCCAGCTACTTGGGGAGGCTGAGGCAGGAGAATCACTTGAACCCAGGAGGTGGAGGTTGCAGTGAACCAAGATCTTGCCACTGCACTCCAGCCTGGATGACAGAGTGAGACTCTGTCTCAAAAAAAAAAAAAGAGGTAGATAAGACTTACCTAGGAGAAACAACTTGATATTCTATATTAAAATATTATGGATAGATATATCCTATGCTAAATGATGTGTTACCCAGCCTGACATTCTGCAGGTACACAGGAATATGTGTTAAGTATATACTGGGCAGTCAAATGTATAGGGCAGTTAAATATTTCAGGAGTTGTGGAAAAAAAGATACATAGCTGAAATTAACAAGAAGGAGGTAATATTTAATGTGATCATTGATTAAAAATTTTCGAAGACCAGTGGGACAAGAATTGCAGGTTTAAGATTGGTGGGATAAGAATTTCAGGCTGTATCTAATTTTCAAAGGCATAAAAAAGAATGGCACTAATAATTGGAGGTTGGATAAAGAAGCCCTGATTTGATGAAATGTTTCATATTCAGGTACAGTTAGAAATATAAGATGGCTGGGCAGGGTGGCACATGCCTGTAATCCCAGCACTTTGGGAGGCCGAGGCAGGCAGATCATTTGAGGTCTGGAGTTTGAGACTAGCCTGACCAACATAGTGAAACCCCGTCTCTACTAAAAATTCAAAATAATTAGCAGGGTGTGGTGGCTCATGCCTGTAGCTCCAGATAGGCGGGAGGCTGAGGCAGTAGAATCACTTGAACCTGGGAGGCGGAGGTTGCAGTGAGGCAAGATTGTGCCACTGTACTCCAGCCTGGGTGATGGAGAGACTCCATCTCAAAAAAAAAAAAAAAAAAAAAAGAAAGAAAGAAGGAAATATGATAAGATGATAGAACAGATCCAGATAGGGAAAAGTATAGACAACATGATGAAAGGAAGGGAGAGAGGGAAGGAGGACAGAAGCTATCTACCTGGCTGGCTTCTACTCACTTAAATGATATTTTAGAAAGATTAATATGGCAACTTCATGAAAACCTGACTAAATTAGAGAAAAACTGGACCCAGACAGATTGGTTAGGTGTGATCATAATATCAAGGGAAATGAAACAAAATATAGTACTACTTTGAGGGTCCAGGATTGAGGAGGTGGTAATGGGAACAGAAAGAAGCTAAAAGTTGCAGGCATTACAAAAAAAGAATAAAATCTTTTTCAACTTACTGAAGGGGAGATAAGAGCCAAAATTTGTTCTACATTTTTGGCCCTAGGCTAATTAATTGGGAAGTCTTTAGGAGTGACAGGGGCAGGGGAGAGTGTACGGGTTTGATTTTAAACATAGATGAATGGGGAGGACCACCTGGCAGAAGGACAATGCCATGGTGAAATAGAGAAATTTGGAAGTACTTGCCAATAGAGAGAGGAGAACAGAGGGATGAAGGTATAGTTTTGGAAGAAAGAACAAACTAGTATTAGAAAATGAAGTAGAACTAAATTAGGGAAAGCAATCCCCTGAAAAATATCCAGCGAACAAAGAATCCTAAAATCCAAGGGAATAGGATGTTTCTTAAAGGAGATAGTGATCACTCTAGACTCTAGAATGTTGTTGTAGTCATATCAGAGTGTTCAGAGATTGTGGAGAATGAATAATGAGAAAATGCTTTGGATTTAGCTAGACAGGTGTCATTAATTATATTCAAAAGTGCATTTTCAGGAAGCCACAAGGGCAATAGCTAAATGAAAAGAAAGAATCCATCCTGAAGGAACAGAAAAGATGTTGAAATAATTGATGTAGGTAGGAATGCTAACTAGACTCTCTTTTGGTTATCATTGCAATACATATTGAAGGTATTTCTTTTTGCCTCTCATAGTCTGGTACTCAACTAAGGGCCCCTTTGTTATTATTTTGTGTATCTCTGGAGCCTGACACAATGTCTGCACATAGTGAGCACTTCAGGCATGCATTAGAAGATCGTCACAGAATGGAAGGAGAGAAATGGAGAGGAGCAATGGGGAGACATTAAAGGCAAGCACAAAATTACAACTGTTTGCCTGCTTGCTTATTGTTTCCAGCCCAAAAAAGAAGTATCAGGGTATATATGAAGAGAAGGAGCCATAATTATAATACAAAGAAAGACAGTTCAGGGTTGCATGAAGTGATGCAGAGAGGAAATTTCTTTATCTAGAAAGCAGGTAGGGAGGAGAGATAATCCCAAAAATGTTTTGTGGAAAAAGTAAGAGCAAAAGCAGATTAGATGAAATGATCTCGATTATTTTGAACAAAGACAGAGGTGTTTTTAATGGACCATGGATAGCTGATACTTGACCACTATTGGAGATGTTTTTCTATTTTTTGTCTGTTACTGCCATCTGTGTGGATCTCCCGTACATTTTTAAGGGATTTAATTTACTGAATACAGCTGACGATTACTCCTTTCATGGATGCTGCTGAAAAGGCCAATTTTTATGAGGCATAATTTGCCTAAGAATTTTTTATTTAATTCATTTATATGGTATGTAACTGCATCTGTTAAAAATGGGGTGTTCACATACGGTAGTCAGTAATCTTATTCAATTTGAAATAGATTTGAAAGCTGTGCTTTGAATGATAGGCATCCTTTCTCAAATTTTCTCAATAGGCAAATCCATTTAATGGTGTAACACAGCATTGGTTGTATGCCATAGGACTTATAGAGAATCCTTAAAACACCTCCTCTGTCACCCCGTTATTATATCTCCACATTCTCTTAAGCCATGGAGCAGTTGCTTATGTTTCCTGCCTTCGTTCGACAACAGCATTTTCACATTGCCCACTGTCTGTCTGAGCAATGACAAATCCAAACAGCTAAGATATGACCATGCCACCAAGGTGTATTTGGCCAGCGTGTAGATGAGATGTACATGGTCCTAACTCAAAACTAAGGGGAATCTTATGGAGCAGAGTGACAAGGAGGTGCAGATGAAAGAAGAAGCTTCTTCATGGGACCATTTCCTAAATGAAAGTGATGGCCAAGCCATTCACTGCTCATGCAGTATTTTCTTTGTTATGACATAACCTCAAATGTGAAGTGATATGGTGATATCAACAAGTTCCACTATTTTCTTTTCTTTTTCTCTCTTTTTTTTTTTTTTTTTTTGAGATGGAGTCTTGCTCTGTCACCCAGGTTGGAGTGCAGCGGCGTCATCTTGGCTCACTGCAACCTCCACCTCCTGAGTTCAAGCTATTCTCCTGCCTCAGCCTCCCAAGTAGCTGGGATTACAGGAGTGTGCTACCATGCCTGGCTAATTTTTGTATTTCTAGTAGAGACAGGGTTTCACCATGTTGGCCAAGCTGGTCTCGAACTCCTGATCTTGTGATCTGCCCACCTAGGCCTCCCAAAGAGCTGTGATTACAGGCCTCAGCCACTGTGCCTGGCCTCACTATTTCATTTTTATTCAATCGACATTTATTAAGTAAATGATGACCAATGGGCTAAGACAGAGAGCAAGACTGAGAAAACATGACAGAGCATGACAGAAAGTTCTCCTTCACATATCTGAGAGGTCATAAGCCCTTGCCTCCTAATGACCTGGTGCCTCCCTGCTTCTCACCCTCTTTGGTGGTGAGGTGTTAGTGGAATGAGAGGACCCAACAGAAACTTCAGTTGATGCCAGCTGTGTGAACTCCTAGGCTGAGAGCTGGTCAGAGACTACTTCCCTGACCAGGAAGCTCCCTCTGTCACACAGCTCTGTCCCTCCTCCTTCATTTGCCCTATAAATACATAAAGCAGCACAGTGTGGGGATGGTGGGCATGTTCTTCTCGCTCCTGCAGCACTTTCCGCAGGGGTCAGCCTCTCTAAAAACAAGAGTTGCGGGAGGTGGGCAGGATTCTGTTACTCCTCTGTGTGTCCTTTTCTCAAGTATCCCTGGCTTTATGCCTCTACTCCTTATACCCTGAATACTTGAGTCTCCTAGGATATTGGGCTTCCTTTCTGTGCTGTGCGCTGACTCTTCACTGCTGCCTGACTGCCTCTGTATGGATGGTACCTTAGTTACCATGTTCTAGTATGGGTTCTTGCTGGTCTTAGGGTAAGATTTCACTCCTGTATGGGGAGCGGAGGGGATGTTTCCACTGAAGGAGGATACCTTTGGGGAAAGAAGAGTATTCTAGGACAGAAAATGGGGATACAAGAGGCAAATCCTAGGTAAGAGAAGGGAAGATAACTCATGTATCTTCCCTCTACGGATCTCACTTCATTGAGCCTGGACTCTGCTGAGTGTAGATCCATTACTTTTTAAAATGATACTATTCACAGCCGGGTACAGTGGCTCATACCTGTAATCCCAGTGCTTTGGGATGCTAAGGTGGGAGGATTGCTTGAGGTTAGTAGTTCAAACCAGCCTGGGCAAGATAGCAAGACCCCCATCTCTACAAAAAATAAAATAAAATAATGAGCTGGGCATGGTGGTGCACACCTGTGGTCTCAGCTACTCTAGAGACTGAGGCAGGAGGATAGCTTGAGCCTAGGAGTTTGAGGCTACATTGAGCTATGATAGAGCCACTGCATTTCAGCCTAAGTGACAAAGCAAGAGCAAATGATACAGTTTGAGTAATGTAATAAAGTGCATGTGTGCTAGATCCAGCAAGGGCAGACCTTGAAGTTGGAATGGAGGATGTCGTTCTTGAGTCTATGAGTGCAGCTGAGCTAGAGATCTGATGGTGCTCCACTATGGCCATACACTGCCACTCACTGTCCTTCCAGTGGCTTCTCCTCCCCTTCCTTATAGAAACTTCATTTTACAAGTGTTTCTCAGAGTGAAGTTCACAGACCATCTGGTTCAGAATTCCCTGCGTGGGTATGGGAGGAGTCCATGAAAATTCATCTTGATAAGTCTAGCCATAACTCCAGATTCAGTATGTCTGGGGTGACCCTGTAAATTTTATTACTAGATAGCACCCCAAGTAAATCTTATGCTTCTAAAGTTTGAGAATCACTAATAGCCTAAGTTTAATACATCGTTATCAACATCATTTTAATTAGTTAGGTCTCTTTGCCATGGAAAAGTATGCTATCTAGGAATGAAATCAATTCTCAGAAGGTTTAACATCAGAAGTTTAAAAAATACCAAAAAACCTAGAGATGCATACAATGACAAAAAGACAAAAAGAAGTTCCATGTGAAAATATGATGAAAAATGCATACACGTGAAAATGTCATATACCCTTAGGATTCATCTTAATGCAAATTTTAACATTTGCAATAGGTTCATCTGTTGCATATTTTGTTAAATAAAATATATTTGTATGCCAAAGTTTGCATTAGCTGAGGGCCCAGGAGTACTTCAGGTCAGCACAGAGCCCTTTGTGTGGCTTTTATTGCAAGACATTGGAAGATAATGGCATATTATTCTTTCACCTGACCTCTCTTTCTGGAACCCTTGGCTTTTGAAAATGCTATATTCTTTCAGCAAAAATAACAGCAACAATAGCAATGGTTTATTGTTTGCCACTCCATTTGTAAGAAACTTTGTATATAGTCTCTCAAAGTCATCCTGTTTGTCATTTGAAGTATTATCCATACTTGTATAATATGACACTGATACTGATATCCATGTGCATTGATTACTTCTACAAATATTTTTTGAGTTCTATGCACAGGCACTATTTTGGGTGCTGAGAATATGAAATAAAGAAAACATACATTATCTGCTAATAAGAATATTACATTTTGAGATGAGACAAATAAGTAAAATATTAAACAGGGTGATGATTATAGGCTATGGAAGTGCAATTTAAAAATGAAACAACCAAAAGCATGATTCATGAAAAAAATTGATAATTTGAATTTCATATTAAAACTAGAAACTTTGGCACTGAGAAACATAATACTAAGAGAATATAAACAAGCCATAAACTGCAAGAAAAAACTGGTAAATTACATATTTGATGAAAGACTTATATCCATAATATACAAAGAACTCTTAAAATTGCACAAGATAACCAGTAACTCAACATAAAAATGGGTGAAAGCCCTGAACAGATACCTCACCAAGGAAGACATGCAGATGGCAAATAAGCATAAGAAGCAATGTTCACCATCATTTGTGATTGGGGAAATGCAAATTAAACAACAATGAGATTTTAATATCCTTACTAGAATCACTAAAATCTCCAAAACTGACAATACAAACTGTTGGTGATATGTGGAGCAACAGGAGATCTCATTCATTCAGATGCAATATGATATAGCCACTTTGAAGGACAGTTTGGCAGTTTCTAAAATAAAACTAAACAGATTTAATTGCCTTATAACTCAGTAATCACAACCCTACATATTTACTCTGCTGATTTGAAAACATCTATTTATATGGCATCACCTAATCTTGTTCCATTTTCTAAAATAAACTTAGAATAATTTTAGACTTATGGAAAATTCGCAAAGATAGTACAGAAAATTACATATACTCTACACTTATTTGTCACAATTAATAAACCAATATTTATAGATTATTAACTGAGCAGAGCATAATAATAAAAAAACCATAATCACAAACCTTTCTGTTGATATGCTTAGCAAAAATGGCAAGAACAAACACAGTGTGAGTGCCGAACTATTCTTATTTTTAAGCTGACTTGCAAAGAATGGTAAATTATACATCTGTATGAATAAGAATCAGAAATCTAGTTTAGAAGATTGCCAATTCAGGACTGTTTCTTTTAATACCCTTTTTTGAAGTCTAAACTTACCAGTCTAAGTAAAACCATTCTTGTGTTTCACAGAAAACATTTAAAGAGGCATGCAAGGATATACAAAATACAGAAAGAGAATAAGAAATCCATGGAAAAGAGAAAAGACAAATATGGTCGAAGACTCAAGAAGAGTCAGGGAAGTGACTAATGCACATATACATTAGGGCCTATGCATCCTGTGCAAACCTGTCCACCCGAGAACACAGCCACAGGTGGCTCAATGGGTGGGGCTTGCTTTGCAGTAGAGTCCAGGTTCAAATTCCAACTGTAGTTTTTATGGTGCCTGCGCTGTGCGACCTGGGAAAATTATTTACTCACTCTGTGCCAGTGTGTTCATGAGTTCATTGGGGCTCATCTTACATTCATTCCAGCATTGCTATGCAGAGCAGATGATAGGATGCATGTAAAGTACTTAGCAACAGACCTAGCACACCTCAGACTTGAAAAACCTGGTGGACGTTGTCTTTATTGCTAACGTCATTGTTATTCTTGCTACAACTGGACAACAGATTGGGCTCTTAAGCTTTCTGACACATCAGTTGTAAAGTTAATGACAAAATTGTATTTTTAATCATAAAATGATCTTTCCGATAGATCATGAAACTATCTCCATTTCATGTAATTCACTTTGTTTTAAGGAAAATTCCTTAAACAAAATGTTTGATTTGTGCATAAAATACTCTACGTTAACACATAAAGATAAAGAAACCTGGTTATCAAGCATTTTCTCTCTAAAAGCTAGGTCTGTAATTCAATCAAAAATGCATTCGATATAAACATCTTGAATAAAAACCAGATAAGATTGTTGAAGACGAAGCTGATTCACTGATGTGTTCTAATTCTGATGTCAGTGACTTGATGCAAACCAGGCAGTCTTCATTAACTCTGGACCTCTCAGAAACCAAGGCTGGGCAAGCGTGCTTCTAGATGTGACTCTTCTTTTTTTAAAACAAAAATAATAATAATTTCAAGATTTATTTCAGATTTGGGGAGTGCCTTCACAGGTTTGTTACCTGGTTATATTGTGTGGTGCTGAGATTTGGGATACAATTAACCCCGTCACCCAGGTAACTGAGCCTAGTACCCAAGTTAGTTTTTCAGCTCTTGCCCCCTCCTTCCTTTCCTCTTCTAGTAATCTCCAGTGTCTATTGTCACCATCTTTATGTCCATCAGTATGCAATGTTTAGCTCCCACTTACAAGTGAGAACATGTGAAATTTGGTTTCCTGTTCCTGCATTAATTCACTTAGGATAATGGTCTCCAGCTGCATTCATGTTGCTGCAAAGGACATAATTTCATTCTTTTTTATGGCTTTGTAGTATTTGCTATTGTTTAGGTACCACATTTTCTATATCCAATCCACTGTTGATCAGTACCCAGGTTGATTCCATGAGTCTGCTTTTGAAAAGAAAACAAACAGGTCAAGGTTAAACCATGCTGAATCTTGTTAGGTGCATGTTAATAAAAGGTCTCAGATGACCAGCTCTTTGAAGTGATATATAGGCAATCTGGAAAAATCAGATCTTACAATAAATTATGGAGATGTCAACCCAGCATTGTGGAGCTAAGCAGACACATTAATCATTAGAAAGTGGTAAACAGAAAGAAATGCAGAGGCTGAATTACCTCATCTTAAACTAAAAATCATAATGCTTGACACTGTATGCCTACTCTTTTGTTGCCACAGTTAAAAATGAATGAAAAGCCACGAGACCAGCCTGGCCAACGTGGAGAAACCCCGTTTCTACTAAAAATACAAAAAATTAGCCAGGCACGATGATGCGCGTCTGTAATCCCAGCTACTAGAGAGGCTGGGGCAGGAGGATTGCTTGAACCTGGGAGGCGGAGGTTGCAGTGAACCAAGATCGTGCCACTGCACTCCAGCCTGGGTGACAAGAGTGACTCCATCTCAAAGATAATAATAATAATAAATAAAATAAAATTGATGCTTATGAATGGTCACTTTTTCTCCCATACTTTTTCTCTGGTTCTCAGGCTCACCAAGCTTGCTCTGCTTTGAGTCATTGGGTTCAACTCTTCGTTAAACCTGGATGTTTCTTTCCCTAAATCTTTACTTAACCTCTCAGTTGCATCACATAAAGTTGAGCTCCCGCCCTGCATCCCTGGTTCATCCCCTTTCTTGTTTCTCTTGGCTTCTACAATACCTCCTTTCCCTCCCACTTTTTTCTGGTTCCATATCTTCTTGGAATTCTATTTATTAGAATGTCCCAGGGCTCTGAACTGAGCTTTGTTTTCTTCTTTGTCAATCATTTTACTGTATATACCAACCATTCCATAATTTCTACTTCTGGGCCCAAGCCATAGATATTGCTATTTAATATAGCCCAAATACAGCCTCTCTCATTTTTTTTTCCAATTCAGAAATGGGACTAAAAATCCAGTTGCTTAAATCAATAGTGCTAGAGTTAAACTTTATTCTTTTTTGCCCCCTCATTCCTCACATCCAAAGCCCTCAGCCATGCTCCAAAGCAGGTCTTAAAGCTATTCATTTTAAGGCGGTATAGCATATTCGTTAAGAGTACAGTTTACGGAACTAGACAGCCTACATTTGAAACCTGACTCAATAATTTATTAACTGTGTGGTGTTGGACAAGTATTTAATGTCTCATAGGCCTCAGTTCCATCACCTGTAAAATGGGAATAATAATGATTGTCATATAGGCAAGGCATGTAAATCAGTGACTGATAGATAGAAAGCATTATGTAAATGCTAATTAAGACATTTGCTCAGAAAGGCCTTTTCTAACCCCTTGATAAATAATTATATATGTATATTACATATAAAATGTGTGTGTGTGTGTGTGTGTGTGTATATAATCTTTAGTTATTTTAGTCTGAGTTTTCCAGAGAAAGAGAACCAATAGGTTATATATGTGTGTATTTTAAGGAATTGGTTCATGCAGTTGTGGGACTAGCAAGTCCACCATCTATAGGACAGTCTGACAGGCTGGAAACTCAAGTAGGAGTTATGCTGAAGTCTTGAATTTCTTCTTTTCCAGCAGACCTCGGTTTTTGCTTGTAAGGCCTTCTACCTGGTTCAATGAGGCCCACTCACATTATCAAGGCAAATCTTCTTTACTTAAATGTTAACTATATCTACAAAATGTCTAGAAAGCAACAACTTAGCTTAGTGTTTGATTATATTACTGGTTACTAATGCCTGACCAACTTCACAGAATAAACTAACCATCACAATAGGTAATAATTGATAAGTAATGCTATGCCAATTTGAAATAATTGTACTTATGTAAAAGTGCATTTATTGTTTCTAAATTTCTATGACACAATGCAGTGTTCATGACCCTTCTTTTAGAAATAGTTGCCTCTTGGTGCCAGATTTCTCCTGGAAAACCCTTGTCCTACCAAATGGAGGCTGTGGGGTGTAGATACCAAGCAGGGTGTTACGTGTGCCCTCTTGGGTACAATGGAGACTCAGGTTTGCCAAAAGCCAAATATATGGCATGGCGCAAGTCAGCCTTTATGTGCCACAATTTGTATTTGCCAAATATTAATGCCAGTCTCATCTAATCTATAAAATTCTAAGAATTAGATAAATGCCAGAATGAATTTGGGAAAACAAGAAACATTTTTTAAATTGAATATGTGAAAATTAAATTGCTTTTAAAGACATGATTTTTCCTTTATGAAATGACGATAAGCTGAAATGCTGTATATTTTAGGTAAATAGATAATTTTTCCATTTTCGGCCACGTCTATGTTTTAGGTTCACATTTTTTGCCATTTCAGTGCGTGTGACCATAAGGATTTAATGAGCTGTTGGCATGATTTATTTGAAGTTTTACTTTAAAAAAACAGTTTTAACAACCCAAGGGTAGTTTAAGTTTTGTGGTGCTATTAAGCCAATCTGGCCTTCTATTTTGAATTTCTATAAATAACTAATGCTATGTAAGTCAATGCATATTATTGAAATATTTTTAGTGTTTCTGCCATTTCTCTTTGTACTTGTGCTCTCGTGAATGGAGTGAAATTTGAGCTCAAGAACGTTTGTCTTTTTAAAGCATAAAAGTATTTAATAACATTGGCTTTTGAAAAGCCCTTAAAATGTGCACGTATTTGTATGGGCTGCATAAAGGAAGAAGCAGTTTGTTGCTTCTTATAATAATTATATTATAGTTCCCCGATGCAGATTCATGTGGGAGTATTTAAGGGATGAAAGGTCAAAAGGATTAAATATTTACATTCATTAGAATATGATCTTTTGGTGTAGGCAGAAAGGAAAGAGACTAATTGGTTTACTTCTAATTGTGAGCCTTATGAACTTACTGCTTTGGTAATACCTTAAATGTCATGATTAAAAATATTGATCTGTTTCTCTATGGGCTTCCACTGAAATGGTAGCAGTCATCTGCAATATTACCTAATACATTTAAAATATGGTCTTTAACTATAAGTGTGAGTATTATAACTAATACATCTCTTTTTTATGCCAAGAGCTCTGAATAACAAGCACTTGCTCTTCTTGGTATAGTGATCTGAGAGCCCCATTGTATTCTGTTTGTTTTCCTTAAGAAAAGCAAGGCAGAAGGGCTTCGTCGTTAATTAGGCTGTGTTTCTCTGAGCAAGCCTATTTAATCTTTGGTCTTAATTTCTCAGCTAGGAAACAAAATCTTCAAATTTGATGTTCTCTAATATTTCTTGGAACCATATATTTTTGTCTTGTATTTTAAAAAGAAGAGGAAGAATGGAGACTGAATCCACTGCCCAATGTTGGATTTCGATTAGTCAACCCAGGCGTGGTTTGCCCCAGAGGAGCTTCCAGTCTCAATTGACAGCAGGCCAAGAGTCGGGAAAGACACGGAAAACAAGGCAAGATACGAGCATTTCAAGAGAAATCCCCCTGGAGGAGTGCTTCAAGAAAATCCTCCTGGTTTTTGCAAAAGACCCTCCTGGTTCTTTCATTTCAGCCTTGGGAAACAGATCATGACATTGCGTAAAAGGTGTAATCCTAGAACAACGAGTAGATTTTATGATTTTTTATTAGTTTGTTTTCAATTCTGGGTCAGAATCCCTTTGCATAGAGTGTCCTAGAGATTAAAGAGCAAAGATAAAATAAGTAATAGAAAAAAAATTGAAGATAATTTATCTACTTCTTCTGGTATTCAGGCAAGACCTGGTCAAAAATCAGCATCTTTCAATTCATGTTTATATTTCATTTATGTTCTGTCTTGAAAATGAATATAATCAATTAAAAAATCAAGAATCTTTGTATTCTGCTCTTTCATGTTCATCTTTCAAGAAGAATATACATTCTAAAATGTGCAATAGTATGAGCTTAATGATAATGACTTTAAATTTAGTTCTGTAAAGTTCTCATGAGGTTTAGTTTTTCATATCTCATGCATTTACACAATTTTATGGTGGCGATTTTGATTTCGAATGAGTATCTCCTATTCTAGGAGTGTCAGAAGCTTTTAGCTGTACTGTCGGGCTCTGTAACAAACTGTTTTTCAGAATTAGCTATTAGTTAACTAGAACTTTAACCCAAGTGCTCTTATCCCCTTAATTTGGGGTCTTATTCTGGTTTTATATCTTTCAGATACTTAGAAACTATTCTTTTATTTGACAGTTTCGTGATTGACAATGGGAGTAATAATTTGGCTCTCCCCTTTTATCTTTCCTTGTTAATGAAGTCTATATCGCTAATATTTTTATCTTTTTTAAATCTTCAATTTGCATTTCTATATGGTAAAATGAAGTTATAAACTAAACCAGTTATTCCAGATGCAGACCAAGATCAATGTTACTATGTATCTCCTTGTTTTGTTGAATAATTCAGCTTTATATTCATCTTGCACAGACCCTGATATTTTTCTTTCATGCAGCAGCAATTGGTTTGAATTTATTGCACACTTTGATCCACAGCTTCTTTCTGTGTAGCTTTTTCTCCATTTTCTTCTCCATCCAGAAAATAACTGTTTTGGTGTTTATGATTTGTATGTTTTTTTCACCTTGACAATCGGTATTGTCTGTTTATGTCCTATTTTTCTCTTTTATTTCAAAGGGCATTGCAAGGTAGAAGGTAGAGTATTATTATAAGTACTAAACTACTTATTATTTCTTATAGTTTTTCAACATCTCTGCAATAGCAGCATCATTTTTCCATCTCTATGGTAGTCATCATCAAACAATATGATCTGGTAATATCATCCATCTGCTTTGTAATAAAGCCACAGTCACAGAGTCATATAATTTTTGACCTGAAAAGGAACTTGACGGTTGCATTGTTTGTGGATATTCTAAAGATGAGGAATGTAACTCCTAGAAGTTTCCCCTTGGATTCCACAGCTCATTACAGGAATAAGAGGACTAGGACATAGATTTTCAGGTATGATAGTCTTTCTTCTGTGCTGTTTAATACGAAGTTATCAAATGGATATAAGTTGTATTTAAAAGCTTTTGTTGGCCATGTAGTATTTGGACTGCATTAGGCTTAGAGTTAAGGCAACAGCCCACTCCATCCACTCCCCTCCCTGCATGAAGAACGGGAAAAGCAAAATTGGTCAAGGACAAAGTCCCTCCAGACACACAGCTACACAGTTAAGTGATGATCACAGTGGGTCCACATAGGAGGGAAAACAGACCCTGTAACTTGTATCACCAGTTCCTACTCCTCAGTGGGGAAAGAGACACTCAGTGTTAAAAATTGGAGCAGAATTAACTGAACAACATACAGTAAATTTTGCTAGCAATATTTATGAATCACCTTGTATTTAATAAGGACATTTTCATATTAAAGAATGTTCTCTTCCAAATTTAAAGATAACTCAATAATTTGATTTTACTTATTTTAGCTGTATATTTCCTGTTATGCCAATTATACAAAACTATAGGCAACCTATCACTAATGAACTATTATTCAACTAATAAAAATATATTTTGTTTTTACATTAGCAATAAGTATGTGGAAAGAATTACAACATGTGCATATACATGGATTGAAGTCTAGTAATGTTGAAAACTATAGGCCAAAAAATACTGTTGTAAATGTATTTTAACATTACATAAATTAATGTTTATAACATTACATCCTTAAGAATCAAAAACAATTCATCTGTAAGAAACAAAGACAGGATTTGCATTCCTTGATAAGTTTGAGGGCTCATCAGGAAAAGCCTTGTTGGTTCTCCAAAAGCCACAGAACAGTCTTTGAGATAAGAGTGGTCCAGTAAAAAGGAAAAATAAGTGAGTGGCTTAGACACCTGTTTCCTAGACTGAAAAATAGGATCTTAAAATTGCCTTTTTTTAAAAGACTTCATTTTGCTTTAGATAGACTAAAACTAGAATGTGGGCCCAGGGAGTAAGGGCATGAGCTGACCACTCTGTCTGTCTTAGGTAAAGAGACAACAGAAGGGTTTACAAAGGATTCACTAAGTGAGGAAAAGATGTGGACCAAAACTTGAGCTGACAACCGGGTAGGATTGCTTGGAATTCAGTATGCATATGTGTTAGAAATAGTGAGAGTAATTAGAGGTTATGGTAGGGTTCAGAGGGAAAAAATGGAACTTAAGGATCAGAGCTTCAACAAGATATCTAGGCAATGGGAGAAGGGCATCATCCTTCAACAAGAAGATTTAATAAGTTTTTGGTTTGTTTTCAAAACAATGTGCACAATGTTTGGTTTGGTTTGTGCACAATGTGGTTAAGACGAAATGAGGTAATATATGTGAAAGTATTTTTTCCAGTGCTTATCTCAGTAAACATTTGTTGACCGTGGTTGAAATGATTTTATTTTCTTTAAATAATGACAGAAGAACAAAAAAGAGTATTTCCTCTATTGTTACATTTCTAGAGACACAAGTCACTAGTACTTTCTTTTTTTCTAAAGCTATCTAAATTATCTGCATTCCCTGACTTCACATATTCCTTTTACTTACAAATATTCCAAGTAGTTTCAAACGTTCCTTTACTGAAGTGGTTTTCAAACTTCTGTATGCATTAAAATCGCCTGGGGAGCTTGTTAAAGTATAAATTCTATATGCACATTGAATAAGATGCTTGTGTTTAATGGGAGGTGGGCAGGTTAAAGTTGCTACTGGACTCCTAGACTGCCCTTCCAGAAAGATCTATCCCCACATCCCAGCATGCCGAAGCACTTCAGAACACACACCCATCTTCCCTGCGTTGAAGTTTGGCTTTAGCTGAGAATCACATTTTCTCCCCCACAGGAATATGCCAAAATTCTACTTAATCCTCAAAGATAAAGTTAAAGGCTACCTCCAGAAAGGCTTGTGAATTTTTAAAATGAGATGTGATCTTTCTCTTTTTATGCAGCCTCAACACTGTGACTAATAGTGTATATTCTGTCCTGTTTGGTGTTATGTTACTTGCGTACTCCCTCACCTTTGCCCTTCTCCCATTGCCTAGATTATAATTACTCTGAGTATGTTCTTATTTGTGCACGTTGTCAATGCTCAGTATACACATTGCATTTAGTGGGAACTTATTTTTTAAAGCGAATTCATTCTTGGGAACAAATCCAGCTTTCTTGTTTTGATTGGTTCATGGTTTAGTCTTTCTACTTAGGATAAGAGTAGTTTACACACCGCAGTCAGTGTTATAATATTCTGTGTTTCTTTGTGTACTTATTGTTACCAGTAAGTTTTGTACCTTCAGGTGATTATTTATTGCTCATTAAGGTCCTTTTCTTTCTTATTGAAGTGCTTCCTTTAACATGTCTTGTAGGACAGGTCTGGTGTTAATGCGGTCCGTGAGCTTTTGTCTGTCTGGAAAATTCTTTATTTCTCCTTTGTGCTTGAAGGATGTTTTCACCAGATATACTATTCTGAGGTAAAAGTTTTTTTCCTTCAGCACTTTAAACATGCCATGCCAGTCTCTCCTGGCTTGTAAGGTTTCCACTGAAAAGTCTGCTGCCAGATGTATTGGAGCTCCAGTGCATGTTATTTGTTTCTTTTATTTTTCTGCTTTTAGTATCCTTTCTTTATCCTTGGTCTTTGACAGATTTGATTGTTAAATGCGTTGAGGTAGTTTTCTTTGGGTTAAATCTGCTTGGTATTCTGTAACCTTCCTGTACTTGCATATTATCTTTCTCTAGGTTTGAGAAGTTCTCTGTTATTATCCCTTTGAATAAACTTTCTACCTCTATCCCTTTCTCTACCTCCTCTTTAAGGCCATTAATTCTTAGATTTGCCCTTTTGAGGCTATTTTCTAGATCTATAGGTATGTTTCATTGATTTTCATTCTTTTTTCTTTTGTCTTCTCTGACTGTGTATTTTCTTTTTTCTTTTTTTTTTAACACAGAGTCTTGCTTTGTCACCCAGGCTGGAGTGCAGCGGCATGATCTCGGCTCACCGCAACCTCCACCTCCTGGGTTCAAGTGATTCTCCTGCCTCAGCCTCCCAAGTAGCTGGGATTATAGACACGCGCCACCATGCCCAGCTATTCTTTGTATTTTTAGTAGAGATAGGGTTTCACCATGTTGGCCAGGCTGATCTTGAACTCCTGACCTCGTGATCCGCCTGCCTCGGCCTCCCAAAGTGCTGGGATTACAGGCGTGAGCCACTGCGCCTGGCCCTGACTGTGTATTTTCAAATAGCCTGTTTTCGACCTCACTAATTCTTTCTTCTGCTTGATCAATTATGCAATTAAAAGACTCTAATGCATTCTTCAGTATGCCAATTGCATTTTTTGGCTCCCTAATTACTTCTTGATTCTTTTTAATTATTTCAATCTCCGTTAAATGTATCTGATAGAATTTTGAATGTCTTCTCTGTGTTGTCTTGAATTTCTTTGCATTTCCTCAACACAGCTATTTTGAATTATCTGTCTGAGGGGTCACATGTCTCTGTTTCTCCAGGATTGGTCCCTGGTGCCTTATTTAGTTCACTTGGTGAGGTCATGTTTTTCTGGCTGGTATTGATGCTGGTAGATATTCTTAGGTGTCTAGACATTGAAGAGTTAGTTATTTATTTTAATGATCACTGTCTGGGCTTATTTGTACCCATCCTTCTTGGGAAGGCTTTCCAGATATTTGAAAAAACTTCGTTGTAGTGATCTAAGCTGTATCTGCTTTAGGGGGTACCCCAAGCCCAGTAATGCTGTGATTCTCACAGACATGTAGAGGTACTGCCTCGATGATCTCAGACAAGATTCAGAAGAATTTTCTGTATTATTAGGCAGAGACTCTTGTTCTCCTCCCTTCAAGGCAGCAAGTTTCCTTATGGCCTAGTGTGTGTCTAGAAACATCTTTGGGGACCTAGGGCCTGGAACGGGCACCTCATGACTCTGATTGGTGCCCTATCCTGCTGTGGCTGAGATGGTATCCAAGATGCAAGGCAAAGTCTTCCCCACTCTTTCTTCTCCTCTCCTCAAGCAGAAGGAAGGGGTCTCTCTTGGAGCTGTGAGCTGTGCAGCCTGGGGTTAGAGGAAGGGTGATGCCAGCACTCCCTTAGTCACCCCAGCTAGTATGTCAGTATGTCACATGCCCCTTCAGTCCACTGTCTGTGACCCAGTTGAGCACTAGGACTCGGTTTATTTAGAGACCCAGAGCACTTTGGCATTTGGTGATGAGGTCTGTGGGAACTCAAGTTCAGACCTCTGAGATCTGTGGTTCACCCTGGCTAGGGCTGGTCTACATGCTCCCTCTGTGGGTAGGTATCAGCCGAGTTTGGTCTGATTTTCCTTTCTTCTCTAACAGGACAGCACTGAGTTCATTTCCTCAGGATTGCTGAGCTGTCCCTTTCCCAGTGCCAGAGGTGCTCTTTGCATGGGGTCAGGGAGGGGTGGCTTCAGTGATCCAGGAGTTTTCTGTGCCTGAAGAGAAAAGTCTCATAGTACCTGGTTTTAACACTGTATGATTGAAGGAGGCACTGTCTTTTTAGTGCCTCTTTCAGTGATACCGTGTTAAAACCAGGTACTATGAGGTGTCAGGTGATTTTTGGTTCCTTTGAAGATGTTTTCTCTATATAGATAGTTGTTAAATTGGTATCCGTGGCAGGGGTGATCGGTGGAGCTTTCTATTCCACCATCTTGCTCTGCCTCCTCCCCAGCTTTCTTGTCTTGAGACAAGACACAGTAAATATTTAATAACTACTTTCTGAATCAATTAGTCCACAATAGCATCACATGCTCTTGTCAATTATAAAAGGAGGTAAAATTGTCAATAATAAAAGGAGGGTTTTTTCCCTTCATTTTGGGGATTAATGTTTAGGAGACAATATTCATTAGTACTGTTTCTAGGGGATTTATTAAATATGAAGCTTCATACACACAAAGGCTTCATCTCCCTCCCTAACACACGCCAACTCTCTCATACCGTGTAGCCAGTAAGAGTCCAGCTCAACCTTTTGTGAAAAGCAGTTTGTGTGACTGTTTTGTTTTGCTTATGTTTTTTGAGACTGAGTCTCACTCTGTCGCCCAGGCTGGAGTGCAGTGGCGCCATCTCGGCTCACTGCAAGCTCCACCTCCCGGGTTCACGCCATTCTCCTGCCTCAGCCTCCTGAGTAGCTGGGACTATAGGTGCCCGCCACCACGCCTGGCTAATTTTTTTGTATTTTTAGTAGAGAAGAGGTTTCATCATGTTAGCCAGGATGGTCTCGATCTCCTGACCTCGTGATCCGCCCGGCTCGGCCTCCCAAAGTGCTGGGATTACAGGCATGAGCCACTGTGCTCGGCCTGTGTGACTGTTCTTAAAGTTTCTTTCTTAGAATTCTTTTTTTCCCCTTAAAAAATGTCCAAAAATGTTGACTTCGGAATGCCCTCTTGATTGGACATTGTGGTCTCGTGTTGCTCTGTTAGCAGGTTGAGGGCATATTTGATCTTGAAAAATGGAGGGTCACTTAATCAATGCATTTTCCTTGGGCCAGCTGACTCTGATGTTCAAGGAGACTGAAGTGTTAAAGCTGGATGACTCTGCAGGCCACTTCTGGTTTTGTTGAAGTGAAACCCTCCATAAAGTCAGTTGATATTTTCATCTTGTTTTAACAACAGGTTCTTCACGTAGATTACATCTCCAGAAACTTCTGGATTATATATACCTGTTAAAAATTCCTTTCATAATCCTTCCTAATTTAGCCCTTAGTAAAGATTAATCCCTAGCTCTGTCATTGTGCCTATCCAATAATTACAACTGGGCCTTGTTTTGAAGCTGTCCTTAAGCATTAGTTACGTTTTGAACTACTGGCCTCATAGCAGAAGTCTCTTAAATTCTTTCTTAAAGGATGAGTTGAGGAAGCGTTTACAGAAAGAATTCAATTTGAAATATTCTTCTGATTAGGAGTTCTCCAATGGAGGAAATACTGGAATGGAATCCTGATTATTATTACGTTTGTTATTGTATTTTTGTCATAGCCTTTACCCTGAAGTCATCATGTCCAATAGAACTTTCTGCAATAAAAATAGTTTATATCTGTGCTGTCTAGTGGGGTATCCATTCACCAAATGTGGCTACTGAGCACTTAAAATGTGACTAGTGTGACTGAGCAACTGAGTTTTAAAATTCATTTAATTTTACTTAATTTTAAATTGTTACCTTACTGGCAGCATGAATCTAGAACAGTGAATGGTTTTACCACTTCCCTCCAGGGGACATTTGACAATGTATGGAGGCATTTTTGGTTGTCACAAGTTGGGGAGTGCTTCTACCATCTAGGGGGTAGAAGTCAGGGATACTGCTAAACATCCTGCAATGCACAGGACAGCCATCACAGCAAAGAATTATCTAGCCTAAAAGGTCAATAATGCTGAGGTTGAGAAATGCTGGTTTTGAGTCTGAGATTTTTGAGACGAGGATTGCTTCCCTGTCTCAGTGCCTAACATTGTGCTATGTGTATATTATTTAGTTCATGGTCTCTAAATTGCAGAAAATTAACTGAAACAGAGACCAATTAGTCAACACCAAAATCACTGGAAGTGCATCATTTTTTAGACAAAAATAAGGCAATACAAAACTTCGGAGACACATGCAATGAAAGTAATAATCTTTGTAAGCTCACTAAAGCAGTAAACTACAATAAGTAAAGGGTAACACTAAAGATGAACAGGCATACCACAAAAATACTGTCTGCACACAGTAAGCTATGTTTGATGTGCACAAAATAGCTTCATGTTATTAAGGCAAATGTCAGTATTTAACATTTGCAAAATATGGGCAAACTATTTTAAAATCAAAATAGAGTACAAAGAAATGAAACATTACTCATTCAATTTCTGATTACCAAGAGAGATATATATGTTCTTTTTAAACTCCATTAGTTAAAAGTTAAATAATATGTTTCTCATTTTATTGTTGAGACTGGAGCACCTTGGAGAACTTAAGTAACAAGTTCAAGTTATGACAGCCAGTTATTAGCAGCTTTTGGTTTCAAACTTAGTTCTATCTTCAAAGTAAGTGAAATCAATTCTTAACTTGTATAGCATCTAGCTTTCTATGTTTTAGATGAAGAAATTATTGCAGAAAGTTTAAAAGAATTACCAGGTAACACAGTTAGTGGCAAATCAGGAATTAGAATGCAGATCAAGCTGGTTGGCCTCTAACCTCGTGAAATTTCTAATCACAGCCTATTTTTTGTTGTTGACAGACAAGGCTGCTTTTGTTTTGCTTTGTTTTGATTTTCCAAATCAAACTACCTATTATGTGGTGAATCACAGTAGAGAAATTTGTGGTTTGTACTTATTTTAAAACTTGATATTTTATGTAAACTTAATCCTTGTAGATGGCATCAAAATGAGAACTAGAATATACTTAAAAATCAGAATTCATTAAGCTGATAGTCGAACCACAGAGCAGAAAAGTATCATGTCCTCTGAAAGTCATTGTCTTTTAGCTCAGCGGTCCCAACCTTTCTGGCACCAGGGACCAGTTTTGTGGAAGATAGTTTTTCCTCAGACGAGGGGTAAGGGGATGGTTTTAGTATGATTCAAGCACATTATATTTGTTGTGCACCTTATTTCTATTATTATTACATTGTAATATACAATGAAATAATTATACAACTCACCATAATGTAGAATCAGTGGGAGCCCTGAGCTTGTTTTCCTGCAACTGGATGGCCCCATCTGGGGGTGATGGGAGACAGTGACAGATCATCAATTATTAAATTCTCATAAGGATCTGGCAACCTAAATCCCTTGCATGCACAGTTCACAAGAGGGTCCACTCTCCTATGAGAATCAAATGCCACCACTGATCTGACAGGAGGCGGAGCTCAGGCGGTAATGCCAGTGATGAGGAGTGGCTGTAAATAAATACAGATGAAGCTTGGCTCACTTGCCTGCTGCTTACCTCCTGCTGTGACCAGTACCAGTCCATGGCCTGGGGGTTGGGCACCCTTGTTCTAGTTGATACAAAATTATCTTCCAAACTGAGAATTCTCATTGCGACTGTTTTGTACATTTTAAAGCTAATGCTATATAATAGTTTTATGGCTATGATCACAGCCTTATAAAAATCCCGTGTTAAAGATGTAACAATTTCATATGTTTTGTGCTAAAATGAGCCTTTGGATAAGTTAACCCCCCCTCCTCCCCTCCCCTCCTCTCCTCTTCTTTTTTTTTCTTTTCTTTTGATGGTGCCAGAGAGGATAGAGAAGACTTGCTATAGAATGGACTTCTGAAATTCATTTCTCTCTATTCCTCTTACCTTTTGTCCATCCTCTCTCCTTCCCTTTCTTCCTTTCACTAATATTTATTAACTGCCTACAACATGACAGATGCTGAACTAAGACTTTGAGGTTTAAAGAAAAAAGATAGGGACATTAATCAGTTTGATATTAAAAAAATTGTCTTCAACACGTCCATCCACACTCCACTCCCCATCCCTGAAGACTCAATCTCTCAAGTGTCTGTGTTCCCACAGCTTGTTGTTTGCTCACATAAAATTAGTTAAGGCATATGGTAGGTCTCTTTAATAAAAAGATGCAAAAATACAGTACCTTAGAGAAGATGGCAAGATAGTGGTTTAATTCCATCTCAGATAATAGTTCAGAAGTGGATGCATGGTCTGGTGAGCAGCTCTCCCATCTTCAGCATGAGGCTTCAGCATAAGGCCAGGGTGTTTTGTTGACTCTCTGCCTTGCCTTTGAGCATCATGAGAACATGGAATATTTATTTTAAGAGACAGGTTCTCTTCTGTTGCCCGGGCTGGAGTGTGGTGACATGATCATACCTCACTGCAGCCATGAACTACTGAGCTCAAGCGGTTCTCCTGCCCAGTCACCAGAGTAGCTAGGACCACAGGCCACCTTACCTGGCTATTTAAAAAAAATGTGTAGAGACAGGGTCTCACTATGTTGTCCAGGCTGGTCTTGAACTCCTGGTCTCAAGTGATTTTCCCACCTTGGCCTCCCAAAGCATGTTTGTCCATTTTTACATACCTAATGATTAGCACCATATTAGATCATCAGTAATATTAAAATGAATTTTGAAAAATGTTTAAAAACTTTAATGTAGCATTTTCAGTTGTTCTATCAAACATAACATTTTATTCTAGGAACTTTATCTCACTCTGGGATTAGATAGGTTTAGGGCTTGCTTGCTTAGGATTTTCTCTCCTATAGGCCTTCCATGTCCATTTACTTCCAGAATTGGAAGAATATTATAAAAGGCATCTAGTCATGTGGAAACAGCCATGAAGACTAGAAAGGTTGGAGTGAACAGCCATAACCCATAAACTGGACATAAACTGGAAGTGTGAGTTAAGATGACTTTTTTAGGTACAAGTGGCAGGAACCCAATCTGAATTAAGCAAGAGAGGATGGTATTGTCAATCAAGAAAAATGACGAGGTAAGTCTCAATGATTTTAGGAAGTTTATTTGCCAAAGTTAAGGATGCACTCCCATGACACTGCCTCAGGAGGTCCTGATGACATGTGCCCAAGGTGGTTAGGGCTCAGCTTAGTTTCAGACATTTTAGGGAGACCTGAGACATCAATCAATATATGTCTCCCGTTCAGAAATATGGGGACAGCTCGAAGCAGGGAGGGGGCTTCTAGGTCACAGGTAGGTGACAGAAAAATGGTTACATTCTTTTGAGTTTCTGATAAGCCTTTCCAAAGGTGGCAGTCAGAATATGCATCTATCTCAGTAAGCAGAGGGGATGACTTTGAATAGAATGGGAAGCAGGTTTGCCCTGAGCAGTTTCCAGCATAAATTTTCCTTTTAGCTTAGTGATTTTGGGGGCTCAAGATGTTTTTCTTTCACAGTATCTTATGGAGAATGGGGGTCTTAAGGCACCCACTGAGAGGCCTCATGCAAAGGTGGAAACAAACATAGTGAGTCTTTCTGTCTTTCAACTCTGTTCCTTTCTGATATGTGCCAAACTGCTTTCATGCTGAAGATTATCTTTTGTTTTTTTCTGTCCACTAGATAGATCCAACACAATCTGAGTTTTAACCAGAGAGAGCCAGAGTTGATTCACTACTTTCTTTGGGTTAGTGTAAAATCTTGGCTGCTGTATTATTATAGAGACTCGAGTCCCCTTTTGGTAGATTGTTTTCAGAGATGGCTGCTACACCTTCCCCCATGATCTTTTGCAATGTGGCTTTGTGGCTTCTCTCATCAAGAAATCAAATATTCCCTCTCTCAGAATCTGTGAACCTGTCTTAACATTTGCCTTAACTAACAAACTGGTTGTGGCAGAAGTGACACTGAATGAGTTTTGCACCCGGGCCTCAAGAGACTTTTTAATGTTTGTTTCTGCCCTGTTGTAATGCTGACATGAGAGAAGAAGGCATGAAGACCCCAGATGAAATACTAAATAGAAAAAGAAGTGTGGCTCTCCCAGCTGATCTTAACCCCCTGCTGACAGCAGTGCTAATTGCTAAATGGGAATGTGGCCATTTGAACCTTCTAGCCTAGCTGACCCTGTAGTTGAAAGCCTCTGTATTAGAAAGTTCAGAGAATACCCGCCATGCCTCCAGTCATGGGAACTAATAAATGGTTATTGGTTTAAGACACTCACTTCTGGAGTGTGGTTTTGTTTGTTTGTTTTTATTGTTTTAATGCAGCAATATGTAACTGTTAGACTCTTCTAGACACTCTGGGCCAGGAGTGGAGTCACACAGGAAAATGAGAGCTCCCTGGGTAATTGCATGTACATAGTACTGATTAAAGGCACCATAGTTAACAGAGCTGTAGGAAATGGCTCTGAGAAGAAGGCATGGTTATAAGCAAACAGGGCAGTAATACTGAACTACAAACTATGTATTTCATTTGTGAATATCCACAAAACAGGGTGGTAAGATTATTTTTTGAAATGAGCCCCCAAAAGCAATATTGAATTTGCACCATCTTTCTGGCCCAATATTAGGAAATTTCTATTTCTTATTCCCTCTTTCACTTTCACCCCACTTACCAGGAAAGGAATAGATTCCTAAGCCTTAGTGGCATAGAGAAACCTTTCTTCTGACCTTCAGCATTTGTAACTTTAGAGGATGAATTGTTCCTATATTGCAGATTGCGTCAGTAACATTAGGGGTCATTTTTATCACCAATGAATATTTTAAAGCCATCCCTTTATGATTGGACTATATGGTTAATACTGCTGAGCTTATCTAGTTGGAACATTGCTTGGGAAGGGGGCGATATTCATAAGAAAGACTAAACAATAACAGCAGCTGCTGATAAATGGACAGTGTTGGGTTTCTCTCATTTGGTATGGTTGACAAGGCATGAATGACAGTTGGAAAACAGTTCTGGAAGAAGCAACAAAAGCCCTGGATCTTTTAATATTCTATTTTAAAAATTCTGCAGTTTTGTGGCATTTTGGTTGTAGAGGATACAGACAGAAATGGACAGCTGTATGTCTACTTCAATTTTTAATTTTCTCTCTATTTTTAACTTTTCCCTTTAGCAATGCTACCATTATATAATGATCTATTTAGTACATTTTGGCATCATTGATATTAGCATTTCTCAAGAGGCTACAACTAAGAGTAGAAAAATACAAAGGATCAAAGCATATTGGAACTTAAATAAGTTAAAGCATTTTTTAAAATGTATTTTAAGTTCAGGGGTACATGTGCAGGAGGTGCAGGTTTATTACATAGGTAAACATGTGCCGTGGTGGTTTGCTGCACCTATCAACCAATCACCAAGGTATTAAGCCCAGCATGCATTAACTATTAGTTACAGCATTAAAAACAAAAACAAAACTGAGGCCCAGTGAGATTCAACTCTGTGGTAGAGGGCATGTGGAATATGGGAACATTAGGCCATTTTTTTATGTTTTCGAAACAAATAAATGCCATTTTCTGTGTTATCTTTATTCTTGAGTTTTTTGGTAGGTGTTGCATAGTAGACAGTTGACATTGCCACCACCTCCACCACCAGCTAAATAGCACTCTTCAGTGGTCATGAGAACTTTATTTCTTGTTGCATTTCTAAATTTACTATTGAAATCTCAAATTCTTCTTCCGACTCTTAATATTAGGAAGTACTTGAACTCTTAACTCACAGTATTCTCCATAGTTGGTAAGGGTATGAGTGAGAGGGAATTCATCTAACTTCATACCCTGACAGTTACTTATGAATTATACATAGGCAAGAGTCATCTGATTATACTCCTCCCTTATGAGCTGCAGACTTGGAAATTAGTGTCCAAAGCATTTATTCAAACAGACAGCAAAGATATTCTGGCACAGTTTAATGAAGACCAGTAAACTTTCATCTGCCTGAAATTTTAAAATGTGGAATCCTCAAATAATGAAACTTTGAACACGGCTTTTGTTTATGTTGTTTGTATATGCCTTAGATTGGTGTCTAATAAATTCCAACCAGTTAACTTTTGGAATTTTTTTTTAAATAAATAATGAACAGGATACATAATTAGAAAGGTACTATGTGATTCTTCTTGGCATGATAGTGTCTGGGTACCACCAAAGCAATATCCATGGTAACAGATACAAAATCTCTTCATGATAACTAAGGGCTTTCTAAGCTTATATTCTTTAGAAAGCTACACTGAAGGTTTAAGGTAAATCAATTGCATATGAGTCGGGAAGAAAAACCACTGTATAAATCAAAAGCAATCACTTAGACAATTAGGAGATGGCAGAGACCATGAACTACTCAACTGGGATAGAATTGCCAAATATATCCGCACATTCAAGCATTTAAATCCACTTATCATAAAGTAGTTCTAAACTTCAAACTTATTGTTCACTGGCTTGTTAATCATATTTCAAAAACAATGAAACAATGGCATCATATTTTTGTAATGATATTATATATTCTTTAATTCAGGACAGATGGCTGTTCTTATATTCCACAGAAAATACATTTCCTAATTATGGAGCCTAGGAGATAAAAGTATTAGCTTAATCTCTAACCCTTTTAGTTATTTGAGCCAAACCCACATGGAGTTTGCTAAAGAGCTCTGTCACATTGGTACAATTTCTATATGTTTCTTTCTGAGGAGCTGAGAGCATCTTCTGTGAGTAACCTAGAGCATGTAAGTACACATAATGAAAATGCTCCCTTGGAATTAACTCACAACTTGATTTATGCAGGTTGGCCGACTCGTGTATGTGAGACCTGCTTGGGCTCCAGCTGCGGTTAAACATGTCTGTGGGACCAGTAGCCTGACTTTCCAATCAGAGCTTTGTTGCTGTGACTGCTGCTGTGGAGATTCAAGCCACACACAAACCAGCTGAAGAGAAGGAAATTTATCTTAAGCTTGAGTAGGGTTCATGGGAATCTAAAAATAGGAACTGCTTACTATACAGCTGGTCCTCATGGGGCCCCTACCTGGAAAATTTAAGTGAAAGCAATCTGTCAACAACTGGATGATTTCTCTACTATAAGAACAGCCAATATTTACTGAGCTCTTAGCCCATACCAAACACTTGTTATGTGTGTGTGTGTGTGTGTGTGTGTGTGTGTGTGTGTGTGTGTGTGTGTCTGTACTGTGTATATTCATTTGCATTCCTTACCACATTATGACTAAGGTACTCTCATCTTCCTTTATATATGGATGAGAAAACTGGTTCTTAAGAGTAGCCGAGAGACTTACCAAGGCCACAGGTTGATAATTACTAGAACAGGAATTCAGATGCAGGTGGAGTGCTCCCAAGGCCCACTTACTTCACCACTGCAATGTTTTGTGTCCAGCAGAGAGCTTGCCCCATTCTCTTCTCTGTGCAGAGCACTTGATGTTTGAGCATAAGATATGGGATTAAAACCCATCTTACCAAAACAAAAGGATGGGAATCTGACCTGATTTTATTAAATCAATTCTAGGATGGCAGAATTATTTCTCCATTTAGAGGAAAAATATATTATGTCCCAATTTCTAACCTATACTATTTCTCCAAATGAGCTAGTGGCAAGATAACCAGGACAGGGTGAATAGATATTTGTAAAGAGGAAATGTCCAGGTAGCAAAGATCCACCAGTCATAGATTTATTTGCATGGGGTTTTTTTTTTTTTTTTGTACTTGTCTTGCCAGAGACAAGAATAAAAGGAAATGATTTATGTGAAATTCACATAAAACAAATGGCATGTGATTGCATGATCTGTCTATATGAAATAGTTGTGCCTCATCCTTCCTAACAGGAAGGATGGAAAGAGGAAAATCCTTTTCAGCTGGGTGCGGTGGCTCATGCCTGTAATTCCAACACTTCGGGAGGCTGAGGCAGGTGGATCGCCTGAGCTCAGGAGTTTGAGACCACCCAGGGCAACATGGTGAAACCCTGTCTCTACTAAAAATACAAAAAAAAATTAACCGAGTATGGTGGCACATGCCTCCAGTCCCAGCTACTTGGGAGGCTGAGGCAGGAGAATGGCTTGAGACGCCAGGTGAAGTTTTCGGTGAGCCGAGATCGCATCACTGCACTCCAGCTTGGGCTACAGAGTGAGACTCCATCAAAAAAAAAAATAAAAAAAGGCTTATTCATGACTTTTGTGTTCCATTATATCATTAGGTACTTTTTCTGCATGGCTTCTAATTTTTCTCATTTAATGTGTTAGTATGGCAATTACATTCCTAAATATTCTATGTTGAACCATTCTTGAATTCATGGGAAAAAAAACCTACTTGGTCATGATGACTGTATATATGGGTATATGCAGTCATATATATACACATGCATAAAACATATACGTATATACATATATACATACATATATACACACATATATACACACGTAACATACGTACTTTTTAAATACTTTGATATATTTTACTTGTTGATATTTAAGATAATTGCATCCATGTTAATATATGGAATTAGATTACATTTTCCTTGCCTTTCTTTCTTTCTCTCTCTCCTCTCTCTTCTCACTGTGACATGTATCTCTTAGACAAGAAGTAGGCAAAGTTGTTTTTATATAAAGTAACAGAAACAATTTAAGGTTTTTATGCCAGTTTGAAAAATCAAAGTTATTAGATAGATATTTAAACCACAACCATTTAAAAAGGTAAAAATCATTCTTAGTTTGCAGGCACTATTAAAACAAGTGGCAGTCTGAGTGTGGCCCATGGGCCAAAGTTTGCTAATTCCTGTCCTAGGGTCCTAAGACATAGGGCCATTCCACTGGTTAGAAAATATTTATTTATTCCAGCCAAGGGAAGGCTCATTTGCCAAATTAGGCATTAATGATGGCAGATACCTCACTTTGTTGATGTGAAACATTTACAGCTGAAATTCTGTTGTTGTTTTTTTTTTTTCCATTTGTGTGTCTTGTAATTTGAAAGATCTTTTTAATGGGGAAAAAATAGTCTTGAGGTTGGAACTGCCTTTCAGGAAGAAAACTTCTGGGGTGATTTTGACAGCCAACGATAGATTGAAGCCTCCTGGAGTATCCAAGGGTGACTGGCCTCTTCAAGAGGTTTTGCAAGGGCTCATCCCCCTTCTCTGTTTCTGCCAGGCAGTGGGGGTGAGAGCAGGCCTGAAGAAAGACACCTGGATAATAGGTCAAGCATCCAGTGGGAGGGTGCGGATGGCCTGAGGTGAATCTACTGCCTGCCTAGAGCATATAAGTAGCAGATGGACTAATGGACACATGTCATTCTTTCTTTTCATCCTTGTCCTACCCTTATTAACTCTGACCTCTGTGCTTTTTACTTTTTTACTTTTTTCCCTATTGTTATTTTCAGATTTTGTGAAACATGGTCTCACTCCATACACTGAAATGTAAACAGACATTTTAGCAGCAGATAATTTTAATATGCTGGACTTTCCTAAAGTCTTTATACTACCCATGATGACCCTGGATGTATTATCCAAAGGAGGAAATGACCAGATGACAGTCACACAGAGAGGAGCCATTGCAGGATGAGCTTGAAAGTTCACCCTTACCTGATGATCATGTAAAATAAAAATAACATTCTAAGCCCCCCAGCCATCTGAATGGACCCCTCTTCCTCCTGGTCCAGGGCATTCCAAAGTTAACCTGAAAAACTAGTTCAGGCCATGATGGGAGGTGGGAGCCAGACATGCCTCATTATACCCGCCTGCCTTTTGAAATTACTGCTACAACAGACCCTAAGTCTGATAAGAGACACTTACAATCTATTATCTCTGAAGCCTGCACCTGGAGGCTTCATCTGCATCATAAAACTTTGGTCTCCACAACCCCTTATGGTAACCCAGACAGTCCTTTCTATTGGTAATAACTCTTTCAACCAATTGTCAATCAGAAAATCTGTGAATCCACCTAGAACTTGGAAGCCTGGCTTCCACTTGTCCTACCTTTCCAGACTGAACCAATGTACATCTTACGTGTATTAATTGATGCTTTATGTATCCCTAAAATGTATAAAACCAAGTTGTGGCCGGGCCACCATGGCCACATGTTCTCAGCATCTCCTGAGGGCTGTGTCATGAACCATTGATCAGTCATATCTGGCTCAGAATAAATCTCTTCAAATATTTTGCAGTTTGACTCTTTTTGTGAACAATCACATTTGACTACCAGACATCTGAGGAACTTTGGAGACCTCAAAGAATCTTAGAGATCTTCTAGCTCAGCAGTTTTTAAGGCTTTTGTCTGGGGAATACAGACCCCTCTGAGATTCTGAGGAAAAGGAAGGATTCTCTTTCCCCCACAAACATAGAGAAACACAACACACACTCAAACACATTACATACAACTTCAGTTTCATGAATTCCCTGTGAACCACCATTTAGTCTACTTTAAGAATGCCCGATCTCCTCTAATCCCCTAAATGGCCTAAGGAGGGTAAGGCATTAGCTAAGCAAGCAATCCTTTCTCTTACTTCACATAGGAAGACAGTGCCATCTATTATAAATTATGTTCAATTTCTGCACTTACTGTTTAGAAGTGTCTTTCTACTTCATAAAATTCATGCAACTTATACTTTGCTCATATTTGATTCAAATTTTTCTTTGTAAATATAAGGAAGCATTCAATATAGAGAAGAAGATTTAAAGGTAGTATTTTCTTTGTTTTAAGCACTGACTTATAAAAACAAAGTTTAAAAAAAGAAAAGTAATAAAGATGTCCTAGTATTACAGAAAAAGGGTTCCAATCCAGACCCCAAGAGAGGGTTCTTGGATCTCATGCAAGAAAGAATTCAGGTCAAGTCCATAGAGTAAAGTGAAAGCAAGTTTATTAGAAAAGTAAAGGAATAAAAGAACAGCTACTCCATAGACGGAGCCAGTCCTGAGGGCTGCTGGTTGCTCATTTTTGTGGTTGTTTCTTGATTATATGCTAGACAAGTGGTGAATTATCCATGCCTCCCCTTTTTAGACCATACAGGATAAATTCCTGACGTTGCCATGGCATTTGTAAACTGTCATGATGTTGGTGGGAGTGTAGCAGTGAGGACGACCAGAGATCACTCTCGTCACCATCTTGGGTTTGGTGGGTTTTAGCTGGTTTCTTTACTGCAACCTGTTTTATCAGCAAGATCTTTAGACCTGTATCTTGTGCTGACCTCCTATCTCTTCCTGTGACTTAGAATGCCTTAACCATCTGGGAATGCGGCCCAGTAGCTTTCAGCCTTATTTTACCCAGCTCCTATTCAAGATGGAGTTGCTCTCGTTCAAATGCCTATGACACTAGGAGCTTTAGTGTATAGCCCATTTGCCAAAAACAGTACAAGACATGCTCTTATGAGATGTTGCTAATTAATGGTTCCTTAAATATAATTGATTTTTATTTTTCACTTTTTGAAAGATCAAAAAGTATTTGATAGCTGCTTTATGTAAAGCTATCTGAACTGGAAGTAAACAAATAATAAAATGTAGCAGCTTTCTACAGAAATTCAAATTTAAGGAATCTCTGGGGCAATTATATGTAAAACTGATGATAATTTATATCTGTGTGTGTGTAAAATAACAATTCTGAAATGGCTTCATTTCAAAGCAAAACACACAAGTAGTTAGTCCAAAATCATACATTTCTCAAATTATGAGATCCAGAGAAGCTGAAAGACCCAATTTAAACAATTTAAACTCTACATAAGAACTGTGAAATACTTTCTCTTCTTTATTGTTTACTCAATAATCTAAAAATAATCAGAACTAGCTCACTAAATCCTTTTCCTTTTACACCTACTCTGTTTAGTTTAAATGGAAAAGGCTGAGATTTCACATTTGTACATGGATTTATAGTGCTTGAAGTGAAATAATATTTTCTGGTTTAGTGGCATTTATTGCTTATCAAATCTTTAAATTTTTTAAGGTTATATTTACAATAATTATGTTTAATTTTATATATAAAATGAAAATTAATAAGCAAACTTTGGAAGAGTTAGCCAACTTAAAGCACTATTGCTTGCCTTCTTTTATTTTTATATTTTATTTTTTTGGAGACTGAGTTTCACTCTTTTTGCCCAGGTTGGAGTGCAATGGCACAGTCTTGGCTCACTGTAACCTCCACCTCCTGGGTTCAAGTGATTCTCCTGCCCCAGCCTCCCAAGTAGCTGGGATTACAGGTGCGCGCCACCATGCCCAGGTAATTTTTATATTTTTAGTAGATACAGGGTTTCATCATGTTGGCCAGGCTGGTCTCAAACTCCTGACCTCAGGTGATCTGCCTGCCTCCACCTCCCAAAATGCTGGAATTACAGGCGTGAGCCACCGCACCTGGCCTGCTTGCCTTCTTTTAGATGTGCTCTCAACTTCAAGATTTTCTGTACCATTTAACTTGGAGGAAGATAAATTTTCTTATCTTCCCCCACAGATGCAGTGTAGTGATACTGGTTGTCTTCCTGCTTGGGCAGGATGCCTAAGTACTTAATTGTTCGGTCTCTACATAAGAATCACTTTGCTGAACAATGAAATGCAGCTGCCTCTAGGGTAGAATGCAGCAGCTATTGAGCAGCACAAGCCCTACTACCGGTCAGTTTGGGGCCTCGCAAGGGGAAGAGTGCAAATCCATTTCCAAAAAAAAGGGAAGAAATTGACAGCCAATGGAATTTTTAGTTTTTGCAAATTGGCTCTGCCCCACCAATATTCTCTTTTAGTCCATGTCATCTCTTTCATAAATTTAGTATGTTTTCTTCCTTCTTTCTTGACAGTCTTTTTTTTTTTTGTCTTCTGCCAGTTTTCCTCCCCCTTTCTAGTTAATTCCCCTAATTGTCAGCAATTGTGCTTAGTAATTTTTGGTTTCAAGTCAGCTCTCAACAAGAGTTGTCTCTTGAATATTTAGAATTAATCTTGACATTTTATGTCCCTCTGTGCATGCTGATGGAGGTTCTTTAACTTGCTGAGGGAGAACAAGTGGCTTATAGAAATCATAGGTCTGCCAGAGGCTGGAAACTGTGCCAATGGTGGCCAGGGACAGAATCAGAGTCTTAGAGAGTTTTCTAGTTAATTAGATTTGGTCACATGACCTTTGTGACTCAACCAATGGCAATAAATAATGAGACACACAATCCCAGGCCAGAAGCCTTCTGCTAGTATATCTAGTTAGCAGAAGTGGAATCTCTACTAGGATTATGACTGCAGGGCCTTCGTCAACTGCACCTTTTCCAGAAATCCCTCTTAAGCTTTCCCAATGTAAACTTATTTCTCTCTTCTCTGAACTTCTCTGGACTTCTTTTATTCTTTATACTTGGAAACTCATCACACATAATTGTGTGGATTCCTTTTGTTAAACTCTGCAGAGGAATCTTCAGTGGGAAGAGTGGCTTACCTTCTTATCCCCTAATTTTCACTCTGTCTTAATTTTTACATAAATTTGATCATTCTTTTCCCTACCATGTTCATCTCCAGGACTTCCCTCCCTTCACTGTCCTCCCTCTACTATGTTTCTCCATGTCTTCCCTGCCAACATGTATCTTCTCAAAATGCACACACATACATGCTTATCTCAGTACAGTTAATAGAATTTGTTCATTTTCCCAACTGGATTGTAAAGAGGGTTTCTTAACTTTCACAGATCTATCACATTAAATTGCCTACAGTTGTTACTAAAAACTCTTGAGATATATATGGAATAATTCATTCAACATTTATTGAGCCTTACTTTGTGCATTTCACAGCAGCTTCTTGCCAAGAAGAAACCTATGTATTTTGAAGTTCTGGTGTTAAACAACTGTATTTTAGCTTTATGATTAAATTAAAATGAGGATTAAGTTTTTCTTCTGCTCATATTGAAATAAGTGACTAGAATAGATCACGGTTTATATGGACAGGAATCTCACTTAGCAAACAGTAGGCTGATGATTGACAGCACCATCACCCTCTCCCTGTTCCTCAAACTCTACTTCCAGTGGTCATGTCTTAGGACAAGATACTTATTCAGAACCAGAGCTGGTTTTATGCTACTATTTCTTAATATTCCACAGGCTTATTGTTGGTTAAAGACCTGCATATTCAAATGCCTCTAAGTTAAGCTTGATGTATTCCCCAACTCTAAAGGCCGTAGTTCCCCTGGGCACAGTTATGACCACGGGAACTTCTCTTGTAACACTCAGCCTGCAGGTAATTTAACTCATGATTTTATGTAGCAGCTCTACCCTGGTGACTCTTGCATTTGAACCTTTGCCTGTATCTTTCCTGAGAACTACAGACTCACATATCCAACTGCCTACTAGATAGCTCTGTTGGGATGTCTAGGAGACATATCAAACTTAAGAAGTTCAAAGCCAAATTTCTGTTTTTTTCTCCCCAAACCTGCTCTTGCCCCAGTTTTCTGTGTATCAGTTGTAATTTCTCAGGTTGTATTTGGGGTCATACTCAACTCCTCTCTCTAATAACCCTCATCTCTTCTATCTTCAAACTCTTGGCTCTACCTTCAATATGTACTCAGAATTTATATGTAGAATGTAATATATTCAATTGATGGCATATCATGTAGCAGAGAATGAAATATATATATATATATATAAAAACATGGATGAATCTCATAAATGTAATGTTGAAAAAAAGCAGTGAGCCACAAATATACAACCTATGCTTTTATCTATATAAAGGAAAAAAACAGGCGAAACTTACTTATGCTATTAGAAGTCAGGTTGCCCGTGAAGCTTAGTGACTGGGAGGCATTGTATGGGAGCTTCCAGATGTTTACTTGGTCAAAATTAAGCTATATATTGATGATATGTGTACTTTTTTGTATATGATACCTATGTTAAAATAATATGGACATGTCTTTCTACCTCTCTGATCCAAACAACGCCATCTCTTAACCGGATCCTGGGGATGGCCTCCTATTTGCTTCTCTTTCTGCCACCATGCTCTCCTCAGTGTGTAGCCAGAGTGATCTTCTAATATGTAACTGGGTTTGTGCCACTTCTGTTCAGAAGTTGCCAATGGCTCTCCATCTTTTGCAAGGTGGAAGCCAAAGGCCTTACAGGCCCCACCTGTTCTGTTGTACTGTGCTTAGTTCTCTGGATTTACTTCCCCTTACTCACATCCCTTCTTTCTGGGCTCCAGCCACATTGACCACAGAGTTCATTGATGCCAACCATCTTTCATCCTCGGGACATTTCTGCTGTCTTGTGACCCTAACTTAACTCTGTCCCTAAATGCATTTAGGATTTTCTCCCTCGGTCCTTCTGATCTCTGCTGTAGTTTTTTCTTACCAGCGAGGCCTCCCATGACCATCCTGTATGAAATAGCACCTCTGCTGATCTCACCCATGTTAACACACTTTGCTTTTTTTCCCCACAGGAAAATGATTCTATGAAAAGCTGTATTTATAATTTGTTATTATCTGTTATTTTTCTATATTTTCCAGAATATTTAATCCATGGGGGCAGGGATATTTAGTGTGTGTTTGTTTGGTGCCTTCCTTTTTGTATTTTCAGTGCCTAGAGAAGTGCCTGACACACAGCTAGCTGGACTTTAGTGAATATTTGTTGAATAAATAAAAACAACTGGGAAACAGGTACTCCATTGTGATTGAGAAAATGAGCAAGAACTACAGTACTTACTAGATCCTATGATAGGGTATTTCTAACTTTGTAAGTATATCCCAAAGAAAAAAATGAAAGAAATAGCCACTTGCATGTTATTGTTTGTATGCTCTTCACAATTGCTATATACAAAGGCTAACAAAAGGGAAAACTCAGCTAAATGGTTCTAAATTGAGGGAAGAAGGAGGTGGGCAGGAGAGAAGATCCCAATCTCCTGTTAAGGGTGGTCTTGCATATTCCATAGGGAAACACATTGTTATTGATTGGAAGAGGTCTTATCCCATTTCCCATGTTGAAATATGAAAATGTTTGAAAAACACTAACAAGTGCTTCAGTGTGATTTAATACATATGGAAAACAGATGACCATGTTAACATGAAATGATATTTAAGTAGAAAAGCAGAATAAAGAATAGTAAGTAGACATGGTTTTTTTTTATTTTATTCATTAAAATTAATAAAGGTGGAAAGAATAATTTAATTAAGATATAAGTTTAATTTTTGACTCAAAATGCAGAACTTCAGCTGATAAATTTTCCAATAGAAAATGACCTTTTTCCCCCAATTTTATGCATGTACTATAAAATGTAAGGTAATGGATTAAACACATCCTACTTTAAGATTTACTGTTGAAACACACGTCTTATTTTTACCTCAAGAATAAATGAATTAAGTAAAGATATTTTTTTTTCTTTTTTGGATGTGTTGGGGGAATAGGCATTCTTTCCAGAAGAGTGGGCAGAGGTGAAACTAGTTGCCACACTTTAATTATAACGATAGTAGACTCTCCTCAGGTACGTTAGAATACACTAAGAAATTCAGCTAAGATTTACCTGTCTTTACACTGCAACACTAGAGAACTTTCTAGAGGAGTACCATCCCATACCTATTTAATTGTGATGCTTGCTAATATGTCATTCAGCAACAATTTCTTATAAGTACTCCCCAACCTGCTACTTTTTGCTTCATCTCCCATTGTCTAACAAATTTAATTTCCCAGGATTTCTCAACCTGACAATCCATTGTCACCAAATAAATACAATCATTCCTGCCTCTGAACTGTTTATCGATCTGGGAACTTCACTTTCCTCTTTTCTTACTTTAAATGCCCATTTTTGTCTTCAGGACATTGAATGATCCATCAGATCCAATCCCTGCCTTGGCATTATCTCCCCTATTATTCAATCCATGCCTTGGCATTATCTCCTCTATAATCTCACTCATTCCTGCCTCTGTGTTCTTCACCCTTACTGAAAACTCATTTTAATTAATTATAAAGAATTGTGTCCAAAACCAGTAAGATGACTTCCTTGAAACAGGTGCTAAATGATCCTCGCTTCAAAATAATCACCGCCTTTCTTTGCATTGCCATGATTTTAAAAATAAATTATATTATTGCACACTGTATTTACTTCATTTGCTTTTGTCTTTATATACTTATAACTTTTTTCAACTTTCTATTTTAGCAACTTCATAAAAAATCGAGACCATATGATCTGATCTTTATAGTATTAAAGTGCTATACAATTAGGGGAGCCCAGTGAGTTAGCTGAGACTTTTTGTAATACATAATGCAGAAGACACAGGGAGGAGTAGTAAAGATGAGCTTAGCAGGGTTGTTTGTGTTGTTCATAAAAGATGAAGTAAGCAAGTTGGTTAATTTAAAAAAAATTATAGTTATTATCATTGTGTTCATTTCCTATTGCTACTGCAACATATTACTACCCGCTTATTGGCTTAAACAATGTTAATTTATTATCTTATAGTTCTGAAAGTCAGAAGTTTAAAATCAGTTTCACATGCTAAAGTCAAGATGTTGGCAGGCTGGTTCCTTCTGGGAGGTGTCAGGGAGAATTTATTTCCTTGCCTTTTCCAACTTTTAGAGGCCACTGCATTCCTTGTTTCGTGGCCCCTTTTTTGCAATAGCATCACTCCTACCTCTGCTACCACTGTCACATCTCCTTTTATCTATTGATCCTCTTACCTCTGTCTTATAAAGACCCTTCCAATGACACTGGGCCCACCTAGACAATCCTGAAAATCTTCCCCTCTCCAGACCTATAGTTTAACCACACATGCACGGTGCCTTTTGCTATATAAGGTAACAAATTCTCAGGTTACTGGGATGAGGACATGGACATTTGGTAGAAGGGGCATTATTTTGACTATCACAATCCCTACTAGTGCCAATCTCACTCACTTAGATGAATGCGAAAGAAGTTACCCTGAGTACACTAGAGGGTATGTCCGACATGTGGATTTTATCACTAGTGCATGTCACTACAGACAAATAGTTTGAGAGCTTCTCTTTTGTGCCAAGGAGTTTGGAAACTTTATCTGTTAGGCATTGGTGAACTCTCAGTGCTTTCCAAGCAGGTGAAGAACCTGCTCAGTTCTATATTTTAGAAAAATAACTGATCACAGAATGAGGTTGATGGGAGCTCAGACTCACGTGGTGGAAAGCCTAAACTCAGAAATAATGGCAATGGAATTGGAGTGCAGGCAGATGTTGCAGAGACATTCCAGAGAGGATCCTGTGTGGACTTGGAAGTGTTTGCAGAGAGGTAGGAATATAGAGGATACCTTTTGAAGTTTTTAGCTTAGGTGGCAGCATAAGAAATGACAACATTAATGAATTTGAATAAATTCAGTTATAAATATCTATGAGAAATGCCTCTGTCAGTTTCAGAATCAGAGGTTGGCAGTCATGTTGCAGAAAACATACTGCACTCAGATTTACAAATATGTATTTTGGACTTAACTGGAAAGGTTAAGGGACACCTGCTTCCGTGAGAGGACTCCAGAGTGGTTGCATGCATGCATACATGTCCACATGCATACATGTATACCTACAAACATACATATGTATACATGCACATACATCCATGCACACAATTTACTGACCTTAGTGACCAGGGCATAATAGTATAAATCATCAAAACTTCCAGGTATCAGTGCTCTTTTGAATACAGATATTGCTTCCATTTCAGTCTGTGCAGGCTCAAGCTCATTTTATAATTTTGCTTTGCATACATTCCATACTTAGTCTCCTGTAAATGTAAAAGAAACACAAAGCAATTGGAAAAAATAAATCCTTTACAATGCGAAATCATGAAGTTGTTTCTTGCTCTCAAAGAGTTTAATGTCTAATGGTAAGATAAACATATGTAATAATGATACACCATGTCAGCTGTTAAAAATAGTAATAGCTAATGTTTACTAAGTTTAAACCTTATGAGCTCAGCACTGCTTAGCCTTTTAAATGTGTTAGCTAATTAAATGTTACAATCGTCATATAAGGTGGACATTGCGTGTAAAGTACACAACAGAGAAAAGGGTAACAGCTTTATTCTAGTCACGAGTCAAACCTGTGTGAGTCAGGGAAATGTTCCTAGAGGAGCTAGCCCTTGAAATGAGACTTCATGGATGAGGTTTTACAGGTCTATAAATGTGAAAGGCTATCAAAAGAAGAATAACATTGGAAAAAGCTGAGAGATTTGAGAAGGCACAATGTGTCAGGGAGTGATGAGTGGGCCAGATTTTAAAGTGCCAGAGGGAGAATGGCAACAGATGAGGCTTGCCAGAAACGGGAAGGTCAGCTCACAAAGGACATTGTGACCAGAGTGGAAGGAGTTTATTTTGTATGATATGGCTTATGGGAAGACAAATGACTTTGAGCAGGACAGTGAGCCAATTCGATTTGCATGTGAGCCGAGTTTTTATTGCAGAGGGAAAAATGCATCCCTTGGGGACTGGGGAGAGGTGAGGAAGCCAGGAATCATAATTAGCGCTCAGGGGCCTATTTCAGTAGTCTAGGTTAAAAATGATGAGAATTGTATCTATGTGGTAGTGCAAAGGACAAACACGTGGCACATTTTTACGGTAGAGTTGAGAGTGTGTGGTGAGTGGAAATGGGAAGTGGAAGGAAAATTGGGAAGTAGAGGATGGTGTCCAGGGGCCCCTCATCAAGACTGTGATGGTGAGAGGAGAGTCAAGACTTCTGGGAAGATGGCATATTAATATTTGGATATGTTGCATTTGACATGCTTCCTGGCTATCTGGGGAGAGGCCTCCATAGGCACTTGGCTATATGGGCCTGAAGCTCAAAATATATTTGGCCTAGGATTTGGCAATCTGTGATGAGAGTGGATATTAATCTTCTGGGAGAGAGTCAGCCAATTAGAAAAACAGATCATATGAATAAAGAAAAAGGCCAAGAAAGAGCACCTCAGGGAATATTTACATTTGGAAATGTACTTCTAGAGCAAATGAGAATCACAAATAGTGATGATGTAGTCAGCAGTACATCAGTAGTAGCTGAAATCGTAATAGTGGATGCAATATCTTACGTAGAATTTGTAGAAGCAGAGCAGTAAGTAAAAAGATACAAATGAAACGCTGGGGAAGAGGAAAAGAGGAATTTCCGCTAGGAACTGTTTAAGAGCTGTTAGGAAAATTACCAAGCCAAATGGTGTCAGAGAAACCAGTGAAGGGGAAAGGCACTAGAGAGAGGGAGGAGTTGACGATGTCAAAGGACGCAGAAAGGGTGAGTAAGGTAATACTGAAAATTGCTCTTTGCCAGTTAAGAGAATAATTGGTAACCTTTGTGAGAGTGATTGGAATATGGTGGTGAGGGTAAAATGCCAAAAAGAGTAGGTGTAGAGGTAAATGGGATTTGAGGGCTATATACTAATGAATTGAGGCGTAATGATTGTTGATTAAATAAATGACCTTCTAAGATCTTTTGAAACTAACTTCAGTGTAATGTTAGAAATACAATGGGGTTGTGACTTTTAAATGAAATTACTTAGGAATCAGAATGTAAGGCCAGAGAATAATTATTGGGACCAGGTAAATTGTAAGTAGAATTATCAGTTGGCTACCAGTTATACCTATCATTCAGTCTCCTGCTATTTTCTTCAACTTCCAGTTTTGAGTAAGTGTCCCCTGATCCAATCATAGTTATTGATGTCATTTAATGCCCCTATTATTGATCGTTACTTAGACTTATGCATAATAAGACATAGTAACCACTTTTGACAAGCCATAAATATTAGGGCCATATAATTATTTTCACCTGGCTTATTCCTCAGAAGTAGAAATTATGAACCATTTTGCAGATCATTTAGAACATAGAGAACATATATTAGCTAGAGCTGATTAATTAAACCTTTTGTAACTTTATTTCCTAAGAGTTGAATGAGTCATTTATTTTGAATTAGTATAAACCTACTTGTATTCAACTTTTGATTCATGGCTTACAAAGTATGAATAGATTGGGCACAGATATAAAATTAGCCCAGTGTACTTATTGGTAGATTTCAAAAACTATTTAAATAATATGTTTAGCCCCTACATGAATTAATAGACATAAAAAAGGCCATTCAAGATCTGTTCAATGGTTGTCACTGAATGTTGAGATGTTAACAGAGTGGGAGGTTGGCATTTGAGCTGTGGAACAAATAAGAATCTCATGAGATCCTGAAGCCCTAAAGATGAATCCAGTTTATTTTTCCCATTTCTCTCCCAGACATGCCTCAACCGATCCTTTTTACCTCTCCTTTCATCCTTCCAAGCCCCAAATATTTTAAAATAAAGAAATGGATTTACATATAGAGACATGTAAACAATAATAATGGGTTAGGATAATGTATTGAGATAATGTTTGTTTCATCCTGCCTGCATCTTCTCTTCTCCATTACAAGAAGGTAATTAAGCCTCTGTGCATAGTTGCTTCAGGGGTAGCCTTTGTTAGGTAGGATTTTTATTTTATGAAAACATATACTCCTTGAAAGAATCATGCTAGTGGAGAGAAGAAAATGGGGAGAATATTACTTTTGAGCTTAGAGGAAGTAGAAAGAAGTAGGAGTATTCTCCAAGACTGGGAAGTAGATGGAGGACTGGGTGTTCCACAAAGACCAAGCCCATGGCTGTGCTCTAGCAGGATCACAAAGGAGACATCCTCCAGGTACTTCTAGGGGCTGCAAATTCTCAGCATTCAGAAAAATTCAAACCCATGTGCAGCAAGGGATCATGTGTAATTTGGACAATGAGCTGTCATCATTCTCAACCATCTACCAGAATCTCTACCTTAGGTATAGTAAAGACACCTGTATTATTTGTCACTCTACGGAGAAGGACAGGTGGCCTCCTGCATTCGTAATTGAATTTCTTAAGAGTCAGGTGTAAATAAAATTAAATAATATGACATTTTTATACAATGCAGTTGTGGATGCAAATACCAACTAGTATAATTCTTCCATTAAAAAATATATTTTGAGTTCTAATCAGACCTATTCTTTCTCAGCTCTGGAAATATAGCCGTGTAGGTGACTGGTATGTTCTCTGCTTTCTGAGGTCTTGTGTTAGATACAGTTCTCTATGGATCTCTCACATTTCTGCACATTGTGTGAGCAGAGGCACTGGGTACTCTTTGTACCTGACTAGCTTTTCAAGGATGTTTGCATAGTAAACAGCCTTGGAAATAAAGATAATGTCTCCCTCTGGAGCAGAGGACAGACATGTTTGCTATCCATAAAAAACAGTGTTTCTCTAAGCTCAGAGTTCCTTTCCTGTAATACAGACTACTGTGTGTACAAGCATCCACCTCTGCTCAGCCTTGTTGCCCCACAAAACTGTGGCAGGCTGACTTTTTAGCTTGCAGTGTAATGTCTTAGATCCTGTGACATGCTGGATGAAGGAAGGCCTTGTGTCTGGATGTGTTCTTACAAGTTCTTTCTTACTTTACCTGCCTCATTGCTTGGCATTGATTCATTCCAATGAGTTGCCCCTACCTTTTTTGGGAAAAAAAAAATTAA